>NC_000008.11:60302265-60927265 GCF_000001405.40 Homo sapiens
TTTGACAATGCTTCCTGTATAATTTTTGTACCAAATAAGCCAAATTATGTTTTTTTTTTTTTTTTGGACTTTAGGGAACCTAATATCTTAAAGGATTGATTCGGTCAGAAAAAAAAACATAATTTATAATTTGATTTAGGAAAGCTTGTCAAATATCAAAGGTTTCAAATATTTGATATCACAAAATAGGATCACAGGTCATTGTAAAATAAGTCATTCATTTAACCAAAGTGATAACTCAAAGATTTCAAAAAAAAAAAGGTGAAAACTTTTATTTTTTGAGAGAGGAAAGTTAATTTTCCAAACAATATTAAAAACAGCATGAAGACAATCAAATTTGTTTTCCAAAATTTTATTAAAAATCTATAAAACTTTAATCTTGACCATAAGATATAGCTTACATAAGCCTTTTAAAACCTTTATAACCTTTGTTAAGGAATTGGTTAATGCTTCAAGAAAACCTTGATACTCACAGGGGCCCATATGCTGGTCTTGCATCAGTGTGTCTTTGATATTAATGATTAATTTATAGAGAAACTGAACTTATGTTATCTTCCAAAATTGGCCCTTACAATCATATGTGCCCACCTCTTCCATGATAGTCCCCGGGCCTTGAGGAGTTGAATAGTTTTAATTTCTTCCCCTGTGTCTCAGGAATGCAGTTTATTTTGTTTGACATCTTCTACAGGGCCCGAAGGTGAGGCTTTAATTGCTCTCAGTGATGTAGCAGGACTTGATGTCCTTTTTAGATCCAGGAGTCAAAGCCCTGTAACTCAATGTCACAAGGACTTTAAAAGCACATACAGGAAGATACATGGGTGGAATAACCTTAAAATTTTTTTTTCTGTTTCTGTCTTCCTAAGCAAACCAAAACAATATGATAACTTGATCATATTAAAGTTTTGGGTTTTTTTTTTTCAATATAAATCCTCTTACTCTGACTTACACTGACTGTTCATGACATGCTCAGACTTTCTGGTTTGTCCTGAACATACCTCTTTCTTAAACAACCAGTAGTTTTATTTTAGGACTAAATTTACCATACAAGATTCTCATATAAAATTTTTTCTCTTTCAGCTTTCTTACCGCAACAACAGTGAAAAAATACCTCTTTTATTTTCTGGTTCCTTTTACCTTGTTTTATATATAACCTTTAAATAAGCTTTGAATTAGACAAAAGTTGTTCACCTTTTTTTAATAAGGGCACAGTTTTTTTTTATTTTTTTATTTTTAGCAAGAATGTTTTCCTACTATATATTTATTGGAAAATAACCAATGTATGAGTCTGTTTTCATGCTGCTGATAAAGACATACCCAAGACTGGGCAATTTACAAAAGAAAGAGGTTCCACATGACTGGGGATGCCTCACAATCCTGGTGGAAGGCCAGGGGGAACAAGTCATGTCTTACATGGATAGTAGCAGCCAAAGAGAGAGAGCTTGTGCAGGGAAACTCCCATTTTTAAAGCCATCAGATCTCATGAGACTTATTCACTATCACGAGAACAGCACAGGAAAGAACAGTCCCCATGATGCAATTACATCCCACCAGGTTCCTCCCATGACACATGGGAATTGTAGGACTTACAATTCAAGATGAGACTTGGGTGGGGACACAGCCAAACCATATCACCCAAATAATGAAATATCTATTTATTAATTTAATATAACTTTACATTCTAAATTATGATCAGTTTGTCTACAAGTATTTAGCCCATTACATTTACCTAATTATTTTATTTTAATTGTTTACCAAATTATTTAGGAAAACTGTGAGAGTCATGATTTAAAGTTATAAAACTGCCATTGCATAATAACTGAAAGAGTGAAAAAAGGTTTGACCCAAATGACTCCATCTTGTTCTTAACCTCCAAGCTGTTCTTGTTCAATCCTGGGCATAGGCCAAACTAACTTTCAGGGAAACTTAGTTTACAGCTTAACTTTGAAACAAAGACTATAACAGTCCTTTCCCAAAGCAAACCTCCTTCTTTCCTGTGGACTAGACTGCCCAAAGCTACAAGATTAGAAATTTTGGTAATCTTACTAAATTTAAGATGTGGCTATTTCCATTAAACCAATATCAATATCTTATTTATTAAAAATTTCAAAAGGAAAAATTATTCTGTTTTGGGCTGGGTTTATAGTTTCGTAAACCCTGTGCCAAAATTTGACACTTATAGTGTTTGGCAGGGATAAGTATGAAATTACTTGATTAATGACTGCCAACAAAAAAGTATACTGGCAATTCTTAAGACATTTCTAATATTACTTTGTCAATAATTTTAAAGCTAGCTTATTTGTTAAAGATTTTACTTAAATTACATAAACTTGAAAAAGCATTTGACTAGTCTTTTCCTTTTTAGTATCTGATTTAAGCACTTTTATTTTTAAGCAATTAATTAGAGCTCTTTTACATATTTTTAGTAGTGAAACATTGTGTACACAACACATAAATAGATAGGCATGCTGATAGAAGTACATTTTACAGATTCATAAAAACCCTTTACTTCCATTCTTAGAATTTCAGATTCTTGATAACCTGTTTTTACAAACCTGGGCAGTTGTCAACTAAATAGCCTTAAATTTGCATGTTAAAAGAAGCAACTCAGGTGAAAGTCAAATACCAAAATTTACACTACAAGGTGCAGAGAGAAAAGTTTCCTATGTTAGAGGGAAATTAAAATGGATCTAATTGCCAATTAAACACAAAATTATAGAAATTATAAAGGCCTTTTAAAAATACACACACACACACACAGATCCTATAGCTTTTACTTCAGAACTTTTAGCCATAAGATAATTACAAATTACCAGCTTGCAAAAAGAACTTGTTGGATCTAAACAATGGTTTTTATCTTCATAGAAAAATAGGGCCAGGCACAGTGGCTCATGCCTGTAATCCCAGCATTTTGGGAGGTGGGCGGATCACGAGGTCAGGAGTTCGAGACCAGCCTGGCCAACATGGTGAAAACCTGTCTTTACTAAAAATACAAAAATTAGCTGTGTGTGGTGGTGCACACAAAATAAAAAGAGAAGAAAAATCACAGCAGATTTAGAGCAGGCAGAAAAGAAAAAGTTGAGAAAATGAGGACTTAAAACTCTATAGTTTGCAAGTCGTGTGAAGAGACCACCAAACAGGCTTTGTGTGAGCAATAAAGCTTTTTAATCACCTGGGTGCAGGTGGGCTGAGTCCGAAAAAAGAGTCAGTGAAGGGAGATAGGGATGGGGCCGTTTTATAGGATTTGGGTGGTTAGTGGAAAATTACAGTCTAAGGGGGTTTTTCTCTTGCGGGCAGGCACAGGGGTCACCAGGTGCTCAGTGGGGGAGCTTCTGAGCCAGGAGAAGGAATTTCACAAGGTTAATTGCTCAGTTAAGGTGGGGCAGGAACAAATCACAATGGTGGAATGTCATCAGTTAAGGCAGGAACCAGCCATTTTTACTTCTTTTGTGATTCTTCACTTGCTTCAGGCCATCTGGATGCATTCATGCAGTTTACAAGGGATATGATGGCTTAGCTTGGGCTCAGAGGCCTGACATACCTGTCTTCTTATATTAATATGACAAATAACATAAAATAGTGTTGAAGTGTTGGGGCAGTGAAAATTTTGGGGAGGTGGTATGGAGAGATAATGGGCGATGTTTCTCAGAGCTGCTTTGAGCAGGATTAGGGGCGGCATGGGAACCTAGAGTAGGACAGATTAAGTTGAAGGAAGATTTTGTGGTAATGGGTGATATTATGGGGTTGTTAGAAGGAGCATTTGTCATACAGAATGATTGGTGATGGCCTGGATATGGTTTTGGATGAATTAAGAAATGGAAGACACAAGGTCCGAATAACAGAAGGAGAAAAACAGCTATTAAAGGACTAAGAATGGGGAGGACCCAGGACATCCAATTAGAGAGTGCCCAAGGGGGTTCAGCATAATTACTTGCTTGGTTGGCAAGTTTTTAGGCTCTATCCTTGAGTTTTTTGTGTTGTCATATACCAGGCCATATTGATTTAGGTAAAAACAACCCTTCTTATTTAAAATATGCAGAGTCCCCTTTTTTTAGCAGTGAGTAAGTCAAGGCCTCCATGATTTTGGAGGAAAGAGAAATGTAAACCCAGAAATTGTTTGTTAAAGAAGGATTAGAAACGGTAGGAGAGAGTGAGATTGATAGTGTGGTGGAGATAGCTGGGGAGAGGTAGAGGGTGGCATAAGAACGGAACCAAGAATAAGAGTGAGTATAAAAGTAAAGAATAGGACTTTATCAGGGTGAAAGTATTGGAGGGTGCCCTGCCAGCAAAGATTATTTATTCACTTTAAGAGGGAGTTAAGAGTGTTGGTTTGGGGATAGCACCAGGAGATATCAGCTGTGATGGCTTGGAGAAACAGTGTAAACCGGCAGTATAAACAAGAGCAGGGCATTTATGAGTAGTTGAGAACAGTGAATAGGAGTATGACTAGAAAGAAGATAGTAGGGATCATGAGCTTTTGGGGTGCAGTTCAAGTTGGGCTGGTGTCTGGAATGAGACTGGGGCCTAATAAAAAGGAGTATCCATACAGGAGCTCAAATGGGCTGTACCCTGTAGCATCCCAAGGACAGGCTTCAATTCTGAGAAGTGCAAGAGGCAAAACTACTGTCCAGTCCTTTTTAAGTTGAAGGTTGAGCTTGGCGAGGTGTGTCTTTAAAAGACTATTAGTCCATTTTACCTTTCCTGAAGATTGAGGACAGTAAGGGGTATGAAGTTTCCACTGAATACCAAGAGCCTGAGAAACTGCTTGGGTGATTTGACTAGTAAAGGCCAGTCCGTTATTGGACTGTATAGAGGTGGGAAGCCAAACCAAGGAATTATGTCTGACAGAAGAGAAGAAATGACTGCAGTAGCCTTCTCAGACCCTGTGGGAAAGGCCTCTACCCATCTAGTGAAAATGTATACCCAGACCAAGAGGTATTTTAGTTTCCTGACTCGGGGTATGTGAGTAAAGTCAATTTGCCAGTCCTAGGCAAGGGCAAATCCCCGAACTTGATGTGTAGGGAAGGGAGGGGGCCTGCAAAATTCCTGAGGAGTAGTAGAATAGCAGATGGAACACTGAGAAGTGATTTTTTGAGGATAGATTTTTACTATGGAAAGGAAAAGAGAGGTTTTAAGAGGCGGGCTAGTGGCTTGTAACTTACGTGGAAGAGGTTATGAAATGACGACGGAATAGCATGGGCCTCTGAGGCTGGAAGGAGATATTTTCCTTGGTTCAACAACTATTTGCCTTGTGTGGGAAGAGATTGATAGGTGGAAGTTTCAGTGGGGGAGTAGGTGGGAATGACTGATGAGAAGGAGAAAAATTGGCCATGAAAGACAGAAGTTGGAACGCTAGCTGCTTTTTTAGCTACCTTATCAGCACAAGCATTGCTCTGAGCAATGGGATCTGATGCCTTTTGATGGCCCTTGCAGTGAATGACTTCAGCTTCCTTTGGAAGTAAAGTGGCCTTGAGAAGAGTTTTTATTAAAGAGGCATTAATGATGGAGGACCCTTATGTAGTAAGGAAACCTCTTTCTGCCCATATAACAGAATGGTGGTCCAGGATATGGAAGGCATATTTAGAGTCAGTATAAATATTGATGCGTAGTCCCTTTGAAAGAGTGAGGGCTTGAGTTAAGGCAATGAGTTCAGCTTGCTGAGAGGAGTGGAGCAGGGGAGAGTGGTAGCCTCAATGATAGATGTGGAAGATACTACAGCATAGCCTGCCTTTGCTTGTGAGTGATGATTAGGCCTAGTGGAACTGCCATCAATAAACCAAGTGTGATCAGGGTGAGGGGCAGGAAAGAAGGAAATATGGGGAAATGGAGTGAATGTCAGGTGGATCAGAGAGATACAGTCATGGAGGTCAGGTGGGGCATCCGGAATAATGTGGGAGGCCGAATTGAAGTCTGGGTCAGGAACAATGGTAATTGTGGGAGACTCAACAAAGAGTGAGTATAACTGAAGGAGCTGGGGAGCAGAAAGTATATGCATCAGGTGTGAGGAAGTAAATAGATTTTGGAAGTTATGAGAACTGTAGAGAGTGAGTTGAGCATAGTTTGTGATTTTGAGGGCCTCTAAAAGTATTAGGGTGGCGGTAGCCCCTGCACAGGAACATCATGGCCAGCCTAAAATGGTAAGATCAAGTTGTTTAGACAAAAAGGCTACAGGGTGCAGTCCCAGTCCTTCCGTGAGAATTTTGACTGCACAGCCCTGCACTTCGGCTGTGTGTAATGAAAAGGGTTGGGATGAGTCAGGGAGAGCTAGTGTGGGAGCAGTCTCTAAAGCTGTCTTCAAGGAACGGAAAGAGGAGTGGGGAAAGGATTTAGGAACTATGGGGTTAGCTAAGTTTCCTTTTGTGAGTTTATATAATGGTTTTGTTAGGATGGCAAAAGCAGGTATCCAAAGGTGAAAGTATCCAACCATGCCTAGGAAGGAAATGAGTTATTTTGTAGAAGGTGTTGGGGTTTGGGAGATTAGCCAGACATGATCAGCAGGGAGAGCACGTGTGTTTTCATGAAGGACTATGCCAAGATAGGTAATGGATGAGGAAGAAATTTGGGCTTCACCGAAGTAATGGGGGCTGTCTGTGAAGCCTTGCGGCAGTACAGCCCAGGTAATTTGCTGAGCCTGATGGGTGTCAGGGTCAGTCCAAGTGAAAGTGAAGAGAGGCTGGGATGAAGGGTGCAAAGGAATAGTAAAGAAAGCATGTTTGAGATCCAGAACAGAATAATGGGTTGTGGAGGGGTTGTGGAGGGAGATATTGAGGATAGAAGGGTATATGGGTTTGGCACCATGGGATGGATAGGGAAAACAATTTGGTCAATAAGGTGCAGATCCTGAACTAACTTGTAAGACTTGTCTGATTTTTGGACAGGTAAAATGGGGGGATTGTAAGGAGAGTTTATAGGCTTTAAAAGGCCATGCTGTAACAGGTGAGTGATAACAGGCTTTAATCTTTTTAAAGCCTGCTGTAGGATGGGATATTGGTGTTGAGCAGGGTAAGGATGATTAGGTTTTAATGGGATGGTAAGGGGTGCATGATCGGTCACTAAGGAGGGAGTAGAGGTGTCCCATACTTGTGGATTAAGGTGGGGAGATACAAGGGGAGGATATGAAGGAGGCTTTGAACTGGGGAAAAGGGAGGCAATGAGGTGTGGCTGTAGCCTAGAAATAGTCAGGGAAGCAGATAATTTAGTTAAAATGTCTTGACCTAATAAGGGAGCTGGGCAGGTGAGGATAACTAAAAAGGAGTGCATAAAAGAATGTTGTCCAAGTTGGCATCAGAGTTGGGGAGTTTTAAGAGGTTTAGAAGCCTGGCCATCAATACCCACAACAGTTATGGAGGCAAAGGAAACAGGCCTTGAAGAGAAGGTAATGTGGAGTGTGTAGCCTTCATATTGATTAAGAAGGGGACAGACTTACCCTCCACTGCAAGAGTTACTGAAAGTGTCTGTGATGGTCCAAGAGGCTTCTGAGGAGATCAGCCCGCGTCAGTCTTCAGCCGCTAAGCTGAGACGATCTGGGAAGGAGTCAGTCAGAGAGCCTTGGGCCTGAGTTCCAGGGGCTCTGGGAGTGGCTGCTGGGCGAGTTGGACATTCTGATTTCCAGTGGGGTCCCGCATAGATGGGACATGGCTTAGAAGGAATCCTGGGCTGTGGGCATTCCTTGGCCCAGTGGCCAGACTTCTGGCACTTGAAGCAAGATCCTGATGGAGGAGGTCCTGTAGGAATGCTTGACCACTGTGGCTTAGGAATTTTGAAGTTCTTTTGTGCCAGAGATGTGGCTAGGGTTTCTCTCACAGTGGAGGCAAGGAATTGCAACTCAGAAATATGTTGCTACTTGGCTGCCTCTACTCTGTTATTGTACACCTTGAAGGCGAGGTTAATTAAATCCTGCTGTGGGGTTTGAGGACCGGAATCTAATTTTTGGAGCTTTATTTAATGTCAGGAGTGGATTGGGTAATAAAATGCATATTGAGAATAAGACAGCCTTCTGACCCTCCAGGGTCTAGGGGTGTAAAGCCTCACAGGGTTGCGGCCAAATGAGCCATGAACTGGGCTGGGTTTTTATATTTCATGAAAAAGAGCCTAAATGCTAACTGATTTGGGAGAGGTCGGATAAAGAAAAAGGAGCATTAACCTTGACTATGCCTTTAGCTCCAGCCACCTCTTTAAGAGGAAATTGTTGGGCAGGTGGGGGAGGGCTAGTCATGGAATGAAACTGTAAGCTGGACTGGGTGTGAGGAGGGGAGGTGATAGAGGGATTATAGGGTGGGAAAGCGGAGGCCGAGGAAGAATTGGAGCCTGATTCAGCCTGACGGTAAGCGACCTGAGGAGGAGCAGCCTGGGGAGGAGGGGAGAGGTCAGATGAGTCGGTAGAAAAGGAAGATTGAAAAGACTCAGTGACACATGGGGTTGGGACTGAGGGGACAGGCAGGAGGGAAAGAAGGAAGATTTGGGATTAGTTACATTGGGAACAGAGACTAGGGAGGGACCAATGTGTAAAAGAATGCCTGGACGTCAGGCACCTCAGACCTTTTGCCCATTTTATGACAAGAAGTATCTAGATCTTGTAGGATGGAGAAATTGAAAGTGCCATTTTCTAGCTATTTGGAACCATTGTCGGGTTTGTATTGGGGTCAAGCGGTCAAGAAGAAAATAGGTGTTTAGGTTTTAGGTCAAGTGTGAGTTGAAGAGCTTTTAAGTTCTTGAAAACACAGGCTAAGGGAGAAGAAGGAGGAATGGAGGGTGGAAGGTTGCCTATAGTGAAGGAGACAAGCCCAGAGATGAGAGGGTAGAGACATGGGAGAAGGGGTGGGGGGTGCTTGCCCCCCAGGAAAGTGGTGCTTGCTACTAAGGGTGAAGGATCAAGGCAGGTGTCCCTGCAGTGATTAGACACCTCTGAAACGTAGGTAAATAATCAAGCAGGCCTCCCCGCAGTGATTAAACACCAAGGGAAGACTGTCTTCCTGAGTCCGTGACTGGCGCCAGAGTTTTGGGTTCATGGATAAAACACATCTTCTCTGTCTCTACCAGAAAAGGAAAGGAGCTGAAATTAAAAGAAGGGAGAGATTGAAGGATGGTGCCAAGATTGAAAGGAGAAAGAGGTTGAGGGATAGTGAGAGAGGCTGGATAAGAGAATAAAAAGAGGCCACTTACCTGATTTAAAATTGGTGAGATGTTCCTTGGGCTGGTTGGTCTGAGGACCTGAGGTCACAGGTGCATCTTTCTCATGGAGCAAAGAGCAGGAGGACAGGGGATTGATCTCCCAAGGGAGGTCTCCCGATCCAAGTCATGGCACCAAATGTCAAGAGCGTCCGTGTGAAGAGACCACCAAACAGGCTTTGTGTGAGTAATAAAGCTTTTTAATCACCTGGGTGCAGGCAGGCTGAGTCCGAAAAGAGAGTCAGTGAAGGGAGATGAGATAGGTGTGGGGCCGTTTTATAGGATTTGGGTGGGTAGTGGAAAATTACAGTCTAAGGGGGTTGTTCTTTGGTGGGCAGAGTGGGGGGTCACCAGGTGCTCAGTGGGGGAGCTTCTGAGCCAGGAGAAGGAATTTCACAAGGTTAATTGCTCAGTTAAGGTGGGGCAGGAACAAATCACAATGGTGGAATGTCATCAGTTAAGGCAGGAACCAGCCATTTTTACTTCTTTTGTGATTCTTCACTTTCTTCAGGCCATCTGGATGCATTCGTGCAGGTCACAAGGGATATGATGGCTTAGCTTGGGCTCAGAGGCCTGACACTTAGGGCTTTTGTTTTGTTTTGTTTTGTTTTTTGAGATGGAGTCTCACTCCTGTCACGCAGGCTGGAGTGCAACAGCGTGATCTCGGCTCACTGCAACCTCCATCTCTGGGTTCAAGTGATTCTCCTTCCTCACCTCCTGAGTAGCTGGGATTACAGGCATGCACCACCATGCCCGGATAATTTTTGTATTTTTAGTAGAGATGGGATTTCGCCATGTTGGCCAGGCTGGTCTTGAACTCCTGACCTCAGGAGATCCACCCACCTCAGCCTCCCAAAGTGCTAGGATTACAGGGGTGAGCCACCACGCCCAGCCAAGGGCTCTTTTTTCCTTAATGTAAATGTGCACAAAGACCATATTATTTTGGCAAGTAGAGGTGCCATAAAACCTACAGACTGCTCAAAAGGGGGTCATTCTCCTTGTTTTCTCATCATTCTTAGATTGTTTCCCATTTTTTTTCTTTCTTTTTTTTTTTTTTTAAGGGAGGAACTGAGCTATGGTCCATGGTTTTTGTGTGGTGGATCAACATGTGCTGCTTGTGGGCAGGACTCCACAGTGTGTCACCACTGAGTAGTTTCAACCCTTTTATATGTCTCAGTTTCTCCCTCCAGAGGTCTGTGACCTCAGAGAGGGCTCAAAACACCAGATGATTAGCCCTTACATGTGTTACCTAGATGAGCCATTTATAAAATTAATTTTTGTTGGGGATTCCCTTGCAGGGCTGCTGCACGTCATGGGGTGGTCAACCTCCCAGACACTCCCATGGGGCCCCCGGTCACCCAGGGAAGCCTTTCAGCTGGAAGGAGCAAAATGCCCCTTCTCTTCAGGGCTAAGAAAACTCAGTCTCTCATTAACATATCAAAACAACAGTTTAGTTCCTCATGCAAATGCACACAGACAAACTCAATTAAGATTAAAAATTTGGGACAAAAAGCAATAGAGAAGACCTTTCAAATGCATCTCCAAACTAGAATTAGGATCCTTAAACAACAACTTTAAATGGGAACAAACAACAAAGCCCCAACAACATGATCACTGAACCCTCTAATGGTAAGGAGAAATTCATGTTACAGGAAAGGGGGCCAGATCCAGGCTCCAAGACAGGGTTCTTGGATCTCGTGCAGGAAAGAATTCAGGGTTAGTCCATAGAGTAACATAAAAGCAAGTTTATTAAGAAAATAAAGGAGTAGGCTGGGCGCAGTGGCTGACACCTGTAATCCCAGCACTCTGGAGGCCAAGGTGGGCAGATCACCTGAGGTCAAGAGTTTGAGACCAGCCTGGCCAATATGGTGAAACCCCGTCTCTACTAAAAATACAAAAATTAGCCAGGTGTAGTGGCACGTGCCTGTAGTCTCAGCTGCTCGGGAGGTTGAGGCAGGAGAATCGCTTGAACCAGGGAGGCAGAAATTGCATGGACCTGAGATCACACCGCTGCATTCTAGCCCAGGTGACAGAGTGAGACTCCATCTCAAAAAAAAAAAGGAAAAAAAAAAAAGAAAGGAGTAGAAGAATGCCTACTCCACAGACAGAGCAGCCCTGAGGGCTGCTGGTTGCCCATTTTTATGGTTATTTCTTCATTATGTGCTAAACAAGGGGTGGATTATTCATGCCTCTCCTTTTTAGATCATATAGGGTAACTTCCTTACATTGCCATGGCATTTACAAACTGTCATGGCACTGATGTGAGTGTAGCAGTGAGGACGATCAGAGGTCACTTTTGTTACCATCTTGGTTTTGGTGGGATTTGACAAGCTTCTTTACTGCAAACTATTTTATCAGCAAGGCCTTTATGATCTGTCTTGTGCTGACCTCCTATCTCATCTTGTGACTTAGAATGCCCAACCATCTGGAAATCCAGCCCAATTGGTCTCAGCCTCATTTTACCCAGCCTCTACTCAAGATGGAGTTGCTCTGGTTCAAATGCCTCTGACATGTAGACCAGTTGGTTGTTAATCTTAACTTTAGCCAAGCTAAACCCTAATTCAGTTACTTATCTAGGAATGGGTTTCAGGCAGAAGACTGCTCTCTACCATCCTAGAAGCAGGAAAAACAACAACAACAACAACACACACACACACACACACACACACACACACTCATCTTCTCTGTTGGAAGTGAGCTTAAACTCCATAAAGGAGTTACCTGCCTTCCCTCATGGGCCCAAGATATTTTCCTTTCACATTCCTATAAAAGATTATATAACTTCTGCTTGAACATTTTCAATGACAGAGAACCCACAAATCAAAACTTCTATTTCTTTTTCTTTTCTTTTTCTTTTTTTTTTTTTTTTTGAGACAGAGTCTCCCTCTGTCACCCAGGCTGAAGTGTTTTAGCATGATCTAGGCTCATTGTAACCTCCACCTCCCAGGTTCAAGTGATCCTCCTGCCTCAGCCTCCCAAGTAGCTGGGATTACAGGTACATGCCACCACGCCCGGCTAATTCTTTTTTTTTTTTCAGTAGAGACAGGGTTTCACTGTGTTGGCCAAGCTGGTCTTGAACTCCTGACCTCAAGTGATCCACCCATCTGAGCCTCCCAAAGTGCTAGGACTACAGGCATGAGCCACCACACCTGGCCCAAAACTCCCATTTCTTAATAAGTTTTTCATATATTAAGATCTGCTTTGCTGTAGCTTCTTACCCCCTCCTACCCCTACCCCCAACCCCGTTTACTCTGGTTCTGACCTCTGGAACTACACAAAATAAGGACAGCGCTTTGCTTCATGACAGTTCTTTAGTATTTTATAACTTGGATCACTGTCCACAGTGCATCTCATCTTTGCCCGGCTGAAAATATTCCTGGTCCTATCGTGTGTCCACATAATATTAATACATAATTTCAAGAGCTTCTGCTCTCCTGGTTACACTCTGGATAAACATTCTTCTCTTCATAATATATCTCACGTAAAAAAATGGTCCAAGTCTTAGAAACAGACCAAAGTGATTCCTGGTGTCCTTTCAGTGGAGGGCAGGACATTGTTAGCAGACCCTCTGGGATTCTCTAATTCCACAGGACGTGCACTTTCAATTGCCTGTGATTGACTAGGCTATTTTACAACTCTGTTGGAATAGGGTTTAAGTTATAGAAAATGGATAACGATGCAAATGTTTCCTGCCCATAGCTATGCAAATGATACCCGTGCATGACAATGCAAATGAATTTTGTCTGGCAGAGAATATAAATCTCTGCAAATCAAAATCTCATTTTAAATGGTTTTTAATTAATGAGTTAAATAAAATATTTGACACATTTATTTTATTTTTGTGATTTTACATTTCTGAAAATTATGCTTTTAACCCTCAGGAAACAGGTTCCCAGAACGCAGTGGACCCTTCCTGCTTGCCTGGTGACTCTACGTGTGGTGGGAACTCGAGAGCTTTTTAATAACCTCATTAGCACTATTGACACTTTGAGTACAGAGTGAAACAAAACAATTATTTTCTTCACAGATGATACTGTAGCCAAGTTTCTCATATCTTATGCCTTTATTTTGTAACACGAATGCTAGATTTTTAAATATTTATTTCTTTTAAGTTTAATGTTGAGAATGTGAGCTCATTACTCCAGCCCAAGGAAACAATTGTCCTGTCATTTATGTCTTTATCAAAGAACAAACCAGAATCCAAAACCGCTCAGAACTCAGAGGACTTTGGTAAGCAGAACCTGCTTTCACGGCCGGAATAGGGGAGAGAGAAGGGAGTACAAGGGTTTCTCTGCAGAAGCACAATCCAGCTGAGGCTGATGCAGGTTTGTGGGAAACTTACACAACTGGGGCTGGGAGGCTGTAAGCGGTCCTCTCCAGGAAGAATGGTAGTAACCACAGGAGCATCTCAAACTGGGCCTACTCTATTGATAATAGAATGTCTAAGTACCTTGTAGATATAACAGAGCCAAGACTGCAAGTCATATGGCCCAGGCATGTACAATAGGAAAGATTTGACCTCTGACATCCAAAACCAACAATTCCTCCCCACGGAACCAGGAAGACCAGGACACAACCAGAACCTGAACATCAGAACCATTTCAAAAGCGAGGGGGTCTGACGGCCAGGAAGATCCAGGGCTAAAATCAGCCTCAACGTACCTTACCAAAAATAGTCACATTTGAAGCTCTCCAATCAGACCTTACCACACCAAAATCCTTTCTGCCTTCCAATCCCTTGAAACTTGCCGCAGACTCAAATTTGGGAGACAGATTTCAGCCATGCCTTCTGTGTCAGCCTCTCAATGAATTGTTTTTTATCTCAAAAGCTGGTGCCGTAGTATGGCTTCTAATTACATCAAGCAGTGAGACCATTTGCTCAATAACAGAATAATGCAAAATTGTCCATTTTTCTTTATACAATGTTACACATACTTCACTAAAATTACTCTCCTCAAAATAATATAAAATTAAGAATATAAAATTGCTAGAGCCTCTCCAAGGGCCTTGCAAGGTACCCTGTGAAAGTGATGGGCCCTGAGCATAAGCTTCTTTGGCTTCCCCATTAAGTCTGTCTGAAGGTCTGCTAAGGTGTGTCAGTGCAGAGAACGTCCTCAGTACCTAGGAGTGCGACTTCCTGCCTATCTCACAATTTTCGTGTCATTCATTTCTGTGACTCCCACCTCTTTACAAAAGATATGTAGAAGCTCCATGCACCTACTTTTTGGGGGTGACCACTAATTATTACTACTATTATTATTATTCAGCCCCATGACTTCCTATATTATTCTTAGAGATCACTTGGGAAACTGATTATCTTGATTTTAACAGAATGAAGTTTTCAAAGCTGTTGACCTTTATAAAAATCTAGTCTCCATGCACCTATTTTTTTGGAATCATTTAAAAATTATTCCGAGCTTACTCTGCTTTCCTTTTTAGAGGCCTCATAGATACAGACAAAGAATCTTTGCTTGGCCAAACTCTACTCAGCCTTCTGAATATTCTTCTAGGCCCATCTGTGCACTTCCATGTAAAATCCAGTTTTCGCAAGACCCCTGCTAAGTCAGTTTAGCCTGAATTCACCTTACCCCAGAGATTCCCTCTTGGTAATTTTTCCATTTGCTGACCCCTACCCTGCTCCTTGGCTCTATGGTCCCACTTGCCCATGCTGTACTCAGAGTTGAGCCCAGTCTCTCTCCTTCACTGCAATACCCCATCGCTGTGGTCCCCATACCTATTGCGGTGGACCTGAATAAAGTCTGCCTTACTGTGCTATGACAAGTGTCATTGAATAATTTTTTTCTTTAACAATACCTATTTTCAGATGCCTGAATTTTTTTGGGTTTTTTCCAGAGTAAAACAACAGATGTTGGTGTGGATGCAGAGAAAAGAGAATGCTTATACACTGTTGGTAGAAATGTTAAATCAGTATGACCTCTATGGAAAACAGTATGGAGATTTCTCAAGGAACTAAAAGTAGGACTACCATTCTTCCCAGCAACCCCATGACTGGTTATCTACCCAAAGGAAAATAAATCATTATATAGAGAGACACCCACACTCATATGTTTATGGTGGCACTATTCACAGTAGCAAAGTCATGGAATCAACCTAAATGTCCATCAATGGTTAAATGGATAAAGAAAATGTGTATGTGTACACCATGGAATACTAGACAGCCATAAAAAAGAATGAAATAATGTCCTTTACAGCAACATGGGTGAACCTGAGGTCATTATCCTAAGTGAAATAACTCAGAAACAGAAAATCAAATACTGCATGTTCTCACTTATAAGAGGAAGTTAAACAATGGTATACACGGATATAAAGATGAAAATAATAGATGCTGCAGACCCCAAAAGCAGGGAGAGCAGGAAGGGAGTGAGAATTGGAGAATCACCTATTGTGTACAGTGTTCACTATTTGAGTGATGGGTATACTAGAAGCCCAAACCTCACCATTATGTAATACATCCATGTGACAAACCTGCACATGTACCCCCTGAATCTAAAATAATATTTCTTAAAGATATACAAAAGTATGAATTTTAAATATTATATGCATGGGTCATCACAGAAAAAGAAAGTGAGTACTCGAAAAGCAGTGAGATTTGAAAGCTTATATACTATCTTAAAAGGGTAAGGGGAGGCAGATATAGGTCACGTGGAGAGTAAATGGTATTTAGGAAAGATGAGGGGCAGTAGAAGAAGAGATAGGAGATATGATCGTTTGGGACAACGTTTTTCTGGATTTAGTGTCAACTTCTAGTCTCCTCTGCTGTGAGAAGAGTCAGTCTTCTCTGGTTGATAAAATTTCCTGGAGAGGGGATTTATGACAATTGAGATCCTTTTGGAAGATCTGTCTTTAAGCAGATAAGCAGAGTTCAGAGAAAGCCTCTCCCTGAATTTGCTGTTTTTCAAATGCCTTCAGCTTAAAATAATCAAAGAGTGGCATATTTTTGGGTGGCACATCCCGAATTACTTCATAGTCATATTTTGGGGTAGCATATTCTGTTCTTTAACAATACAAGGAGGAAAATGCATGAGAAAAACAAAGAAATATCTGGGCTTTGAGAAAGATTTGGAAATAATGACAAATCAAATATCTATCCATTTACTTTACAAGCATTTGTTGATCTCCTTCTTGTGCCAGACAATAAACAAATAATTGCACTGCAGGGTTAATAAGCACAAAGCTTATATGCAAAGCTCAGAGGCAGCCTAGAAGTAGGGTTGAGAGAATAGTGGGTTAGAATGTGGAAAAATTGGTCGAATGGGCTTTGGGAATTATTCCGTTGATTATTTAAAGAAGTTCTAGAATTTGTTAATTATGTTACACTTAACTTTGGAAAATATATTTGACCAATGCTTATATGGTGCTTAATTGCTGTGTGCCAGTCACTGTTCTAAGCATTCTATAATTGTTAATTCAATTAACAATCCAATGGGATAGTATTGTTATCATTCCCATTTTATAGATGAGAAAACTGAGTCTCTAAAGGTTTAGAAAGCATGATTCAGGGCCGGGTGCAGTGGCTCACACCTGTAATCCCAGCACTTTGGGAGGCCAAGGCGGGAGGATCACCTGAGGTCAGGAGTTTGAGACCAGCCTGGCCAACATGGTGAAACCCCATCTCTACTAAAAATACTAAAATTAACCAGGCATGGTGGCACGTGCCTACAGTCTCAGCTACTCAGGAGGCTGAAGAAGGAGAATCACTTGAACCCAGGAGGCGGAGGTTGCAGTCAGCCAAGATAGCACCACTGCACTCCAGCCTGAGTGACAGAGTGAGATTCCATCTCAAAAAAAGAAGAAAGAAAGAAAGAAAGATAGAAAGAAAGAAAGAAAGAAAGAAAGAAGGAAGGAAGGAAGGAAGGAAGGAAGGAAGGAAGGAAGGAAGGAAGGAAGGAAGGAAAAAGAAAGAAAGAGAAGGAAAGAAAGAAAGAAAGAAGGAAGGAAGGAAGGAAGGAAGGAAGGAAGGAAGGAAGGAAAGAAAAAGAAAGAAAGAAAGAGAAGGAAAGAAAGAAAGAAAGAAAGAAGGAAGGAAGGAAGGAAAGGAAAGAAAGAAAGAAAGAAAAAGAAAAGAAAGAAAGAAGAAAGTATGATTCAGACGGTAGGTGGTGGAAACAGGATTTAAACCTAGACATTCTAGTATCAGGTTTCATGCTTTCACTGATGTGCTATGCTGCTGTAAGAGCTTGAGTTTTGGCCGGGCGTGGTGGCTCACGCCTGTAATCCCAGCACTTTGGGAGGCCGAGGAGGGCAGATCACAAGGTCAGGAGATCGAGACCATCCTGGCTAACACAGTGAAACCCTGTCTCTACTAAAAAAAATACAAAAAATTAGCCAGGTGTGGTGGCGGGCGCCTGTAGTCCCAGCTACTTGGGAGGCTGAGGCAGGAGAATGGCATGAACCTGGGAGGCAGAGCTTGCAGTGAGCTAAGATCATGCCACTGCACTCCAACCTGGGTGACACTGCAAGACTCCATCTCAAAAAAAAAAAAAAAAAAAAAGCTTGAGTTTTAACCTAACATATTTCTAGGGAAGTGCTTCTAGAACTTTAATATGCATGCAAATCCCTGAGGATCTTGTTAAAAAGCAGATTTGGTTTCAATAGTCTGGCTTGGGGTCTGACGTCCTGCATTTCTAACAAGCTCCCAAGTGACACCTGAAACACCAGTGTTCCAGGAACCATAATTTGAGTTTCAAGGGTCTAGGATCTACAGTAGTTTTATTTTTCTTTTTTAATAAAATATGCTCATTCATAGATTTTTCTCTCCATGTATACTCCTGTGCTTCTGGGAAAATTATGCACAAACTTCACATTCTCATCACCACCATGAGTACTTGTGGCTCTAACCAACACCCTCTAGCATCAGCATATATCTGTAGTAAGAATGTGAATGGAGCAAGGGAGCAGAGTGAGGAAGATTGGTTGAGGTTAGGGAGAGCAGGAAGTCAAGAGAGAGGGGACAGAATCAGGAAAGCAGAAGAAAGAATCCTAAGAGCAGAAACACCCAACTCTTTTGGCAAAGCTGTGAGGCATGTGTATATGTGTGTGTGTACAACCGCTTCTGAGTTCTTATTCCAAAACAGATTGTCCACTTCCATAAACAAAGTATTGTATACATACCTGTTTCTTAGTCCACTGAAAATGTTATTAATAACATCTATGAGGCCCTTGTGACTATCTATGCATCATCACTGGGCATGTATTCATTTCTTCTATGTGGAATACTGAAACTTAAATTGCATTCTCCCTTGACTAAGAGAACTGATTTTTCCACAAGGTCTGTTACTTTACAAACTGCAGTTGTTTGAAAGTTTGATAAATGATTCTATAGTATCCTCATCTTGCCTATCAAATAGGTGGCCTCTCTGTTTCCTGGAGTAATACAAAACTTATCTCCATTCTTTGCCTACAAATAACTTCCAAAGCCTTTGCAGAGAGGAAGAAGTCTTATTTCTTTTGGAGAATTTGAGTCATGGATCACTCTCTCTAAGAAGCCAGTATAGGCTGGTGGGTTATTTCACAATTCATGGCAAATTCCATAAATTTAAATCAAAGAAGATAGTCCCAGCTCAGAATAGCATTTTGATCTAAAAAAATGGTTGCTTTATATTTGCTCCAAATGATATTGTGATAATATCATAGTAGCTAAGGCTCACAGGTGCTCACTTGGAGCCAGCCCTTGCTCTAAGCACTTTGCACATATTAACTTCCTTGTGCCCAAGCATCGTCAGGACTGTTGGCCATGTATTCCCAATTGTTTGGCATTCTAAAACAGCTAACCATTTCTAGTAATTCCAAATAGGGACACATGTTCTTTGGTTCACAATTACAGTCATTATTATCCAATTTTTTATGTGTAAATGGAGGCACAGAGAAGTGAAGCAAATTGCCCGAGATCACACAGCTGGTAAATTTGAGAGCCAGAACCTGAAACTGGGAAGTTGGGATTCAGAGCCAAGCTCTTAACCACCATGTTTTGTTGTTTCTCAAGAGTGAACTATGTCATGAAACTGGAAAAAAGTCCTTATCAAAAAGAGAAACAGTGGATCTCATTAATATGTAAGCTGTGCTTTGAAACCAACAAAGGTGAAATATTTAATGAGTCAGCCAAGAGTTTTACTAGTCAGCTGCGGGAAAATGCAGCCATTGTTTTTGCAAACAAAGTAAGAGCAAAGGTACCATGTGCCTGGCCTCAGCCTCTGCCTGGAAGGAAGGGAACTAGGAGGAAGACCAGAGTCAAGTGGAAAACTAGAGGAAGCGCCCCATCTCTGAGCAGCTTCCACCAGGCACAGTGGCTCATGCCTGTAATCCCAGCACTTTGGGAGGCTGAGGCAGGCGGACCATGAGGTCAGGAGTTTGAGAACAGCCTGGCCAACATAGTGAAACCCTGTCTCTACAAAAAATAAAAAAATTAGCCAAGCGTGGTAGCAGGCGCCTGTAATCCTAGCTACTCAGGAGGCTGAGGCAGGAGAATCGCTTGAACCTGGGAGGCAGAGGTTGCAGCGAGCGGAGATCACGCCACTGCATACCAGCCAGGGTGACAGTGCGATACTCCCTCTCAAAAAAAAAAAAAAAAAAGCAGCTTCATAGGGAATGGAGTGACTGTATTTGAGGAGTCAGGGTGGTTTCTATAAGACAGACAATAAGAGATGGGGATTTGAAACTATAAGAGTTGGATATTTTAGACAGTGAAGGAGGGAAGGTCTGCCCTGGGTAATTTGCCAGGATGAAGCCTTCCCAGCATGTAAATCCTCTGCCTCACTGTGGCCATTTCCCTCATAAACTCTTTTGAATTCCTGTCATGCTAGTAAACAGTAGGCATTCAGTTAATATTGTTCAGAGACAGCTGGTTATTGGATTTTGCTTTAGCCACATTTAGTCAGTGGGAGGTAGGGAGACCAAGCCATGAACTCACAAGGGGATAAAAATAGTGCTCATCTTAGCCATCTATTGCTGTGTAATAAATGACTCCACAATATGGGGGCTTAAACACATTCATCATCTCACAGTTTCTGTGGGTCAAGAGTTTGGGTGCAGCTTGGATGTGCATCCCTGGCTCAGGGTCTCTCACCAAGGCTGTAGACAAAGTGTGGGCTTGGGCAAGGATTGATCTGCTTCCGAGTTCACATGCAGCTGTCAGCAACCTCGGTCCTTGGTGACTTTTGCCGGGAGTCCTCAGTTCCTTTCCACATGGGTCTCTCCACAGCACCAGTTTCCCTTAGAGAGAAAGTGGGGGGTGATGAGCACCAACACAAATCCTGAGTCTTTTTAGGCCTTAATCTTGGAAGAGTCATGCCATCACCTCCCCATTCTATTGGCTAGAAGCGAGTCACAGAAGCTAGCCTACACTCAAGGGGCAAGGAGAGCACAAGGGCGTGCTTACCCTTGGGGCACCTTAGAGGCAAAGGAAGACAGAAGCAGTGGCACAGATTTGATGAAGGAAAAGTCTCATCCAACAGTAAGATTATGATTTTTGATACAGAATCCTTTCTCTACATATCTAAGCCACAAGAAGTCTGTCAATTAAATTATACAAATATACCATAAAATGCAGTGACATTTTCTTCCTATGGGCACCATTTGTTGTCCAATATCTGCAAATGCTGGACAATTTTCCTCCCTGGATGCACCACATGACAGTCAGCATGCCAGGACAGGTGTCCTACTGTTAGGTATGCTACTGGCATTTGGGGCATTTGTGTATATATGGTGATCATTTATCATCCATATTGGACAATTTTAGATTGAAGGGACACTCTAAAACTACCACGATCACAGGCAAACCAAAATGTGTAGTCACCCTCCTTTAGGCCAAGCCAATCTTCAAGGAGTCCCTTCTCCCTGCCCTCCTTCTTTTTCTCTTCTTCAGCCTCCATCTCACTCTGGTTGTTTTTCTTCCCTCATTTACTCCACTCTCTACTCTCTGTACCATCCTTTGTCAGACGGATAGATTGCAAAAATTTTCTCTCACTCTGTAGGTTGTCTGTTCACTCTGAGGATAGTTTCTTTTGCTGTGCAGAAGTGCTTTAGTTTAATTAGACCCCATTTGTCAATTTTTGCTTTGGTTGCAATTGCTTTTGGCATTTTCCATCATGAAATCTTTTCCTGTGCCTATGTCCTGAATGGTATTGCCTAGATTTTCCTTTAGGGTTTTTATAGTTTTTGGGTTTTACATTTAAGTCTTTAATCCATCTTAAGTTAATTTTTGTATAAGGTGTAAGGAAGGGGTCCAGTTTCAATTTTCTGCGTATAGCTAGCCAGCTCTCTCAGCATCATATATTAAATAGGGAATCCTTTCCCCATTGCTTGTTTTTGTCAGGTTTGTCAAAGATCAGATAATTGTAGGTGTATGGTCTTATTTCTGAGTTCTCTATTCTGTTCCATTGGTCTATGTGTCTGTTTTTGTGCCAGTACCATGAGGTTTTGGTTACTGTAGCCTTGTCATATAGTTTGAAGTCAGGTAGCATGATGCCTCCAGCTTTGTTGTTTTTGCTTAGGATATTCTTGGCTATTTGGGCTCTTTTTTGGTTTCAGGTGAATTTCAAAATAGTTTTTTCTAATATTGTGAAGAATGTCAATGGTAGTTTAATGGGAATAGCATTGAATCTATAAATTACTTTGGGTAGTATGGCCATTTTCATGATATTGATTCTTCCTATCCATGAGCATGGAATGGAAGACAAAATGTTAAAAATATGTTTTAATTACCACAGATAGACAGTAGCCAGATTATTGTTAGACAGGTGAAATTAAGGAAACTACATTCACGAACTGAGTTATTCATTAAAATAATGCTGCTGCTTCCTCATTGAAATAACTCGGTTTCCCATTTATTGTTATTCTCTTGTCTTTCTTAGTAAATATCTGTTAACTCATTCTAGGAAAGCATGTATATGAACAGAAGAATATTTTCTTAAAACCGAAAAAGAAATTTCTTGCAATCTTAATAGCAATCATTTCTGGATCCTACACAGAGAAGCAATCCACATGGAAAGTAACAGTTAAAGTTTTTTAATGATCTTGAGAAACCATATGTCTTTTTAACTGTTTAGTCATTCAGGAAAGATGAGCACAAAAGTGTATTTTCTCTTTTTTCTCAACCCATCTAAATTGAATTGGCAACAAATATGAAATCCATTTCTCAGAGCTATTACAGAGTGCATGTACAGTATTATGAAATACAGTCTAGGCTGCTATTAGTTTTGCAGCAAATAAATGTTTCTATCATACAGTCCTTATCAAGAAAATTAAATAAAAGGACTGATAACTGGTGGCTAATATTCTTTCATGAGCCAGCTTTTAAATAGGTCACATTGTTCTTCACTTCATTGGAAACTGAAAATAGCTGCTATATCAGCAATGTTTGTGAAAAATAGCACATTATCTGTAACTGTCTGGGGAGGGGACAGTGTATTTCTTTATAAATTAGACATCTAGTAGAACCATAAAGTTTTAAAATCTGACAGCGGCTTTATAGCTCATATATTGAAGCCCTTCATTTTCGATCTGAGGAAGCAGACATCCAGAAATATTAAGGGACTGTGTAAAACAACTATTTAGTATCAGAATTATGGGTTCAGTAGTTAAAATCTCTATTTCAACTTAAGTACATTTCCTATATTTTTTTCTGAATAAAGACAGTGAGCAAAAAAGCACTTACCCTTAAATTTTTTCTGTAATAAGTATCCTTTATAAGTTTTCAGATTTTATCCCTTGATGAGTCTTAACTGTAATAAAAGTCAATGAATCAAAAACAGAAAAATAAGACAGATAAATAATTTTATATCAGATAAACAACTTTTCTCCCTACTGTCTTTTAAAAGACAGAGAAAGGAATCAGGGAAGGATTCTCTCTACCTGCTCGAAAGGGGCAATATTAGCCTCACTTGGAATGCCTTCCCAGAACCGACAGTCAAGCACACCCAGCCAAAAGCCAGGCTGCAAGAGACACTTTTGAACAAGATCAGATTTTTCTCTAGTGCCAGATTGTCTTTGACCTCTCGGCCACTCATCATTTACTAAATACGTTACAGGTTGTACTTTGTGTATTTCTGGCTTGAAGAGGGCTGAAAGTGAAAGTTTTGTGTCCAGAACACATTAAATCAAGCTCCAATTTAGAACAGCCTTTTTCCTGTCTCCTGCTTGCTGCTAAGGGCCATTTTGAAAAACAAGAAAATGAACAGCTGGAAGGCTAAGCAATTAGTATTTTTTTTCTTTGTACTTGATCTCCTACATCTCAGCTCAAGGACATACAGGGAGACTCTGAGCTCTGCTAAATTAGTAGCTAGTGAAAGTCCCTTGATAAATTAAAAAGAAATGAATTAATAACAGTGCTTTGCAAGGTGAGGCCTGAAGCATCTCTCTGGCAGAGATAGCTTAGGATGACCCAGTTATGATGATAATGAAGGGCTGGATAGGTTGATAGTCCCAACAGAATTTTTAAAAATAGAAGATTGTGTAGAAATGGTAACCCACTTATAAACAACAGGTAACATTTATTGAGCATTAACTGTCTAGCAGACAATGTGCTAAACTATCTTCAAGCATTATCTCGTTTAGCTCATAGAAACCCTGAGAGATAGGTTTGATTAAGTAGTAGCTAAGTAGTAGCATCAGGGATTTGCATTCACTGCAGTCTCACTCCAGAGCTCACACTTTTCACTGCTATGCTATCATTTTGATAAGAAAGACATTTATCAGGCCGGGCGCAGTGGCTCTTATCTGTAATCCCAGCAGTTTGGGAGGCAGAAGTCCGTGGATCACTTGAGGTCAGGAGTTTGAGCCCAACCTAGTCAATGTGGCACAACCCTGTCTCTACCAAAAATACAAAAAAAAAAAAAAAAAAATAGCCAGGCGTGGTGATGTGCACCTGTAGTCCCAGCTACTTGGGAGGTTGAGGCACAAGAATTACTGGAGCTGGGGAGGTAGAGGCTGCAGTGAGCCGAGTTCGCACCACTGCACTCCAGCCTGGATGACAGAGCGAGACTTCATCTCAAAAAAAAAAAGACAGTTATGAGCTTATGATGTGTTCAACGGTTTGTAATTATGCACAAAATCTTTTAAAGACGAGAGTCAAAGAACTACAATGGCTCCAAAAGTGTGAAGGAGAAGGCTCACAAAAATGGGCTAAGACAGAGAGAGATGCAAGTAGAAAAGCCTATGCAAGGCTGGAGGGATGATTTTGTCAAATGGTTTAGGAGAGGAGAAAGCAACAGCAATACCTGGCATTTTATTATCATCAGAGACAGGAAAGAGTGAATGTTTCCTTTCCCAAGTGGCCCTAATTTCAGGTAAGTAAGTAGAACAAAATAAATTCACATGGCTGGCTCTCACTGCATGTCAACTTCATTGTTCTGGTATTAGAAAATGTAAGATCAGACTAAGAAGGTCTTAATGAGGTCTTAAGAAAAGTAAGGCTGTGGGGCTTTCCTTCCAGAATTCAAACTATGTGTTTGGGTATGGAAAATCCCCACTCTGGATTTCTGTCTTGTCACTAGAGTGAAGATGCCTGGCCCTTTGGTTTCTAAGAAGGTTCTGAAGATAGGGTGATGTAGCTGGGAAAATGGTAAACAAACATTAGGAAAAAATCACTGCCTGAAGTTAAAATGAACCAAATTTTAACCTAAAAAAAAAAAGTCACCTATTTTATTTACATGAAAAGGCCTATTTCAGATAAAAGTAACAGCCTTTTCCCTCAGTTTGTGTTATTCATGTTGTTTAATTTTTGGTTTGCACATCTGAGGGGTTCTAAGATTTCATTTCATTTTGTATAAACAGTTTCCAAACTTGGGTAACATGGTTTCACTGTGGTGGAAAAGATGGAGCTCCCCACACACACACCATTCATTTGAAGTATTCCCAAGTTCCACTTTCCTCTGCAGAGCAGCTATTTAATTTGTGCAGCGGTGTTTGGACTAAAACATTTTGCCAACACTCTTACCAAATACTGACAGTTTCATTACAAATTACAAAATTAGAAGGTCACAGGTATAGACTTTACACATTTCCAACTTACCTAGTTTAGCATATGATAGTTTTCAGTTTGCTTCAGTTCTTTATTTTTATAGGTTGAGAAATAGAAACATACATTGGATTATAAGGTGCCTTCCAGTGATCCCTTTGTTAAGGGAAAAGTTACAATATTGGAAATAGATCCTGTGTTCATTTGTGTATCTTTCTTTAATCATGCATTGTGGTTTTTGCTGACCTAAGAGAGGGCACATGCCTACAAAAGTTCCATCTCCACTACGTAAACAGTCGGGTAGTCTTCCAGGGCATTCCTTAAGTCATTAATGACATTGCCTGAACTGAACTGAAGTTATATAATAATATTGGACAACAATATTATTATTTCATTTCTAAAAGCACTTAGCAGATTGGAAATATTTATTAATAATTATGGTTTGACCCAAATGAAATATAATTACTAATTTAAACATACAAAATGTAGAGGGATAAAGTGACAACAAATATGGGTTAAATGCATTCCATGACAGTGGCTCTTGAGATACTCCTAGAACAACCGCCCCTTCCAGAGTTCACAGTGCAGACAGGGGGATGGCCATTAAGCCCCCAGTGGCAGAGATCTGTGTTAAATGTGTCATCCAGGGACCCAATAAGCCAGGCACAGAAAAACAAGTTCTGTATGATCTCACTTATGTGTGGAATCTAAAAATATGAGTTCACAGAAGCAGAGAGTAGAAGGGTGGTTACCAGGGGCTGGAGGTAGGGAAAATAAGGAGACGTTGGCCAAGGGGCACAAAATTTCAGTTACAAAATGAATAAATTCTGGAGATCTAATGTACAGCATGGTGACTATAGTTAATAATTACGTTTTGTATACTTGAAATTTGCTACGAGAGTAGATCTAAAATGTTCTCACCACACACACACACAAAGATGGTGATGGCTATGTTCATTAGCTTGATTGTGATAACCATTTCATAATGTATACATATATCAAAACATCACATTATACCTCTTACATATATGCAATTTTTATTGTGAAAAAAATAATTAAAAAATGAAGTTTGTGAGGAAGAGGAAAAAAGTGTTGTAATGCAAGAAGCACAGGCATGCACAGGCTGTGTGCATAGTGATGGGGAAAACGACTCTTAACAGAGAGCTGGAAGAAAGGGAAGGGGGTTCCTGCCTTCACTTGTGATCTGGAGAAGGATTCATGTGTATTACATAGATGTTGGTAACACAACTGAATGTGGTAAGTTCTGTGTGCTTTGATCACAGTTGTGAGAATCAAAGAAAGTTTCTTCTAGGCAGTGATAATTTGAACCAGACCTTAAGAATGGGCAGGATTTCCAGTAGACCACAGACTCAGATGCAATAAAAAACAAGGAGTGCTTAGGGCACAGCAGGTAGCACTGTTAGAGAGCAGAGCGCCTGCTGAGCAATGCAGCTGCCAGGGCAGGTGTACTTGATTTTCAGTAGGTATCAGTATTAAAGCCAAGGTACAAGTTCCTCATATGGCTTAGCTGTTTTAACCCATTAATTCAATATGAGAAAACCATATTATTTTGCTTCCAAAAATCTCTAAAATCAAAGGTCTCCCAAAGGCACAATTAGTATTTGGAAAATGCCAGAAGCAACTCCTGTTCTCTTTAATGTTCCACTTGCCATTGGATGATGTACCAGGCATTCAAAGAGTTCAGTTGTTCTCTTCTGGTTGCCTGGGGTAAAAGAATGTAGGCACCTCTTCTGCCATTTGCTTACAACATTACAAGATGATTATTTTCTATTATAGAAGACAGAGAAGGCCACACACCTCAAGGTGTCTTTATAAGATGTTGTCTCTCTGAGGCAATGATATAGGGACTTTTCTGGCTGCAGGTCATTTTAATAAAGTTTAAAATACAAGGCAGGGTGACGTTTTACAAACCTTAAAACCCCAAAGTAGCTTTGTTCCAAATAAGCGGGCTTTATCTGAATGCCAAAACTCCAGATAATCCCCTAACTGGTTCAAGGATTGCTTTTCCCAGTTGAAATTACTCTGTTGCCAATAATAGACTTAACAAAAGTTAAACTTTTAAATATTCATCATCTTGGCAGGTTGCAGACGTTACAAATGTACATTCTTATGTTTTCTCAATTACGGTATTGGTCTTTCATATGGCTTCTGTATAAGACCACTTTATTTTTTTTCTCTCAAACATACTGGTCTTTTTGAAATATGTACATCCTATAAGACTTCAACACATTTATATGAGATACTGTGAATTGATAAAGGTCATATTAATGCTTTCCTACAATAATTGAATACATTTTTTTTTTAAAGCTGGGGGAAGTGGGGTTTTAAAAAAAGCTGACTTCTCGCCATTGGCACTTTGTGTGAGCCCATTACACTTTGCTTTCTTATAAGAGATTTCTGTAATGCTTTTTGAGTGCTATTAAAACTGACCTCTTCAATAAATGTCAACTTACTGTCTAAAGGCAACCAAAAGAATTTTAAGTCAAATTATATTTCTACTAAAACTGAGTTTGCTTAGCTTGACTACTGGAACGTTTTCTTTAAGAATTCTAAGTATTGTGGTAATATTGCAAAGTGAATACTCTCAGATTTTTCAAGAAGCTGTTCTAAGACTGAATCTGTGGCCTCATGTTGTAAATCAGGGAGTAAGTCCCCCTTGTGGGGTCTTTAAGGATCTCTCCAACTCTGGAGATCTCTCCGGTCTCCGACTTGGGAAATTACACTCGGGTAACATGTGAAATAAAAAGATTTCTTCTACTCATAGGTCATAGAGAAGGACACAGGCCACACCACGCCATGCAGGAGGCCATGTGGAAGAAGCACTAAGCCAGCGCTCCATGAAGCAGGTGGGGGCACAAGAGAGTGAGCCCCAATGAGCGAATGCCTTTACTGGGGGTCCCAGTGGAGTACACAAGCAAGAGGCATGAGGGAGTGTTGTTGGTGCTTTTAAATGTCACTAGTTCACAGTCAGAGGAGAAAAAGAAGAGGAACTTGTGGCTGAACCAACCTTATCATACTAGTGCACCTGGGCCCTGGGTGGGGTGCTCATGGCCTGTGTGATGTTGAGGCATGGGGAAAATATGAAGTTTTTAAAATTTACAGTACAGGCCTCTTTGGTATAGACTGAAGCCAGCAGCAGGGCAGGGGTGGGGAAGAAGTGGACCAGGACAGGGAGATGCACCCTGGAGAAGATGGGAGCTCTCACAGTGTTCTCTGAAGCTGGCAGTTTAGATGGTAGCAGCTAGATGGGCTTGGTGAGTGGTGGTCCGGGTTGTGGGGCCCCATGCATAGCCTCCACGGCCACTGTATTCATGGGCTCATGGAGTCAGCTCTAGAAGTGGTGAAGGGTAGGGGTGGGCTGATGTCAATAGGCCAGGTCATTCTGTCTGCTCAGTCATTCAGTGCCTCTTCCGTGGACACTCTTGTGAGTGTTAACATGGCATAAAAATCTTCACTTTCAGGCCCACTCCTTCTATCCATCCACATGCATCTATGATCTTCCAGTACTTCCCATGATTGTCATTATTTTCTAACTGTGGGCTGCATCTTCCTTCATTATAAAGTGAGTGACCAAGTTTGCTGCCTGAACCTCTGCCCATTAAGAGGATTTCCTCTCGCCACACTCTGCAAGCCACCTTTGAATGAGGCTGCAGCCCTCATGTACTTTCCATCTGCACCCACAGAGCAAGCCCACCTGCTATAAAGCAAATATGGGCTTTTCCTTCCTCCTGTAGGATCCCCTATGTAGCTGGCATCATACACAAAAGGAGGGCTGTGCTGCGGGTGGCTTGGGGTCTGGGTAGACCATCTGTTGGCTTGTGTCTACTAGTGCTGCTCTTATTCAATCCTGGATGTACTCCTTTAAACCAAATTAAAGATAAAAACACATGAAACAGGCTAGGCATGGTGGAGCATACCTGTAGTTCACACTACTCATAAGGCTGAGGTGGGAGGATTGCTTGCGTCCAATAGTGTGAGACTGCAGTGTGCACAATCATGCCCGTGAATAGCCTCTGCACTCCAACCTGGGCAACATAGCAAGACTCCATCTCTAAAACACACACGTGCACACACACACACGCACACACATAACAAAATGCTCCCAAGTTTTTATTAGACCCAAATGTTTGCTGTTTATTACCAAAAAGATAAGATTTTCTTTTTAATAAAAAGAAAAATGGCTGGGTGCAGTGGCTCACGCCTGTAATCCAAGCACTTTGGGAGGCTGAGGCGGGGCAGGTGAATCACTTGAGGTCAGGAGTTCAAGACCAGCCTGGCCAACATGGTGAAACCCTGTCTCTGCTAAAAAAAAAAAAAAAAAAAAAAATTAGCTGGGCATGCTGGCAGGTGCCTGTAATCCCAGCTACTCAGGAGGCTGAGGCAGGAGAATCACTTGATCACTTGAACCAGGGAGGTGGAGGTTGCAGTAAGCCGGGATTGTGTCACTCCATTCCAGCCTGGGCAACAGAACAGGACTCCATTAAAAAAAATTAAGAAAGAAAAAGAAAGAAAGAAAGAAAGACAGACACATAAAATAAAAGATACATCCAATGAAATTAGGGTAGAAAAGCTCCTGTTTATTGCATACAATCTCTTTTTTTTTTTTTTTTTTTGAGATGGAGTCTTGCTCTGTTGCCCAGGTTGGAGTGCAATAGTGCCATCTCGGCTCACTACAACTTCCACCTCCCAGGTTCAAGTGATTCTCCTGCCTCAGCCTCCCGAGTAGCTGGGATTACGGGTGCCCACCATCACGCCCAGCTAATTTTTGTATTTTTAGTAGAGACAGGGTTTTGCCATGTTGGCCAGGCTGGTCTCGAACTCCTGACTTCATAATCCATCCGCCTCAGATTCCCAAAGTGCTGGGATTACAGGCGTGAACTACTATGCCCAGCCTATTGCATACAATCTCTTTCATCTTTCCTTGCCTCTTACAAGTAGATATTCGTACCTATAAAGAAATCTGAATTCTAATAGAACAGTAAGTGCTGGAGTGTACATGGAGGAACTGATACATTAATCTTGTTGATCACTTCTAAAATCCTGTGTGCTTCACTACTGACTAGGAACAGTAGCCAATTAAATTTAAGCACATATATTTGTTTCTATTTCAAAAAGAAAACAATGAGCTATGGAAACATTTCCAGTATAATCAAGCATAAATTTGCCGAAATAAACCATGTAGAATTTTTTTTAACAATGCAAAAACAGAGTCAGTGATTTCATAGTAATCAAATCTTTACAGCTTCTAAATTCTGCTCCTGCAATTGTAGGAGAGTGGATGAAGTATACAGAACTATAAATCAAAAGGGAATGAATCTTCCACAAACCACCTGGCTGTTCACATTGACAATTTGATTAATTGACAATACCTTTGGCCAAATAAAAACAATGGAATTGTAGAGAGACATATTCTTCTAGTCTTGATTCTGATGTTTCCCACATGCCTCTTACCACCAAAGTAACTACACATCTCTACAAGCATATATATACATACAACTATGGCACAGAAACTCACATTGGAAATGAATAACTTTTCTGTTAAGGGTGTCCTCTTTCTTGTGCTCCTTCTTCTAAATATTCCTAGAAGAGGTAACATACATTATTATCATCTCATGAAAATTTGTTTATCAGATCCTTATTTTCTGTGACCCAGGTTGTGAGAGAGGAAGTGGGAACAACAGAAAGTGAAGCAAGTGTCCAAGAAGAGGAAGTAGTGGCCTCAAAGACAAACAGCCTACTGCCTTTTCCATCCCTGACAACCAGATTTGAATTGCTCACTAATGCATAAGTGAATGCATAAATTGCTTGCTTTAGCATAAGCACAATCCCCAAAGTGAATTTTATTTGTTGCCACCACTAGCTACTCAGAAGGCAAGAAAGCACCCAATTCTTGTCTTTGTGACAAATTTGGGTATGCATAAACTAAGAATGCCTACAATAAAAGTTTCCCTGATGAAAAGGAAGAATGTTATTACTCTCTGCTATCTGAGTTTTTCAGGCCCCAAAAAAGAAATTTTGATCTGACATATAAACCATATGTAATTCTTTCCTGGATCTAATGCAATTCACATGAACACCATGGAAGAAGCAGTTGAGTGGGCCTGGCTGATAGATGTAAGCAACACATATCCCCTCCTATGAATTGATTCTTAATTTCTCTCTAAGCAGGAAGACTGATATGGTGGTGGTTGTTTTTCTTTAGGCATAATGGTTAAAAGTTAATCAATGGTATCAGTTACTGATGACACATGGTTATCTTTCCAAGAGATGAAAATAAATAGATGAAAACAGACATCTGCAGCTGCAGATACAGACTAGTTGTACTAAACGATTCTATTTCATCACTAAGGAGGATGTGCCCAATGGAGCTGTACCCTGCAGCAAACATTTCTGCAAGAGTTACTTTTTAATAAGTGCTCCAAGCTCCAGATTGACTATTGTTTGGGAATTTGGCTAGTTAATGGAGAGGTGGCAGGTTCTGATTTAAAAATAAGGTGTTCAAAAGTCATTATCCCATTACAGCAGGCATTCCAGGCAAGTTTAAGTACACACCCTATGTCAGGATGATCTGGAACTTTTTGTGGGAAGAAATGGGTCCCTTATGACAGCTGCCCACTGAGCTCTCCCACCCCAAATCTGGTTCTAATTTGCCTTTATATTTCTGCCATCAACATTTAAAAGTTTTAAGAGGTAGTGATTTCTCTTCTAAAACACTGTCCTCGAAGTATATTTCTTTGGGCCTCACACTGCCTGTCCACCATACCACTAATGTTTGCTGACATACAGGAAATTCAGTTCAAGAGTAAAAGATTTTTGGATGCTAACCAATATTTATACTGCAACTGGGTGTAAGTTTTTCAAAGGCCTCAGGAGTATGCATATTGTTGACCTACCAATTTTATTTCTAATAATTTTTCCAAAGAAAACAACAGAGAAAATTTGTTCAAGGATTTTGCTATAAAAATTCTTATGGTAAAGTTGTATAATGTCAAAAAAAAGCAAACAACCTAAATATGCAACTATATGAAATTCCTAAATAATTTGTGATTAGCCCATACAGTAGAATATTTTGCTGTCACTTAAATAGTATTAGCTAAATCTTTAAAAATGGAAAAATATTTATAGTATAATATTAAGTTTAAAAAGAGCTTAGAATGCAACATTATGTTACTATATAAATCACAGGGGAGAAAACATTGAAAGGACACACCCAAATGCTAAGAGGGATTACACATGAGTGATGGAACTGACAAATACCTTTTATAATCTCCTTGTTTTTCTGTATTTCTCAGGAATAGTTTATACTGAATATGAATTAATTTTGTATTTAGAAAAAAGTAATTTCTAAAACATGAAGTAAATTGGGGAGTGCAGATGTTAGTTGCTGGAAGCTCAGAGCTCCAGGAAAGCAAAGGCTTGCAAATTAAGGTGTCTATGCCAGACTTAGTAAACTGTTAGGTGGAAATGTGTGCTGTTGCTGTTTGTGCTTTTAACAAAATGTAATTCTTCAACTACCTTAAGTGATTGCAAACAGACATGTCTTTTTAGGAAGTTGTGGATGATGAGTATTTAATGATGCTGATGAGTTGAAGTGAAGAGCATTGATGTCATAGAAGTAGGGAGTAGAGTGGTGGTTACCAGAGGATGCAGAGGGAAGGGGGTAATGGTGAGATTGGTCAAGGGGTGCAAGGCTCCAGTTAGATAGAAAGAGTAAGTTCTGGTGGTCTATTGCACAGTATTATGACTAGAGTTTGCAGTAATATATTGTATGTCCTCATCACAAATAAATTTATCAATGTTTAGGGTGATCAGTATGCTAATTACCCTGATTTGATCATTACACAATTTACACATGTATTGAAACATCGCACTGTAATCCATAAATATATACAATGATCACGTGTGACATGGTTTGGCTGTGTCCCCAACCAAATCTCATCTTGAATTATAGTTCCCATAATCCCTACATGTCATGGGAGGGACCTGGTGGAGATAATTGAATCATGAGGGTGGTTTCCCCCCTCATCCTGTTCTGGTGACAGTGAGTTAGTTCTCGTGAGATCTGATGGTTTTATAAGAGGCTTTCCCCACCTCTCGCTCCGCACTTCTCCTTGCTGCTGCCATCTAAAGAAGGATGTGTTTGCTTCCCCTTCCATGAGGATTGTAAGTTTTCTGAGGCCTCCCCAACCCTGTGGAAATGTGAGTAAATTAAACTTCTTTCCTTTATAAATTACCTAATCTTGGGTATGTCCTTATTAGCAGTGTGAGAATGGACTAATATAGTAAATTAGTCCGTGGGGTTGTACCTAGCAAAGCCAAGGCGGAGCTGCCCAAGGCCATGGGAGCCTACCTTTTGCATCAGCACGCCCTAGATATGAGACATGGAGTCAAAGGAGATCATTTTGGAACTTTAAGGTTTAATAACTACCCTATTGGATTTCGGACTTGCAAGGAGCCTGTAGCCCCACTGTTTTGGCCAATTTCTCTTATTTAGAATGGGTATATTTACCCAATACCTATACCTCCATTGTATCTGGAAACTAACTAACTTGCTTTTGATTTTACAGCCTTATAAGTAGAAGGAATTTGCCTTGTGTTAGATGAGACTTTGGACTTGGACTTTTGGCTTAGCACTGGAATGAGTTGACCTTGGGGGATGGTTGGAAGGGCATGATGGTATTTTGAATTGTGAGGACGTGAGATTTGGGAGGGACCAGGGGGAGAATTATATTGTTTGGCTATGTCCCCACCCAAATCTCATCTTGAATTATAGTTCCCATAATCCCCACATGTTGCACGAGGGACCCAATGCACATAATTGAATGATGGGGGTGGTTTCCTCCATCCTGTTCTCATGGTAGCGAGTTAGTTCTCATGGGATCTGATGGTTTTATAAGGGGCCTTTCCCCACCCATCACTCTGCACTTCTCCTTGCTGCCACCATGTGAGGAAAGACATGTTTGATTCCCCTTCCAGCATGATTGTAAGTTTCCTGAGGCCTTCTCAGCCCTGCGGAACTGTGAGTCAATTAAACCTCTTTCCTTTATAAATTATCCAGTCTCTGGTATGTCTTCATTAGCAGCGTGAGAATGGACTAATACAATGTGCCCATCATAAATCTTAAAAATGTTGGCCAAAGATAAAATGTAGACAATAACACTAGGTTTGAAGGTGCTGTGCTCAGAATTACTGGGGATAAGAACAAAGGTTGACAATTCCTTTGACCCCATATGAGGACTGACTTTTCCTCTGCCCCCACCACCGTACTGCCCACACTTCCAGCTGCTCTAGGCACACACACCCTGTCGACCAGGATGAGTAGACAACACACAGCTGAGAAGTCCCAATGCCCAAGACTAGGCTGTTTTGTCAAGCCATCTCCAATTCCTATGCACCAGTGGTGGTGGCCAGGAAATGAGAACTTTCAAACTCAAAGTGGAAGAGGCCGGGCGCGGTGGCTCACGCCTGTAATCCCAGCACTTTGGGAGGCCAAGGCGGGCGGATCACGAGGTCAGGAGATCAAGACCATCCTGGCTAACACGGTGAAACCCCGTCTCTACTAAAAATACAAAAAATTAGCTGGGCGCGGTGGCGGGCACCTGTAGTCCCAGCTACTCAGGAGGCTGAGGCAGGAGAATGGCGTAAACCCGGGCGGCGGAGCTTGCGGTGAGCCAAGATCGCGCTGCTGCACTCCAGCCTGGGCGACAGAGCAAGACTCCATCTCAAAAAAAAAAAAAAAAAAAAAAAAAAACTCAAAGTGGAAGAAATGTTACTCACAATTTGAATGGCTGAAATGAAAATATCAACAACAGGAGAGCACGGCAAGGAGCAAAGGGACAATTGTAAGCAGCAGAGGATTGAGGTCCTTAAGTTGAGCTGAAATGGGGTCCACTTAGATTCAGAAAGCCTTCAGGCATGTGACCCAGGTCTCAGCTTCCTCATCTACGAAGTGGAGATGATGGTTGATTCTCATTATTCATGGTAGTTACACTCTAAAGTGACTGCAAACACTGAATTTGTGAATACTGAGCCAGTGCTTTTATGGGAAATATGGGGTTAGATCCCTGCCAGCCTCTGGTCACATTTCCATCAACTGATCAATACATTTTTGTAATGTGTGTTTCTGTTTAAACACAGCATATTGAATCCCTAACAGAGACATTAAACCCTTACTCAGAAGTAAATAGTGCTATTTCCTCAATAAAATATTGCTGATTAGCTAACATTGAACAGCCACCAGCACTACAACTCCTGCCTGAAGGAAGCTTATCTAACACACCCGTTTTCTCCATAAGGTACCTCACAGCCTCTTGTGTTTAAAACACCAGAAGGCACTGCAGCACTACCCTTCGGGGCCATCTCAAACAGCAAAATCACCAGTATTGAAGTTGGGGTTGCAAATCAATTTTTGCAAATACGTAAATTTGCAAATACCGAAGTGATGAATAGTGAAGATTGACTGTAATAATAATAATACAAGCTGTGGAGATTAATGAAATAATCCATGTCAAACATTTAACAGCATGTGGTACATATATACCAAATATGTACTGAACAAGTAACTGTTTTTGCCAAATATTTGAAGCCACTATTAAGGTGTTAAGTATATAACTATGAATATTACCATATACTGTAAATGGGTACTCTAGAAGGAAGACTACAAAAACAGCCTAATGTTAAAATTACCTGATAAACAGGTACAGTTTCTTTGCCACAACTTTTTAAAAATGACTTTAAAAAAACACTTAAAATGAAGCTACCTATGTGTTTTTCATAGCAAGTTAGTTGAATTAAAATTAAGACCCTCGGGAGATCTGGAAGTAGGTGGGAATGAGGAGCAAATTAATTGTTTTGCAATAAAAACTGCTCCCCAATCCTCCAGTCCCTAACAGAGACAATTAACCCTTACTCAGAAGTAAATAGTGCTACTTCCTCAATATTAACAGGATTCAGTAAAGGATGTTTCAGTGTATTTTTTTTTTTTTTACTTTAACAACCACCTTGTTTGGCATTTATTTTTACTTTGTTGTAATAGTAAACACAAGGGATCCCCTTTATTTAGCATAAAATTTCCTTGCCAGAAAGTAAATATTTGATGTTTATATAAGCAGCTATAAAAACAATTTCCTGAGAGATTTCTCCACAAAAATATTTACCTGCTTGAGCCGATGGATTGAGATGATTTGGAAACCAAACTTCCTTTCCAGTGTGGCTAGGTAGGCATTTCCTTCTAACTTATCCTTCACAACTCACTACAACATTTGAAACCTCTTGTCTTCAGGATTTTGTGTTCAAAACTTCACTGAACTTTTTTTGTTTGTTTAACTTATCTAAAATATTAGTAATAGTCTATCTATAGTATCTATAACATTTCTTTTCATTGTCTCAACTCCAAAACCCACTCCTCCCGCATTTCTGGTTTCTGTGATGGGATCACCATTCTTGTAGTTGCCCAGGCTTGTACCGTTGGGTTCACCTTTTACTTCTTCCTCTTCATTGCTGCATGCCAAACTCATTCAACTTCTTTATCCTGAGGCTACATTACAGCATGCATTCTGTCCATCCCCATCTCTCCATTCCCATTGCCCTTGTCCTAGTTGAAGTTCTCAATTCTTATTGCCAGAGCCAAGGCAATAACTTTGTAATCACCCTTCCATCATCTTCCCCAAACCATCATACCTGTGGCTACCAAATTCATTTTTATAAAGTATTATTTTATTATCACCATGGCATGACACAGCAAGAAGGCCCTCCCCAGATGCTAGCCTCTCAATCTTGGACTTCCCAGCCTCCAGAACTGTGAGCCAATAAATTTATGTTTATTAGAAATTCCTAGTCTCAAATATTCTGTTATAGCAACACAAAATAGACTAAGACAAACTCTCAAATGTGGAGCTCCCTATCTAAATCCTTTCCACATCTCGTTCTTTTCCATGGAACATATTGTCCACCAGGCAACAGTTGGAGTTTCAGTTCTTCAGAATGCACAGGGTCACCTTGCCTTGAAGCACTTCAGATCTCCATATTGTAGTCATATAATGGTTCTCTCTTGGAATGAAGATGATTTTTTTTTGCCACATTGTATACTTACTCATGAGCTCTTTCATCAGAAATGCTGCAGTTTTGTTACTGATGTTTTTAGAGTCAAAACATAATCTTCTATTTTATCTAAAATTTCCCTCTTCTATGGGTAAAAGAAATGTCTTTTTAAAAAGTAAGGGGTATTGTTCTCCAGTCCCGATATAGAAAATGATATCCTAAAGGAAAAAAACGCTGAAAGGTGGTTACTAAGTAAAGGCCTTCAGTTTTTCTTTCCCAGAACACGCTTGAGGTGTATTTGACATCTGTCTAACTCAAATTTCATTCCTTTTGAATGTCTCAGTTCCCATATTCCTTCCACAATGTAGACAAAAATCTCCATTTACCCTGTTGAAGAATCTCATACTAAAATCCTAAATCACGACAAAGCAAGGTTATGAGCATGGCTCAGAGCATGCACTGTGACCTCACAAGGAAAGGTGACTATGGGGGCCTGGATTAGGAAAGATGTCAGGGAGGAGGTGGCATTTGAGTTAGGCCTGAAACAAGCATTAGCAGTGGAGCACCCAGAGTCGCAGTGAAGGAAAATGTAAACAGAAAGGATGTAGCAGGAAAGGAACAAAGTCAAGATTTCTGGATGCAACGACAGAGAGCTACAAGAGTTTGTTTTGGTCTGGCCCATGCTTCATGAAAGAAAATTGTGAGACATTTGTTATAAAGGAGGATTGTAGACTGGCCCATGAGGAATCTCACTGCCAAGCAAAGGAGAGGCAGCACTTTATTCTGTGGGCAATGGGGAGCCAATGAAGGACAAAACAGCCAGCATAAAAAAGAACTTAACAGATCTGACAGAGCTGAATAACACAATGTAAGAATTTCACAATGCAATCACAAGTATTAACAGCAGAACAAACCAAGCTGAGGAAAGAATCTCAGAACTTCAAGACTGGCTCTCTGAAATAAGACAGTCAGACACCGAAGAAGTATGGGATTATGTAAAGAGGACAAATATCAGAATCACTGGCATGCCTGAAAGGGAGGGGGAGGAAGCAAACAACTTGGAAAACATATTTCAGGATATTGTCCATGAAAACTTCCCCAACCTTGATAGAGAGGCCAACAGTCAAATTCAGGAAATGCAGAGAATGCTTGCAAGATTCTACACAAGAAGATCATCCCCAAACACATAATTGTCAGATTTTCCAAGGTCAAAATGAAAGAATGTTAAAGGCAGCTAAAGAGAAAGGGCAGGTCACCTACAAAGGGAACCCCATCAAGCTAACAGTGAACCTCTCAGCTGAAACCCTACAAGCCAAAAGAGATTGGGGGCATATATTCAACATTCTTAAAAAAAAAAAATCTTCAACCAAGAATTTCATATCCAACCAAACTAAGCTTCCTAAGCAAAGGAGAAATAAGATCCTTTTCAGATATACAAATGTCGAGGGAGTTTGTTACCACCAGACCTACCTTACAAGCTATCTTGAAAGAAGCATTAAATATAAAAAGGAAAGACCACTACCAGCTAATACAAAAACACACTTAAACACACAAACCAGTCTCACTATAAAAGAACCACACAAACGAGCCAACATAAATAGCTAACAGCAAAATGACAGGATCAAATCCACATATATCAATACTAATCTTGAAAGTAAATGAGCTAAATGCCCCACTTAAAAGGCACAGACTGGCAACCTGGGTAAAAAAGCAAAATCCAATGGTATACTGTCTTCAGGAGACCCTTCTCACACATAATGACACCCATAGACTCAAAATAAAGGGACGGAGGAAAATCTACCGAGCAAATGAAAAACAGAAAAAAAGCAGGGTTGCAATCCTAACTTCAGACAAAACAGAGTTGATTTTCTGAAAAAAAATTTAATAAGCTAGATAGGCCACTAGCTATACTAATAAAAAAGAAAAGACAGAAGATCCAAATAAACACAATTAGAAATGATGAAGAAAATGCTACCACTGATCCCATAGAAATTAAAAAAAAAAAAAAACAACCATCAGAAACCACTATGAACACTTCTATGCACACAAACTAGAAAATCTAGAAGAGATGGATACTTGGACACATACACTCTCCCAAGACTGAACCAGGAAGAAATTGATTCCCTGAACAGACCAATAATGAGCTCTGAAACTGAATGAGTAATAGATGACAGCCCTGAAACCAATAAAATCTCAAGACCTGATGGAATCACAGCCAAATCCAATCAGATGTATAAAGAAGAGCTGGTACCATTCCTGCTGAAACTATTCCAAAAAAACTGAACAGGAGGGACTTCTCCCCAGCTAGTTCTATGAGGCCAGCATCATCCTGATACCAAAACCTGGCAGAGAACAACAAAAAAAGAAAACTTCAGGCCAATGTCTTTGGTGAACACTGATGCAAAATCCTCAACAAAATACTTGCAAACTGAATCAGCAGCACATCAAAAAGCCAATCCACCACAATCAAGTCGGCTTCGTCACCGGGATGCAAGATTGGTTCAACACATGCAAATCAGTAAATGTGATTCATCACATAAACAGAAATAAAGATAAAAACTAATGAGTATCTTAATAGAAGCAGAAAAGGCTTTTGATAAAATTCAACACCACTTCATGTTAAAAACTCTGAATAAACTAAGTATTGAAGGAACGTGTCTCTAAATAGTAAGAGCCATCTATGACAAACCTACAGCCAACATTATATTGAATGGGCAAAAGCTGGAAGCATTCACCTTAAAAACTGGCACAAGTTTGGGAGGCTGAGGCGGGCGGATCACCTGAGGTCAGGATTTCAAGACCAGCCTGGCCAACATGGCAAAAGCATGTCTCTACTAAAAATACAAAAATTAGCTGGGCATGGTGGCACTGTAATCCCAGCTACTTAGGAAGCTGAGGCAGGAGAATCACTTGAACCCTGGAGGTGGAGGTTGCAGCAAGCCGAGATCATGCCATTGCACTCCAGCCTGGGCAACAAGAGTGAAATTCTGTCTCAGAAACAAAAAACAAAATGAAACAAAAAACTGGCACAAGAAAAGGGTAACCTCTCTCACCATTCCTATTCAAGAGAGTATTAAAAGTCCTAGCCAGAGCAATCAGGCAAGAGAAAGAAATAAAGGGCATCCCAATAGGAAGAGTGGAAGTCAAACTATCTCTATTTGCAGAGATGATTCTATATCTAGAAAACTCCACAGTCTTGGCCCAAAAGCTCCCTCAGCTAATAAACTTTAGCAAAGTTTCAGGATACAAAATCAATGTACGAAAATCACTATCATTCCTATATACCAACAACAGCTAAGCTGAGAGCCAAATCAAAAAGGCAATTATATTCACAATTGCCACAAAAAGAATAAAACACCTAGGAATACAACTAATCTGGGACAAAATACCTAGGAATAAAATACCTAGGAATAAAATACCTAGGAATACAACTAACTGCTGAAAGAAATCAGAGAAGACACAAACAAATGGGAAAAGCACCCCATGCTCATGGATAGGAAGAATCAATATTAACATGGCCATATTGCCCAAAACAATTTACAGATTCAATGCTATTCCTATCAAACTACCAATAACATTATTTACAGAACTAGAAAACACTATTTTAAAACGTATATAAAACCAAAAAAGAGCCTGAATAACTAAGGCAATCCTATACAAAAAGAACAAAGCTGGAAACATCATGTCACCTGACTTCAAACTATACAACAGGGCTACAGTAACTAAAACAGCATGGTACAGATACAAAAATAGGCAGATAGACCAATGGAGCAGAATAGAAAGGCCATAAATAAGGCTGCACACCTACAACCATCTGATCTTTTACAAAGCTGACAAAAGCAAGCAATGGGGAAAAGACTCCCTATTCAATAAAAGGTGCTGAGATAACTGGCTAACAATATGGAGAAGATTGATGCTGGACCCCTTACTTACACCATATGCAAAAATCAACTCAAGATGAATTAAAGACTTAAATGTAAAACCCAAAACTATAAAAACCCTGGAAAGAACCTAGGCAGTAACATCCTGGACATAGGAACAGGCAAAGACTTCATGACAAAGACACCAAAAGAAATTGCAACAAAAGCAAAAATTGACAAGTGTAATTGAATTAAACTTAAAAGCTTCTGCATAGCAAAATAAACTATCAACAGAGTAAACAGACAAGCTACAGAATGGAAAAAAATATTTGCAAACTATGCATCTGACAAAGGCCTAATATCAAGCATCTATGAAGTATGTAAACAGATTTACAAGAGAAAAACAAACAACCCCATTAAAAAGTGGCCAAAGCACATGAATAGACACTTTTCAAAAAAAGACATACATGTGACCAACAAGCATATGAAAAAAGCTCAATATCACCAATCATTAGAGAAATGCAAATCAAAACCACAATGAGATACCATCCTACACCAGTCAGAATGACTATCATGAAAGAGTCAAAAAATAATAGATACTGGCAAGGTTGCAGAGAAAAGCGAACACTTATACACTGGTTGGTGGGAGTGTAAATTACTTCAACCATTGTGGAAAGCAGTATGGCAATTCCTCAAAGAGCTAAAAGCAGAGCTACCATTCAATCCAGCAATCTCATTACTGGGCATACACCCAGAGGAATATAAATCATTCTACCATAAAGACCTATGCACGTGAATATTCATTGCAGCACTGCTCACAATAGCAAAGACATGGAATTAACCTAAATGCCCATTAATGACATATTAGATAAAGAAAATGTGGTATATATACACCATGGAATACTACACAACCATAAAAAAGAACGAGATCATGTCTTTTGTGGCAACATGAATGAAGCTGGAGGGTATTATCCTTAGCAAACTAATGCAAGAACGGAAAACCAATACTGCATGTTCTCACTTATAAATGGAAGCTAAATGATGAGAACTTATGAACACAAAGGAAGGAGACAACAGACACTGAGGCCTCCTTGAGGGTGGAGGGTGGGAAGAGGGAGAGGAGCAGAAAAGATAGCTATTGGATCCTGGGCTTAATACATGGGTGATGAAATAATCTATATAACAAGCCTGCAGGACACAACTTTACCTATGTATCAAACTTTCACATGTACCCCTGAACCTAAAATAAAAGTTTAAAAAGTTTTAAAATTTTTTTAAAAAACTTAAAGCCAAAGTCTTTTTTTTTTTTTTTTGAGACAGAGTTTCGTTCTTGTTGCCCAAGCTGGAGTGCAATGGCACAATCTCAGCTCACTGCAACCTCTGCCTCCTGGGTTCAAGCGATTCTCCTTCCTCCGCCTCCCGAGTAGCTGGGATTACAGGCATGCACCACCACGCCCAGCTAATTTTTTATATTTTTGGTAGAAACGGGGTTTGTCCATGTTAGCCAGGCTGGTCTCGAACTCCTGACCTCAGGTGATCCACCGTCTTGGCCTCCCAAACTGCTAGGATTACAGACGTGAGCCACCACGCCCGGCCAATAAAGACAAATTCTGAAGTAAAAAATATAAAGAAAAGTAAAACTAAAAAATAACCCAAAGATTTCTCAACAAATCAAAAGTTCATAGAATTGTAGCAAAATCATTTTAACATTTTTCCGGAGGAAAATAGAGAATGAAAGAGAAAAATTAACTTTCTCTAACGTCACACAGGTTATATATATCAGATAATATGCAAATTTTTATTTTCCCAACAGCCCTATGAGATAAACATTAATATCCTCATTTCAGAGGTTCCGGAAAACTTGGATAAACTTTTCCAGGCCACTATTATGTATGGGAATTTGAATTCAAATCTGTGATTATCTGATACAAATATTTGAATGATTAACTGTGTGCTATCTTGTCTCCCAAGTAGTTATTGACAGAATGGGTGTTGAAATTAGGAAAAAGATAATTTTAATACAAATCAGGGTTTTGTATATGTAAAATAGGACACATTTAGGGGACATTTCTCTTCTCTACTACCAGTTGCTCAAGGTAGCCCTATGTGCGTGATGGAGGAAACATGGGGCCCACTGAGGTCCACCAAAGGCCACACCTTATGAGATGGCTCTGAGATTAGATGAATCAGATGGGGAAGAAACTCATTGCTCAACAGATTTCAGCATTATTTCCTAAAGCTAAGATCCAAAGTTTAAAGTGGTAAACTTATTTAAAAAAAGCAGGCAGAAACTTCAGGCCTCAAGTCATTACAACCTCTCACCCTCCACCTGCAGCTGGAAGTAAAGGGGTATAGCTGTTGCTGCTGTTGTTTGATATTATTATTGTTGGTGACTTTAAGTAAAACAATGTATAACAAAATCAATTTTCCCATAAGCTAATTGATATAAACAAGAGTTAGGCTGAGTGGAGTGGCTCACACCTATAATCCCAACACTTCGGGAGGCTGAGGTGTGAAGATCACCTGAGCCCAAGAGTTCGAGACCAGCCTGAGCCACATGGTGAGACCCCCATCTCTACAAAAATTTTAAAAAAAAAATTAGCCAGACATGGTGGTGTGTGCCTTTATTCCCAGGTACCAGTTGGCAGCCTGAGGCAGGCGGATCCCTTGAGCCCAGGAAGTCGAACCTGCAGTGAGCTATGATCACACCACCGCACTCCAGACTGGGCAACACAGTGAGACCCTGTCTCAAAACAAAAAAGCAAGAGTTAAGTTTCTGTGGCAAATTCATGGTCACAAACATCACCAAACTTCTAAATAAAGACCCAAAACACCTCTAATATTAACCATGGGAGCTGTGCATACATTTAAGAAAGATTAATAAAAACAAGAAGGATAATTTTTCCAATTTCTGGTGAATCTGTAAGTGACAGCAGTCATTGTGGTGATGAGTTAAATCAAGAAATAAATGTTTGAAAATCGAAAATTGTCAGGAGCATCTCCTCCCACCAGGCAGTTCAAAACCAAACCATCACAAATGTGGCGACTCCCACAGAGCTTTCTTCATTTATTGTCGTATATTTGTATTGATTATTGTAGACTTTCTGCATTTTTATTTGACAATAATTCATAATTAATTCATTCATTCTCCAAACTGTTTGTTCCAGTTCAAGTCTGCAGGTGGCCAGAACTTATCCCAGTGGCTCTTAGGCAAGGTGGGAGCCCACCTGGACATGACATCATCCCATCACAGGGCACACGCACACACACACACACACACACACTTACACTAGGACCACGTGGACAAGCCATTTCACCTAACTTGCACATCTTTGGGATGTGGAAGGACACCAAAGGAGCTGGAGAAGAAACCCCATGCAGAAAGGGGAGAAAGAGCATGCAAACTCCACACAGCCAGCGGCCCTGGCCAGGAGTCTGTTTTTTGTTTTTTGTTTTTTGTTTCTTTTTTCTCATCAACATAACGAAACCACTTTGAAAGAAATAACGTTATTTGGAAACCTGCTATGTGTGTTAAGTGCTTATTATACACAAAATGTAAAGCATTACGTTCTTCACTAATTTTTATTTTAAAAACATAGCTCCCATTCCAAATGAGGCTGTAGTACAATTCTCTGAAGATTAAAATGAATGCGCTTAGGGAATATATACCAAAAGAAGCAGACTTTGCTGTCAGCCCCAAATATCTGAATTCCAGCAATGAACAATTTGGGCGTGAATTCAAAGGAAGTTTATAATGTTGAGAGAAAATAGCACTGCAGCTATTTTCTGGGAAGCCTTAAAAGCCTGTTTCTGAGAATTTCTCTCCTTTTTGACATAAAATTAAATGAATTGATTAAATTCTATGACTTAGGACATTTTTTAAAAATCCAGATGAATAGCTCTTCCCTTTCCCTTCTAAACTGAATTGACTGCTTTTTTGTGCATGCAACTAGAATTTTTTTAAAAAACTATAATTGTATATAGTAAAAGACTTTAGGCAGATCTCCATTTTACATACTCAGTTGCTGATGTTTTATATCTATTAATTCTCAGTCACTGCTCTGAATTTAGCCGTTACATCCAACTTCACTATATTGCAAATTCTCCAAGACATGAGAGAAAAATATTACAACTTCTCCCTGATTCAAAGTCCTCTTTGAAAAGTAATATTAAAAACACCAAATAATTTGTTAAGTAGAAATAAAATATGATCATTTTTGTTACCTACAAGATATGATGTACCTCCTAAAAATAAAAGTATAGCTACCTTGACTCTTGAGTTAACTTAAAAATGTTACAACCTGTTTCAATTCTCCATTACCCAATCTCAAAGGTGAATTAATATACCTTTAATACTAGGGACTAAAAAGAAAAAAATAGAGCTACCTATCTGAGTGTCTGGACAAACAGACAAAACAGATATCGCTACTCTCTTCTTGAGTTGGTGGCTGAGGTTTGGGCAAGTTACTCAACTTATGGTTTGGGGGAACTGGTTACTCGGCTTGTTGTCTAATTAGATCTCAAACAGAATCTGAGCAAGTCACATGTGCAAGAAAGAAGCTCCGCCTCCAGGCCCCACTGTAAACCTTCTCGAAGTGCTTCCTCCCGCTCCATCTCCTCTGCCACGCCCCCAGTTCCAGTCCATCAGGGCAAGACTAGCTTTCCACTGGTCCTTGTCCCCTAAGGCAGAAAACTTTCCTGTATTCTTGGGAAGAAAAGACTTGGCAATGATGCAAATCAAAATATTTATCTAGCCAGTAGAGAATTATCTGTAATCCATTTACCTTTTAAGCCAAAGAACACTTAATAAGCCCTGGACATCTCTTTTTCACTATTGGGGAGAAAATATAACAATGTACCAGAAAAGCACCATACACAATCTGACATTTGCTGCGTCTCTTTATTCCCAGCTTCCAAATTTAGATAATTACTCACAAAACTTTACATCGATCTATCTACAATATACAATATTTGCAAGATATGTAATGCTTCCTTTTATTGTATTAATTTATATTTAAGTTATAGCTTTCATATTCCAATGTATTTTGTATTTACAACACTCTATAAAGTGTCTACTAGATTCTGTTTGTCTCCAAGACCAGGTATTGGCAACCACTATATTTATTTTTTATTGGTATGACCACACCAAGATAGGCAATGAAATATAATAGCCAGAATGCTTTCTATTATCCCCCAAAAGAGAGGAAATGGTGAAGGGTTTCAATGCTATAATAAGAAGGCTAAAATAGCAAAAAGCTATGTAAGGGATGGTCCTTCACCTCTGAGTTTTGTGCCAAGGTAAATAAAACACACTAAGTTACCACTACTACTGTCCACAATAGTTGGTAATTAAATGTAAGGAAGAGTTGAGGTGGGGAATTAATTTCAGAATTAAATATGTTAAGGGAATGTGGAGGGTGGGGAACACATAAGAGATGTGGTTTGTCACTAATGTGCTGTCACGGGAGGAGAAAATCAAGAACATGATAATTTCCAAATTACACTGAGATACTGGAGATTTCTCAATTTGTTTTCCTTTTTGTACTCCTGATATCTTAACTGACCTTGAAAGTTGCATTCTTCTTGCTGTTTCTTCTTGGGAAAATTATTGCTAACTACTTTTTCTATTTACAAACTTGTTAGGTTAAAACAATACATGTTGAAAGAACTGCAAAAAAAATCAAGAACAACATTGTTCCCAATCCACTCTTCATTTCCTTCCTCTTCTTATCTCTTCCCTGACTCATTTACTTCTCATTTTCCTTTGATTACCATGTTCTAGTCAATCATGAAGGAACAACGTATTTCATGCTTTAATTTGTTTTCATGCACTAGTCCTATTTTTGAAAATTGAATAACTCAGTGAAAGAAAAAAAAAATCACAACCCAAACAAGGCAAATACCCACATAAGTGAAGTAAGTAAGTGAATAACACCATAGAGTCGGTTTTAGGAGTTTTTTTGTTGTTACTTAATCCTGAGAGGTAAATTAATTCACTTTCATGCCTTTCGTTTGTCCATCTGTAAAATAACTTATAGTACTTATGTGAGTTTCTGTTTGTAGAAAGTCTTACAGAATCATGTATCTAATACTTACCATTTACAATACAAATAACTATGCTTGACTCTCTGAAACATCCAAGACGCAAGTGTCCTCATTCTCTCATTAAAGAGCTGTATAGACTGAGGCTATAGAGATCATGATTCTGCCAGGGCCACGCAGTTCGGAAGAGCTGGCCAGTGTTGAGGCACACTTCTGATTATGCACCCTGGGTTCTGTTTACTGTACCACACTATTTCTAAGAAGTGGCTACTAATCATCACATTTTCCCATGTTACTGAAGGATCACTATCTACTTTTTAACCGACAAGGCTGTGGAAAAATGCATGAAAAATTTGCCTTGGCATCTGAGCTAAAGAGAAGAGGAAGGCACATGTTTCAGCTTGGGCTGCCATAACAAAATACCACAGGCTGGGTGGCTAAAACAATATACATTTGTTTTTTTCACAGTTCTGGAGACTGGAGAGTCCAAGATCAAGGTACAGTAGGGTTCAGTTTCTGGAAACTTCCTGGCTTGCAGATGGCCACCTCTTGCTGTATCTTCACATGGTGGAAAGAAAGCAAGCTCTGATCTCCCTTCCCCTTCTTATAAAGACCCTAATTCCATCATGAGGGCCCCACTCTCATGAGCTCATCTAACCCTAATTACCTCCCAAGGGCCCCCACCTCCTAAAACCAGCACACTAGGGGTTAGGGCTTCACACCTACTAATTTTGGGAGAACCAAAATACTGAGTCCATATAGTAGATTTAATGCCAATTTATCTGCATGCTAAGTTATAGAACAAAATAATTACTAGAATTATAGAAAGTCAACTCAAATCATCTGGCTCAATTTCTTTAAGGAAACAAATGGGAAATTAATCAATCTGTTCAACCATGGTCAATTTCTCATTTGTATTTGATTCTTTCTTATTTTCTTGCTACACTTCACACAATTACCTACATATACTGCCTTTCTTCTTTCCTTATTAAATCCCTCAGTTTCCAGCAGTCTGACTTACATCTCCACCATTCTACTAAAGTGTCTACTTAGCCAAACTCATTCTCTAGAAATAGAACCAATGAGACATTGTTTTCTCTAGAAACCATTCTCTGAACCCCAGACACATAGAATCAAGATCACACACAGTCTGGTCACTCCCAAAGAGTGAGATGAACTCAAACCCCCTCACCATAGATCATGGAAGTTCTGCCTCATGCCCCTTGTACCCCCAAACCCAAGTCATCTTCAATGTCCCAGATCATTCATTATGTTGTCAGCAGCTCAAGCTCGAAGGTTCTGTTGCCACTGAATTAGCTCAGCTCAGGGATTGTCCTGCTGAGCTCTGTTGCTCTGGGCTGTTCCATCTCAGAACTAGGATGCAGATTTCTACTTCAACTTCCACTAAATGCAGCCCCACTCAAGATATTTGTGTAATAGAATATGTTATTGGTGAGGATTTAGCATTAACTACCGGGGACATGCAATAGGCCACAGCCACTGCTGAAGTCAGGCTTGGCCTCCGGCCATGTATCCAGCCCTCCTATTTCCTTCCTTCACTCCCTCCTCCCAGCACCCAGCTCAACTCCCAACTGCATCTAGTCCATTCCTTCATGAAAAGTTAACTATCTCTGTCTCTTTTCTTTTTCTTAGAAACACTGTCTCCCTATGTTGCCCAGGCTGGACTTAAACTCCTGGGCTCAAACGATCCTCCTGCCTAAGCCTCCTGATTAGCTGGGAATACAGGAATGTGCCACCACATCTGGCTTAACTAACTCTTTTGTCTCCTTGGCTGCTACTAAACCATGCCCTCTTCCCACATCATCACTCATCTTCCACTTAAAGACAGTTCTCCTCCTAAGAGCAATTCTGGTCCCTGCTCTGAAGAAATAAATGTTCCACCCCATGTTAGGCTATTAGGTCATGAGGGTGGAACCCTTGTGAATGATAGTAGTGCCCTTATAAGAAAAGACATGACTGGGTATGGTGGCTCAAGCCTGTAATCCCAGCACTTTGGGAGACTGAGGCAGACAGATCACCTGAGGTCAGGAGTTTGAGACCAGCCTGGCCAACATGGTGAAACCCCGTCTCTACTAAAAATACAAAAATTAGCTGAGTGTGGTGGTGCATGCCTGTGATCCCAGATACTCAGGAGGCTGAGGTAGGAGGAGAATTGCTTGAACCCAGGAGATGGAGATTGCAGTGAGCAGAGATTGTGCCACTGCACTCCAGCCTGGGCAACAGAGTGAGACTCCATGAAAGAAAGAAAGAAAGAAAGAAAGAAAGAAAGAAAGAAAGAAAGAAAGAAAGAAAGAAAGAAAGAAAGAGAGAGAGAGAGAGAAAGAAAGAAAGAAAGGAAAGAAAGAAAGGAGAGAGAAAGGGAGAGAGAAAGAAAGGAAAGAAAGGAAAGAAAAACGAAAGAAAGGAAGGAAGACAGACAAGATGGTTGAGCTCTCTCTCTCTGCCGTGTGAGGACACAGCAAGAAGACATCCATCTATGATCAAGGAGATGGGCCCGCACTAGACACTAAACCTACCAGCCCCTTGATCTTGGACTTCTAGCCTTCAGAACTGTGATAAATAAATTTGTCTATAAGCCACCCAGTTAAGGAATTTTGTTATAGCAACTTGAACCGAGTAAGGGAGTGGGGTGCAGAGTCTCTTTAGATGCTGCTAAGGAACCTCTCTGATTCTCACATTTTAAATTGTGATTAGCCTGCCCAAGCCTGCCATTTTCTTTCTTCCACGCATCAACAGTGCCCAGCAACAGCTGTCCGATTCCATTGTCCTTGTATGTTCTATCTCCTCCCACCCCCATTCTTTTCAAATGACAGAGCTATCACACAGCAGCATCCCCTTCCACCTGCACTCCATTGTAGCTCAGCATACATGAGTGTCTCAGCCATCACATGCTGCCACATGCTAGGGGCACCCACACCTTCCCTGCACCAGGGCGGGCTCCTCATTGCCAGCCGGCCAGTGGCTGACAAACTCCAGTGTCCTATTCTTACCATCTACATCTAGGACATTCCTGGTACCTGCTGCCTTAGGTTGGATTTCCTGGGAGAAGAATCAGAGACAAAATATAGGTGAATGTGATTTATTGAAGGAGTACCCTTCCGGAGAAATTGGAAGGGTTGGGAGAGAAGTAGCATAAGGAAAGGGAAGGAATAGAGCAAGGCTGTGGTCTCAGGACAAATCAAAACTTAGCCTGAACCCTGTGGAGATGGGTGTCCAGGAGCATTGTTCCACGCAGAGCTGCCCCACCTCTGAGGCAAAGGGGTCAGTGTTTGTACCCCTATATCAGTCATACCCCAATCCTGAGATACTGGGTCTGGAGTAATATGTATGATCTGTGCTTTAAGTCAGGCAATCTCAGACCTAAGCTTCTACATTTTCCTAGGCCCTCTTCCTGTTAGGTTTTTAATCTGCATCAAATTACTTATCCATTCTAAACTTTAGCTACCATCCCTGAAAAATGAGGATATTAATTTCTATTTCAAAAGATAATTGTGAGAATGAAAGGAGCTAATTGTATAGAACACTTGCATAATATACCTTTATGAGTGCAGTAGTGAGCACTAGCAAATGCCAGCTCCTAATCCTCTCACCCAGTCCCGGCACACTGTTATTTGATTTGGGGCAAGTTAGTTAACCTTTCTGAATATCAATAAAATATGTCAATTTTTCTTTCCTACAAATCTTACAGTATTGTTGTAGCACTGAAAAATACACACACACACTGCTATGGTTTTGCTCTCTGTCCCCAACAAAATCTTATCTCAAACTGTAATCCTCTCATTTCGAGGGAGAGGCCTGGTGGGAGGTGAATTGGATCATGAGGGTGGTTTCCCCCATGCTGTTCTCAAGATAGTGAGAGAGTTCTCATGAGACCTAATGGTTTTAAGTGTGGTGCTTTCTCACTTTCTCTCTCTCTCTCTCCCCTGCTACCTTGTGAAGAAGGTGCCTGCTTCCCCTTCACCTTCCACCGTGATTGTAAGTTTCCTGAGGCCTCCCCACCCATGCAGAACTGTGAGTCAACTAAACTTCTTTTGTTTATAAATTACCCAGTCTCAGGTAGTATCTTTATAGCAGTGTGAAAACAGACTAATACACACACACTCACTCACACACACGCAAGTACTTTTTTTTTTTTGAAACTATGTCTTGCTCTTGTCATCCAGGCTGGAGTGCAATGGTGCAATCTCAGCTCACTGCAACCTCCGCCTCCCAGGTTCAAGCGATTCTCCTGCCTCAGCCTCCCAAGTAGCTGGGATTATAGGCGCCTATCACCACGCCTGGCTAATTTTTGTATTTTTAGTAGAGACAGGGTTTCACCATGTTGGTCAGGCTGGTCTCGAACTCCTGACCTCAGGTGATCCACCTGTCTCAGCCTCCCAAAGTGCTGGGATTACAGGCGTGAACCACGGCGCCTGGCCACAAGTACTTTTAAAACTAAAAAATATTAAAATTTAACATTCTGTTAGCCTCAAAAACATTTGCTGTTGAAATCTTATCCAGTTTCTAAGAGTTCAGAAAGTTAGCGTATTTATTTAATCATCAACTTTTCATTGAAACTTAAGATTTGCAAGCTTCATTTTTCCATTATTATTCTGCTGATATGATGCTATATCATATGAATGGAAACAAGAAATAAGCTAAGGTATATTCTGCATGTAATAATAAAAGACTCTGAGCCTCTGACTGCAAATATAAATAATTATTTAACTCTTAATTTTAAATCAAGGTAAACATGATTTTATTTTCCTTGAGTGTATTGAGAGTCCAGCTACAACTTTTTAACTACTGAATGGTTCCTGTGTGAATGAAGTACCATTGGTACAATTTCTTACCTGTTTTATTAGAAATAAATAAACAGAATGATTTGTTTATGTTTTTAATTCTCTATTTTAAATCGGACAAATATAAGACACAAAATGCAAATAACTACATCATAATACCTTTTGTTAAGTATGGACTTAATATCTTTTGTTAAGTGTGAACAGATGTGTGCTTACATATTCAATTCTACATCTGACAAGGTGTTTTGTTCAAAATTATAATCTTATAAAAGGGGTTCCTGTTTTTGAAATTTTCCTTTTATTCTTTCTTAAGGAGTAAATCATTTCTTGATATGGCTTACTTTACTATCCGTCTTCCTGGTTGTTTAATAACAATGACAGAGACTACACAAAAAGAAAAAAGGTAATATTACTGACAAAGTGACATCTGCAAAAATGACAGAGTAAGGATCTCCAAAAATTTTCTCCTCCACAAAAACAATGAGAAAACTCACAAAAATTGTCAGAATCAAGGCCAGGTACAGTGGTTCATGCCTGTAATCCCAGCACTTTGGGAGGCCAAGCTGGGAGGATCACTTGAGCCCAAAACAAAAATTAGCCAGGCATGCTGGCGCACACTTGTAGCCCCAGCTACCTGGGTAGCTGAGGCAGGGGAACCACTTAAGCTCAGGAGTTTGAGGCTGCAGTGAGCCAAGATCCTGCCACTGCACTCCAGCCTTGTCTCAATAAATAAATAATCAGAATCAACTTTTTCAGAACACTAGAAACTAATCAAAGGCCTGCAGCAACCCAGGAAGTGTTTATTCAAGAAATGGCTGAATCTCATGAAGAAAAGTGAGCTTTGTGATGACTTAACTTACTCTATTCCCATCTTTCCCTCCCCAGTTCCACAGTAACCTTGAAAACTAAAAGTACATTACCACAGTAAAAATCAATAGCCTGGCAGCTACAAGAGGAGGCAGAAAAGGATTAGATCTCCTTTGAAGCCCCATTCTCAAAGAACTGTCATTATTTGACCTGTCCAGTGGTTCCCTGGAAGACCCCACTCATAAAGCCTTGTTTATTCGACCTGTTTCATAGCTGACCCAGTGTGAAAAGCACTGGTGTAAGATTGCAGCTGCCTTAGGTGGTAGATAATAGTTGAGACAAACAATGAGCCAACTAAAAAGCTTTAAAAGAAGAAAAGCTGGGAAAAGAGGTGTTTATAGAGGCTTTGATAAGCTCTGACATATTCCTGGGAACTTAAAAGGTCATGAGCATGTCCAGAATTGTGCATATGCTCAGGAAAGACCTGAGAAGCAACTAAGCCCTTACATCTGGCTAACCTGCAGGCTCTGCATAAGCAGGAAATGAAGGCTAAGGCAGAGCTGTCAACTGCCTGACTGAGTGCTGAAGCCTTGCTTCAACACACAGAAACCCTTGGTGAAAACTGGTAGACTTACTCGTTTCAGGCATTTAAGAAAATTTCTGTTCAATCATTAGCTGACCACTAAGGTAACTGAGCAGAGACTTCAATGACCACATATGACAAAGAATACACTCTCAGAATTTGATCAGAAAGGTCACTAAACAAACGACAACAACAAACAACCCTGGAGAGGGAGGAGAATCCAGAGTTTGTGGAACTGAAAATGTTCAGTTCTCAACAACAAAATTATAAGACATGGAAAGAAACAAGGAAGTATTCCTCATACACAGGGAAAAAGCAGTCAATACAACTTGTCCCTGAGGAAGCCCAGATGTTCCACTTGCCAACAAAGATTTTAAATTAGCTATTTTAAATATGTTTCAAGAGCTACAGGAAAGCATGTCTAAAGAACTAAAGGAAAGTGTGGGAATGATATCTCACCAAATGAAAAATATCAATAAAAAGATTAAAATTATTTCTTTAAAAAAGAACCAAAAAAAATACAAGTTCTGGAGTTGGACTAAAGAGGTTCAACAGTAGTTTTGAGCAGGCAGAAGAAATAATCAATGAACTTGAAGATAGGTCTATTGAGATTAATCAGTCTGATGAACAGAAAGAAAAAAGAATGAAGAATAATGAAGGGAGCCTCACTGAGCTGTGGTATGCCATGAAGCATGACAATATATGCAAAATAAGGGTTCCAGGAGAGGAGAGAAAAGGCCAGACAGAATATTTGAAGAAATAATAGCTTAAAACTTCCCAAATGTGATGAAAACCAATACTACACATCCAAGCTCAATGAACTCTAAGTAGAATAAAAATAATATTGGCAAGGAATTAACTTTGTTAGAGATTTAGTGTTCTGTAACTGTGTGTTTCTAAGAAATTCTCATTTATGATTGAGTTACTTGATTATTTTTCTCTATGTCATATCACTCCATGATAATGTAAAAGGGAAAGTGTTTCTGATGTCTAAAATCTAAGTTGGGGCAGGGCACGGTAGCTCATGCCTGTAATCCAAGCACTTTGGGGGGGCCAAGTCAGGAGGATCACTTGAAGCCAGGAGTTCAAGACAAGCCTGAGCAACAAAGCAAGACACTGCCTCTACCCCCAGCCCAACCCCCAAAAAATTAATTTAGTGCAGTGGTGCATACTTGTAGTCCCAGCTACTCAGGAGGCTGAAGGAGGAGGATCATTTGAGCCCAGGAGTTCAGAGGCTACAGTGAGCTATGAGCACACTACTGCATTCCAACTCCACCCTGGGTGACACGGCGAGACCCCATCTCTAAAAAATAAATAAATAAATAAATAAAAGTAAAATCGAAGGTGGTGGAGATGGGGGAAGAAGGCATTTGGAAAAGAACAGAAAACAGCACTAGTCTTCAAGCCTGTATATTATTAAAAACTCAAAATAAAAAGTAAATTAAAGCATAAATGTGCATACATATGCCATGGTTAAATATTTAGGCTAAATCTGAGCTCAAATTGGTATGTTTTTTAATAATACATAAATAAGTTCATGGACCATGTCTTATTTGCTTAGCACTGTTGCTATCAAGATTATGGTCATAAGCTAGAAGTCCAACATTTTGCTTAAAGTTTTAGAATTCTCTTTATTAGGATGCTTAATTTCAGTGATAATAAGTTTAAAATAACATAAAATTGGGAATCTTTTTATTCTCATGAAAAACTGCTATTTTTGAAAAAGGCTAATAAATCTTAAACAATTTAGATAAGAGTACAGAGCTGAAAGTCATAAATTCCCTAGGAAATTTGTGATTCAAAATGGGATAATTAGCCAGGCACGGTGGCTCATGCCTGATATTCCAATATTTTGGGAGACCCAGGTAGGAGGATTGCTTGAGGCCAGGAGTTCAATACCAGCCTGGGCAATATTGCAAGACTTTGTCTCTAAAAAAATAAATAAATAAAATTTAAAAATCAGCTAGGTATGTGCCTGTAGTCCTAGCTGCTCAGGTGCACACTCAAGGTTACAGTGAGTTATGATTATGTCACTGCAGTCCAGCCTGGGTGACACAGTGAAACCCTGTCTCAAAAAAAAGAAAAAAGGGATAATTAAAACTAAAAATCAATTTTTTGAAATTATAAAGAATATTTACAGAAGGTGAGTCATTCATTTTTAGTTTTTACTATTTAATCCTGACTTTGTTTTCCTCCCCAAAATTAAAAGCTATAGAGAATATTCTGAAAAACCCTTTTTATTGTTTTTTAAACTTATATTTTAAAGTAATTTCAAACTTACAGAAAACTTACAAGAATAGTACAACAATGCCTGTATATTTTTCACTTGGTTCCCCCAACTATAAACAATTTACCACACTGGTTTTCTAATTCTCTCTCTGTCTCTCTCTCTCTTCTGTCTCTCTTTCTCTCTCTCTCTCATAAATATAATTTTATTCTGAGCCAGTTGAGAAGGAATTGCAAATATGATATCCTAATTATTCTAGTGGGTATTCAAGGACTTTATTCTATATAATTAGAATATCACCATATCTATCATGAAATCAATACATTACTATAATCTAATCTACAGACCTAATTCACATTTTGTCATATTTCTCAATAATTCTCTTTATAGGAAAAAGAAAATTTTACCAGTACAGGATGAAATCTCAAATCAGGTGGACTACATTTCGTTGTCAACTCTTGTGTCTTCTGCAATTTCAAATGGCTCCTCAGTTTTTCGTTGCCTTTCTTGAACTTGAATTTTTGACAAATACAAGCCAGTTATTTTGCAGAATATTATTTAATTTTCATTAATATGATGAAATAACTTTTAAAATAAATTAACAATGGAAAGGAACTTCAAGATTTTATAAATTAATCAGCACTCTCTATATATCCTATATCTCACCTCTATGCAGCAGCTTACACAAGAAAGAACACCCCAACCTTGAGAGAAAGAATGGGGCAGAGAGAGAGAAGAGTGAAAAGAAAAAAAGGGAGTTGTGAGAAAATTAAAGCAATCAGAGCATTTTCAGGACAAGAGAAATAGCTTTTCTACAGCCACAGACTTTTATTTAATTCATTAAAATCTCATAAATTTTAAATCGTAAATACAATTCAGTGGAAGTAACCAGTAGCTATGTATAAATAGGCCACTGTAGTCAAAGCTCAGTGTATCTAGGTATCTATAGTTCTTTCCAGACTTGAATTTCTAGCTTCATCTTTACATTTTACATAACCTAGAGTGTTTGCAAAACCAAACTATGTTTAATATTCCATTTTCCCTGAAGAACAATTTTCACCTTATTAGAACTCATGTCTTCTCCTTCTTCATTGTCTGATTTCCAACTGGTAGTCCCAGCAGTTTAACTGTGGGCAACTCAGCCGTTTCGTTACTGTAGTGATCGTTCCAGGATCTTTTATTTTCTTACTTCTCAATAAATGTAATTCAGCCAACAAGTAAACTTCTCTTGCATGCAATCATTGGGTACTGATAATTATAAATATTATTTTCTGAAGGAAATTATATTACATATTTGTAGCATCAGGCTACAAATTTTTCAAAACTATACACAAAATATAGAAATGCATTTGCAGCAGTGACATCAAGGTTCACATGCTGTTATTTCTAAAAATTGTACAATGATTTGATCAATGTGGCAGTGCTTCATTTGACTCCCATTTTTTCATGAATCCTATAGTTGGTAATATATTACTCACTGGTTTTGTTTTACGAAGATTTTGTAAAAACTTTAAAGTATTAGCTCTGAATTAGATGGAAACCTCGTAAGTCAGAATTCTATTTTAATTAACCTAAAAGGATATATAGGTTAATTCTTTTGAATTTCTCTTGTAAAGCATGTGTATTCTTTTTTCTATACTCATTTATCATGCAGCTCATATAAGAAAGAGATGAAATAATATAGCAGGCAAGAGCTTTAAAAGTGATTTTATCCAAGACCTTCATTTGAAAGGCTCAGAGAAACTGTGTGTCCAGGCTTGCTGACACCAGGTCTACGATCCTTGCTGCTGTACTACACACAAACGGACTTGCAAATCTTCTTAAGATGATATGTTTCATGCACGAAAAAAGCATCGGCACAGACTGTGTCCTGTATATCCTTGACAGAACACAGGAACATCCTCTACTTGAGAAGGTTAACCTGCTCCCGATGAGTGCATTTGCGGAGGGCTGAGAAGACAGCCAATCAACTGTGGCCATCACAGCCAGATCACTGTCTTACAGAGCCAGAATGTGAGTAAGCCCTGGTCCTGCTAGCCTTCTCTAGCCTCACTCCTACATAACATCTAACAAATATTTTATGAATATCCATGTGATGGGAAAGCAAAGTATTAGCCTGCCCAGAGGGCCTACGAGTCTCCATCCAGTTCTGCAATACTTGAGACCACTTCCTGTGCCAGGATGCAAAAATTGAGTTGGGATGCAATTTTATCCAGCCATTGAAGAAATTTCAATAAGACCTTATTCAAGAGACTTTGGCCACATAAAAAAATGCAATAGATATTTAAAAATTCATCCAAGGACTTAAAAGGAAAGGAAAACCAATAAAAGGACAGAATCAGAATACAAATATAAGGTAGAGAAACCAGATGAGAGGTGGAAAACTTAATCAAGTAAGTTGTAGTTTTGTTTGTGTGATTGCAATTCATTAAACCAATTTTTTTTACCAACTGATGAGGCTTGCCTTTGCTGAACTGATGTGATCAGACTGTGTCCTTTTGTGTCATACAGGCAAGATATACAAGGAAAAGCAAATTCATTATTTAAACATAAGAAACATGTTTCAGCAAATTCGTGTGTAGTTAACATTTACTGAGTACTTCATATTACTGAACACCCTGCCTGGCTCTTTCATGTATGATCTTTATTTAACCCTCATGACCATTTACAGAAATATGATTTGTATTTCATGTGCAAATTGGGCACTAATTGCTACAAAAGTGTTACAAGTTAGGGTTGGAAGAAGGCATGAAAGATACGGTAGACATTTATACATGGAACAGTATGCGCCTTTGTATTGATTATCTATTTATTGCTGCATAATTAAGTAACTTAAAACTTAGTAACTTAAAACAATGATCATTTATTATCTCTGATAGTGTTTGTGGGTCAGAAGTTCAGACAGGGCATGTGGGAATGCCTTATGTCTTCTGCACAATGGGGCCTCAACTGGAAGACTCGAAGGGTGAGGCTGGCATCATCTGAGGCTCATTTACACATCTGGTGGTGAGGCTGGCTATTGGCTGCAGATCTAGCAGAGGCATGGACTTCCTTACAAAATAGCAGCTGAGTTCCAAGGGTAAGCTTCATGGGAGACAGAGATAGAGAGAAAACAAAACAAAACAAAACAAAACAAAAAAAAACCTCTCCTTTTTGTGATCTAGCCTCTTAGCCTCAGAAGCCACATGGGATTCCTTCCACCATACCCTGTTGCGGCAGTCAAGAGATGCACAAGACTATACCCCAATTAAAGAGTAGAGAACATCACTCCCGTCACTCCCAGCTCCTGGTGGGGGAGTGTCTGTCAGACTGCAAGAAGAGCATGTGGGATGGGATAAATATATACATGTGGCCACCCATGGGATATACAATTATTCCCACATTCTTACTCTCTGGTAAAAATCTTAGGGTGAGCCCTGGATTTAGTCAACACCAGGAAATATGTCTCATGTCAGGCAGCCAGAGAAGGGAAGTGTAAAGGATTGTTCTTGATTGGGGGATCCAAGTAGTCTTCACAGAAGAGACAGTATTTGAGCTTTATCCTGATTTGGAGGATTTCCATTCATTTATTTATGGAGTGCCTGATGGGGTATATTGTTGATAACATGCTAAGTGGAGAACATATAGGAAATTCTACTTCCCAAGGCACAGGCTGAGGACAATCTCACAGAGAGGGCTGCAGGGCTGACCCCTGTGGTGAGCTACTCACCAGCACCTTTGGTTCTTTCCTTCCATGGGAACACACCCGTGCCAGCCTTGCTAGAAGCCAGCAGTTTCCCAGAGATCCTGACCCACACTTCCTGGCTTCCCTTTATTCTCCACCACAGAGGACAGAAGTACCTTGGGAGACATATCAATAAGCAATTTGGGGACCAAGTTAGAAACTATTTTGTATCACTAAGGGAAAAAAATCCTATAAAACATAGTAGATAGACAAAAACAGTCTATTTGTAGATTATTGAGTTCGCATTTTTAAAACCTTCAAAAAAGATAAATTTATTGGAATGTGAATTCAGTATTTAAAATCTATAAAAGCAAATATTTTTCTAATTTCCATTTCCTTTTATTTCACTCTTTCCTATTATTTATCTCTCTCTCCCCATGGGGTTCCACATAGAACACAGATCAAAAGCTTTTACTCATTGATGGAGAAATATGCAGAAAAATCAAATAACACTTGTAATTAATAATTGGACAAAATAAACTAGAAATGTCAAAGCCATCATTATGATTTTCTAAATCCCATCACTTATTCTGTCCCTGAACAATTGAAACTTTTAGCAATGGTAGGGCACTGGTTTTTTTTAAATAGCTCCAAGCCTTATATTTTATTACAGAACAACTTCCTAAAGTAGGATATGTCCCAGATTTACACATCAATGTTTCAGGAAAGAAATATTTACTATTTAAAACTCATATGCATATAAAATAGCTGACTTAGAGAACTCAGTGTAAATCCATGTCTCTTCTCTGATAAGGAAAAATTGACCATGATTCAACTATGATTTCTTTTCTCATATATATGATTAGCTCATAACTTCAGACTTACTTTGAAAATAATTGGATACCTTTACAGTTAATAACTTTGTAAATTTTAGTTCTACTAGAGGATCAAGGCCTTGTTATTTAAGAACAAAGTGATTCCAAGAGGTTAAGAATTTCACTGGGTGCAGACATATATTTTTCGAGGTTGGAGAATATTTTTTAAAACAGAAGTGGAATGAAATCCAAAACTCTCATTTCTCTGTTCTGAAGATGGTTAGATCTGGCTCAGAGATAAAGCTTAAATATAGTGAAATTTAGATCAACTAGCTCGTTAGGCTTAAGCTGATTCAGAGACCTGTCCAGTACGATAAAGCTCCCGGATAGTCTATTATCACCCTTCTGCTTCATAAGTGGTATTCTTCAGTTCACATCAAGACTAAAAGTACAGAATGATTTGTAGGTGTGGCCTATGAAGTCCATGTAAGTCACATATTTATTGATATAGTGATCCCTAGGCTAAAACTACACTATCAAAAGGATATACTGATCTGCAATAAAACTAGTGGATAAGAATCCAAAAATATGAGAAGAAGGAATGAACCACCAGTATTGACAGGATTCACTTGGTATTCATGTGGGAGCAAATGGAAAGAGGAAAATGGGGAATCTGAGTGCCCTGAGAACAAGAGCATCTAAAATCACTCTTAGTAACTGCCTAAGAGGTTAAGAACATTCCTAGATGGGATCAGCAAACTGATGCACAGGTAAAGGCAAGGACATGAGGGAAGGTCATCACATGCAGAAATAATGTTGGTTCTAGGAATTCTCAAACCTTGCAATCCTGAGCTCACTTCTAGAGCAAACTCCTCTATCTGCTCACACTGCCATTGTAAAATACCATATGCTGGGTGGTTTAAATGACAGAAATTGATTTCTCACAGGTCTTGAGGCTGGGAAGTTCAAGATCAAAGTTTCAGCCAACTCAGTTTCTGGTGAGGTCCTCTTCTTGACATGCAGATGGCTGTCTTCTCACTATGTGCAGACATGGCAAAGAGAGAAAAAAAGCACACTCTGATGTCACTTTCTCTTTTATAAGGATAACACTTTTACCAGTTCAGGGCTTATGGATGGTTAACTTTATGTGTCAACTTGAATGGGGCATCAGAATGTCCAGACAACTGGTAAAACATTACTTCTGGGTATGTCTGTGAGGATGTTTCCAAAAGAGATTACATTTAAATCATTAGACTGAGTAAAGAAGATTTGCCCTCACCAGTGTGGGTGGGCATCATCCAATCTGTTGAGGGCTTGAATAGAACAAAAAGGCAAAGAAGGTTGAATTCACTTTCTGCCTGATTGCTTGAGCCGAGGCATCAGTCTTTTGCCCTTCGTGCACTTGGTTCTCAGACTTTAGTCCCAAATTGGAAGCTACACCACCAACTCTCTAACTCTCAGACCTTCAAACTACACCACCAGCTTTACTATGTCTCCAGCTTGCAAACAGTAGATCACAGGACTTTTTGGCCTCCATAATCATATGAGCCTAAGGAGTTGGGAATATTCCCAGATGGGATTCTGCAAAATAACTTATTTTTTATATATAAAATAAGTTTGGGTCTATTTCTCTAAAGAACCCTAAATACAGGGCTCCATTCTTATGATCTTGTTTAATCTTAATCACATCCTTAAAAGCTCTGTCTCCAATACGGTCACATGGGGGTTAGGGCTTCAGCATATGAATTTTGAGGAAGGGGATATATTTCAGTCTATAGCACTCTCACTGAGAATAAATTGAATTTCACTGAGGAGAAATTAATAAACTGAGCAGGACAGGGACATGTGGATCAAAGAAAAAGGGAATCCAAATAAACATGGGGGGGAGAGCAGAGCTACAGATACCTTTTATTTTGGTTTTCTGTAAATCACATGATCTGAATTACAGAAAGAAAAAAGAATAAGTAAAAATGAATGGAGCCTCAGAGAAATATTAGACATCTTTAGTTACACCAACATAAGTATAATAGAAATATCAAAAAGAGAGGAGAAAGAAAAAGAAACAGAAAAAATATTCAAAGTAATAATGGCTGAAAACGTTCCAATTTTGCTGAAAATCTGTAATCTACACATTCAACTAGCTCAACAAACTCCAAGCAGGACAAACACGAAGAAGTCCACACCCAGACATATCATAGTCAATATGCTAAAAGATAAAATTAAGCAGAAAATTTTGAAAGGCACAAGAGAAAACTGATACACAAGCAGCCTCCAATAAGATAGACAGCTAAATTCTCAGAAACAACGTAGGCCAGAAAGCAGTGAGATGTCCTATTCAAAGTGGAAGGGGAAAATTATATCAACCAAGAATCTTATGTTCAGCAAAAACATCTTTTCAAACTGCAGTCAAAATAAAGCTATCTCCAGGCAAATAAAATCTGAGATAATTTGTTGCTAGAAGACTCATCTTACAGAGAATAGTAAAGCAAGATTTTTAGGCTGAAATCATGTGACCCCCCCAGATAGTAATTTGAAACAACACACACACACACACACACACACACACACACACACACACACAAAACCAGGAAAAGTAATTAAATAACTATAAAAGGCAATCTAAATGTTTACTTTTTCTTTCTTCTCTTAACTGATTTTAAAACCAATTATATAAAAGAATGGGTACATGATTACTTTGTTGTGTCTATAGCATATACAAATGTAATATATTTGACATCCATGGCACCAAGGAAATGGGTGGGAGCAGAGTTGTATTGGAGTAGCAAAATAACAGCTGATAGTAACTGGAACACACGGGAACAAATTCAGTGAACCAGAAACTGTAAATTAGAAGAATTAGAAGAAGTATAACAAACTATAAATAAATACCTCCTCTCCTTTCTTTTATTGGATTCTTCAATAGACATAAAATTATATAAAGTAATAACTATGACAATATATTATTGGTTTATAAAATTAAAAGATGTAATATATATAATAATATTAGCACAGGAAACAAGAAGAGAGAATAAAGCTATATAGAATTAGCATCTCTATATGTCACTGAAATTACATCTAATTTAGTTTCTGATAAATTAAGGTGTACAAGGTAATCCCTAGAGCAACTACTAAGGAATTAACTTTAAAAAGTGAAAGTGTTATTAAAAGAATTAAAATGTGAGAAAAGAACATACTTTATTAATGCAAAAGAATCCAGTAAAGGAGGAATAGAACAAAAGAAAGATATGTGACATAAAGAAAAAAATAGTAGACTAAATTCAGCAGTATCAATAATAATATTAATTGTGAACGGGTAAAATGATCTATTCAAAAGGCAGAGATTGTAAGACTGGATTTAACAAACAAAATCCAACTGTATGCTCTCTATACGATAATATTCCTACAAACTTTAGGTACAAAGATACAAATAGGTTGAAAGCATACGGATGGGCAAAGATACATGATGCAAACAATAGCCACTAGAGAGCGGAGTGGCTATATTAATATCGAAGTACCCTTTAAAACAAAAAAAGTTACTAAAGATAAAGGGGGACTTTTTTAATGATAAAATGGTAAATCTCATCAGGAAGGTATAAGAATTATAAATACATCTAACAACAGCACCCCAAAACACATAAAGGAAAGGCTGACAGAATTAAAGGGAAGAATAGAGTTCCACAATAATAGTTGAACACTCCAATGTTCCACTTCCAATAATGAATGGAACAACTAGGCAGATAAGAAAGAAAATAGAGGATTTGGGAGGAAACGGGAGATGTTAGTCAAAGGATACATAATTATGGTTAGAAGGAATACATTTCTCTTTTTTAATTTTAATTTTAATTTTTAGTTCTGGGGTACATGTGCAGGATGTGCAGGTTTGTTAATAGGTAAAAGTGTGCCATCGTGATTTGTTGCACCTATCAACCCATCACCTGGGTACTAAGCCCAGCATGCATTAAATATTTTTCTTAATACTCTCCCTCCCTCCCACACCTACCCCCACTGACAGGCCCCAGTGTGTGTTGTTCCCCTCCCTGTATACATGTGATTTCATTGTTCAGCTCCAACTTATAAGTGAGAACATGCATTGTTTGGTTTTATGCTCCTGTGTTAGTTTGCTGAGGATAATGGCTTCCGGCTTCATCGATGTCCCTGCAAAGGACATGATCTCTTTCCTTTTCATGGCTGCATAATAGAAGGAACACATTTCAAGAGACCTCTTGTATAGCAAGGTAATGTGAGGTAACGCACCTGGTAATTATCTACATTTAACCATTCCACAATGTATATGTACTTCATAACATCATACTATACCCATAAAAACAAAATGCTGTCAATTTAAAATAAAGAAAATGTATAAAGGAAAAGATAGAGGACTACACAAACTGTACATAGCAGGAAACTTCCCCAACAATAGCAGAACACATTCTTCTCAGTGCACATGGAGCATTCCTTAGAATAGGCCATATATTAGGCCATAAAATAAGCCTCCACAAGTTTTAAAAGACTGAAATCAATTAATGTATTTTCTCTCTCAGAATGGAATGAAATAAAAAATTAATAACAGAAAAAAATTGTAATATCATAAATATGTGGAAAGTAAACAACATGCTACTAAATAGCCAATGAGCCAGAGAATAAATCACACGGGAAACTAGAAAGTACCTTGAAATAAGTAAAAATGAAGACACACATACCAAAATTTATGGGATACAGCTAAAGTAAATCTCATAGGAAATTTATAGCTGGGAATGCCTACATTAAAAAAAGATTATAAATCAACAACCTAATCTTATGCTTCCATGTTAAGATGCTGGAAAAAGGAAGAACAAACTAAATACAAGCAATCAGGAGAAAGAAAATAGCAAAAACAAGAGTGGAAATTAATTAAGTAGAGAGTAGAAAAACAGTAAAGAAAAGCAGCAAAATCAAATATTAGTTGGTTGAAAAGATCAAAATTGACAAACCCTTTTAGCCAAACTAAACAAGGAAAAAGGAAAAGACTTAAGTTACTAAAAGTGTAAATAAAAGAGGGGACATTACTACCAACATTTCAGAAATAAAAGTAATTATAAGAGGATACTATGAACAATTTTATGCCAACAAATTAGGTAGCTTAGGGCCGGGTGTGGTGGCTCACGCCTGTAATCCAGCACTTTGGGAGGCTGAGGCGGGTGGATCACTTGAGATCAGGAGTTTGAGACCAGACTGGCCAACATGGTGAAACTCCATCTCTACTAAAAATACAAAAATTAGCCAAGCGTAGTGGTGAATGCCTGTAATCCCAGCTACTTGGGAGGCTGAGACAGAAGAATCGCTTGAACCTGGGAGGCAGAGGTTGCAGTGAGCCAAGGCTGTGCCACTGCACTCCAGCCTGGGCGACAGAGTGAGGCTCCATCTCAGAAAAAAAAAAAAAATAGGTAACTTAGATGAAGTGGGCACATGCCAAGAAAGACACAAACTACCCAAACTAACTCAAAAGAAATGGAAAATTTGAACAAATCTATAACAAATAAATAGATGGAATTAGTAATAAAAAAAACTTGCAATAAAAAGCCCAAGACCAGTTAGCTTCACCGGTATATTCTACCAAACACTTAAAGAAAAATTAATATCAATTCTTCACAAACTCTTTCAAAATAGAAGAGAATGTAACAACGGAACACTTCCCAACTCATTTTGCATAGCGTATATCTGATAAAGAACTTGTTAGAATACATAAAGAACCCTTATAACTTTTTTTTCTTTTTTCTTTTTTTGAGAAGGAGTCTCACTCTTGTCTCCCAGACTCAAGTGCAGTGGTAGAATCGGAGCTCACTACAACCTCCACATCCCAGGTTCCCAGGTTCAAGCAATTCTCATGCCTCAGCCTCCCCAGTAGCTGAGATTACAGGCGTGTGCCACCATGCCTGGCTAATTTTTTTAGTAGAGACAGGGTTTCACCATGTTGGCCAAGCTGGTCTCCAACTCCTGAACTCAGGTGATCCTCCTGCCTTGGCCTCCCAAAGTGCTGGGATTACAGGCATGAGCCAACGGGCCTGTCCCCTTATAACTCAATAATAAAGAGACAACCTAATTTTAAAATGAGCAAAGAATAGGAATGGAGGCCGAGCATGGCAGCTCACGTCTGTAATCCCAGCACTTTAGGAGGCCAAGGTGGGTGGATCACATGAGCCCAGGAGTTCAGGATCAGCCTGGGCAACATAATGAGACCCTATCTTTAAAAAAAAAAAAAAGAAAGAAAGAAAGCAAAGGAAAAGAAAAAGAATAGGAATAGGCATTTCTCCAAAGATACACAAATGGCCAACAAGCACATGGAAAGACGTTCAACATCACTAGCCATCAGGAAAGTGCAAATCAGAACCAAAATGAAACACCACCTTACCCCTTCTAGAATGGCTATAATCAGAAAGTTGGATAACAAGCGTTGGCAAAGATGTGGAGAAATTAGCACCCTCACACATCGCTGGTGAGAATGTAAAATGGTGCAGGCATTTTGGAAAAGTCTGGCAACTCCTCGAAACGATAAACACAGAATTACCATATGGTCCAGAAAATCCACTACCAGTATATTACTCAGAAGAAATGAAAATATATGTCCACATAAAAACCTGTACTCAAATATTCATAGCAGTATTACTTATAACAACCAAAAAGTGGGCACAACCCAAAATGTCCATCAACTGATGAGAAAATAAAGAAATGAAATATTATTTGACAATAAAAAGAAAGGAGGCACTAAGAGATGCTATTTTAAGCTCAGACACACCCGCCAGCACCAGGCTTTCTCCACAGAGTCCACGCTCACTCCTCAAGGTTCCTCTTACACTCCTCAATATTCATAAGTCTAACCCATTCCTTTTCTTGTTTCCAACTTTGTTTGCTTCTGAGGTTGCTACTGTGTGATAACTTCACGTTCTCTGTTTACCTCTCCACACATCCGTTAACAACTCTGTGCCCATTAACAATCCTTTATATTAAGTGACCTGTGTTCAGTGTGGTGTGGTTTCTGCCACTTGACTGGACTTAACCACCCACCCCCCACGAAGAGGTCTTCTTGCCAAAAAATATCAAGCTAAAATCTGGTAGAAGTACACTCAATACTACCTATTAAAACCTTGCCAAACTATAGAATCTGAATCTAAGCAAACTTCTAGATACCAGTTTATAGATACCAATTTATAAGAAATCCAGGGCTCAGGGAAACATATAACTCATACCACAGAAATGTAGTCAGCAAAACCCAGACTATGAAAAATTTACAGAAGTGACCTGGTTTCTTCAGTGAAAAAACAACAAACTTCCAGAGGAAAAAACAAATCTTTACGGGACAACCCAGGAAATGTGAATACTCCTGGATAATAGATGTTATTAAAGCATTACTACGGGTTTTCTTGGCTGGGTGCAGTGGTTCACGCCTGTAATCCCAGCACTTTGGGAGGCCGAGGTGGGTGGATAACCTAAGGTCAGGAGTTCAAGACCAGCCTGGCCAACATGGTGAAATGCCATCTTTATTAAAAATACAATAACTAGCCAGGCATGATGGCGGGCACCTGTAATCCCAGCTACTCAGAAGGCTGAGATGGGAAAATTGCTTGAACCCAGGAGGCTGAGATTGCAGTGAGCCAAGATCACGCTACTGCACTCCAGCCTGGGCAGGCAACAGAACAAGACTCCGTCTCAAAAAAAAAAAAAAAGAAAAAAAAGAAGAACTACTATGGGTTTCTTTAAAAGATATGGTCACAAAGTATAAAGTTTGAATCAGGGGAGTAGCCTTGGGATAGACAAAATAATGGCCCCTGTTTTGGGGGAAAAAAAAAAATCTCAAACCATCGTTCCTATTCTCTCACTTAAAACAACAACAATCATCAACACAGAAGATTTCTGTAACCAAATGTGGAGGGATGGGTTTCTCCCTACCAGCAAGCAAGCAACTGACTCTGCAGTAGACTGCAGCTCAATTCCCACACTACTTGGAGATACTGTGAGATCCCGATCAAGGGCTTAGTCTCACAAGACTCCCCCACCCCAGATACCAGTCATTATTCTGGGACTCTGACACTTCTGACCAGTTTCAAGTTGGAGTTCCCATGTCCCGCTCTTTGGGTTCGATTAATTTGCTGGAGTGACTCACAGAACTCAAAGAAACAGTTACGTTTACCAGTTTGTTACATAGGATATCGCAAAGGATACAGATGAACAGATACATAAGGCAAGGTATGCGAGAAGGAGCACGAAGCTTCCATGCCCTCCCTGGGCACGCCACCTTCCAGGAAGCTCCATGTGTTCAGCTATCCTGAAGCTCTCCCAACCCTGTCCCCTCGGGTTTTTATGGAGACTTCATTTCGTAGGCATGATTGATTAAACCATTGGCCATTGGTGATCAACTTGATCTTCAGCCTCTCTCCTCTCCCTAGAGTTTAGGAGGCAAAGCTGAAGGTCTCAACCTTTGAATCATGCTTTTCTCTTTCCAGTGACCAGTCCCACCCTGACACTGTCAGTCAACACATAAAAAGACAGCACTCTGGAGAGTCCAAGGATTTTAGGGGTTGTATGCAAGGAAAGGGGAAAGAAGACCAAATATATATTTCACAATATCACAGCCTCCAAAGCTGCCGATGACCTAATCTGCAGAACCTGTGAGCAGGTTCTGTTATATGACCAGGAAAATTAAGGTTGCAGATGGGATTAAAATTGCTCATCAGCTGATTTTGCGAAGGGGAGATTATTGTGAATTATCTAGGTAGGCACAGTGTCTTTATAAGTGGGTCTTTATAAGTGGATGAAGGAGGGAGGAGAGTCACAGAGAAAGAGAGGAAGTGGAGGTCACAGTGATGCCATTTCCAACTTTGAAGATGGAAGGGAGCTGCCAGCCAAGGAATGGGGCAGCCTCTGGAAGCTGGGAAGGCAAGGAAATGGATTCTCCACTAAAACCCACCCAAGGAAGGAAACCTTGCTCACACCTTGATGTTAACCCAGTGAGACTTATTGGACTTCTGACCTCAAAAGCTGTAACATAATAAATCTGAGTTGTTTGAAGCCACTAACTTTGTGGTAATTTGTTACAGCAGCAATAGAAAACTACTACAAACCCAAGGGGCAAAAGAAGGGATTGGGGGAGGGTGACAAAGAAAGATAAATTTTAGGGGCCAAAATACATTATTCCACAACCCTGCACAAATCTCCCTAAGCATTTTTCTCTCCTTTACATAACTTTGCTCACACATCTTCCTCCTATCTGACTAAGATATCTTTGAAGTCAGGAAGTGACACTCACCAGCATTTGCAGTCTTAAAGCCTTATTGGAGCACTCTGCATACCACATGATTGCAGGAGAGAGGAAGAGAATGAAAAAGATCCAGAATATAATATTTAATCAGATATTCCATAGACTCCATGGAATACATATTTCTAAGAACTAGTGCACACTACTTTATTGCATTATCTAAATGCAATAAACTCAAGTATACTATGCAGACACGCATAATCACACTAGAAAATAGATGGCGTGTGAGATGTTGAATCACGTTTAACCCTGACTGAATTTCTGTGTTCTAAATCTTGGTTTGGCAACTCCTGATACAGCAAAGTACTGAATGATAGAATTCAAAGGTAATACACATAATATCTTTAAGAAATCTCTTTACTTTAATGGGCCAGGTGGGATTCAGGAGACAACGTGTAAGTGATCTAATGTTATTAACATACCTTTATCTTCCAATAATGTCCCAATATGCTGAATAATGTATTTTAAGTAAATGCAGATATCTTTTTTTAAGTATAGAGCATGTTGAGATCCTGGTAATGACAGTTGAGTATTAGAGAATCACAGAAGTTAAAATTTGTTGCCAGATTTGGACACTTGGCTGCCACACAGACATCACAGATGACAGACAAATAATTCATCAACATAATTAAGTGAAATACGCTTCAACAAATTGAACTATCATTAAAAATATAACTTGTGAGATTTGATGACTGGGAAAAACTTACAACACAAATTCACTGGCAGGAGACCAGAGTAACCGTGTCATTTTATTTTACATTTTATTTTATTTTATCAAAGTTATGCTTGGTTCCAGATCTGTGAGACAATATTTTTAATATGGAAAACAGAACATCAACAAAACAAACAAGAAAATGACTTGCAGCCTTGAAGTATGCTCAGGGCAAGGTAGTGTGGGTGACCCCCCGATTAAAGAAGCTAAGTCAGAGCTAGAAATCGCTTCATGTTTAAGTATAATAATCAACAAGTCAGAATCACAGCCAATAATTAAACTTCTTAGGCAGATGTTTCATCACGACATTCATTTCTGCATATATACTTTCAGGTTGGAAGTAGAAATTCTTAGAGGTCTAACCAATATACAAAAACAATTCTGAAGACTTTAATTAAAGAAGCACCTTCATACAGTGTTCTCAGATTCAAAAAGTTTTAAAAGGGGCTTGGATTTGGAGGAATGTAGGAAGCAGACAGATGGATGGGGAGAAAGGAGGATGGTCAAAGAGGCAGAGCCCTTGGCTATGAGAATCAACTTCAACCAGAAAAGATCCACTTTTACTAATTTTACGAAGTAGGATTTCACATGAGTTATCTTTAAAGATATCTTCAAAGAAAGTGTTTACTTACTTTAAAAAGAGAGTCCAAAAATCACTGTCCTAAAGAATGGATATGTTTTGTTACAAAAGTAGAGGCAACAAGAAATTTGTAGTATAGTGATGTTAAGGAAGAAAACTAACTTCTGAGCTATTGTCTACATTTTTGTTCATTTAATTCCATTCTCTCTGAGCCATCCTGGTGCCTCCTGGTTATGAGAACACCCCCTTATCTTACACCATCCAACAAACAGAATCCTGTAATTCCTTTGGTAGATTTGGGTTTCTGGTTTACGTAACTATTGGCTATGGCAGAAACACCTAGGATGCTATCTCAGTGTGTTTACATGGTTCCTTTTGATTCTAGATTTAGATGGTGCCTTTTTGCTTCTTATGCTTGTCACTTATCGGGAACGCAGTTTTACAAGCTAAGGTCTTCTTGACTGTGGTATTATTCCATGTAGAAACGAGCTCAGCTCCTCCTAGTCACTAAGAGACCAAAGGCTGTAGTAACTCTGTCTCCCTAGCACCTCTCTGGATTTCTATGTGGTCCATGCCTCCTGTAAGCCTAATTTCAATCTAAAAACTGTGCCTCCTAATTCTGACCTGAATGTGTCCTGGAATATGTGTCAATATTTTCCCATCTCTCCATGGTCCTTCTCATTTCTGTCCGAGGTTCTATCTTCTGTTGACATGCCCAAGAGTCAGCTCAACCCATTGCATCACCTGTTTTCCTTTATGTTAACTGTATTTCTGAACTCAGCAGTCTTCACAAGTCCAGAAAAGACTGACTGTAGTCACACTGAAAATATGAGTTAACAGTAGTAATTTTTCTAAATATTTCATAGAAGACATGGAAGAACAGGACCAAATCCCATACCGTAAAATTTACTACTTAAGAAGAAATCACCATAAAATCAGTCTATCTCCAAAGTTCCACCCTCCCACTAGGCCACCTGGGAGCGTAATTTTTCTCCACTGATCCCCTATGCAGGGCCCAACTTCAGTAGTTCCTGTTTTCTTTTTCCTGGATTTATTCCCCAATCTCACATGCCTCTGAAAAGAATTTTCAGAAATTCTTGACAACTATAAAAGGCTTGTACAGTCTAACTGCGTAGTCAGCAGATGAACTTTTAGAGACAATGTTACCTAACTAATAATATCCCACTGATATCAAAAACATTGTCATGGTTTTTTCTTCAAATAACACTCATAGATTTTTGCTATTTAAATAACAATGACACATCAGAATTGTTTCACTGTAACAGAGGATTGAAAAAGCCCAAAATGTTATTGAATGACTGCATTCTTTACTGTCGTGCAGGCTGTCATTTGAATGGCAAACAGGTATCAGTGCTTTTTCAGGACAGCCTCCCCCAGTGTCCTGTAGAGTCATTCACTTAGCTTTGTTGGCATCCGGCTAAATAGTCTGGTGGCCCCTTATAGAGGAAGCCTGGCTTCCTGCAGCTCCCAGCCATGTTGACAACAACGCATGTTCAAACACAGAAGAGGAACTCCCCAGCCTTCCAACACTCTAGACTCTGCATCTTGGGAATGGTTAACTGGACAGGGCCACCATCACCAGAGATTTAAGGATCAAAAGAGTAAAAATAAAACCACAAGCATTGCTATGGTCTGAAGGTTTTTTGTCTCGCCCTGAAATTCATATTTTGAAATCCTAACTTCCCAAGGTGATAGTTATAGGTGGTGGGGCCTTTGGGGAGGTGATTAAGTCATGAGGGTGTCGCTTTCCTGGGATTAGTGCCCTTATAAAACAGGCCCAAGGATCACGGCTGACGGGAGGCAGGACTAGACTGCAGCTCTGGACAGAGCAGCATGCAGAGGCTTGCGTTGTAAATTTCAGCTCCAGATCGACTGCAAGAGCAAACCAGCAATCCCGAGAGGACCCACAGACCCTCTGAAGGAAGCGAACTGTTCCTGCAGGACCCGGGAGACACCTCAAGTATTGTGACTGCCCCAACTGCGGAAGTGGGAAAGGGAAACCGAACACACACCACTACTGGAGAAGTTGAAGATCTGTTTGCGGGAAAAGTTTCCAACTTTACCTGGAGTTGAGTCAAGTGAGAGAGCCAAGCCTAGCAATTTGAACAGGCGAGAAGCCTCCTGGCCAGAACTCAGGGGAGGGCGCGAATCTGGTGTACAGACTTCACAGGCACGGGAAGAACTAAAGCCCTTTTCTCTCGCAGCTGGGAGGTGGATAGCCTCGGGCAAAGTTTCAAGCCCCTCTCGCCCTCTGCCTGGAAACAGGCTGTTGGGGGAGGGTACGGTGGGGGAGGTTACATTTATCCCTTCCACCATATAAGGACACAGTGAGAAAGTGCCACCTATTAAACAGAAAGCAAGCCCTCACCAAATACCAAATCTGCTGGTGCCTTGATCTTCGATTTCCCAGCCTCCAGATTTGTGAGAAATAAATTTGTCGTTTATGACACCCCGTTTATGGTATTTTGTTAGAGCAGCCCAAATGGACTAAGACCAGCATTAGTAAACCTGATTACTTTCTCTAAGAAGGGGATTGGGACCATCAGAAAACAAATGAGATAATTCAGCAAGAACATTGATGATGCTGGATGCTATGAATATCTAGTAGATACGTGCAACCCCTTCCCATTGGGCTCTAAAGTTGAAATTAAAATAATGTGCCAAAGTTCTTTATATGGCATCTGGGACTCATTTACAAGTGATTACAAATAAACAGATTTGTTTTCTAAAAAGTTAATCAACTAGGCCGGGCATGGTGGCTCAGGCCTGTAATCCCAGCACTTTGGGATGTCAAAGCACGAGGGTCACTTGAGCCCAGGAGTTCAAGACCAGCCTAAGCAACATGGCAAAACCCCAGCAAAATACATATATGTATATATATATACCTACATGACCTATCTATCAGGTTGCAATAATTGTAAGGACTCCCTACAGCTTAAATATCACACTGGAAAACAATTTGGCAAATTGATTTATCAAAAACAAAAGCCAGAAGTAGGACTGACCACATATTGAGGAACATTGTTGTCAGCACATTTGACCAATGATGGGCCCAGATGCAGGCCCAGAGGTACATCTCAATCCCTCTTACCGCTTCAAAAGATGGAGCTGCACTCTCTTTTGGGTTTTTTGTTTGTTTGTTTTTCGTTTTTTGTTTTGAGAAAGAGTCTCACTCTGTCACCCAGGCAGGAGTGCAGTGGCACCATCTCGGCTCACTGCAACCTCCGCCTTCCGGGTTCAAACGATTCTCATGCCTCAACTTCCCCAGTATCTGGGATTACAGGCATGCACCACCACACCCAGCTAATTTTTTGTATTTTTTAGTAGAGACGAGTTTTCACCATGTTGGCCAGGCTGGTCTCAAACTCCTGACCTCAAGTGATCCACCTGCCTCAGCCTCTCAAAGTGCTGGGATTACAGGCATGAGCCACCATGCCCAGCCATGATGTTTCGATTCATGGCTGAAACAGGTCCACAGAGATGGGCTTATATGCGTGTAGTTAAAGCTTCAAAGTGAAATGCGAGTTCTCTATCAGGGAGAGCTGACTATGGACTTCAAGATATTTGGGAAAAGATCTGTGTCTATTCTGACATGGGTCCTTGAACAGACTTCATGGAGTAGTATCTGAGTCCTGGGTACAACGGTAGATGCAGAAAAGGCAGAGGGTGGCGTGACCCTATGTCTCCGTGGGGCCTCGGGAGCCCTGGATGCATTGTTTTAACAGCTTCTTGACAAGCATAGAGCTAGGTGTGTGAGCTGGGGTGGGACTCTCTATGAAGGCAGTGGCGGAGAGAGCGTGACTTCAGGAAACTACCCAGGGAACAGGGCGACGCCAGCGGAAGTGGCAGGCGCCCCCTCAGCTTCACAGGCAGAGAGGTCTGGATCTCCAGTCTCTGTGGAGATGGCCAGTTACAGGGACACACCTGGGAAAAATTAATCCCCCCAGCCAGGGTAGATAAAGGAAAGGCTCCAGGTTGTAAGTGAAACCCCTCTTGAGAAGAACCGGAGCGAGGATGGCAGGTGGCCCCAGCACAGAGGCAGGAAAGAAGTCTGTAGGCTGCAGCTGCTGCCAGAGTTTGTATGGGCTCCAAAAGTGGTGTCAGTAGCAAATAGTCAACAGGTCTTAGAAACTGATAAAGAAAAGGCAGGAAACGTAAAGAAAAAGGGGAAGAAGGTAGAGAGTTGAGCCAAGTGAGAATTACCGTCAATAATAAAAGTGAGGTTGAGGCTTTGTTGGAAAATCCTCCCTTGTGCCCTAATGGTATTTTCTTGTCTCTCCCAGCACCAGACAGCCTCCCACTTCCCCAGCCTGGGCCTAAAGTCCCAAACGCTTTCCCCTACAACACGCCTTGTTTCATATTCCCTCCTTCCCACGTATTGTTAGCGATAGCCAAGTCTCACCATGTTACCTTCTCATTTATCTGATCTTCAACAAAAGACTCTTGAAAATACAAAACTTTCATCCTCAGGGGTAAGTTTATATCATGGTATGTCAGTCTTTGTAGCAGGTTGGTGAAGACAGAGTTTCCTTCAAAATCCACACTGAAGAATTGCTTGCTACATTTGTATATTAAAGCATGTCTCCTTAGGCCAGCCCAATTTGGGGTTTAAAATAGAGCTGTTCAAACAGTAGGCAAGTGTGAATCCCTCACTCCGCGATCCGTCTGCAGTTATAGCCCATCCCGTTAGAAAGCATCCCCATCCCCAATTACTTCTGTGATGTTTTTTGGGGGGTTGGGGACTCATATCCTGTCTGTGCCTGTCATTTTATTGCTATCTTGTTCCTGGTCCCTTTAGTGAGGGACACAGCCTGCTGCCTCCAAGCTACTGAAGGCTCCACCCACTGTCATGAATGCTGGAGTCACTTCCTACCACTGGGATCGTACCCTGTGGACATTTTAATTGGTTCTAAACCCAAAAAAAATGTAATTAGTTCTGTGCTATTTCTTTATTTGTACCTTACCTACTTCCAGAAAGATTTAAAATTTTAAAAATATGTACGAGGAAACTAGATAACAAGTAGGAAGTGAGTTTATAGAAACATAATGTTAGAAAGAGAAAAAATGAAGCTATAAGTGAAATTAATGCATAGAATGCATGCCATATAATCACGTGCACTTGCTTGGGGTGGCCTGAATATTTATCTCTGAGCTGTCTAGCAGCCACTTCAAAAAAGTGAATCATAAACAAAATCTATTTCATCCTCAGTATCTGAAATCTGAGAAACATCTCCTATGGATAGAGCTTTATAAGGAAGTTTCTCTTTAATTTAGTACCCTTAATCTTTACCATTACTCTTATAGTAAAAACAAGAATATTCATAAGGTCATTTGTAATATTGCTTCAAAGTGTATTTATGACATGTTATATAAACAGAGTTCAGTAATTTCACTGTAGGAGGAAAAAAACTATAGGTTTAAGTTTCAGACGAAAATCAAAGTGAGTATCTAGGAAATGGCCTGCAAAATTTTCAGGCATAATTCCATAATTTCCATAAATCTTATTTCAGAATGCTCTAGAATCAGGGTAACCCTTCTTGACAAGGACTTACACATGCAGATATTCTGTGTTGCCATTTAAAAGCTGACACATAAACTTCAGGCTCAGTCAGCTGAGCCAGGAGTGACGTTAACAGATTCTTACAAGTTGAGCCGGGCACAGTGGTTCATGTCTGTAATCGGGAGGCCAAGGTGGGCGGATCACCTGAGGTCAGGAGTTTGAAACCAGCCTGGCCAACATGACGAGACCCCATCTCTACTAAAAATACAAAAATTAGCCAAGTGTGGTGGTGCGTGCCTGTAATCCCAGCTACTCAGGAGACTGAGGCAGGAGAATCACTTGAACATGGGAGGTGGAGATTGCGGTAAGCCCAGATCCCGCCAGTGCACTCCAGCCTGGGTGACAGAGTGAGACTCTGTCTCAAAAAAAAAAAAAAAGGGGCACCTAAAAAGGTCACATACAGAATAGAAAGCCTCAGTTCCTACACGGAGGAGGGCAGAGAGTACAGGGGGACACAGACAAGGTTTTCTACTCTAGTACACAGAAAAAGAAGTAGCTGGGTCTCAAAGCTCTGTTATTCAGAACATAGAAACAATAATCTTTGCAGGGAAATTGATTTACTAATATCTCAGCAAAACAAAAAAAACAAAACCACCTCATTAAAACACCAGTTAAGCACCCAACTTTAAGTAGTGTAAGTATCTATCAAACCACTAAGATCATTGGCTGAATTGGCCTCAGTGTAATTAACTGGATTTACCTGTTTTATAGGGTTGTTAACTATAAGCCAGTTGTAGGTTGGAGGAGTCTATTAAAAATTAAGAGGTTTTTTTGTTTCCGAAGACCCTCTTTCTGGAAATACTTTCAAAGGGAAGCCAGTTTTCAACTAAGGTCATTCATTGTTCATAAAACTAAACCACGTGATCTGCATATAATAAAATGATTAGACTTATTTTCAGGGACCAAGGGTGTGAATTTTATTGAGTCATTTTCAATTTAGGTATATTCAACTGAAAAGTAAGCATTTTGTTCCTACCTAAACTTTCCAGAAAATGCAGAACCCTTGCAAGCCCAATAAAAAGTGAGTACTTTTATTTTAAAGCATATCAACAATTCAAATGTAAAAATTCCATGTTAAAAGAAAAGCAATAATAAACCCCATCAGAAGGTGCTGGTAAGATATTGTGGTTTGACTTTGAGCTTAAGAAAATAAAAGAACAAACTAGTTCCAGGGGAAAGAAGGGCTGTTTATGTATTTTATTGTTAACTATTTTGGCAGACGGGAATGTTTCTTTGGTGACAAGCTCAGAGCCATGTCAATCTGCAGTTAGACCACTGCCTCCCCAATTTCATCAAATTTGTGGCGCAAAGTCAGAGACTTGATAAGGCTTGGTGGGGAAAGGGCTTAACCTTTAATCTATGAACCTGCTAAACTGCTTGAGAACAGGATGTGTCAGCTTTCTGTTATTTGATCCCATTTCACCATCTGTCCATCTTTACCAATGCAAAACAGAAGAAGCCAATGTATCTTAAATACGATGCCCTGGGAAAATGTAAAACAGAAAGATGGAAATTGACCCTCTATTTGTGCCTCCATCTGCAAACTCTTTCATTTTGGCATCAATTCTGGAGTCAAATTTCTATTCATCCCAGACAGCTCTACCGTTATCTCAGTATCATTTATTATACAACTTTTTTTTCTTTTGAGATAGGGTCTCCCTCTGTTTCCCAGTGGTGCCATCTTGGCTCACTGCAGCCTCTACCTCCCGGGCCCAGGCAATCCTCCCACCTCAGCTTCCAAGAGTAGCTGGGACCACAGGTGTGTGCCACTGTGCTGGCTAATTTTTGTATTTTTAGTAGAAAGGGGGTTTTGCCACGTTGGCCAGGCTGGTCTCGAACTCCTGGCCTTGAGCAATCCACCCGCCTCAGCCTCCCAAAGTGCTAGGATTACAGGAGTGAGCTACCACACCCAGCCACTTATTATATGACCATTAAAGCCAGATATTTCAGATTATGAAACTTTGTTTCCATAACAGATGATTTCAACATCATTTATGGTTTATGGCTTAGGAGGAGGAAATCACATAATTTAGTCCAAGCACTACAGATATAATTTTATTCTTGCCAGTAAAGAAACTGAATAGTGAGAAATTCAGGCTCTTTCTCCAGACCCCCCAGAGAAGGAAAACATTTTCAAACAATCCAGAATAAAGCCACAAAAATGGGTTCAAAAAACACTGGAGACACAATGACAAAATAGAAAACAGAATTGTTCCTTAGAAAATGAACCATCAAGCTGTAAACATCAAATGAATAGTTTAATGTTGCTACTCTAAAATGTGTATTACAAGATGAAACAGGAATCTTGACTGAAAATATGGATAAAATCTGGAAATGTAATGAACACAGTATTTTGCAAAGTCATTTTAGATAAAGGCCTTCAATAATTACAACTTCCAACTCATAGGCTGTAGTTAAAAATCCATGACAGGACTAACATCAGCCATCCCTGACACACTTCCGATTGATATGTAAAACCCAAGACTCTCATACTCCCTCCTCAGATACAACTCATGTAGAAAAAATAAATGTCAGGAGAGCAGAAGACCTTTCAACTAGATAGAACACTGTGTTAGAATGAGAATTAAGGGAATTTGATTCTGACATGACCCCATCAAATCCCAGACCTCATTTTGCTGATAGAGATCGAAGAAAAAAGCAAAAAGGTTGAATCTACACTTGTGTGCTAGTAAAAATTTCATCGCAAGTTTTACAGAGAGAACAACTGACATTTGGAAACATATAGGGAACGTGGCTGAAATGCCAAATAGAAGTCTGCAAGATTAAATTGACTTCCAGCAGGTATGTAAGCAGCCATAAGCAGAGTAAAAACTCACTATTAGGAAATCCTTTCTTCCTATCAGCAGCATATCTCTACCTGAGCCATCACACTTGTTAAATGGGAATACCGTATTCAAGAAAAAATACCTAGAGCAGACAAAGTTCTGACAGCTGAGGCCCAGTGTTCCCATGAAGATCTTAGTCTTAGCAATTGTGCAAAAGACAGTGCTCAGACTGGGGTAACATGAGGTAAAAAGAGGTCGTGAGCTTTATGAATCATTTTCTAAACTAAATCATATTTCTGTTAACAGGCTTTTAGGTCTTAGTTTTTAAAATGTTTCAAGAATGTTCAAAAACTTTCCATTTTTCAGTACTGGGTAACTTAAGAAGAACTGCAGGTTCACATATACTCAGATTGCTCTTCCGTTCCTATGGGGTCCCAATACCCATGTCAGAGTTGAATAAATAATTTTACAAGTGAAACTTATCAGAGTTGCTCATAATTAATATTGTTCCCAAGTAATTAGCCAAAAGAAAAAAGTAGTTGTTAGAGTGTGTTATGGAAATATTTATTTAGCACCCAACAAACCTTGCTGCATGGCTATGTGTTGGGCCCTGGCGCTCTGATAATGAGCCCCTTCCCTCAATGCCTTAGGAGCTGCTTTGCAGACAGACGCTAATCATGTTCAGTGGCAATGACAAGACAGCGTTGCCTCCTTCCTGTAATCAACACAATCCTGTGTCTTATGAAAAAAGGAAGAGTGCAAAAGCGGTTAAATAAGGATGTCCTAGAAATGACATACAAAAATAGACTTAACATGATTTCCGTAAATAAAATGGGACATTGAGAGCAAAGTGCTTAATCTGGAGTTTTGTAGGAGAAGGATCTAAATCTGTGGTTTCAGCCCTTTGCACAACCCCATTACCAGCTAATGTCACCCAAGACACAGCAGTAGAGATATGAAAGAACATCTTAAGAGGTAGGAGGCAGGGAACTTCAGAAGTCTTTTGCCCAGTCAATAACAAAGGAGAGAGGAGTTAGGTGTTACTGACCTCCAGAAAAACCACCAAGAGACATGTTGGTAAAGACATGACAGTCACTAAGAAAACTTAAGGCTAAACCCATTTAAAATCCAATAAACACCAAGGAGGGCTGTTGCTCTGGACTTTCACAGCTTCTTAGAACCTGCAACTTTTTCAGGTAGCTAATTGCTTCTTCCTATCTGCTTCCCCAGAAAGGAAGCCCCCAAATGCCCCAGAAGACAGACCTAAGTAAGTGAGAGAGTATGTTTGAGAAGACACTCAGGAATTACCCCGAGCATGCCTTGTGTCCAATGTGCACTTATAATGTGGCTATTGAGTAATATAAAGATGTAACTTAAATGTAAAATATACACCAGATTTCAAAGACTTAATATGAAAGAAAAAAACAGAAATATAACAGAAAGAACAACAGATACAGAAGTGAGCAAAATAATATTTTTCCCCCAAAAGGTACATACTTTTTGGTGTGGAATAGATGGATAATAAACAAAAACCAGCCAGGCACAGTGGCTCGTGCCTGTAATCCCAGCACTGTGAGGCCGAGGTGGGAGGATTGCTTGAGGCCAGGAGTTCAAGATTAGCCTGGGCAAAACAGTAAGACCCCAAATCTAAAAACAAAAGCCAAAACCTGTGTAGCATAATGCCAGGTGAGGAGAAGTTTAGAAAATACAAAGTGGGTAAAGGAATAGAAAAGAGTGGGGTCAGGGAACACTCTTCAGATAGCAGGGCCCAGGACAGCCTTTCTGGAAAGTTGACACTTGAGCAAAAGCACAGGATGCCCCATCTAGCACCCTTGAGTACAAGGACAAATACCAAGCCTTCATGCACCCCAGCTCCCATCCAGAGAGGCACAAAGGTGGCCATCTCCTTGACACTGGCTGGAAACACCCCGGGAAGCAACTCAGCAATTGTCTATAGTCTTCACACTCTGCAGTCCTCTGGAGAAAATAATAGTGGAAGCTACAAAAACATCTCACCCTTGAAAAGACTGCCTTGTGGCCGAACATTAAAACATTTTCCTAGACTTACTAAAAACAAAAGACCGACTAGAGCTTTTGGAGTCCCCTGTCCTAGACACATGCCTATGCTGAAATATTTTCTCAGTATTAGAAATAATAAGAATTGTTATAATTACCTAGTTAAATTTTTTCCTAAAAAATAGAAGAAATAACCGAGCAGTAACCAAAGTTTAATGTGATATGTTCACTAGCATTATTATTATTATTATTATTATTATTATTATTATTTTGATACAGAGTCTCACTCTGTCGCCCAGGCTGGAGTGCAGTGGCGTAATTTCGGCTCACTGCAACCTGTGCCTCCTGGGTTCAAGCGATTCTCCGGCCTCAGCCTCCTGAGTAGCTGGGATTACAGGCGCACACCACCACACCCGGCTAATTTTTGTATTTTTAGCAGAGATGGGGTTTCACCATGTTAGTCAGGCTGGTCTTGAACTCCTGACCTTGTGATCCACCCACTTCGGCCTCCCAAAGTGCTGGGATTACAGGCGTGAGCCACTGCGCTCCGCCCACTAGCATTATTTTTAAATAGCTATATTTTAAATTCTGATGAAGCTAATAAGATGTTCGAATTTAACAAGATAGAAGAGTTTAAAATGAAAAACAACAATTCTTTTTTTCAGGCCTCCATAATCTCAATTCTGTGTATCAGAGGCACTATATTAACTATGATAATTTTTTTATTTTTAGTTTTTCTGATAGTTACCAGCTCTCTAAATAACAGGCTTAAATCACTATAGTTTGATACATCAAGTCTCAACACCTATGGACTTTCTAAGGCACGACAACCTTCCTCTCTCCTCCCCTCCTGCCACTGAAGGTAAGAATCGTTCCTTCCTCTTTTGATTATCTTTTAACTTAAATACTGCATATAAATATGCAAATATCTCTTGAGCTCTCACGTGGTAAAAAGGGATTATTAGTGATCTTTTTCTTTCTTCTTTTTTTTTTTTTTTTTTTTTTTTGAGACTGAGTCTTGCTCTGTTGCCCAGGCTGGAGTGCAGTGGCGTGATCTCCACTCACTGCAAGCACCACCTCCCGGGTTCACTCCATTCTCCTGCCTCAGCCTCCCGAGTAGCTGGGACTATAGGCGCCTGCCACCATGCCTAGCTAATTTTTTTTTTTTTTGCGTTTTCAGTAGAGACAGGGTTTCACCGTGTTAGCCAGGATGGTCTCGATCTCCTGACCTCGTGATCCGCCCACCTCAGCCTCGCACAGTGCTGGGATTACAGGCGTGAGCCACCACGCCCAACCTCTTTCTTCTTTTCTCCCCACCTTACCTTATAACTTCCAGCACTACTTTAAGTACCTTGACTTACTTTTTCTTGTCAGTTTTGATAACACTTTCTTTTTGTGTGTGTATACATAATCAAGTCTTCTTTCCCTTGTTATTTGATCTGAAAATTTGAAAATCAGCAAACAGTATTTATGTTATTATGACTATGTAATATTATTGTCTGTACAGCCAAGTATTATTATTACATTCCAAATTTTCGTGTTCTTTAAGAGTTTCTCCTCCTCCTCCTCCTCTCCCTTTTCCTATTTCTCCTCTTTCTTCTGCTTCAGTTGCTTCTTTGCATTGCTTGCCTTTATCAAATCTTTACTTTTCCAGTTTCTCAAAGATCCCACAAATCGTCAGCCTCCCATTTTTCCAGATCTTTCCCTCTTTGTGCCTCCATCTAGACTGAGGGTCTGCAGATATGCTCCTTAGCTATGATGCGGGAACCTTATTTTGTTATTCCTCTGAGATGGACCCCATGCCTTCTTTCTTGATTTACTCCCTTCTTTAGCTGGACTATGTCCTCCAAGTAACTCCCTAAGAAACTATATGGAACAAGTAAACCTAAATCCTACATACCTGAAGAGCTGTTCATTCTACCCTCATTCTTGATTGAGAGCTTTGCTGAGTATATAATGTGAGATTGAAAATAGTTTTACCTTGTAACTTAGAATGTGCATTCCAGCTGGGTGCAGTGGCTCACGCCTGTAATCCCAGCAGCTTGGGAGGCCAAGGCAGGAGGATCGCTTGAGGCCAGGAGTTCAAGAACTGCTTGTGCCACGCCCAGGAACTCAAAGCTGCAGTGAGGTAAGATCGCATCACTACACTCCGGCCTGGGCAACACGGGGCAGCTCTGTCTCTTAAAAAAGAAAAGAAGAGGAAGTTCATACCAGTATTTCTTAGAAATCCAGGGTTGCTGAGGGGAAGTTCAAAAGATGGTCTGATTTTTGTTCTTTTATAAGTGACCTTGTTTTTTTGCTTATTTGTTTTCTTTATCTCTGGAAATTTCTTGTTCTCTTTTAATATTTTTCTGGAAACTTTACAGTGGTAAGTTGAAATGAGTCTATTATCTATTCATTGTTCTGGGAAACTAGTGTCATTCAGCTGTAGGAAAACCTATTTTGTTATTTCTCGAAATATTTCCTCCCACCCATTTTTTCTGTACTGTCTTCCGAGATTCCTATTATAGGTTGCACATTCCTAAAATCCTGAAAATCTGAAATCCAAAATGCTCTAAAATCTGAAACTTTTTGAATGCCAACATGATGCCACTAGTGGAAAGCTGAAAGTTTCACACCTGACCTCATGTGATGAGTCGCAGTAGAAACACAGGCACGTAACACAAAGTTTATTCAGCATTTCCAGAGGGAAAAAGATCTTCCCAGCTCCCTTTAGTGTCATTATCTTTTCCGCACACTCCCAGAATCCCCCATGCAAGCACGCCCACAGGAAGATAAAGCCCCACCTGCCAGTGGTTCACCACCAAAATACAATTGCGTTTGTTTTTAAATGTGCCAATTTTAGTTGCTATTTTAATTACAAAACAAACATGTTATATACCCGTAAAATACAAAGGCAAAAAATAAAAGACAAATCGCTTAAAAATACTGTCAAATCAGTTGTTGGTGATGAGCTAGAAAAATTGGTATGGGAGAAGTTTTAAAAATCTAAACAGATTCTGCACTCGGCCAGGCGCAGTGGCTCACACCTGTAATCCCAGCACTTTGGGAGGCCGAGGCGGGTGGATCACGAGGTCAGGAAATCGAGACCAGCCTGGCTAACATGGTGAAACTCCGTCTCTACTAAAAATACAAAAAATGAGCCTGGCGTGGTGGCGGGTGCCTGTAGTCCCAGATACTTGGGAGGCTGAGGCAGGAGAATGGCGTGAACCTGGGAGGTGGAGCTTGCAGTTAGTCGAGATCTCACCACTGCACTCCAGTCTGGGTGACAGAGCAAGACTCCGTCTCAAAAAAAAAAAAAAAAAAAAAAAGATTCTGCCCTCAAATTCCATTGCAGGTGTGCTTATATCCCAGACATTTTAGAAATTATAAATGAGGCATTATAGATGTATTTTATGCAAAAAAAAAAACTACAGAACTTCCAATCAATGGACTCATAATCAATGAACTCATAATCAAAGAAGAGCTCTGGACTTATATCAAATCACTGACTAATGAAGATAGTGTTATATATGTGGGAATGAAGTAAAACTTTGTGAAGTGATAGTTAATTAAAATATGGCAAGCATTTATTACAGTACCTGACACACCAACATTACATAAATAGTGGGCATTATTGTTAGTTAAAGTGTTTTTTTTTGTTTTTTTTTGAGAAAGAGTCTTGCTCTGTCACCCAGGCTGGAGTGCAGTGGCATGATCACCGGTCACTTCAGCTCAACCTCCTGGGCTCAAGGAATCCTCTCCCTCAGCCTCCCAAATAGCTGGAACCACAGGCTAGTGCCACCACATTGACTAATTTTTTGTACTTTTTGTAGAGACAAGGTCTCACTATGTTGCCCAGGCCAGTCTTGACCTCCTGACCTCAAGCAATCTTCCCGCCTCAGCCTCCTCCCAAAGTGCTGGGATTACAGGCATGAGCAGGCAGAGGTTTGTTATTTTACTCGACAAATACTGATTAAGAATCCAACTCTGGGCAAAAGGGAGCTGAGGGTTGGGGGCACCGTGGCACAACTGGCTTCAGCGATTGCAAACAAGATGCAGGACCCCAACGCAGACACAATTCTTTCAGACTTTCCTTGGCAGGCAAGATGCCCCTGTGGAAGATGTAATTTCCCGCCAAGGAAAGTCTGAAAGAATTGGAGAAAAAGGCAGAAGAGTAGCAGTGTGTCCTCTAGCAGTCAGTGGTAAAAACATATGAAGATATGACTTTGAAGAGCTGGAGGGTTGTGAAGACGAATGTAATGAGAAGAATGAACATGCTATTGAAATGTACAGAAAGCAGAGACTGGGTGAGTGGAAAGTAATTAAACTGAAGAATAAATGTGGAGAAGTCTTCGAGGTCTCAGGAAAGGATTATGTTCAAGAAGTTACCTGGTGAGGGTTTGTGGGTCATCTTGCACCTTTACAAACAAGGACTTCCCCTCTGTGCCTTGATCAAACAGCACCTCAGTGGACTTGCCAGGAAGTTTCCTGATGTCAAATTAATCAAAGCCATTTCAACAACAACCTGCACACCCAATTATCCTGATAGGAATCTGCCCACGAAATTTGTTTACCTGGAAGGAGATATCAAGCCTCAGTTTATCCGTCCTCTGGTGTTTGGCGGCATGAACCTGACAAGAGATGAGTTGGAGTGGAAACTGTCTCAATCTGGAGAAATTAACACAGACTTGGAGGAAAACCCTAAGAAACCAACTGAAGATGTGTTGCTGTCCTTAGTGTGGTGCTCTGTCCTCATGAAGAGGGACAGTGATTCCAAGGGTGACTGAGGCTGCAGCTGCTGTAACTTGCTGAACTTTCTTGTGACAAATTGTCTGGATTTTTTTAAAAAGGAAAAAGTAAGAATTAATCCTTTTGGTTTTTAGTTTTGTATAGATTATGTTTCAAATCTTTACATTTCAGAAGCAATCATTGCTGGAAATTTTGTTAATTTTTTTGGAACTCTTTTTTTTAAATTGTAGTATTTCCTTTAAAAAAATTAAAACCAGCTATTGGTATTAAAGAAAAAAATCCAACACTATTCCAGGCCCTGGGCATACAGTGATGAGAAAAACAACCCAGGACCCTGCCCTGTGGATCTTACCATTGAGAGGGAGAGGCAGACATTGACCAAATTAAAGAGTAAATCCTTAATTACAATGTCTGAGAAGGGCTATGAAGGAAAAGTACAGGAGGAAATGACAGCACACATTGGGGTCCTGGTCTACAGGGAGGGTCACTAGGAAGTCTTTGAACTGAATTTTGCATCATGAGTCAGAGTTCACCAGACAAGGAAAGGGCAGGTTCCAGGCAGAGGGAACAGCATGTTCCAGTACCCTGCAGCATGGAAGACTGGCCCTGGGGCATCTGGAACATCCCAGCCACATGCTGAAGTTTGAATCAGTTTGGAAAAACGATGAATGCAGTAGGGTTCATGCCAACATCTTTTATAGATTCTTTGTCTTTCTGACCAAAAATATATGTTTATGTCTTATCTACATTTTTCTTCCCATCATAATTATAAATTCAAGGAGAAAGTAAGGGAGGAAAAAAAAGAAGAAAAGACAAAGTCATGCATATCTTGGATGTTAAAGGGTAAGTCATAATTTGTCTGCTTCCTCCCAGGTAGAAAGAAGTCCATACAGTTAATTGTGGTCATGTGATTTAGAGAGGTCAGAAGTGTCCATTTTTAATGACTTCTTAATGTGTATAATTCTGGCATAGTCTGTAATCTTCCACAGTGGAATAATACTTAAGACTTCTATTTGTTTTCTTTCCATTAGTTGCAGCTGTTTTCTACTGTTATTTTATTCAAGTAATTAACACACTGATTTATTTTGTCTTGGCAGCCTGGAGCAACAATGCTAAGAGTACACATTTTTATGACAAACAAACACACAGACCTTTTGAAAATGAATCACACTGGATTCCTTCTTTCCAGATTCTCCTGAAGTCAAGTAATAAGAATTCTGGGGAATTCATACACTATGGGCCAAAAAGGTTTTACAAACAACAATAATCTGCATAAACTCTTCACTCTTTAAGACCATTCGTCTTAGTCAGCTGATTTTCCTCAGAACACAACCAGTGTGATAAATGTGTGCATGTTCATATTTCAGCCAATGAGGAAGCCTGAAAAGCCATGGTGCTGAAAGTGCATTTCCCATAGCTCCTTGTTGTGAGATCATAAGGGGAAGATGTTGTATTGTGGATAAAATGCTCTGGATCTTAGCTGAGACTAAGTTGCTAAGCAAGCCAGACTTTAAGGTTCAGAAAATTTACTCTGGACAGCAAATCTTAAACTTACAATGGTCTTAATTAAGGAGCAGTGAGTTAAATTGAGTGTTTAGAGGCCAATTTTTTTTTAATTTTAAATAAAGAACATTTGTTTGGTGTGATACTGCCAACAGGATTTTATTCATTGTACTGGTCTCTCTTTACAACTCTGCCCAAGTAAACCAGCCAAATCCCCGTAGTCCATTCCAGAATCACACTGGGAACACCAGCATGAATTAATAGTAAGTCTGAGTTACACAATAATTTGTGAATAGCACCCCCTTAACTGCCAATAAGAATTTGCAAAAACGCTAATGGCTAACCAGGTGTGGCCTAGAAAAAAAATGTTGATGACTTTTAATGCAAAAATTCATGCCCAGCCAAACCAAAGGAACCTTTTTCAGGAGTCATGTGGCCTGGCTTCTCAACTCCGTTTTGTGGCTTATTCTGTGTGGGCTTGCATAAATCAGTTGACCTGTTTATTCCTCTATTTTCTCATCTTTAAAATGAGGGGGCTGTGCTAATCATCTATATTCTTTTTTACTCCAAAATTCTAATTTCACATCTCTACATCATTTCAAGTAGCACATGGTCTCTACATAAATGGATCCTGCTAAATTGATCCTCACAAAACGTTAAAAAGTTTACTTGTTTAAGTAGGTTAAACATCCCCACATTAGGAACTCTGAATCACATTCTCCCTATTAATTTTCTCATAAATAGCACAAAAGTAAGTTGCAACCCAGTTTTGCCTGCAATATCATAAAATCTAAATTAGTTGAATTTAAACCGGTGAAATGTGGTGAAATGTTAAGTGTCATTTAAAATTTAAATTAATTGTGCATGTTCTGTCTTGGGTCCTTGTCTCTTTCTCTATACCATCTGCCCGGGAAATTGTAAATTGCCCAAGTTTCCACAGATATTCACAACTCCTGAGAGTCTAATTCCAGACAATTTCTCCCCTGAGCTCCAAACTAATATTTAATACTAATAGTTTCCACTTCTTGAGTGCCTCTTACAAGTCTGGTACTGAGTATGATTCTAACCACTTGGCCTCTACCTTTATAATACTCCTACTAAGTAAACATTGCTATCTCCATCATCAGGATGGAGATCAGAGAGTGATCAAGGCACACTTTGATCACTTGTCACTTGTCAAAGCCATCATTGTAATACAAGTCTTCCTGGCTCAGACATCCATGCATTTTTTTTTTTTTTGGATGTAGTCTCACTGTCACCTAGGCTGGAGTGCAGTGGTGTGGTCTCGGCTCACTGCAACCTCCACCTCCTGGATTCAAGTGATTCTTCTGCCTCAGCCTCCTAAGTATCTGAGACTACAGGCGTGTGCCACCACACTCAGCTAACTTTTGTATTTTTAGTAGACATGGGGTTTCACTATGTTGGCCAGGCTGGTCTCGAACTCCAGACCTCGTGATCCACCCACCTCAGCCTCCCAAAGTGCTGGGATTACAGGCGTGAGCCAATGTGCCCACCCCAGACATCCATGCTCTTTCCACTGTTCCACAAAGGTGAACGACATCAGTAGAAAGGCAGGATATTAAACCATGGTTACTGTTCCCGATGACAGTCTTCTTCTGGGCATAGAGAAGTGGGGGTTGGAGGAAAGGCACCGTCCAGTGAGGACGAGGTATGGAATCTGAGGTCAAGAGCCATGGCAGGCAGACTGGGAAGGCAGTTCTGGGTAGGGAGGGCACAGCTTTGTGGGCCAGGACAGGGAAAGTCAGCTGCCATAACACATCATGGGGTTGGCTGGTTGCGGTGGCTCATGCCTGTAATCCCAGCACTTCGGAAGGCCGAGGCAGGTGGATCACCTGAGGTCAGGAGTTCAAGACCAGCCTGACCAACATAGTAGAACCCTGTCTTTACTAAAAATACAAAATTAGCCAGGTGTGGTGGTACATGCCTGTAATCCCAACTACTCAGGAGGCTGAGGCAGGAGAATCACTTGAACCCAGGAGGCAGAGGTTGCAGTGAGCTGAGATCGCGCCACTGCACTCCAGTCTGAGGAACAAGAGTGAAACTACATCTCAAAAAAAAAAAAATCATGCGGTTGTCAAGAGGGAGCAAGGGGTGATGCCTATCATCTGATAGGAATATATGGAATAGATTTCATATTTTAAGAAAAGCATTTTGGAAGTTACTTTAAAACTGTTTTGGGAGATTTTTTAGAGGTCTTGCTCTGTTGCCCTAGCTGTGCAGTGACACTACAGCCTCAAACTCCTGGGCTCAAGCCATCCTCCCACCTCAGCCTCCCAAATTGCTGGGATTACAGGTGTGGGGCACCATGCCGGACCTGAAAAGCTTTTAAAGCTGAAATTGGATTATCTCACTCTTCTGTGCCACACCACTCCCTGACTAGGGTCAAAGTCTTCCCAGTGGTGGTAAGACCCTGCCTGCCCCTGCTGCCCATGATCACTGACCTCATCTCTTAATAAGGCCTTCTTCTCACCCTCCTCCAGCCTCACCAGCCTCCTCCCCTCTCACATCCAGCAGACACACTCTAACTCAAGGCCTTTGCACTGCTTTTCCCTCTGCCAAGAACACTCGTCCCCCAGGCATTTGTGAACCTCACTCCCTCGCCTCCTTCTGGATGTTGTTCAAATGTCTCCTCTGCAGTGAACCATATCCTAGACCACCTTATTGAAATCTGCAAACCTCTTCCTTTCCTGTGCCACAGACAGATGCCCTCCTCAATACACTGTTGCTGTTTCATGTTTCTCCAAAGCCTCATTACACTCTCACAGACTGCTGTGGGTTGAATTAAGTCTCTCTAAAAAATGTTGCAGTCTTAACCCCCAGAGCCTGAGAAGGTAACATTATTTGGAAAGAGGGTCTGCTATGTTTTGGCTGCTTGTCCCCAAAACCTCATGTTGAAGTTTGATCCCAGTGTTGGGGATGAAGCCTGGCGGGAGGTATTTGTTTCGTGGGGACAGGTCCCTCATGAACGTTTGGTGCTGTCTTCACAGTGTTGAGTTCTAGCTCTATTAGTTCCCATGAGCACTGATTGTTAAAAAGAGCCTGGCACTTCCTCCCCTCCCTCTCTTGCTTTGGCTCTGGCCATGTGACCTCTGCAAGGCTCCACTTTGCTTCCTGAGGCCTCACCAGAAGGAGATGCTGACACCAGGCTTCTTGCACAACCTGCAGAATTGTGAACCAAATAAATCTTTTTTCTTTATGCATTACCCAGCTCAGTATTCCTTGTAGCAACACAAAAGTGGACTTAGACAGGATCTTTGTAGATTACCAACTAAAGATAGGGTCATTAGAGTGAGCCCTAATCCAATACAATTAGTGTCCTTATATAAAAAGAAATTTGGATACAGGGACACACAGGAAGAACACCACACAAAGATGAAGGCAGAGATCTAGGTGATGCTCCTACAAGCCAAGGAACACCAAAGATTGCCAGCAAACCACCAGCAGCTGGGGATAAGACCTGGAACAGATCCTCCCTCACAGCCCCCAGAAGGAACCAACCCTGCTGACACCTCAATCTTGGACTTCCAGCTTCGAGAATTATGAGACAATAAACTTCTGTTGCCTAAACAACACAGTTTGTGGTACTTTGTTATGGCAACCTTAGCAAACTGAAACATATACTATATCATTTGCTTGGGTTTTTTATTTATTACCTGTCTTCATCCCACTCCACCTGCTGCCTCCAAAGGTGAGCTCTACATAGGTAGGGATTTGTTTGTTTCTTTTTGCTCTTATATCCCAGCAGTACATATTTGTTGAATGAACAAACAATTGCCCCTCAGACCACATTTCTAGTCTTTTCTCCCACCTTTCCCCAAGACAAAGTAATTTCAACTTTTACCGTAAATACCATGGACTTTGATACCTCCTTAACTTTGCTGAGGTTTTCTCTGCCTCGGATGGCCACTTGCCCTTGTCTCCCTGTCAAGGTCTCCTTATCATTTAAGTCATATCCATGTCATTCCTTCAGTGACAAACTCCCTTCCATCCCCTTTTCTGTTTTATTATCCACTGTGGATGTGGCTCTTTGCCTGTAAACAGTGGCCTCCTTGAGTTCTGGGACCATATCCCATTAATCTTTGTAGCCCCAGAACCTAGCCCTGTGTCTGGCACATCGGAGGTGCTCAGTCAATGTTTGCTAGATTGAATTAAATCTGTATCCTGCAGCTTTCACTCTTGCTGCCCTTCCCTAGACTGCTAGCCATAGCAGGGTACAAGAGGATTAGAAGGAACTTTGCAGAGCAGAACTCAGATTAGGGCATTCGAGCGCTACAGGGCTGCGCCTCTCTGCAGAGTCTTTGTCTTCGTGCAATCTCTTGAGAGTTTCCTAAATTGTAACAGTCGGCAATGTTGTATCCAAATCACTCAGCTAAGCCTTCAGAGGCATTTGCCAGAAATCACACCAACATAAACAGCTCAATCAAAGAAGGAGTGCAAATCCTCCTTCTTTTTATAAAGTGGAGCAAGTATCCTGTTGGAAAAAGAAAAGAAAAGAAAAGAAAAAGACAGTCATTTGAGACACCACTTCCCAGGTTGCTGGGCAAGAATATGCTGGCTTGGATTACAGGTAATAGTCCTATCTGTTTTCCTTTCTGCCCTAGTTCTTTCTAGTGGGTGGAATAAAGACCCAGTGTTTTCACCCATCTTTGCAAAAAGGATAAACCTGAGCCACCTCCAGAAATGAAGCAGGCATTGTGGGATTTTCTGGGTTTTGATTTTTTTTTTTTTTTAAGACATGGGATGTTGCTATGTTGCCCAGGCTGGAGTGCAGTGGCTATTCACAGCTTCTATCATGGTGCACTGCAGCCTCAAACTCCTGGGTTCAAGCGATCCTCCTGCCTCAGGCTCCAGAGTAGCTGACACGACACTACAGGCACATGCCACCAAGAAGGTGAAGGGTGTGTTTGGTCAACATTCATTTAGACTATTTGAATATTCCTGTGGGTGTGATCTGAAAAGCCTAGAACAGGCTCAGCTTCCCAGAAATTCTAACTGAATGGGACTAAAATATTGAACGTGCATTCTAAGGACTCACTATTGGTTGTCAGAGGGTTATCTGCCCCTCTCTGCTTTCTAAGAGGCATTAGCTCTCAGAGTCTTGCAGTCATTACTAGAACAACAGAATAGGCCCTAGGAGACACAGAAAATGCCAAATAACATAATTTATATCTTCACTCCTTGTGGGTACTATCATAGCTAGGTTAGCTTCAAATTCATAAGAATAAATAACTTCATTAACTCTCATTGTATGCATTTAATTGTAACCTGTTTAAAAATGCTGAGTTAATCATATTCAATAGGTCATTCAGTTATAGACACAAACTATGAGCATATTCAGTGCTGAGGTCTGTGCTTTTCTTTAAATCCATCACAAAAGGGTGCCCCTGCCAAGCATGGTGGCTCATGCTTGTAATCTTAGCACTTAGGGAGGCCAAGGTGGGAGAATTGCTTGAGGCCAGGAGTTCGAGACCTGGGCAACATAACAAGACCCCGTCTCTACAAAAAACTTAAAAATTAGACAGACGTGGTGGTTCATGCTTGTAGTCCCAGGTACTCAGGAGGCTGAGGCAGAAACATCACTTGAGCCCATGAGTTCAAGGTTGCAGTGAGCTGTGATCATGCTAGCCTGGGAGAGAGAGTGAGACCCTGTCTCAAAAAGGGGAGGGGGGAGTAACTCCTGTTTTTGACTTATTCAGTAGAAACTGTACTTTGAATACACATACAACCATTCTGTTTTTCACTTTCAATAAAAATTCAATAAATTACATGAGATCTTCAACACTTTATTTAAAATATGCTTTGTGTTAGATGATTTTGCCCAACTGTAGGATAATGTAAGTGCTCTGAGAGTGTTGACGGCAGGCAAGGCTAAGCTGTGATGTTCAGTAGGTGAGGAGTATTAGATGCATTTTCAACTTAAACAGTGTGTTCGACATACGATGGGCTTATTGGGAGATAACCCATCATAGATTGAGGAGCATCTGTATATTTTGTGTTTATGGCTAAAGAACTGTCCTCAAATTCTTAATAATTCAGTTCAGCCCTCCACTTGGTCCCCTAAATTCACTGTGGAGACACATATTTGCATGCATGATCAATCTTTGTGTATTGGCCCCATAATACCTCGAGCTACTACTACTATTACCATAATAATAATAATAATTATTATTATTATTACTACTACTATGGCATGGACAGGCCTTTGTCCAGTGGGACTGGTGGTTCTTAACAAGTAGCTAATCACAGTCACCTTTCAGATCAAAGAAAAGCAGTAGCTTCTCTCCAGAAACGCTTCACAGGCTTCACACACTATTTTATCTATAATTTTAGGAGGTGCAAAAAGTTAATATCCCTCTAAAGCAGCTGTCAGCAACTTCTTCTGTAAAAGCCAGATAGTAACTATTCTAGACTCTGTAGGTCAAGAGGTAAAATCTTGGACATTATGTATGTACTTATATATTAAGAGAGAAAATAAATTCCCACACACTTTAATTGATAAAATTCAAAATATAGTAATAATAATTGAGTATAATCTTTCTGTAATATAAGTCTACTAATGGGAAGAATGGACGTGGCGGGGAAGGAAAAACAGCTCACCTAATTGTGATTGGAAGTTAGCATTCCCTATCCCCAAATCCATGGCAGATGTTTGCTTGTAGGAGTGATTCTTAGCTTGAGGGCCTTAGGAGTGCAGGCAGTGGGCTGGATTTGGCCTAAGGGCTGGTTTGCTAATCCCTGCTCTGAAGAGCTAGAGACCGAGGTCTAGGCTATTTTCAGGAGACCCTGCTATGACTGTGCGTAGGGTTGACCCTAACTAGATGCTGCTCTTGGCTCTGAACCCTGGTGACAGGAAACAGGCCTACACAGCAGCAGCCTCCAGAGCCAGCAAGGATTCCTGGTACAATGTTCTCACAGCAGGGCTGACTGGCTGCTAAATTGGGGCCACATTCCCACTGCTTGGAGCTGCAACCAGGAATGCGCGGTATACTAAATTCTATTAACCTACATTCTATGACCTCCATAAAACTTTCTCCATAATCAGCAAGAATAACAATGCATAGGGAAAGAAATTCCTCTGCCCGGTGTTTGAAAATTGAAATGTAAAAAGCATATCAATGGATAAGGCTTTTTAATGAATACAATTGTTTTCTTAATCTACAGTTATCTTTCAATCAATAGTCACTTTCAGAAAAAAAAGACCATCTTGAAAATTTTTTAAAGCTTAGAATAAATCACAATAAACTAATCAAGAGGCAGTGTTCAGCAAAAACGATTATGTGAAAATGTTAGTCTTGTCCTCACACAGTTCATCTCTTCCTACTTAAAACATTCAACAGTGGTAACAGTCAATCATGAGAGAAATGTAATTCTATATAATGTTTTCAGGCCTAAAATGTATGAAAAGCTTAGGCCACAAAGAAGAATCATAAATGCATTTCATTGTCGGCTGGAACCTATCATTTTATTTCATTAATGGTTAAATAAATAAATAAATGCAACTCCCTTGATTCTAGAGGGGGCAGCACGGTTTGTGGCAAACTTGGTGCAAGTTCTCCACCTAGTGGATATTTTGAAAAGTGTAATAAAATGTAAATAGGCATGCCTGTTTGTGATACAGACACAAAGACACCAAGAGTAGTGGTGACCGGACTCCATATCAGTCAGTGACATCCTATCAGGTGTTCATCTTTTTTCTTTCCTATTTTTTCTCTTCCACCCAGGCGCTACAGAGTTCAATGTGATCCACCTGCCCCAGGCGGTCGCTTAGACGGATTGCTCCATGCCGGAGTCTCAAGAATGGGCCCATGCCTCCTGGAATCCGGCACCACGGCTATTCCAACTGCAGTGCTGCCATGCCACCAGCATGGATGGCCAATGACAAGGCTGGCTGGCTTCTGTGGAGTGAGCCCTTCTCTCTTCCTGCTTGTTCAGTGCCTCAGGCATGGTGGATGCTCTCTGGCAGGCTCCAATGAGAGAAACCAAGACCTTCATGCCAGTGCCCAGCCACTCGCTTCTACCCCAGACCTGCTTGTCCCTGATGGTCCAGGCTTTCTCCTTGCAGGCCTAGGCCCACCAGCCCAGCCGTCTGCCCCAGTTCAGGAATCCCTGCCACTCTCCTTAGCGCTCAGTTGATGATGGGGCGCACTGCCCAACTCACCACCCCTTGGCGTTCCTATCACCTCTGTGTTTCAGGGCCAGCCTGAGAGAAGCTGCAGCGCAGCAGCAGTCCAGTGTCGGCTTGCATCTTATCCCACGCTGACCCATCCACAAACTAAGTTTGGCCTTTCTCCTCCTCCACCAGCGATCAAGAAGGACCCCCACCATGCAGACAGAGTAAAAAGAGGAAGAACCGGTATGCCTGTGGTGGAAGAATGGGGGTCTGAAATCCCGCCGTTGGTTTTTTTTTTTCCTACTCTTTATTTTTCTCAAAACTTTAAAAATGCAATCTCAACTTTTGTACCTCAAACTGATTCTAGTACTAGAACTCCTATGTTAGGTAATGAAATGGGGAAGAGCGTGAGTGTAGGACGAATAGGAGAGGGATACGAAATGATTGAAAGGAAGAAATAGCTGCATTGGAGGATGTGCGTGGGCCATATCTGGAGAGAGGATGAATGAGTAGAAAATTGAGAACTTTCTCCACTTGCCTTCCATGCTTCATGCTTTTTAAAAAATTTTTTATTTTTAGAGACAAAGCCTTGCTTTGTCACCCAGACTGGAGGGCAATGGCGCAATCATAGCTCACTACAGTCTCCACCTCCCAGGCTCAAGCCATCCTCCCACCTCAGCCTCTTAGTAGCTGAGACTTCAGGTGCACGCCACCATGCCTGGCTATTTTTTTTTTTAATTATTATTTGCAGAGACAGAGTCTCACTGTATTGCCCAGGCTGGTCCTGAACTGCTAAGCTCAAGCAATCCTTCCGCCTCTGCCTCCCAAAGTGTTGGGGTTACATGTGAGAGCCACCAGGCTCAGCCCACCATGCTTTCTTTCTTTCTTTCTTTCTTTCTTTTTTTTTTTTTTTTGAGAGAGTCTCACTCTGTGGCAACCTCCACCTCCTGGATTCAAGCAATTCTGCTGTCTCAGCCTCCCAAGTAGGTGGGACTACAGGTTCATGCCACCACGTCTGGCTAATTTTTTGTATTTTTAGTAGAGATGGGGTTTCACCATATTGGTCAGGCTGGTCTCAAACTCCTGACCTCAGCTGATCCACCCACCTCGGCCTTCCAAAGTGCTGGGATTATAGGCGTGAGCCACCACCTCTGGCCTACACCATACTTTCTGATTTTCTACCTTCCCCTTCTTCTCAGATTCCGTTGGTTCCTCAGGACCCTAAGGGCTGGAGTGTCTCAGAGCACAGTTCCCGGCACACTTCTCTTTCCTTTCCACACTTGGTGGTGTCACCCCATATCGTGGCTTTAAGTATCTTCTCTAGGCTTGTAAGTCCCAAATTTACATCTCCAGCTCAGATCTCCTATGTCCTGCAGACTTGCATACGCCACTCCCTCCTCGTCATGTCATCTGGATGGCCTGCAGGCATCTCACAACGCAGTCATCTACAACTAAGCTTCTGATGCCCCCAGTCTTCCACGTCTCAGTAATGACTTTATTTTTTCCAGTTGCTCAGGCCAAAAATGTGGAGTCATCCTTGACTCCTCTTTTCCCTTCACCCCCACATTTGATCAATAAGCAAATCCTGTCAACAGTGTCTTTAAAACACAGGCAGAATCCAACCATCTCTGCAGTGACCATTGTGGTTCAAGCCACCATCCACTCCTGTGTGACTATTGCCTCTGAACAGATCTTCTTGCCTCTCTCTTTGCCTTTTCTGTCTGTTCTTCACAATAGCAGCCAGCGTTGTGGTGTTAAGCAGAAGTCAGGTCGTGTCAGCCTGGAGTGCTGGTGCATGCCTGTACTCTCAGCTACTCAGGAGGCTGAGGCAGGAGGGTCACTTGAGCATGGGAGTTCAAGGCTACAATTAGCTATGACTGCACTTGTGAATAGCCACTGCAAGGCTGAGCCCGGTAGCTCACTCCTGTAATCCCAGCACTTGGGGAGGCCAAGGCAGGCAGATCACTTGAGGTCAGGAGTTTGAGACCAGCCTGGCCAACAAGATAAAACCCCGTCTCTACTAGAAATACAAAAAAAGAAAAAAGAAAAAATAGCCACTGCACTCCAGCCTGGGCAACATAGCAAGACCCCATCTCTGAAATATAAAAGAAAAATAATGAAAATATATATATGAAATTCAAAAAAAATTGTTGAGAGAAGGTGTCACTCTGTCATTCAGACTGGAGCGCAGTGGCACAATCATGGCTCAGTGCAGCCTCAACCTCCTAGGCTCAAGTGATCATCCTGCCTGAGCCTCCAGAGTAGCTGAGACTACAGGTGCATACCACCACATTCAGCTAATTTTTTTATTTTTATTTTTTGTAGAGATGAGTTCTTGCTATGTTGCCTAGGCTGGTCTCAAACTCCTGAGCTCAAGCAATTCTCCTGCCTTGGCTTCCCAAAATGCTGGGATTATAGGTGTGAGCCACCGTGCCTGGCTTAAAATAAATTTTTTTAAATCCTATGTTGTTACCTGGGCCTGTGATGCACCCAACCTGACCTCTTTGTTCCTGAACAACGCAAGCAAGTCCTTTACACCTGCCCTTCCTGCCACCTGCATGATCTGCCCCAGGAGTCTGCAGCTCCTTTGCTCCTTTCAGATTTTTATTCAGATTTCACCTTCTCTGAAAGGCATCCCCAATAATCTAATCTAATAAAATTAGATTAGATCTAATAAAATAATCTAATAAAATTAGACCCAATTAAGGTCTAATTTTAAATTGAAAAAAAAAAATGCCCCACTGTTCTTTGTAGTGGGTTGGATGGTGGCTCCCGCAAAAATATATCTACATCTTAACACCTGGAATCTATGATTGTGCCCTTATTTGGGAAGACGGTCGTTGTAGATTAAATTAAGTTATGGGTCTTGAGATGAGATCATCTCAGATTATCCAGGTGGACCCTAAATCCGGTATGTGCCGATAAAAGACAGAAGAGAAGACACAGAGACCCAGAAGGAGAGGCCATGTGAAGATATATCACTATCCAATATAAAATTTATTTATCAAGTGTATTGACTTTCTACCCTACTAATCTATAAGCTAAGGAAAGCAGAGATGAACGGTTTTGGTGACTGCTGTATTCCCAGCATCTAGAACAATAGCTGGGACCTGATAAGTGTTCCATAAACATTCATTGATTAAGAAAACAAATAGATGAATAAATGAATGAGTGACAGGTCCCCAAATATAGTGTCTGAGTAAATAGGAGAATTGTGGATCTACTGATAAACACATAGAAAGAAATCATAAACAGGATTGAGATGGAGCTAGCTACACAAGGTCCACTTGGTAGTTGGTCAGTTTGCTGTGACAGAAGTACCAGTTGAAATCTATCTGCTTTCCCTAATTTAGGATTCATTTGTCCAGCCAGCTCTAAAATAATTTTGAAAGATTTACACTGTTACCTTAATAAGGTAATTAATAAGACAAAAACAGAAGAAACATGACAGGTGTTGGAGATACTGAACGGATGTTTGGGTGAAATGTCAGTGTCAAAGATACATAGATTAATAATTAAATTTCAAGTATATCTCCTTCAAAATCCTATTTTAGCCAGCCTCTCTTGCACCAGACATTTTATTCTCTGAGTTCAAAATTGATTTGTTGATTGACTGATGGATTGATTTCACCTCCAATGCTTTCCCCCTTCTATATACCATGGCAATTCTTGTGCTCAGGAAGGCAGCAAAGACTCAAATTTTACAAAGGACAAGGGAAGTCCAATAGATCTAGAAGGTCAGCAAATCCAGAGGAGACACTGAAGCTGCAGAACTTCCCCCAGCAGCACTGGCCTTGGAGCACATGTCCTCATCAAGAGATGCCCTTAGCCTGAGCCCTGCAGCAGGAGGGAGACTCTGAGGGGCCTGCACATGCTTCAGGACACATAGGACTGGGTGTGGGGTCAGGATGCAATTCCAACCTTGGCCCACCTTAATTCCCCACCCTTTGCACCTCTATTTAATGAGGTACTTCTACCAGTGAGGATGCTTTCCAAAATAATTTTTTCCCATTTTATAAATGTTCCCCTCACTTTTTGAACAAAAATAATCTCATAATAGTTCATAGGTCTTAAAGGTAGAATAGATCTCACCTGCCTGCATGCGTTTGAAGTTTTAGGACATCTTTCAAATGGTACAGTGGCAGTGAGAGAGATACATATGGGAGTTCATTTTCCTTGTTTACTTTGTGTGATCTGTAGAGTCTCAGTGATCTTGCAGAAGCCAAAAGGCCCTCATGGTTAGCATTTGGTCCTACTGCTTTCACAGAAGTGCAGTTATGCAGCAGTCACTGGCCCTGTGCTGGGCTCAGAACACCCCATCTTCTTGCCAGCCTGTAGGAGGCAGCCCGTCTTCACCACACAGCTTCCACCTGAGCCTCAAAGTGTTTTTGAAACCATCAGAGCTGAAAAACAGCCCTCATAAAATCTGAGAAAATGTTAGCTTCATGGATGAAATCTGTATTTGGCATTGATTTTTTAATGGGCATTGAGTGATGAGATGAAACATTTTCTTGCAGTATCTGGTATATATTTTGTATCTCAATACTCTGACATGTAATAAAACCATTTTTTATTTTTTTAATTCTGAGTTTATTTTAATTCTGAAGTTAAACCAAAACAAAAAAACTTGAATTGCTCTTAATTACTGTATTTTTCACCATGAGTATTAGATTGTACTAGTATATTTCGCATAGCTTTGAGGTTATTAACACCTTCTTTATGACAGAAATGTTTTTGCTTTATTTAAATAAAATGCCTAGCACCTATTGTGGAAGGAAAGTGACTTCTGAATTCTCAAAACATTTACAGGTAAAAGCAGTCAGTGCAGACTGTTCCTGTACACTTCTCGAAAGAAAGAAGCATTCCTTTATAAGACATTTAGCCACAGACCTGATGACAAATTAAGACCCCCTTGGGACCAAATTGTGGGAGTAATTTTCCACCAAAAAAAAGAAATAGACATATTTTATTATTTATATTTTCCTTTCTGTGGAAAATATATTGTTTATATATTACATAGTCATATTAAACCTGACTTCTCAGACCACATTTTAAAAATAGATTGCAGTCGTTTTATTGCACGTGTTCTGTATTCACACAAGTCAGAATTTTGTGTATTTGTTTCTCATAAACATCATGCTTTGACCCACTGGAAAGCAAGACTGTGAAGTGACACATGACTCCTGAGCAGGGGCTGCATGCGAGGCATTGAGAGACTTCTCAGAGCTCCCCATGAGCTGAGCTGGCTGCCTGCTCCAGGAGTAATCAGGACCTACCCTATGGAGCTAGAGTTTCATCCCTCTGGGCATGTGCTAAATCACACTAATTCACACAATGCTCCTAAGGGGTGACAATTAATGCACTGTCTCTTCGGGGGCACTTGTATTGCTTACAATGAGTGGATCCCTAACTGGCATGACATGAATCCCAGGGCTATCCCTAAGCCTAGAGGAGAAATTCATAGACAGGACATCTCTAACTCTTGTTGAAGGTTTTCTTGCCTGACTTCAAAACTGCGTCTGACCACAGAATCATTACTCACCACCCTGAGAGCTGGAGCCATGAGCTAGTCTCAGACGAGTGCAACCACAAGGTAGCTACTTTTTTTTTTTTTTTTTTTGAGATGGAGTCTGTCTCTGTCGCCCAGGCTGGAGTGCAGTGGAACCATCACAGCTCACAGCAGCCTCGACCTCCTAGGCTCAACCAATCCTCCCATCTCTCAGCCTCCCAAGTAGCTGGAACTACAGGCATACACCACCTCACCTGGCTAATTTTTGTATTTTTTGTAGATACAGGTTTCACCATGTTGCCCAAGTTGCTCTCAAACTCCTGGGCTTAAGGGATACACCTGGCTTCCCAAAGTGCTAGGATTACAGGCATGAGCCACAGCACGCAGCCCTAAATTTCATTCTGGTTAAATTGCACGTTTAGAGTGTCCAATTAGAATAATCTGTAATCCATTTCCACGTGGCCATCAGTTGCTAAATCTTAAATCTGTGTCATTGGACAAGTTTTTGATTTCCCTAAACCCATTTGTTCTTGCGTAAACTGAGGATAATATTGGCAGGGATTTTGTAATTAGAGTAATGCTAAGATCTTAGCACAGAGCCTGGAACACAGAAAAAGCCCACCAAATGGTAGCTAGTATCATTTCGTGTTATGAGTTGAAACTAATTAGTTCTAGAGTCATCACATCTCAGACCAGAAGGGACCTTCCTGGTCTCCCAGTCCAACCGCGACTCTCCAACACGCAGCCAAGCAGTCGTGTCTGTGCAGGACAGCTTCCAAGATACTCAGCATTTGACATAAAACTCTTCCATTGGGACTATTGCCAATAGCGGTGAGGAGGAGGGAAAGTGGTGTGAAGGCATATTTGCCAGAACGGGCTGTATGAAAATATAACCTGACTTTTCTTGCACAGTTGGATTTCTGAGCACAGAAGTGTTGCAAGTTATCCTACTGGAATGGAATGTAAACTACAGTCTAAGGTGTTACTTTGTGAAAGGCACTTTGAAAACAAACCCCCTCTCATATCTCTTATAAACCACAGCTGTTAAAATCCAGAGGTACCCAGTTAGGTAGTACAGATTTCTTTCCAACACAACTAATAAATGAGAGACTGCTCTGAAAACCTCGGCATGCATCACTTAAGCCTGGGAGCTGCACAGTGACACTCAGCTGGTGCCTGGCACCAGCAGAGATTATCATTGAAGCATTGAAGGTTACGCCAGGAATCACAACATTGCCACCTGCATTCTGGCTGGGAATCACAAGCCTGCCAGGAAAAGTCGATGCAAGCCCTCCATGTCCTTCCTCAGTGCCAGGGGCTGGAGGACACTGTTAGGGATCAGCTTCACCCCCCACCTGCAATTCGACCTTGTTCTTGAGTCATTGTCCTCCCCGAGCCTAAGGTGTTCACTCACCAACAGGTGACAATTGTGAGCACCTGCCTTCCCTACCTGATTATTAAGGGCTTTAATGAATTTCATTTTCATAAAGTGTTTTCATATCCTTGACAGAACATTTCTATCCCAGTGTAGGGGAAAAGCCATTATCATTATTGACCTCAGAGTCAAAAGAGAGATACTTTTTCAGCCTTCCTTACTAATAAAATTGTAGTATCAAATGTTTATATAATGCTTTTCATCATAGACACAAACACAAAATTTTAAAGTTCACAATTTTGGAATATGAATTTGCTGCATTATTCAAGGTTGCCAGTTACAGTAGAGTTGCTCTAATGATTCCAAGTGCAGATGGCCAGAGCTGGCCTCAGATTCTCAGTTCATTAAACAGTCCTTCCTTTGACCAACAGCCCTCTCATTGTAAGGCCGCCTGGGTCTCAGCTGATGTCAAAAGCCCCATTCTACCCTGGGTGGATTGTTCACATAAAGGATCCCCATACATATTCTGCTGCAGATAGGGATGGGGCTGGCTCTGCAGATGTCGCTGCCTCCAGCACTGTCACTTTTGCTCATCACACGATCTTGGGTCTCTTTCCAGAGACTTGCACAAAGCTCAATTCAGAGTTTGCCTGTGACTGATGCACACTTGGCCTGCAGATGGACAGAGGAGGAGGAAAAGGCATCCCAGTGTTCTTCCCCGTTTGCCTGGGAAAGCTTGGGAATTCTTGGCCTCTTTAACAGCTTCGACTCAGGCTGAAAAACAAATCAGAAAGTTGCCAATGGTTTCATTCAGTCTACGAAACTGGGTTAATGTGACTCTGTGAGTGAAGCCATCAACGCACAAAAGTCAGGAAACCCAAGATTGCCATTCCCACCGCCCACGGAGGCTCTCTGCACAGGTGACCCTGTGTCCCTGCTGGGGCGCCAGACTGCATCCTTGGCAAAGCACAGAGCCACTGGGCCAGTCATCCTAGGAGTACATCAGCCTTTGGGGACTTAGTCATGGGGAAAACGGTCTCTGCATTCATGGTACTGTAATTTCAACTCTTAAATATATTCATTTGTTTTTAAATTGACTTTTAAATGCAGTATCATATATTTACTGAAAAGTGCACAAATGCTCAATGAGCACCTCACTGAATTTATACAACATGAATACACCCATGGAATCAATAACCAGGCAAGAAATCAAGCACTGCCAACACCCAAGGAGGCCCCCATCAGCCTCTTCCCCATCTCTAATATGATGATAAAACCTGACTATAAACATTAACAAAGGAATGGGATGTAAATAGACTCTGGAACTCTAGAAGAGATTAGAAAATCTTATTTGAAACTATCTTCTGAAATTGAGATTCCTGGGAACACTGGCAGACGTTGCTATCATTAGAATTCTCACCCAGCTAGCAGAATAAAGGGTGTAGTTACCCTGAAAAATTCCACAGGCACTATCTCCAGAGATGGCTGTATAGCACCTGTGCCCTTTCTTCCGATAGGCAGATACTCCCAGTAGAGGAAACACACGTGACACGTGTTCCCACCCAAGGACACCATGAGAAGCTCTGCAGAGCAGGTCAGTGCTGACTCCACCCTGGGCCTCTGAGTCAGATGTCAGGCCTGGCCATGTAAATTTCAAAAACTTCCCAAAGAGATTCTGAAGTGCATCCCTGGGTGAGAACAACTCTCTCAAAGTGTTATTCATTTTGTTATTTCATTACACACTTTCCAAGCCCATTCCCTCTGACAACAAAAGAATGAAACCCAGCAAAGGTGCAGGAAGGGGGTCAGGTGAGTTTCTTCTCCCCCCTTCCTTACTTCATCTGGGCTGATTTTGCCTAATCAAAATCGCTCCAATCACCCACAGAACTGGTCAAAATCCCAACCTCCAGAGATCAGCTCCTTTTTGTATGTAACTCCAGGCCTTTGCCTGCATCTAAAATGCTCTCTTCCTCTTCTCCACATAGCAAACTCCTACATGTTCTGCAAAATCCAGGCTAATTGTCTCCACTTTGTGTTTCCTGACTTAGTCCTTCTGTGCGCCCTAATATCCCATTAAAGGCCTCTTTACAGTTATCAATGGCTTTTTTTTTTTTTTTTTTTTTTTGAGACGGAGTCTCACTCTGTCACCCAGGCTGGAGTGCAGTGGCGCGATCTCGGCTCACTGCAACCTCCTCAGCCTCCCGAGTAGCTGGAATTACAGGCTGGTGCCACCACGCCTGGCTAATTTTTGTATTTTTAGTGGAGACAGGGTTTCACCATGTTGGTCAGGCTGGTCTCAAACACCTGACCTCGTGATCCACCTGTCTTGGCCTCCCAAAGTGGTGGGATTACAGGCATGAGCCACTGCGCCCAGCCATCAATGGCCTCTTCACAATTCTTGGCATATCACATTGTAATGACCTTTTGTGCTGCCTGTACCACCAAATAGACTGAGATTTTCCTCTTTCCACCTCTGCATTCTCATGGCCTAGAATGAACCCTGGAATATGCTAAATAAATAAATGATGGATGTATGCATGGATGGATGGATACTTAGAAGTGCTTTGTAAAGTGCAAACCATTCCATTTCCATCCACTCTATAACTCTCACACATAAACGGATATCTGGAACTCAAACATCCCTTTTTCCCTAGACTCCATCCTTCTCACCCTCCAAGTAGAGACCCAATTCTTTTTCATTTCAACAGGAACTAGAAACTCTACACCTTCACTATGTATTATAATTGTCAGCAAAATTTTATCTTTCTTTTCAGCATCATTATTCTCTGAGACTTACTTCCAAAGTCTAGCATTACCATGGGCCTTTTGCCTCTCTCTTTTACCCTAAAAAGCAAACATGGAGCAAATAGGCCTCTTGGGTTGGGGGTTGGAGGGGGTGGGGTTCCACCCAGGGAACAATGGCATCAAGGCCAACCCAAGCATGCATTGTGGCTCAGCAGGTGGTTCAGTGGCTACTGCGTGTATATACACAGCAGTGGATTTCTTGGGAAGACTAAGCTACAGCCAGCCCCTTAGGTGACAGTGAGCTGAGAGTTCTACACATAGAGCTGCCCCACAGTGGCTGGTGGTTTCCTTTATGGAGGAAATGTTTTGGAATCCCAGTCCTAGCATGTGATGGTTTTCCTACATTCCAAGAGCAGCCATGTGGCAGAGGCATGCTCAGAATAAGGCATTTGAGCAAAAATGGAGTAAAAACTGTAAAGTTAGAGGGAGAGGGAATTGAACAGCTGGAGATACGGGATATTAACTAAGATGTGTCTTAAAGTGATATGAATGAGGGTGTTCCTTACCATGGGAAACCAGTGTGGGAAGGTTTAAACAGCCATGGTGGCTCACACCTGTAATCCCAGCACTTTGGGAGGCCGAGGCAGGTGGATCACTTGAGGTCAGGAGCTCAAGAGCAGCATGGCCAACATGGCAAAACCCTGTCTCTACTAAAAACAAAAAATTAGCTGGGCATGCTGGTGGGTGCCTGTAATCACAGCTTCTTGGGAGGCTGAGGCAGGAGAATCACTTGAACCCAGGAGGAGGAGGGTGCAGTGAACCAAAATCGTGCCACTGCACTCCAGCCCAGGCGACAGAGACTCTGTCTCAAAAAATAAATAAATAAAATAAAACAAACAAAAAAGAAAGCATGTAAATAGCATCATTAACAATATGTCAGAATTTCACATTAGAATAATGCCAGAGCTTGACAAAATATTAGAGACCACATACATCAAACCCATAATTTTATATAAGGCAACTGAATTACCAAGACAAACCACGAACAACTTTCATAGCAGGGTCAATCATGATATCCATTTTATAGTCCAATTTGAATGTTATTCAGACCTACCCAACCTCAAAAATTCCTACCTGGTGTCTGTTATGATGTCTTATGTATTCCCAACATTTTTTTCATTTCTTTGAGGAACAATATCTTGTTTCCAGAAAGTGCACATTAAAAACAAATCTGTTGTCAAATTGAATGGCAGTCCACAAAGTAAATGTCCTGTACTCTAAAAGTCAAGGTCATAAAAGTTAAAAACAAAAAGGCTGATGAACTGTTCCAGACAGAAGAAAGACAGAGAGACATGACAGCAAAATGAAATGTGAAACCCCAGGTTGGATATTGGCTCCTGGACCAGGAAAAGAACCATTTTCTTTTCCTAAAAAGTACATAAGAGAAACAGTTAATACAATTCAAATAAGATCTATAGATTAAATGCATCAATTTCCTGATTTTATCATTATAGAGGAGAATGATCTTGTTTTTGGAGAAGACACACTGAAGTACCGGGGGTAAAAGAGCAGGGGCCACACATTTTTTTTTTTTTTTGAGACAGAGTCTTGCTCTGTCACCTAGGCTGGAGTGCAGTGGCGCAATCGCGACTCACTGCAACCTCCATCTCCTGGGCTCAAGCAATTCTCCTGCCTCAGCTTCCCGAGTAGCTGGGATTACAGGCACCTGCTGCCATGCCCAGTTAATTTTTGTATTTTTAGTAGAAACAAGGTTTCACCATATTGGTCAGGCTGTCTTGAACTCCTGACCTTAGGTGATCCACCTGCCTCAGCCTCCCAAAGTGCTGGGATTACAGGCATGAGCCACCGCACCCAGCCGGGCCATGCATATTAAAGTCACCTTCGTGCATCTCAGCAGGAATAAGGAGACAAGTACCTGCAAGGATAGCAAGCCCAACTGGGAGGCGGTGCAGAGCCTCAGTGATGCAGCCTCTTGTGCTGCCAGATTCCCCCCTCGTGATGGCATAGAAGTGGTTACACACATGGCTTAACACCTCCAGTGCCCTTCATTTCCTCAGCTGAGGGTGTGAAGAAAAATACTAGTGGCCAACACTCACGAAAACCTTCGTCAGTGCCAGGCACTGCTTCAAGCGCCCCACCTGCATTACCAACAACCTTTTACAAATGAGAAGACCAAGGCACAGAGAGTGAAGCAATTTGCTCAAGGTCACATAGCTGAGTGTCACCAAAACTGAACCACTCCCTTATACCATGTCTCAGGTCCTAGCATTTCTGTGAAACATAAATGAAATATGTCAAGCACTGAATTTAGAGCCCATGGGAAGGAAGTGCTTGGTAGAGGTTAGCTTAATCATCAGTGTTAACTTCACCACCACCATGAGTGAAAGATATGCCGCAGTACCCAGACCATTGGCTGGACCCTAAGTCCTCAGAGCTAAAGTTCCTTTCCTCGCTAACTGTTGTGCAGAGTTTCATCAAATCATGCAATCCGTAAGCTAAACCCCAGATATCTCAGAAGAGCTAAAACAAAACTAGGAGTAACAAGTGAATATCTTCTTTCTTGTAGCAATCGATAACTTTGTAGGTTGGTTTCATAAAACTTGGCTGCGTGATTCATTTAGACTTGAGGATATTTTCCAAACTATTTGGATTCCTTTTTAGGACACCACAAAACTGGGGGCGGGGGGAAGATTTATAGTCAGTCATAACTGTGGTATAGATATTTCAGACATGTATTTGGGCTTTTCTCTAGAAATCATGCTAATATATCTTGTCTAGTAAAAGATACTGGATGCCATTCACACAAGTCACTTTTCTGTTTTTTAAGATTTTTGGTTCCTTACAGAGTGGACTTTAATGGTGTATTAGTCCATTTTCACACTGCTATAAAGAACTATCTGGGACAGGGTAATTTATGAAGAAGAGGTTTAACTGACTCACTGTTCCACAGGCTTAACAGCGAGCATGACTGGGCGGCCTCAGGAAACTTACAATCAAGGTGGAAGGTGAGGCGGAAGCAAGCACATCTCACACGGCAGACCGGAGAGAGAGGAAAAGCAAAGAGGAAACTGCCACACACGTTCAAACTACCAGATCTCATGAGAACTCACTCACTATCATGGAACAGAAAGGGGAAAGTCCGCCCCCAGGATCCAATCACCTCCCACCCGGTCCCTCCCCCGACACACGGGGATTACAATTTAAGATGAGATTTGGGTGGGGATACAGAGCCAAACCATATCAGATGGGTTTTTTGGTTGTTTTTATTTGTTTGTTTGGTTGGTTTGGGGTTTGGGTTTGTTGTTTGTTTTTTGTTTTCTTGAGACAGGATCTGACTCTGTCACCCAGGCTGGCGTGCAATGATGCAATCTGGGTTCACTGCAACCTCCACCTTCCAGGCTCAAAACATCCTCCCATCTCAGCGTCCTGAGTAGCTGAGACTACAGGCACACCCCACCACATCCAGCTAATTTTTGTGTGTGTGTATTTTTGGTAGAGACGGGGTTTTGCCATCTTGCCCAGCCTTGTCTCTAACTCCTGGGCTCAATCAACCGTCTGCCTCAGCCTCCCAAAGTGCTGGGATTACAGGCATGAGCCATTGCCCCCAGCCTGTTTTTGTTTTTTGAGGCAGGATCTCACTCTGTGGCCCAGGTTGGAGTGCAGTGGCAGTGATCTTGGCTCACTGCAACCTCGACCTCCTAGGTTCAAGCAATTCTCCCACCTCAGCCTCCCAAGTAGCTGAGACAACAGGCACATGCCACCACACCCAGCTAATTTTTTAATTTTTTTAGAGACAGGGTCTCCCTATGTTGCCCAAGCTGGTCTCAAACTCCTGGGCTCAAGTGATCCTCCCACCTTGGTCTCCCAAAGTGCTGGGATTAGAGGCCTGAGCCACTGCGTCCACTTCCTTTGATGGTTTCTACTTGGTTGGTGCTGATACTGAATGGATGGGTCATCCAGTCATGCTCCTTAAACTCAAAAGGACACTGGATTCGTCAGCTAGGGCTACTGTAACAAAGCTCCACAGATCAGGTGGCTTAAACAACAGAAATATATATTCTCCAATTTTGGAGGCTAGATACCCAAAATCAAGACATCAGCAGGGTTGTTTCTTCTGTGGCCTCTCTCTTTGGGTCTTCATATGATCTTTCCCCCTCTGTGTGTGTCTGTGTCCTTATCTCCTCTCCATATAAGGACACGTGGGATTGCAGTCATGTGGGATTGCAGCCCACCCTAAGAGCCTCATTTCAACTTAATCACCTTTGTAAAAACATCTCCAAATGCAATAAACATTCTGAGGTACTGGGGTTAGGACTTCAACATGTGAATTTGGGGTGGGGACCCAATTTCACCCAAAACAGAGACTGAGACAGAGGGGAAGACAGAACCCATACACATGTGTCTTCAATTCTAGGCATGAATATTCCCTGGAAGCTCATTGTTTGTGGAACACTATTTCTAGCTTCCGATGCCACCTGTCTCCTCCAAATCAGCCTCCCTGAGAACTAATTCAACAAAGGGTCCATCCTAGCAAAGTTTTCAGAACCTTCTCTTGCATCTCCATAAACTCCTTCTTGAAGTCCACTGTACATCCCTTGACATCCCCACCCAGCTGACCCTGCGCCACCATCTTCTAGGGAATTTCCAGTATCCAGGAATACAAGATTCTTGTGCTTAATATGTTGGCATCATTGCTGCATTCAACGCTCAACCAATATGGCTAAGCAACTTGGAAATAATCCATCCTCTTAATAGCTGATATAATTTTTGTACTTTATTTACTACAAACATTGAATTTTTCCTTCAGGCCTCATAGAGAACAGCACTGACAACTTCCAGAAACATATTTGAAATGCCTGACATAGTGTACACAGCTGATGAGAAATGTTCCGAGTGTGCTGTGACAAAAACGAGGAAAAGTCGACAGGAAATCACTAATCCAAAATGAAAGCTCTCCAAAGCTCCCTGCCACACATCCCGCTTCTGATTGAGGGACCCGTGGTCTGCACACCTGCGTGGGCCACTAATCCTCCAAGGGACCGCAGGCCTCTGTGTCCATGTCAGTTACACAGGAGTCAAAAATAGACTGTTCTCTACTCCCCAAACTATGTAAGGAGGGAAAAATGAGATGGAACTGTAAGAAAAACTTGGGTAAAAGTCAAAATAGTTTAAATAAATTTAATTTTAATTCCTCACTGTCGAAACCGACTTAAATACATTGAATTTGTTGTTTTTATTCTGGCATTGTTTACCAGGTTATAAAGATGAGATGGCTCCCACAGTCAAACGTCTGTCTTCAACTCCATGAAAAGATTTAGAGCTGCGATTTTATTGCCCTTATCCGATCCTTACCGAATTTCCGTGGCTCTGGACTTCCTCCTACACGACAGAAGATAACCGGGCCACTGAAGAGAAACTCATTTTACTTGTGGGCCGCGTGTAGTAAAATCTGTGACCACCAGGGGGAAGCACAGACCTGGTGCTGCTGTAGACCTGGTCGCTGGGTGTTCGCGGCGGGATTTCTCCAGCCACAGGGTCCTCCCTTCCCTCCCGGAAAACCTCTCTGCGCTGCAGGAATCTGAAAGTGCTCAGGGGCTGCGGGCTCTGGCTCTGGTCTGCTGATGGCAGACCTTGCCCTGAGGATGCCCTCCTCCTGCCCAGTGCTGGGCAAGGGACTCCGCCCTGGGAGCTGAGTCAAAGCCGGACTGGGCTGCCTTTGGTGCTCAAGGTGGTCCCTGAACACCGGCCTGGGGACAGAGACCAGACCCAGGATTCACAGGCCACGCAAGGCATCTGAACCTGAACTCACAGTCTCCAGGCCCGGGGATCTTTCTGAAGACTCGGGGCAGGAACCAGGCAGCCCAGGGCAGGGGCATCAAAGCCTCTGGTCAGGAGGGAAGAGGAAGCCCATCGGCCTTGGGAAGATTCTAAAAGCAAACCAGGCTCCATATTGACCTTCCGCTGCACTCGCAGAGCGTTTTCTCCTTCTAATTCACTGTTAGCGCGTAAGCCTGGACCAGCACCTCACACCACAGACGAACGAAGGCACTGCAAGACGCCAGCGACCCAAGCAGAAAGCGCTGAGGGAAGGGGCAGCCCCGCAGGGTGGTCTCCCTGGCTCCCTGTTTGTTGTGAAACACACGCAGCTCCCCGACAGCAGGCAACGCTCGTGGTAAACACAAAACCCCAGCCGGGAACCAAGACACCATCAGAACCAGGCGACAAGATCCTGTCACAAGGAAAACAGAAGCTCAGCCTGGGTTGCGTTGGTGGGGTGTTGGGGCTGATGCTTCCACAGCCCTCTCTTAACTTACCTGGTAACTGGCCCAACTCGTCCTGTCACCCAAAACGGGGTAGATAGGGATCCAAGGAAGCATGGCAGAGACACGCGCAGGGTGACAGGGCTGAGGTGGCTCTGCACCCAGCTCCCCCTGCAGTTCCCACACACGGGCTTCCCATTCATCCCGGTGATTGATGCTCCTGGAAGCGCCTGGAAACTCTGCCTGTGAGCTAATTATTATGGGGAATGACCTGCGTCCTGGTCAGGAGTGAGTAGGGAGATCATTAGGTGAGAGCTGGCTATTCACAAGAGGGCAGCCTTTGATGCGAGCCGAGCAGAAAGTTTGGCCGAAACTCAACACCTCTTAGAAGTACAGATTAGTGGAGAGGAAGAAAGGAGAACGCATTGTGGAAGTTTTCAAGAAGGAGACAAAGATGCCTGTGTTTTGTATAGCTCAGCTGCCTCAGGAAAATGTCCATTTGTTTTCTTTACACTCCTTTTACATTTTAAGTGGAATCTAGTGAATGTGTCTTTTCAGCGTTCCCAATTTCACCATTTTCACTACACCTCGTGTTGCCATTTTAATGAAGCATCATTTTTCCAGAGGGTGTGGGAACAAAACCTATTTAATGACCTCTCTGAGCAAACACTGAGTTCTTCAAATATTTCCCTGAATTAAAATCCCCACCTCACAATTCACTTCCTTTTTTAAATGTCAGTTTGCCAACTGCTGCAAACCAATAAACAGGGCTTTCCTTTACCCGCAAGCCAGAGGGCTCCTGTGGAGCCTTATGGCCCGGGGGTGCCTGAGAAACCCCTGCTCTCCGTGTCTGGCTGCTGCCCTCGGAGAGCTCAGTGGAGGCAGCAATCCCCCTGGAAGCACAATATGTGCCTTGCATCTCTGCAGCACACGTGTTTAGGGGACTCAGCCAAAACCTGGGAGGACCTGGGAGATTCTCTGGTCCAGCCCCTCACTCTACAGACAGGGAAACTGAGGCCAGCAAGGCGAGGCATGCACCAGCCACACAGGGCATCACCGGTAGAACAGGAAGGCCATAAAGAATAAGCAGGGTTGGGGCCAGGTGCGGTGGCTCACACCTGTAATCCCAGCACTTTGGGAGGCTGAGATGGGCGGATCATGAGGTCAGGAGATCAAGACCATCCTGGCTAACACGGTGAAACCCCGTCTCTACTAAAAATACAAAAAAAATTAGCCGGGCACGGTGGCGGGTGCCTGTAATCCCTACTCGGGAGGCTGAGGCAGGAGAATGGCATGAACCCGGGAGGTGGAGCTTGCAGTGAGCCGAGATCGCACCACTGCACTCCAGCCTGGGTGACAGAGCAAGACTCTGTATCAAAAAAAAAAAAAAAAAAGAATAAGCAGGGTTGGCCCCATGTGGCCTCAGCATCACTTAGGGCAGTTGTGCAAAATGCATATTATACCCTTCCCAAATCTACCGAATTGGAGCTTCTGGAGTGGGAACTGGGAATGTACATTTCAACTACATTCCACATAGTGATAAACATTAACTTTTGGGAAGAACTACTAGTAGTAGAAAGAATAGGTTTGGGCCAGGTGCGGTGCCTCATGCCTGTAATCCCAGCACCGTTTAGGCAGAGGCCCAAGCAGGCAGGTCAACAGAGGCCAGGCATTGGAGACCAGCCTGGCCAACATGTGAAACCCCGTCTCTACTAAAAATACAATCATTAGCTGGGCATGGTGGCGCGTGCCTGTAATCCCAGCTACTCAGGAGGCTGAGGTACGAGAATCTCTAGAACCTAGGAGGCAGAGCTTGCAGTGAGCCTAGACTGAGGCACTGCACTCCAGCCTGGGCGACAGAGTAAGACTCCATCTGAAAAAAAAAAAAAAAGAAAAAAAAAATAGGTTTGAATCCCACCTCTGCTGCCTACCAACTCACCTACTTTGGCAAGGTAATGTCTCTGAGCTCCATTTCCTCATCGGTCACTGGGGAGATTGCTGTGGAGACATCGTGAGATGGTGCATGTAGGCCCACTCAGGTCCTGGGGCCTGGCACAAGGAAGCACTCTCTCAGTGTCACCTGTCCTCTAGAGGCAAGCACAACACACAATTTCTGGAGTCCCAGAGCCCCCACTTATAGACTGTATGAGCTTGGGCACATTATTTGTCTCTTTCAAGCCTCAGCTTCCTTATCCGTAAATGGAGATAATATTACCTCCTCCCAGGAATGCTGTGAAGGTAAAAAGTAATATCAAGTTGTAGCGGCACAGTCTAGTCATGAAACGAAACCACTGTAGGTCTTTCAACAGACAGATTTCAAGGCAGGGATTTAGTTCCACAGGGGATAGAAGAGCTTTGCCAAACAGAACAGAGGCCATCTAGAGATAGGCTGCTGGAAGGACAAAGGAAGATGGCTGTTTTGTAGAGCCGGGGAGTCAAGCCAGGCAACCCAGTAGGTGCTGGAGCATGGTGGGGCAGGGGAGCTAATGCCACGGAGAATTAACTGCTGCTGGATGTGGAGATACCAGACAAGGAAGATGGGAAGGAGAGAAAGGCCCAGGCTTCTCTTTTCCCCCAACCCTGTAGTCTCCTACCAATGCCTCTCCTTGCCCAGAGGAGGTAGAAGTCAGAAGATACAGGAGCCTGGGCAGTGTATCCAGAGACACAGAGCAGAGAGAAAGGGCAGACATTGGGCCTGAGAGCAAACAAGCAAATGCCTAGCACACACACAGAAAAGCACTTACACATTCTCAATCACAGCGGGAGCATCCTGTTAGTGCTTGTCATTGTCACTGTTAACAAAATACAACAGCCTGAAGGAATAGGCTCTTAGCAAGAAAAGTGTGTCTGTGGGAAGCCTGCCTTTTATTAGTCACGCACAAGCATCATTTCTCCAGGAGTGGCCACCACATGGAGGGAAAGTCCTGAAATTAGAGTCCCAGATGTGCTTCTTATAAAGGGAACCTCTTTGTCTACGAAAACATGAGTTTCACATGCATCCTAAGGCTATAATAAGATCAGAGACATGAAAGTGTTTAAAAGTGCTATGCCGATACAGGGCATGCTTGTATTCTCCAAAGGGGGCATTTTCAAAAAAATCATTGTTTTATAAGTTCTTGATTACTTAACAGAGTTCTGATAACAAAAGTGTTATTGTTTGGGGATTATATTTGTTCACAGTAACTGCATTTTATATGTTTACAATGAAAATCATTTCACTTTTGCAATACTGGTTTCTTGTTTGCTAGCTCCCTGGTCTATTAGGTCATTGCACTAGGCAATGTGATATATTCTGAAATTTTCTGAAATTTTATTTACTATTTTTAATATACCACTAAAATGTTTAATTTTCCCCCCAGAGTACTACATTATATGTTCAGGAATATTTTACTTTGTCGGTTTCAGCAAAGAGTGTTCCGGGATGTGGTCAAACAGCCAGTGCACGCCGAGTGTCAACAATCATGCAGCAGCTGGCAGAGCTTGTTCGGCATTGATGAGCCAGGTGTGCAGCCTGGAGCCAGGCCCACACGACAGGAGCAACCAGGGTGGCCCAAGAGGGAGACCAGGACAGACCAGGGATACAGTTGGGATGCAGCATTTTGGGGCTCAAGTAGCTCCACAGACAGGTCTGGGTCCTTTGCTTCAGCTCAGGAGGGTTCATGTGGGACTTTTGCAGGGGAAGAAGCAAGCCCCAAATTGGTGTGGTTTAACATTTGCCAAAAAAGAGAGGTGTAGTCCAAGCATCTTAAGATATTTATCTTAAGGAACATTCCCAAGAAGGGGCAAACAGGAGATGCCAGGAATTAAGGGTATTTGGACTTGGACACAGGGATGGAAACCCTTCGTTTTCCGTGCACCATATGCAGAGAGCCAAAAGCGGTAGCATGGAGGGAACTCCCAACCAAGAACATGAAGAAAAGCTTGTCCTCAAAGAGCTAAATCAGCAAGTCTATTTGTGATATCAGATAGGGGATCTATGATTCTAGTTCTTCATGGTCTGGTCTCACCAAGACTGTTGAAATGTGTTTGAAAACACCCAAGATGCAGTAAAGGGGACCCAAGGATCACCACTGGAAAGGACTTAAATTGTGACTGCAATCAGGTAAGCAGGAACTTGGTCAACTCTGTTGAATTCTGTTAGGAGAAAAGTTGTTTGAACTTGAAAGCACAGGCAACCTCACACACAGAATACGTAAACTTGAAGACCCGGGCGGGCTAGTACCCACACAAACTCAATGAAGGGAGGAGGCAGGGTGGCCTATAGAGCCTAGCACTATAATCAGTGGACATAAATATATATGGCCTCTGAAACACACTGATTTATTAACTAAATTAGACAACTCCTTCACTTTGCTCCAATTCTGTATTCATCAGGGAGCCTCCTGAGTATAATTTTGACTCCCCTAGGAAAGCTGCTGAGAGAGATAATAGGCTCATCATATTGCCTGAAATATCTCAGTCAAAAGGATGCTCAAGGTTCTTATTGCAAAATGATACTGGTACTTTGATTTATACATCAGTCTCTTGTCATGTTGGTTAATGGGAGTTTGCCCCCAGAGAACCAGATTCACACCAAGTATCCTTAAAATTTATAACATTTGAAGCTGCAAAGCTGAAAAGCTGACCTGCTATAGTGTAGAATCTGCAGAAGGTAAATGCCAACTGACGAGCTATGTAAGCATTCACACAGCCAACCTCCCTTGATAACATCCCAACATTGCCACATGCCACGTTTTAAATTTAAACAAATAACAGTATAACAGTGTTGGGTGTGTATGTGCCAGTTCATTTCCAATGTTCCACACTGTAAAACAGCTTGAAGCCTGTAAAACTGGAGATGTTATTGTCTTGGGCCAGATCTGTGCTGCAGGAAAGGATTCAGGGTCTTTGAACTATAAATAAATTCAGTTAACACTGGGCATTAAATTGTGAACTGCTACAGCATAGTTTAGATATGGTAAGTCACAGAGCAATCAGTACAGTTTTCTATGTAGCTCCAACTACATTTCCTTCAGAGCCTTTTAGACACTTCTGGGACTTTTATAGTTTCTTAACAATTTAAAACTTTTGTACCAAAAATCAAATAGTATTCTGGCCATTAAACAAATGACCCAAAATATGTGATAACATTTTAAAAATCAAGAAATAGGAGACATTATAACTAAAAAGACAAACAAATTTGACCCTATGAAAGTTTCAAATTTCTGTGAAGTTAACTATCAAAATTAAAATTTAAAAGGCAAACATATTGGAAATATATTTGCAGCAAATACAGCAATAAACAAGCAAAAATTTTATTGAAAACTATTTGAATTGCCTAATAAATGAATGAAAATTAAAAAGAGAGAAATATTATTATATGCCTATTAAAAAGTAAGCAAATATACCTAACAAAAATTAAGAGATTAATATCCATTGCAAGCACAGTTGGGAAGAGTTAGATTCTTGCATGCAGCTGTTAGCAGCCCATATTTACATGATTCTTTCTATTATACATCAAGAGTAATGGAATCATTTACATTCTTTTACAACTACTCTGACTTTAAGATATTTACGCTAAGGAAAATATTTATTTATTTATTTATTTATTTATTTATTTGTTTATTTATTTGTGAAAGGGTCTTTGTCACCCAGGCTGGAGTGCAGTGGTAAGATCACCACTCACTGCAGCCTCAATCACCCAGGCTCAAGTGATCCTCCCACCTCAGCCTCCCAAGTAGCCGGACTACAGGCATGCACCACCACACCTGGCTAATTTTTTATTTTTTGTAGAGACAGTGTCTCGCTATGTTGCCCAGGCTGATCTCAAACTCCAAGCAATCCTCCCACCTCAGCCTTCCAAAGTGCTGGGATTATAGATATGAGCCCCTGTACTTGGCCTGAACATACTTACTTTTTTTTTTTTTTTTTTTTGCAGTTGCAAGATTTAATAAAATGAAAACAGAGCTCCCATACAATGGGAGGGGACCCAAAGGAGGTTGCCGCTCCCTGCTTGAATGCCTGGGTTTATATCCCGATCATTGTCCCTCCCCCTGTGCTCTCAGGCGATATATGATTTAACTATTTCTTTACCTCCTGCTTTTAGCCTTATTTGTATTTTAGTGAGCCCTCTTAACTACCTGATTGGTTGGGTGTGAGCTGAGTTATAAGCCCCGTGTTTAAAGGTAGGGGGTGTGGTCACCTTCCCCAGCTAGGCTTAGGAATTCTTAGTCAGCCTAGGAAATCCAGCTAGTCCTGTCTCTCAGTGCCCCCCTCAACAGGAAAACCCAAATGCTGTTCGGGAGGTTGGCCGATGACCGCTCTAACTGCTTCCTGCTGAATTGGGGCATAGTAGGGGCCGTGCAGTTGAGATTTCCTCGGGAGGGGTGCCTTCAATGTCATCAACATTGGAGAATGGGCTAGCAGGCTGGTCCAGGGGTCTGCGATAGATCTTAGTCATGTACTGCATCTGGGGCTCCATTTGAAGAACTGTTTGTAGGTTTATAGCTTCGATTCTTGAAGAGACAAACTTAACAAGGAGGTTAAAGATACAGGGATTGAAGAGTATGGCCTGAAGTGCAGGGGCATATGGGTGTGGGCGGTGAAATTGGGGTTTCCTTTAGAAAAACTCCTATATGATGGGGCATCAATATTTCTGGGAAGCTGCATTCTCCATAGAAGCTCTTGGTAAGGGGAGCTGCTGGTAGTACAGCGGCATAGAGCGGGTGCAATGAGAGTGAAACAGGGTAAGAGAACAGTAAAAAGAAAAACATGACAAAGGAGGGCCATGGGGATCTACGATTCTAGTTACTTTCTTCACAGTTGTCACTTGAAGAGCAGGTGCAGATCCTCTAGAGGTTCACAGGAATAGCTAGTGTTGTCTCCTGGATTTTCAGGTTCCTTTGGCAGTATCCAGGGTTTGACTCGAGTGTGATGTATCCAAGACTCCACTCCAGCCACTTTAACCACTAAGCTAAGTCCCGCTTTTTGGGGAGAGTTTCAGATTCTTAGTAAGGCTATAGGCAACAGAGCAGGCCATGTGAGGTGGGTTTCTTGGGTTAGCTTTTTTAGATGTCATTTGAGTGTTTCATTCATTTTCTCGACTTTTCCTGAGGATTGTGGCCTCCAGGTGCAGTGTAAGTGATATTGTATGCCTAACGCCTGGGATATTCCCTGGATTACTGCAGCCTTGAAAGCAAGGCCTTTGTCACTGTCACTCTGTAAGCCTTGGGGAAGTCCAAATCTGGGAATTATTTCATGAATTAGTGCCTTTATTACCTCTTGGGCCTTTTCTGTCCTACAAGGGAAGGCCTCTGCCCAACCAGTGAAAGTATGTACCCAGACTAGTAGATACTGAAATCCCTGAGATTTGCGCATGTGGGTAAAATCTAGTTGCCAGTCTTCTCCTGGGTAATGGCCTGTTCTTTGTTCTCCTGAAGGAGCTTGGTGATAAGGCAGGGGGTTATTTCTTTGGCACATTTCACAGGCCCTTACTATCTGCTTGATAGTTTTGAAAAGGCCTGGTCCAGTAAATAATGATTTGGCCATCTGATGGGTGCTATCAATGCCTAAGTGAAAGGTTTGGTGAAGGGTTTTAAGTAATTTCCATTGGTTAGCTGCAGGCAAAAGTATTTTTCCTTCTTCAGTGGCTAGCCATCCTGAGGGGAGGAAACTATGTCCTTGTAAGGTTCCTCATTCTATTTCTTCTGCTGAATACTGGGACTTGGTTTCCTGGAGGGGGTTACCCCATACTAGGGGTCCTTCTATAAGCATTTCTAATGGAGGGTCCCGCCTTGCGGCTCTTTTGGCTTCAATATCTGCTTGGCGGTTCCCTCCTATTTCCCTTTCCTTTCCTTTCTCATGACCCTGGCAGTGTAAGACTGCCACCTCTTTAGGTTTCTGTACAGCTAATAGTAATCTCCTAATGGCTTCCTGATGTTTGATAGGTGTTCCCTCGGAAGTTAGGAATTCCCTTTCTCTCCATATTGCTGCTTGGGCATGGAGGACTAGGTAAGCATACTTAGAGTCTGTATATATATTTACCCTTTTTCCTTCTCCTAATTCTAGTGCCTGAGTGAGGGCTATTAGTTCTGCCAGCTGAGCACTGGTTCCTGGAGTGAGGGGATTACTTTCAAGTATTCCATTGTCACTCACCACTGCATACTCTGCCTTTCGAAGTCCTTTTTCTACAAAGGAACTTCCATCAGTATACAAGTTGAGGTAGGGATCAGTCAAGGGAACCTCTAGAAGGTCCCCTCGAGTAGCGTAGGTTTGAGCAATTACTTGTTGACAGTTACGTTCTGTCTTTTCTTCATTGTCTGGAAGAAATGTGACTGGGTTAAGAGTTGCACAGGTGTGCAGTCGCAGCACTGGTCCTTCAAGTAATAGAGCCTGATATTTAAGTAAATGGTTGTCTGACAGCCACAAGTCTCCTTTAGCAGTGAGTATGCCGTTCACATCATGAGATGTCCACACGATAAGATCTCTTCCCTGTATTATTTTAATGGCTTCAGATACTAAGACTGCTACTGCTGCCACTACCCATAAACAATGAGGCCAACTCTTTGCCACTACATCAATTTCCTTACTCAGATATGCCACAGGTTGCAAGCTGGTCCCTAGGACCTGTGTAAGGACTCCTAGAGCTATTCCTGTTTTTTCTGTGACATATAAAGAAAAGTCTTGCCCCACTGGCAAGCTTAACACTGGGGCTTGGGTTAGGCTCTTCTTTAGGGCCTGGAAAGCCGCTTCTGCTTCAGGTGTCCATTCTACTAAATGAGTATTGGCTTTCTGAGTTTTCTTAATTAGTGTGTATAATGGCTGGCTATTTCGCCATACCTGGGAATCCATATTCTGCAGAAACCTGTTGTGCCAAGGAACCCTATTAATTCCTTCAGGGTTTTGGGATGAGGATAAGCCAGTATAGGCTGGATACTTTCCTCACTGAGGGCCCTGGTGCCTTTGGGTAATTTTAGCCCTAAGTATTTAACCTGCTGTAAGCAGAGCTGAGCCTTTGGTTTGGAAACCTTGTAGCCACAGGTGGCGAGCGCTTGGGTGGCTTGATGGCACAAGGTTTCTGAACAGGCTGCTAGAAGTAAATCATCCATATACCAAAGGACACGAGTGTCCAAGTATGAGAACTGGCTCAAGTCTTGGGCTAATGCCTAGCCAAATAGATGGGGGCTATCCCTGAACCCCTGGGGTAAAACAGTCCAGGTAAGTTGAGACATTGGGTTCAAAGGATCTTCAAAGGCAAACAAGAATTGAGAGTCAGGATGTACAGGGATGCAGAAAAAGGCATTCTTAAGTTCCAAGACTGTAAACCACTCTGCTTCCTCTGGTATTTGGGAAAGCGGGGTATAAGGGTTAGGTAGAGCTGGGTGTAGAGGGACAACAGCCTCATTGATAATCCTGAGATCTTGCACCAGCCTCCACTGTCCATTAGGTTTCTGCACTCCTAAAATTGGAGTATTGCAGGGGCTATTGCATGGTTTTACTAGGCCTTGGGCTTTTAGGTCCTTAACAATCTTCTGGAGTCCTTGTTGGGCCTCGGGTCTAAGGGGGTACTGCCTTTGGTAGGGAAAGGAGGTGAAATCCTTTAGTTTAACTTTAACAGGACAGGCATTCTTCACTCATCCATATTGTCCTTCTGTTGCCCAGACTTCAGGATTAATTCCTTCCTCAAGTAAGGAACAACGAACCTGTGTTCCTTCTCCTATGTTCAGGTGTATAATGGCCCCTGCTTTTGCTAGAACGTCTCTCCCTAACAAAGGAGTGGGGCTTTCAGACATAATTAGAAAGGCATGTGAAAAGAGTAAAGTTCCCCAGTCACAACTTAGTGACTGGGAGAAGTATCTAGTGACTGCCTGTCCTAGGACCCCTCGGATAGTGACAGATCTGGAGAACAGTTGTCCAGGACAAGAAGGTAAGACTGAGAAGGCTGCACCAGTGTCCAGGAGACAGTTAACCTCCTGGCCCTCAGTGGTCAAGCATACCCAGGGCTCCGTGAAGGTGATGGCATGGGCTGGCGCTTGCCCCAGGCACCCTCAGTCCTGCTGCTCGATCATCTGGTTAGTGGCTTCTGACTCAGAGGACCTTCATCCCCTGGGGCAGTGGGCCTTCTAGTGATTCCCTTGACATAAGGGGCATGGATGAGGGGGTGGCTTATTTCTACTCAGAAAATCTTTTTAAAAGTGTCCTTGTAGACCCACACTGGAAGCAAGCCCTATTAAGCATTAGATTTGCCCAGGCTTTCCCTTTTCCAGAGCCTCCAAAGTCCGCTTGACTGAGGGCCATGACTAAAGTGGTGGCCTTCTTTTTTTATCCCGTTTGTCCCGTTCGGCCTGTTCCTCCTGATCTCTATTATAAAAAACCGAGGTTGCCAAGTTCATTAGGGTTTCTAAGTTTTGCTCCAGGCCTAAGGCAGACTTTTGAAGTTTTTTCTAATGTCTGCAGCTGACTGAGTGATAAACTTATCCTTTAAGATTAGTTGGCCTTCAATAGAGTCAGGTGACAGAGAGGTATGCTTCCTCAATGCCTCCCTTATCTTTCCAGAAAGGCAGTAGGATTTTCTTCCTTTCCCTGTGTTATAGTGGACATTATTTAATAATTTATAGGCTTCTTCCTAGTTTTCCTTAGTCCTTTTAGCACGCAAGTTAGCAAATGTCTGCGGCACCAATCTCCATGTTCTGATTCTGTGTCCCAATGAGGGTGTACACCGGGAACTGCCTGCTGGCCTGTGGGGAATTATTCTGTTTCCTCTGTTGTCATCCTATCATTGACCTGACTGAGATACCAGAGATCGCTAAACTCACAGGGCTGCGGTTATGGCGGCACTTCTCTCATTTGGGGCTAGTGTCTGATTTAGCAGTAACATTGTATCTCTCCACATCAGATCAAAGGATTGTCCTAACCCTTGTAAAACATCAATATAGCCATGAGTGTTATCTGAGAATTTACCTAGGTCTATTTTAATTAGCTTCAAGTCTGAGAGGGAAAAAGGTACACACACTCTGGGCCGAAGTCTCCCCCTCCCATCACTTGGAGGGGGCATAATCAGGGAATATTGGCATTCTTGGGTTCATTGTTTACCCCTTTGTCTATCTCTTTTTGGATCATTTGGGTTGAAGGGGGGTCCTTATTAGTTGGGGAAGGAGCCAGGGGAATGTTGGGGCAGGGAGGTAGACTCTGAGGGCTTCCTGTAGGGCATAAATTACACTTTTTTACATAATTGAGTTGTCTCTTAATGAAAAGAAAGTTGGTACATATGGCACTTCACTACATTTGCCCTCCTTTCTAGAAAAGAGGTCTAGCTGTAAGATGGTGTTATAATTTATACTTCCCTCAGGGGGCCAGTTTTCTCCTCCTTGAAGAGGATATTGTGGCCAGGCGGTACTGCAGAAGAATATAATCCGCTTCTTTCTTAGCATCTGAGGGTCAAATTGGTCCCAATTCTCCAGAATACATCTTAGGAGCTTTTTTGCCTTGGGGGAAATATTTCCCATCACTTTGGAGAATCCCTGTATGGGCCACCAAATATTAACGGAGGGTCTTTGTTCTTAGAGCTCCCAAGATGGTGGTGGGCCACTCCCAAGATGGCAGCAAGCCTTTTGTTCTCTGACCTGGAGTTCTTGGGCTCATGGATTCCAAGGAATGGAACCTTGGGCCATGCGATGAGGTTATAGCTCTATTAGAAGCTGTGGGTCACGGAAGAGAACTGTGGAACCCAGCAGCTAGTGTTCAGCTCGATTAGGACAAACCCGGGCACTTAGCCATGCAGGAATAATGGCGAGCCTTTAGCCCATTGGGAGCAGCAATGGGCGCCTCATTGGATCAGGAGTGCAGTGGACACCCTGCCGGATCCCGAGGGGTGGAAGTCAGTGATGGGTCTGTGACAGCAGCAAACAGCAGTGGTGAACAGTGAGCGAAAGCTCAGCTTGAGCTGTAACAAACGCGGACCAGAAGAGTGTGCAGTTGCAAGATTTAATAGAGTGAAAACAGAGCTTCCATACAATGGGAGGGGACCCAAAGGGGGTTGCCCACATACTTAAATTTTAAAAAGCTGTGTGCATTGACATGAACATTTTAGTATTACGCATAATAGAAAAAAATTAAAGACAACCCAAATTGCAACAATTATGAAACAATCAAGCCGATTATTCTACTAAGCCCAGCTTAGTAGAATGTAATGCAGTCATTTAAAATTATAATGCTTAGACATCTGTAACACTTTGGGAAAGTGTTTAGAATGCACTAAACAAAAATCTAAGTACCTGCTTATAAAGTGTGATGTATTTGAATCCCAGCTCTACCATTTACCAGCTGTAAGGCGTTGCAAATATTACTTAATCTCTGTGCCTCAGTTTTTCAGTTTGTAAAACAGAAAAAGTAATAATACCTACCTAGTAATGTTGGTGTACAGATTAAATGAGTCATTGTACATAAAACTGCTTAGAAAACTCGCACATAAGTGCTATGTGAATGTTTCTGATTCTTTGTCATTAGAATATTTCCCATCATATCATTATCATAACCTTTATAATAAATAAAAATTAGAATTTAAAAATCCCCTTCTTAGATATTGTTGCTAAAACATATTTCATATTCTTTAAGAATAACCCACAGTAGGCTGGTGGTGAAGAGTGGCTCACGCTTGTAATCCCAGCACTTTGAAAGGCCAAGGTGGGTGAATCACCTGAGGTCAAGAGTTCGAGACCAGCCTGGCCAACATGGTGAAACCCTGTCTCTACTAAAAATACAAAAATTAGCCAGACATGGTGGCAGGTGTCCATAATCCCAGCTACTCAGGAGGCTGAGGCAGGAAAATCCCTTGAACCCAGGAGGTGGAGGTTGCAGTGAGCCGAGATTGTACCACTGCACTCCAGCCTGGGCAACAGAGTGAGACTCTGTCTCAAAAAAAAACAAAAAAAACAAAAAAAAACCGCACAGTATCCTCAAGAACATTTTAGTTCAATGATACATATTATGCACTTGCTAGGTATCAAGCCCCATGTGACCCCCGCCCTAAGGGAGCTTACAGTCAGTTAAAGCAGAAGAAATCACACAATCTCAACAGTCCTGATGGCCTCAGCTTTGCACATCACCCTCCCATCCTAAATTGCAAATGCCATTTCATCATTTTATCATTTTTGGCCACTGTTAATGCACCCTGAAGATTTGTTTTACATTATATTTATATAAGTAGTCCTAAGATACATAAAGTGTTCTTCTGTTTTGAATGGGCTTCTATTTTTGCTAGATTTGAACAAGTGTAGTAATTTCAATTTCCTGTTGTTATTTAACAATTCTCATTTCACACAGGTATCATTTAGGTGTTAACACAAAAAAGTGGATTTTTCAAAACATGTTTAAATCTCCATATTTTTTAGCATCTTGACCTTCTAAATCAACACAAAATCTTCAATTCTGCAAAGATACAATGCATTCCATTCCTGTTTCCATATTTCCAATCATTCAACAAATGTTTATTGAGTACGTGTTATGTACCAGACACATTCAGTGCTAGGCACCAGGGATGAGAAGACAGTTCCTGTCTCAAGGTTTGCTCCTTCTAAATGGGGAAGCTCCCATCACAATGTGAAAAATGAGAATAATAATAAGAGTGTGTACTGGAACTATGGAGCAAGGAGTTGGAAACCAAAAGAAAGCATCCTGATCCATTCTGAAAACAGACCTTTCAAAGAATAAGGCATTTGAAGCCAGTCCTAGAGGCCATCTGGTGATAACTAGGCAGAAAAATCCTTCCAGGATAATAATGTAGACTAAGCAAAGCTAAGAAAGCATAAGAGAGCATAATGTGTTTAAAAAACACTTAGGTTCAGCTAGCCATGGTGGCTCACACCCGTAATCCCAGCACCTTGGGAGGCTGAGGCGGGTAGATCACTTGAGGCCAGGAGTTTGAGACCAGCCTGGCCAACATGAAGAAACTCCATCTCTACTAAAAAATACAAAAATTAGCTGGGTATGGTGGTGGCCTGTAATCCCAGCTACTCAGGAGGCTGAGGCTCAAGAATCACTTGAGCCTGGGAGGCAGAGGCTGCAGTGACCTGAGACTGCACCACTGCACTCCAGCCTGGGTGACAGAGTGATACTCTGCCTCAAAAATAAAACAAAAACAAAAAAAACCACTTAGGTTAAATGGAACAAAACCATGGGTAGAGAGTGTTAAATAAAAGAGGAAGCAAAGATCTCTTACAACCCCTACTGAAGACATTGAGATTTATCTTTCTTGGGAGAGAAAGTCAAAAAAAAAAAAAAAAAAAACCGCAACAAAAAAACAACCAACCTGTAGGCCAGGGAATAGAATCTTCAGATTTGCATCACAAAAATCCATCTGATGAAAACATGAAAGAAGAGAGACTGGCAAAAAGAGTTCAGCCAGGTGGCTTGTGAAGTAGTAAAACAATAAATTAAGAGGGCCTGAACTACGACAGTGACCACAGCAAAGATTGGATAGTGGGTATACTTAAGGCTATACAGAAGACTAAATTTAAAAGAAAAGCCTTATGCACAAATACTGCATGGAGTATAACAATCCCTTGAATGCACAGAATAGCTCACGAGAAAGGAGAAGGCTCCTACAACTCAGCAAAAGTAAAGGTGGGGGATGGGGGGAGGGAGAGCATCAAGATAAATAGCTAATGCATGCAGGGCTTAATACCTAGGTGATGGGTTGACAGGTGCAGCAAACCACCATGGCACACATTTACTTATGTAACAAATCTGTACATCCTGCACATGCATCCTGGAATTTAAAATTAAATTAAATTAAATTTTAAAAATTCAAAAAGAAAAGATGTTCAACAACAACAACAGCAAGAAAAGTAAAGACTAGAAAAACCTGTCCACAAACACAAGGAGATGACAAGGAAGCTGGTCTATCCTAACACAAGCTCTGATGGAAAAAAACCCTCCCTGATAATTTGAAACAATAGGTCTGCCCTCACCTAAGCTTGTGGTTGAAATTTACACCTTGTGAGGGTTCTGGAGCATGGAGCCTAAGAAAATAACATAAACATGGAACAGTATAAAATAAGATCTATGGTGAGAAAAAAAAAGTAAGATACAAAACAGTGCAGGTAATAGAGTGCCACTAATGTAAAAGGTAATAATAGCCAGGTACATATATGTTGCATATGCACAGACCATCTTACCTAAAAATGTGTCCCAGGCTCAGTCTTTGATCCTCATCTCTCCTCTAGTGATACTCACTCTATTAGTGATCTCACCCAGTCTCAAGGCTTGTTGATCACTTTAAACTGGTTGCTCTCAAATTTATACTTCTGGCCCAGACCTCTCTCCCACAACCCAGACTCGGATATTCAACAGCCAACTCAAAATCTCCGCTTAGATGCATGAGACATCTAAAATCCAAAACTTTTCTTATATCCTCTCAAGCCTGTTCCTCCACATCCTTCCCCATTTTCACTGACAGTAAATCCATCCTTCCAGCTGCTTTGTTCTAAACCCTTAGAGTCATCCTTGAGTCTGTGCTGGCTCTCACATCCCACATCCAATTCATCAGGAAAGACCATTGGATCTATCTTCAAGATATGTCTAGAATCCTACTGCATTACACCTTCTCCATGGCCACCACCCTGGACAAAATCAACATCATAAGAATTCCTGTGTATTGTAAATTTTGAAACATCATATTTTCCTGCTGCCTCAACATCTCCATGAATAGACTGGGAGCATTCCACCCAGGCAACCAGATGAGCCTATGTGATAATATTGACGCAAGACGTAAGTTCTCCTTCTTGCTCTTCCCAGACTGCGACCAGTGATATTCAAATACACCAGTGAAATCACCTTGCAACTTTTCTTATATACTCTACCCTAACCCCGAATTACTTGGCCCAGTGTCCTCATTCTTTCACTTCTCCCCACTGCTTGGCTGAGCTTATTCCTTTGGTACCCTTCCTGTGTGACCCTCTTGTGGTGTGCAGTGACTCTATCTCTCTAGGACCTGTGAGGATAACAAACTATGTTTTCCTATGCCTCTTTTGTGTCCCTTTTTGTGGCCTCCTCAAACTGATCATCTCATGAAAGAATATAAGACAACCTGCATCACTGCACCAACTTCTCACAGGTCTCCCTGCTTCTACCTTTTTCCCCCCACCACACTCACACACTGTAATTTAAATTTAGAAGCCAGAGTGAGCCTTTAAAAATAGAAGATCATGGCTGGGGGCGGTGGCTCACACCTGTAATCTCAGCACTTTGGTAGGCTGAGGCAGGCAGATCACTTGAGGTTAGGAGTTTGAGACCAGCCTGGCCAACATGGTGAAACCCTGTCTCTACTAATAATACAAAAATTAGCTGGGCATGGTGGTGTATGCCTGTAATCCCAGCTACTTGGGAGGCTGAGGCAGGACAACCACTTGAACCAGGAGGCAGAGGTTGCAGTGAGCTGAGATCGTGCCACTGCACTCTAGCCTGGGTAATACAGCAAGACTCCATCTCAAAAAAAATAATAATAATAATTATATATATATATATATATATATATAAAATCATGCCACTGTTTGGCTCAAATTCCTGAAATGGCTTCCAGTGTCACCCAAAGTAAGAGCCAAGGTCTTCCCAATGGCTTACAAGAGTTTGTCTGATCTGTACTCCCATACCTCTAGATATTTCACTACTCCCCGTTCCTGCCCTCCACTGCAGCACATTAGGCTCCTTGCTATTTTGTGAGCACGCCAGGCATGTTCCTTCCTTATACCCCTTGATCTAGCTGTTCCCTTGGCCTGGAACATGCATCCCCACTTATCCACTTGCTAACAAGTTGCCTTTTAAAGTCTTTGATCAAGTCTCATCAAGTCAAGGAGACTTACCATGAGGATATCATGTATTAAGGCAGCTGGTCCCTGGCCCCAGCACTCTTACTCTTCTAACACTGCTTTACTTGTCCCATTCACCTATCACTCTGACTGTCAATCACCTTATACAATTTAGTTATTGGTTGTGTTTGTTATTTATTTTCTGCCCCCCTCCCAGTATATATACACACACACACGCTCCCCTGGAAGGTAAACTTTCTGGAAACAGGAATTTTTGTGTTTGTTTGTTTGTTTTTTTTTTTTTTTGAGACGGGGTCCCGCTCTTTAGCCCAGGCCGGATTGCAGTGGCACAATCTTGGCTCACTGCAAGCTCCGCCTCCCAGGTTCACGCCATTCTCCTGCCTCAGCCTCCCGAGTAGCTGGGACTACAGGCGCCCGCCACCGCGCCCGGCTAATTTTTTGTATTTATAGTAGAGACGGGGTTTCACCGTGTTAGCCAAGATGGTCTCGATCTCCTGACCTTGTGATCCGCCCGCCTCGGCCTCCCAAAGTGCTGGGATTACAGGAGTGAGCCACCACGCCCAGCCTTTGTCTGTTTTTTTAATTGATGTATCCCAACTTCCTAGAACAAGGCCTGGAACATAGACACTCAGCATTTGTTAAATAAATGAAGAAAAGAATAAGAAACTGCCAACAGCAGTTCCATCTGGGAGGGTAAATTGTGTGAATGGAGTACAGAGATGGAAAGAAACCTCTTTCACGTTGCAACTTACATTAACTATTCAAAAGAATCAACAAAAAATCAAAATATCTAAAACACACACAAAAAATAAATGTAGTCCTACGTTGGTGATACTTCCTTGAAATCTAGTATAAGTAAACAGATCCACTCTTAGGGATGACTTGATCTGGATCTCACAGTATTCCCATAGGTAAAAGCCTGCTGAAGATGAGCTCACAATCCAACATTACAGAACACAAAACCAAAAGTCTGCCATAAGTAAATTTTATGATTAAACAGTCCCCATGAACTTCAGATAACATATAATCACATAGAAACCACTATATATGACTATAGATATTTTCAAAAGAATTGAGATATGAGAAGAAAATAAGACACTGAAAAAATATTTTAAAGGTTAAAAATGGAAACTTTTAGAAATGTAAAATGCTGTTATCAAAATTTCAAGCACTCAATGATATGTTAAACAGCAGATTTGACACTCTTTCCAGACACTCTGTAAACACATCTGAAGAACTAATCAACAAGGCAGCATAAAGTGACAAAGATACAGAAAATGTGAACATTCCAAAAGTAGAAAACAGAAAACATGAAAAAGAAAATTTTTTCAAGCAGATAATTGTTGAGAATTGTACAAAATTAATGAAATCCAATAATTCAGATTTTAAAAGTATAAAAATTCCTGAGCAAGATAAGCAAAAATAAATTCATATCTACATATATCATAGTTACTCTGTAGAACACCAGTTAAAAAGAAATTTTAAAAGCAAACAATAAGTAAATATAAATTACTAACAAAGGAGTAACAAATCAACAGCAGATTTCTTATTAACAATAACAGAAGATAGAAGGCTACTGAATAATATCTTCAAAAGTCAAAAAACAAAAAACCACTTATATCCAACTCTCATTCAAAAATTAGGGTGAGGCTAGGTGCCATGGCTCACATCTGTAATCCCAGCACTTTAGGAGACCAAGGCAGGAGAATCACTTGAGCCCAGAAATTAAAAATTGTCCTGGGCCATATGGCAAGACTCCATCTCTACAAAAAACTTTACAAAAAAAAATTTATCTGAGCATAGTGGTGCTCACCTGTAGTCCCAGCTACTTGGGAGGCTGAAGTGGGAGGACATTTGAGCCTCAGAGGTTGAAGCTGCAGTGAACCAAGATTGCACCACTACACTCCAGCCTGGGTGACAGAGCGAGACTCTACCTCAAAAAAAAAAAAATTAGAATGAAATAAAGACATTTTTGGAAAAGTGAAGACAAAAGTGTTTAGCTAATAGATCTTTAAAGAAAACATTAATAGTGAATATCTTAGGAAAGAAGGAACTGGAAAGCAAAACAAATTAAATGTAAAAAGAAATGATGAGTACAGAAATTAATAAATATCTAATGAAAACTTTGTCTAATACAATAATCATAAGTAATGAGAATTACAAAACTAAGATGGAACTAACCAACTGGACAATAATAATATGTAAATTTGTGGTGGACAGTAATTGAAGTTAAAGCATTCCTAGAACCTTGTATTGTTTCACAGGAAGGTATGTAGAGATATTAATAAACATGATTTTATTAAGTTAATAAATGATAAAATATGAACTACTGAAAAATGGAAATAGGATTCTGATTAATGAAATTTACAAACCTCTCAGAGGAAAAGAAAGACAAGAAAGGAGCAAAATAAAGTAGAATACAAAAAGGAACAATGTGGTTTTTAAAATTTCTAGCTGAAATTTGTATTGTACAAAAAAAGTTTAACTGTATTTTTTTATTTTTTATTTTTAGATTCAGGGGTACATGTGCAGGTTTGTTACATAGGCTTATTGCATGATGTTGAGGTTTGAGCTTCTAATGATCTCATCCCCTAAGTAGTGAACATAGTACCCAATAAGCAGTTTTTTATCCCATGCACCTCTCCCAGCTCTCCCCACTTTTGGAATCCCCTGTGTTTATTGTTCCCATCCTTGTGTCCATATGTACCCCATGTTTAGCTCTTACTTATAAGTGATAACATGCAGTATTTGGTTTTCTGTTTCTGCATTAATTTGCCTAGGATAATGGCCTCTAACTGCATCCATGTTGCTGCAAAGGACGTGATTTCATTCTTTTTTATGGTGGCTGTGTGGTGTTCCAGAGTGTACACGTACCACATTTTCTTTATCCAATCCACGACTGAAGAGAACCTGTCTTTGTTATGGTAAATGGTGCTGCAATAAACATACAAGTGCAAATTTCTTTTTGGTAGAACAATTTTATTTTCCTTTGGGTATATACCCAGTAATGTGATTGCTGGGGTAAATGGTAATTCCATTTTTAGTTCTTTGAGAAATCTCCAAACTGCTTTCCACAAGGGCTAAACTAATTTGCATTCCCACCAACAGTGTATAAGCTTTCCCTTTTCTCTGTAAACTCACCAGCATCTGTTATTTTTTGACTTTTTAATAATAGCCATTCTGGCTAGTATTGGGAACCTGCCCCCATTAGGCACGTAGGTTCTTTTCTATTTTCCCTAAGTGTTGGCTGGCCTGAGAAATAAAGGAACAGAGTACAAAAGAGAGAAATTTTAAAGCTAGGTGTCCAGGGGAGACATCACATGTTGGCAGGTTCCGTGATGCCCCCTGAGCCATAAAACCAGCAAGTTTTTATTAGTGATTTTCAAAAGGGGAGGGGGTGTACAAATAAGGTGTGGGTCACAGAGATCACATGCTTCACAAGGTAATAAGATATCACAAGGCAAATGGAGGCAGGGCGAGATCACAGGACCACAGGACTGGGGCGAAATTAAAATTGCTAATGAAGTTTCGGGCACACGTTGTCATTGATAACATCTTATCAGGAGACAGGGTTTGAGAGCAGACAACTGGTCTGACCAAAATTTATTAGGTGGGAATTTCCTCATCCTAATAAGCCTGGGAGCGCTATGGGAGACTGGGGCTTATTTCATCCCTACAGCTTCGACCATAAAAGACGGCTGCCCCCTGAAGCGGCCATTTTAGGGGCCTACCCTCAGGTATGCATTCTCTTTCTCAGGGATGTTCCTTGCTGAGAAAAAGAATTCAGTGATATTTCTCCCATTTGCTTTTGAAAGAAGAGAAATATGGCTCTGTTCCACCCAGCTCACCGGCGTTCAGAGTTTAAGGTTATCTTTCTTGTTCCCTGAACATTGCTGTTATCCTGCTCTTTTTTCAAGGTGACCAGATTTCATATTGTTCAAACACACATGCTCTACAAACAATTTGTGAATTAACGCAATCATCACAGGATCCTGAGGCAACATACATCCTCCTCAGCTTACGAAGATGACGGAATTAAGAGATTAAAGTAAAGAAAGGCATAGGAAATCACAAGGGTATTGACTGAGGAAGTGATAAGTGTCCATGAAATCTTCACAATTTATGTTCAGAGACTGCAGTAAAGACAGGCATAAGAAATTATAAAAGTATTAATTTGGGAAACTAATAAATGTCCATGAAATCTTCACAATTTATGTTCTGCCATGGCTTCAGCTGGTCCCTCCTTTCAGGGTTCCTGACTTCCTGCAACAGACTGGTATGAGATGGTATCTCATTGAGGTTTTGATTTGCATTTCTCTAATGATTAGTGATGTTGAGCATTTCTTCATATGTTTGTTGGTCACTTATAAGTCTTCTTTTGAGAGGTGTCTGTTCTTGTCCTTTGTCTACTTTTTAATGGGGTTATTTGGCTTTTCCTTGTTTATTTTTTGAGTTCTCTATAGATTCTGGATATTAGTCCTTTGTCAGATTTATAGTTTGCAAATATTTTCTCCTGTTCTGTAGGTTGTCTCTTTACTCTGTTGATAGTTTCTTCTGCTGTGCAGTAGCTTCTTAGTTTAATTAGGTCCCAATTGTCAATTTTTTGTTTTGTTGCATTGGCTTTTGAAGACTTAGTCATAAATTCTTTGCCTAGGCCAATATCTAGAAGAGTATTTCCTAGGTTGTCTTCTAGGATTTTTTATAGCTTGAGGTCTTACATTTAAGTCTTTAATCCATCCTAACTTTTGTATAAGGTGAGAGGTAGGAGCACAATTTCATTGTTCTGCATATAGTTTGACAGTAATATTATATTTTATCAATTCTAACATGATTATTTTTAAACAGAATAGTATAATGAATTCACGTGTCATATTTTCCAGCTTCAACAATAATCACATTTTGCCATCTTTGTTTCATCTAATTCCTCTGTCACCTTTTTTGAAAAATTTTGTGAAATTGTTTTAAGGCAAACACAGGCATCATATTATGTCATTTATTGATATTTCAGAATGTAACACCAACAATGCTAACAAAAGGACTTTTCAAAACAAACCACTACATCATTATCTCAAACAGCAAAATTAACAAAAATCCTTCAATATTTTTACTCAATCGGTGTTCAATTCTCCCTAAATGTCTCAAAACGTTTTTCATGCCAGGTGTGGTGTTGCATGCCTGTAATCCCAGCTATTTGGGAGGCTGAGGCAGGAGGATGGCTTGAGCCCAGGAGTTCAAGGCTGTAGTGAGCTAGGATCACACCAATGCACTCCAGCCTGGGTGACAGAGTGAGACATTGCCTCTAAAATAAATAAATAAATACTCTGCCTGATTGTCTGGGGGCTTAAAAAATCAAAAAACAAAAACAAAAATAAATAAAACTTAAATGTAAAACCTTAAAATTATTTTTAAAAAATCCTTGGAGCAAACCTATGAAATACCATTCTAGACATAGTCCCTGGCAAACATTTCATGATGAAAATGCAAAAAGCAATTGCAACAAAAACAAAATTTGACAAATATTACCTAATTAAAGAGCCTTTGCACAGCAAAAGAAACTATTAACAAAGTAAACAGACAACCCACAGAATGGGAGAAATTATTTGCGAACTTGCATCTGATACAAGTCTAATATCCAGAAACTATAAGGGACTTAGTCAAATTAATAAGCCAAAAACAAACCATAACATCATTAAAACAAGTAGCTGGTATTAAAAGTGTATACCACCACACCCAGTATAAAAAATGTTTTGAGACATTTAGGGAAAATTGAACACAGATTGGGTATTAAAAATATTGAAGCATTTTTGATAATTTTGCTATCTGAAATAATGATGTGGTCTGTGCTTGTTAATTTGCTTAACCCCATTAAAAATTGGGCAAAGGACATGAATAGACACTTTTCAAAAAAAGACATGCAAGCTACCAAAAAGCATGTGAAAAAATGTTCAACATTACTAATCATTAGAGAAATGGAAATCAAAACCACAATGAGATACCATCTCACACCAGTCAGGATGGCAATTATTAAAAAGTCAAAAAAATAACAGATGTTGGCAGGGTTGCAGAGAAAAGGGAAAGTTTATACAGTGCTGGTAGGAATGTAAATTCATTCAGCCAGTGTGGAAAGCAGTTTAACAATTTCTCAAAGACATTAAAACAGAACTATTATTCAACCCAGCAATTATTGAGTATATACCCAAAGGAATATAAATTGTTCTACAATAAAGACACATGCACATGTATGTTCATTGCAACTCTATCCACAACAGCAAGGACATGGAATCAACCTACATGCCCATCATTGGTAGACTGGAATAAGAAAATGTGGTACACATACACCATGGAATACTATGCAGCCATAAAAAAGAATGAGATCATGTCCTTTGCAGGAACGTGGGTGCAGCTGGAGGCAATCATCCTGAGCAAACTAACACAGGATCAGAAAACCAAAAATCACATGTTCTCACTTATAATTGGGAGCTAAACATTGAGTACACATGAATACAAAAAAAACGGAACAATACACACTGGACCTACTTGAAGGTCAAGGGTGGGAGGAGGGTGAGGATCAAAAAACTACCTATTGGGTAATATGCTTACCTGGGTGATGAAATAATCTGTAAACCAAACCCTGGTGACACACAATTTACCTACATAACAAACCTGGACATGTACCCGTGAACATAAAAAAAAGTTTAAAAATAAATTAATTAAATTAAACTTTTCATACACATGGTTTGTTCAAATCAGGATTTTGTTAAATTCATGCATTACATTCTATTGATGTCTTTATAATCTCTTTATGCCCATCACAGTTCCCTCCACTTTCTTTATTGTTTTTATTTTGTATTTTGTGTTCATTTCATGGTGCATTGTATTGCTATTTATTTGTTGGAGAAATGTAAGGAATTTTTCATTTTTTGGATTCAGCTGGTTGCATTCATGCGGTATTGGTTACCACGTTATTCTATCTCCTGTATATCCTGTCAATTCTCATTAGATTTAAAGGTTTAATCAGATTTAGATGAAATGTTTTCTTTTTCTTCTTTTTTTTTTTGCAGGAGTACTTAATAGATGATATTGTGTACTTCCTAACTAATCTCAGCAAAGGGCATATAATATCTGATTGTCCCATTATTAAAGCAGTAAAGGTTGATCAGTCTGATTCATCCCTTATAAAGTGTCCAATCGACTGTATGCATGAGAGTGTTAGTACCCATTGATGAGCATTGCCTAGATCCATTATTCCAATAAAGCTGTAAAACAATGCTTTGAAAGTTTTACCATTTCCCCAACATTTATTAGTTGAAGTTTTTCGATGAGGAATTTTCTCTCATCAACTATTTGCTTACCCTGAAACAGAGGTAACCTACAAAAGGCAGTATACATGCTTAATTCTTTTTGTGCATCTGTGTTTAAAATACTAATTTGGTCTCCTAGCAAGTTCAAAAAAAATGATAAATAAAATGTCACTTTCAATTTCATATTTAATTCATAGATTTATATATTAGAATTATATCAATTCATTGGAGACTTTTTTTTAACTGTCAGTTAGTCCCCTTTCTGACCATTTGCTCTTCTGCGCTTTTAACACTACCCCAGTAGTATTCGAGCACTTCCCTGCTATCTCACATGAATAGATATCCTAGGCTTATCTTATGTTTCTTGTTCCACACTTGGAGCCAGCAATTTCTCAAAAGAGTGCTGGTTCCTTTTACTAGAAAATGTTATTTAGGGAACACAATCTCAACACTACAGGCACTCATCACTACTGGGTTGTCATTGCTTTTAGAGCTTTCAGTTGACAGAGCTAGGAAATATGAAGTTTTTTTTTCTTTCTTTTTGAGATGGAGTCTCGCTCTGTCACCCAGGCTGGAGTGCAGTGGCGTGATCTCCACTCACTGCAAGCTCTGCCTCCCAGGCTCACACCATTCTCCTGCCTCAGCCTCTGGAGTAGCTGGGACTACAGGCATCCACCACCACACCCAACTAATTTTTTATATTTTTAGTAGAGACGGGGTTTCACTGTGTTAGCCAGGATGGTCTTGATCTCCTGACCTCGTGATCTGCCCGCCTCGGCCTCCCAAAGTGCTGGGATTATAGGCGTGAGCCACCATGCCTGGCCCAAAGTTTTTAGAAATAGAAAGCTGAGGCTGGATGTGGTGGCTCATGCCTGTATTCCCAGTGATTCAGGAGGCTGAGGCAGGAGGATCACTAGAGGCCAGGAGTTCAAGACCAGCCTGGGCAACAAAGCAAGACACAATCTCTTAAAAAAAAAACTATTCCATATTGATATTCCCAATTACATGATTTTTACTTAAATTCTTCTTTTCTTAAATTATACTTTAAGTTCTAGGGTACAGGTGCACAATGTGCGGTTTTGTTACATATGTATACACGTGCCATGTTGGTTTGCTGCACCCATTAACTCGTCATTTACATTAGGTATTTCTCCTAATGCTATCCCTCCCCCATCCCTCCACCCCATGACAGGCCCTGGTGTGTGATGTTCCCCGCCCTGTGTCCAAGAGTTCTTATTGTTCAATTCCTACCTATGAGTGAGAACATGCAGTGTTTGGTTTTCTGTCCTTGTGATAGTTTGCTAAGAATGATGGTTTCCAGTTTCATCCATGTCCCTACAAAGGACATGATCTCATCTTTTTTATGGCTGCATAGTATTCCTTGGTGTATATGTGCCACATTTTCTTAATCCAGTCTATCACTGATGGACATTTGGGTTGGTTCCAAGTCTTTGCTATTGTGAAAAGTGCAGCAATAAACATACGTGTGCATGTATCTTTATAGTAGCATGATTTATAATCCTTTGGGGATATACCCAATAATGGGATCGCTGGGTCAAATGATATTTCTAGTTCTAGATCCTTGAGGAATCACCACACTGTCTTCCACAATGGTTGAACTAGTTTACATTCCCACCAACTGTGTAAAAGTGTTCCTATTTCTCCACATGCTCTCCAGCACCTGTTGTTTCCTGACTTTTTAATGATCGCCATTTTAACTGGTGTGAGATGGTATCTCATTGTGGTTTTTATTTGCATTTCTCTGATGACCAGTGATGATGAGCACTTTTTCATGTGTCTGTTGGCTGCATAAATGTCTTCTTTTGAAAAGTGTCTGTTCATATCCTTTGCTCACTCTTTGATGGGGTTGTTTGATTTTTTCTTGTAAATTTGTTTAAGTTCTTTGTAGATTCTGGTTATTAGTCCTTTGTCAGATGGGTAGATTGCAAAAGTTTTCTCCCATTCTGTAGGTTGCCTGTTCACTCTAATGGCAGTTTCTTTTGCTGTGCAGAATCTCTTTAATTTAATTAGATCCCATTTGTCTATTTTGGCTTTTGTTGCCATTGCTTTTGGTGTTTTAGTCATGAAGTCCTTGCCCGTGCCTATGTCCTGAATGGTATTGCCTAGGTTTTCTTCTAGGGTCTTTATGGTTTTAGGTCTAACATTTAAGTATTTAATCCATCTTGAATTAATTTTTGTATAAGGTGTAAGGAAGGGATCCAGTTTAGGCTTTCTACATATGGCTAGCCAGTTTTCCCAGCATCATTTATTAAATAGGGAATCCTTTCCCCAGTTGCTTGTTTTTATCAGGTTTGTTAAAGATCAGATGGTTGTAGATGTGTGGCATTATTTCTGAGGACTCTGTTCTGTTCCATTGGTCTATATCTCTATTTTGGTACCAGTACCATACTGTTTTGGTTACTGTAGCCTTGTAGTATAGTTTGAAGTCAGGTAGCATAATGCCTCCAGCTTTGTTCTTTTTGCTTAGGATTGTATTGGCACTGTGGGCTCATTTTTGGTTCCATGTGAAATTTAAAGTAGTTTTTTTCCAATTATGTGAAAAAAGTCATTGGTAGCTTGACGGGGATGGCATTGAATCTATAAATTACCTTGGGCAGTATGGCCATTTTCACAATATCAATTCTTCCTATCCACGAGCATGGAATGTTCATTTGTTTGTGTCCTCTTTTATTTTGATGAGCAGTGATTTGTAGCTCTCCTTGAAGAGGTCCTTCACATCCCTTGTAAGTTGGATTGCTAGGTATTTTATTCTTTTTGCAGCAGTTGTGAATGGGAGTTCACTCACGATTTGGCTCTCCGTTTGTCTGTTATTGGTGTATAGGAATGCTTGTGATTTTTGCAGATTGATTTTGTATCCTGAGACTTTGTTGAAGTTGCTTATCAGCTTAAGGAGATTTGGGGCTGAGACGATGGGGTTTTCTAAATATACAATCATGTCATCTGCAAACAGGGACAATTTGACTTCCTCTTTTCCTAATTGAATACGCTTTATTTCTTTCTGTTGCCTGATTGCCCTGACCATAACTTCCAACAGTATGTTGAATAGGAGTGGTGAGAGAGGGCATCCCTGTCTTGTGCCAGTTTTCAAAGGGAATGCTTCCAGTTTTTGCCCATTCAGGATGGTATTGGCTGTGGGTGTGTCCAAAATAGTTCTTAGTATTTTGAGATACGTTCCATTAATACCTAGTTTATTGAGAGTTTTTAGCATGAGGCGTTGTTGAATTTTGTCGAAGGCCTTTTCTACATCTATTTCGATATCATGTGGTTGGTGTCTTTGGTTCTCTTTATGTGATGGATTACATTTATTGATTTGTGTATGTTGAACCAGCCTTGCATCCCAGGGAGGAAGCTAACTTGATCTTGGTGGATAAGCTTTTTGATGTGCTGCTGGATTCGGTTTGCTAGTATTTTATTGAGGATTTTTGCATGGATGTTCATCAGGGATATTGGTCTAAAAATTCTCTTTTTTTTGTTGTGTCTCAGCCAGGCTTTAGTATCAGAATGATGCTGGCCTCATAAAATGAGTTAGGGAGGATTCCCTCTTTTTCTATTGATTGGAATAGTTTCAGAAGGAATGGTACCAGCTCCTCTTTGTACCTCTGGTAGAATTTGGCTGTGAATCCATCTGGTCCTGGACTTTTTTTGGTTGGTAGGCTATTAATTACTGCCTCAATTTCAGAGCCCTGTTATTGGTCTATTCAGGGATTCAATGTCTTCCTGGTTTAGTCTTCAGAGGGTGTATGTGTCCAGGAATTTATCCATTTCTTCTAGATTTTCTAGTTTATTTGTGTAGAGGTGTTTATAGTATTCTCTGATGGTAGTTTGTATTTCTGTGGGATCGGTGGTGATAGCCCCTTTATCATTTTTTATTGTGTCTATTTTAGTCTTCTCTCTTTTCTTCTTTATTAGTCTTGCTAGCAGACTATCTATTTTGTTGATCTTTTCAAAAAACCGGCTCCTAGATTCATTGATTTTTTGAAGCGTTTTTTTGTGTCTCTGTCTCCTTCAGTTCTGCTGTGATCTTAGGTATTTCTTGCCTTCTGCTAGCTTTTGAATTTGTTTGCTCTTGCTTCTCTAGTTCTTTTAATTGTGATGTTACGGTGTCGATTTTAGATGTTTCCTGCTTTCTCTTGTGGGCATTTAGTGCTATAAATTTCCCTCTACACACTGCTTTAAATGTGTCCCAGAGATTCTGGTACATTGTGTCTTTGTTCTCATTGGTTTCAAAGAACATCTTTATTTCTGCCTTCATTTCGTTATTTACCCAGTAGTCATTTGGGAACAGGTGGTTCAGTTTCCATGTAGTTGTGCAGTTTTTAGTGAGTTTCTTTTTTCTCTTTTTTTTTTTTTTTTTAAGATGGAGTTTCACTCATTACCCAGGCTGGAGTGCAATGGCACAATCTCGGCTCACCACAACCTCCACCTCCCAGGTTCAAGCGATTCTCCTGCCTTAGCCTCCCTAGTAGCTGGGATTACAGGTATGTGCCACCACGCCTGGCTAATCTTTTTGTATTTTTAGTAGAGACGGGGTTTCTCCATGTTGGTCAGGCTGGTCTCGAACTCCTGACCTCCGGTGATCCACCCGCCTCGGCCTCCCAAAGTGCTGGGATTAGAGGCGTGAGCCACCGCGCCCAGCCTTGAGTGAGTTTCTTAATCCTGAGGTCTAATTTGATTGCACTGTGGTCTGAGAGACTGTTTGTTGTGATTTCTCTTCTTTTACATTTGCTGAGGAGTGCTTTACTTCCAACTATGTGGTCAATTGTGGAATAAGTGTGATATAGTGCTGAGAAGAGTGTATATTCTGTTGAAATGGGGTGAAGAGTTCTGTAGATGTCTATTAGTTCTGCTTGGTGCAGAGCTGAGTTCAAGTCCTGGATATCATTGTTAACATTCTGTCTCCTTGATCTGTCTAATAATGACAGTGAGGTGTTAAAGTCCCCCATTACTATTGTGTGGAAGTCTAAGTCTCTTTGTAGGTCTCTAAGGACTTGCTTTATGAATCTGGGTGCTCCTGTATTGGGTGCATATATATTTAGGATAGTTAGCTCTTCTTGTTGAATTGATCCCTTTACCATTATGTAATGCCCTTCTTTGTCTCCTTTAGTCTTTGTTGGTTTAAAGTCTGTTTTATCAGAGACTAGGATTGCAACTCCTGCTTTTTTTTTACTTTCCACTTGCCTGGTAAATTTTCCTCCATCCCTTTAGTTTGAGCCTATGTGTGTCTCTGCACATGAGTTGGGTCTCCTGAATACAGCACATTGATGGGTCTTGAATCTTTGTTTAATTTGCTGGTCTCTGTCTTTAATTGGGGCATTTAGCCCATTTACATTTAAGGTTAATATTGTTATGTGTGAATTTGGTCCTGTCATTATGATGTTAGCTGGTTATTTTGCTCATTAGTTGATGCAGTTTCTTCCTAGCCTCGATGGTCTTTACAATTTGGCATGTTTTTGCAGTGGCTGGTACTGGTTGTTCCTTTCCATGTTTAGTGCTTCCTTCAGGAGCTCTTGTAAGGCAGGCCTGGTGGTGACAAAATCTCTCAGCATTTGCTTGTCTGTAAAGGATTTTATTTCTCCTTCGCTTATGAAGCTTAGTTTGGCTGGATATGAAATTCTGGATTGAAAATTCTTTTCTTTAAGAATTTTGAATATTGGCCCCCACTCTCTTCTGGCTTGTAGAGTTTCTGCCAAGAGATCAGCTGTTAGTCTGATGGGCTTCCCTTTGTGGGTAACCCGACCTTTCTCTCTGGCTGCCCTTAATATTTTTTCCTTCATTTCAACCTCAGTGAACCTGATAATTATGTGTTTTGGGGTTGCTCTTCTCGAGGAGTATCTTTGTGGTGTTCTCTGTATTTCCTGAATTTGAATGTTGGCCTGCCTTGCTAGGTTGGGGAAGTTCTCCTGGATAATATTCTGAAGAGTGTTTTCCAGCTTGGTTCCATCCTCCCCATCACTTTTAGGTACACCAGTCAAATGTAGATTTGGTCTTTTCACATAGTCTCATATTTCTTGGAGGCTTTATTCATTTCTTTTTACTCTTTTTTCTCTAAACTTCTCTTCTCACTTTATTTCATTAATTTGATCTTCAATCACTGATACCGTTTCTTCCACTTGATTGAATCGGCTACTGAAGTTTGTGCATGTGTCATGTAGTTCTCATGCCATGGTTTTCAGCTCCATCAGGTCATTTAAGGTCTTCTCTACATGGTTTATTCTAGTTTGCCATTTGTCTAATCTTTTTTCAAGGTTTTTGGCTTCCTTGCAATGGGTTCGAACATCCTTCTTTAGCTCGGAGAAGTTTGTTATTACTGACCTTCTGAAGCTTACTTCTGTCAACTCGCCAAAGTCATTCTCCATCCAGCTTTGTATCGTTGCTGGCGAGGAGCTGAGATCCTTTGGAGGAGAAGAGGCACTCTGGTTTTTAGAATTTTCAGCTTTTCTGCTCTGGTTTCTCCCCATCCTTGTGGTTTTATCTACCTTTGGTCTTTGATGATGGTGACCTACAGATGGGGTTTTGGTTGGATGTCCTTTTTGTTGATGTTGATGCTATTCCTTTCTGTTTGTTAGTTTTCCTTCTAACAGTCAGATCCCTCAACTGCAGGTCTGTTGGAATTTGCTGGAGGTCCACTCCAGACCTTGTTTGCCTGGGTATCACCAGCGGAGGCTGCAGAACAGCAAATATTGCAGAAGAGCAAATATTGCTGCCTGATCCTTCCTCTGGACGCTTTGTCTCAAAGGGGCATCCAGCTGTATGAGGTGTCAGTCGGCCCCTACTGGGAGGTGTCTCCCATTTAGGCTACACAGGGGTCAGGGACCCACTTGAGGTGGCAGTCTGTCCATTCTCAGAGCTCAAACACCATGCTGGGAGAACCGCTGCTCTCTTCAAAGATGTCAGACAGGGACGTTTAAGTCTGCAGAAGTTTCTGCTGCCTTTTGTTCAGCTGTGCCCTGCCCCCAGAGGTGGAGTCTACAGAGGGAGGCAGGCCTTATTGAGCTGCGGTGGGCTCCACCCAGTTTGAGCTTCCCAGCCGCTTTGTTTACCTAGTCAAGCCTCAGCAATGGGGGATGCCCCTCTCCCAGCCAGGCTGCCACCTCGCAGTTCGATCTTGGACTGCTGTGCTAGCAGTGAGCAAGGCTCTGTGGGCGTGGGACCTGCTAAGCTAGGTGCAGGAGATAATCTCCTGGTGTGCCATTTGCTAGGACTGTTGGAAAAGCGCAGTATTAAGGCAGGAGTGTCCCAATTTTCCCAGTTCTGTCTGTCACAGCTTCCCTTAGCTAGGAAAGGGAAATCCCCTGACCCCTTGTGCTTCCCGGGTGAGGCGATGCCCCGCTCCACTTTGGATCGCCCTCTGTGGGCTGCACCCACTGTCCAACCAGTCCCAATGCGATGAACCAGGTCCCTCAGTTGGAAATGCAGAAATCACCTATCTTCTGTGTAGATCATGCTGGGAGCTGCAGACTGGAGCTCTTCCTATTTGGCCATCTTGGACTTAAATTATTTTATTTTATATTTGTATTTAATTTATCTTATACTACAAATCTTAGGTCCTAATGACATTCACATAATTACTACTAATTTTGTATATATTCACATTTCTACTTAAAAATAATAATACCTCAACTAAGTCTAAAATATAGACTAATTTGCTATTGCTAAAAATAAAACCACTGAATGTAGCAAAAGCTTTTTTGGTGGATTTTTTTGCCCTTGGGATATAGCTTCTTCAAAATGTAGAGTTAGGCCAGGTACAGTGGCTCATGCCTGTAATCCCAGCATTTTGGGACACCAAGGCAGGTGGATCACTTGAGGTCAGGAGTTCAAGGCCAGCCTGATCAACATGGTGAAACCCTGTCTCTAATAAAAATACAAAAATTAGCTGTGTGTGATGGCACATTCCTGTAATCCCAGCTACTCAGGAGGCTGAGGCACAAGAATCACTTGAACCTGGGAAGCAGAGGTTGCAGTAAGCCAAGATTGTGCCACTGCACTCCAGCCTGGGTGACACAGTGAATCAAAGAGTCAAAGAGTAAATCAATATGGAATTTTGCTTGAAACCACCAAATTCTCCTCTATAGGGATTGTGTCAGTTTGTATTCTCACCAGGAATATATGGCACTACCTGTTCCCCATAGCTTCCTTAACAGGTGCATTGTCAAACTTCTGATATTATGCCAAAATAATTACTTTTAAAAATAGTAAATTTGTGTCAGGGCACGGTGGCTCACACCTGTAATCCCAGGACTTTGGGAGGCTGAGGCAGGCAGATCACATGAGGTCAGAAGTTTGAGGCCAGCCTAGCCAACATGGTGAAACCCCATCTCTACTACAAATACAAAAATTAGCCAGGTGTGGTGGCACACGCCTGTAATCCCAGCTACTCAGGAGGCTGAGGCAGGAGAATCACTTGAACCCAGGTGGCAGAGGTTGCAGTGAGCTGAGATTGCGCCACTGCACTCCAGCCTGGGAGACAGAGCAAGATTCCATCTCAAAAAAAAAAAAAAAAGAAAAGAAAAAAAGAACAGTAAAAATAGTAAATGTGTATAGTTACTTTTCTAAATGCTTTTTTCACATCTTGATGTCTTTGATAATCTCAACAGATATACAAGAGACATTTCAAGAAACTGAGAGCAGAAAATTGTAATTACTCATAAAAATTCAGGAGCACTTATTACCATCAACAAAAAAAGCATGCCCCGCCCTATATCACTTCATCTATTTCATATTATAATGGATATACTAGCCTGTACAGTAACACCATAAACAAAACTAGTATATTGGCAAAAAATATAATTGACTGTAGAAAATCCAAGAATATCTGCAGATAAATTCCCACAAATAATAACAACATTCAACAAGTTTCCTGATCATAAAGTCAATATACAAAAAGTAATTGTGTTATTTATCATCTGCAACAAACAACTAAAAATGTAATTTAAAAAATATATGTTGCTACTATTTTCTATGTTTTATATTTGCTTCTTAGACAATACTTTAAGGAGATAGTGATCCTGAACAGGTATCTTAGGACAAAGGAAAACGTCCCAGACAGGATGTCTGCATGAGGACAAGAAACTCAGGAGAGAAGGGATGAAAACACAACCCCACTCCCTCTGCCACCAAATGTAGATTGAGAGATAGAAAAGATAGAATATCAAGAACCTAAAGTGGGTAGGGGAAGGGGCCACATCTGCAAGTGAAGAGGAAAAGGACTAATTTGGGGACCAAAGGGAAAGCTTCAAAAACAAACTTGGTCAAAGAAGAGATAAGGAACAGAAGGTTTTAAAGGAAGCACAGCTTCCATGGTCTTCCTTCTCCAGCAAGAAATTGCATGGGAGTTCTTTACCACTGATCCTGACAGTTAATAAGTTCATGGATATATCGTGACTTCCCTAAGCCTTTGCCTCTTGTTCTGCAAGTAAAGAATAATAGTATTTACCATAGAGGATTGTCATGAGGATGAAATGGTATTACGGATGTGAAGGACTTAACACAGCATGTTTCTGACATGAGGTATTCAGTATATGTCCATCCACTCTTTATCTAGACCTCCATATTTCCTTAACACCATTTGACAGAAAAGTAACCTGATGTTGGTAAATCATACAGCTGGAAAATGTTGGAGCCAAAATGCAAATACTAGTTTTCTGATTATAAATCTCACCTTCTATCCACTGAACCATGAAAATCTTGCATTTTAATTCCGTATTTCTCAAAGCTTGGAAAAGAGGGTGCTATAGGAGTATGTGAAGCATTTTGAGTCACAGTTCACAAATAATATTTTGGAAGTTCAGTTGGAGTGATTCTGAGTGATCAGTTTGGTGGTAGGAAGTGAGAGAAAAACTAACGCAGAAATTGGTACATGTGGTCCCAAAATATATTAGATATTTGCAAAGACTTTTATTGTTTTACTTATATGCTAGGAATAAATAAAAACAGCTTATTTTTCACATTCACAGATGAACACTCAAGCAATATGCAATTAATCACATGCTTTTTCTTATGCAAATATCATTTCAATATAAAATCATTTTCATAAGTGCAACTGTGAAGTCCTTTAGGAAATTAACCAGAACACAATTCAACCATTACGAGTGTGCCTTACTTTATAGATGGGTTCCCGAAAAGATAGCTGAGAGGGATTCCTGGGCAAGATGGCTGAATAGGTACAGCTCCGGTCTGCAGCTCCCAGTGAGACCAATGCAGAAGGTGGGTGATTTCTGCATTTCCAACTGAGGTACATGGTTCATCTAATTGGGACTGGTTAGACAGTAGGTGCAGCCCATGGAGGGCAAGCCAAAGCAGGGTGGGGTGTCACCTCACCTGGGAAGTGCAAGGGGTTGGGGAATTCCCTCCCCTAGCCAAGGGAAACTGTGAGGGGCCATGAGGGATGGAGCTATCTGGCCCAGATATTATGCTTTTCCCATAGTCTTCACAACCCACAGAACAGGAGATTCCATTGGGTGCTACACCACCAGGGCCCTGGGTTTCAAGCACAAAACCAGGCAGCTGTTTGCGCAGACACTGAGCTAGCTGCAGGAGTTTTTTTTTTTTTTTTCATACTTCAGTAGCGCCTGGAATGCCAGCAAGACAAAACCATTCACTCCTCTGTAAAGGGGGCTGAAGCCAGGGAACCAAGTGGCCTAGCTCAGCAGATCCCACCTCCACAGAGCCCAGCAAGCTAAGATCCACTGGCTTGAAATTCTCACTGGCAGCACAGCAGTCTGAAGTCGACCTGAGACACTCAAGCTTGGTGTGGGGAGGCGTGTCCACCATTACTGAGGGTTGAGTAGGTGGTTTTCCCCTCACAGTGTAAACAAAGCCTCAGGGAAATTTGGACTGCATGGAGCTCACCACAGCTCGGCAAAGCCACTGTAGCCAAACTGCCTCTCTGTATTCCTCCTCTCTGAGCAGGGCATCTCTGAAAGAAAGGCAGCAGCCCCGGTCAGGGGCTTATAGGTAAAACTGCCATCTGCCTGGGACAGATCATCTAGGGAAAGGAGCGGCTGTGGGCACAGCTTCAGCAGACTTAAACATTCCTGCCTGCCAGCTCTGAAGATGTGGATCTCTCAGCACAGCGCTTGAGCTCTGCTAAAAGACAGACTACCTCCTCAAGTGGGTCCCTGACCCCCATGACTCCTGACAGGGAGACATCTCCCAGCAGGGGTAGATAAACACCTCATAAAGGAGAGCTCTGGCTGGCCTCTGATGGGTGCCCCTCTGGGACAAAGTTTCCAGAGGAAGGAGCAGGCAGCAATCTTTGCTGTTCTGCAACCTCCACCTGGTGAAACCCAGACAAAAAGGGTCTAGCATGGACCCCCAGCAAACTCCAGCAGACCAGCAGCAGAGGTGCCTGTTAGAAGGAAAACTAACAAACAGAAAACAACAGTATCAACAACAACAAAAAGGATGACATGCAAAAACTCCATCCCAAGGTCACCAACAGCAAAGACGAAAGGTAAATAAATCCATGAAGATAAGGAAAAAACAGTGCAAAAAGACTGAAAATTCCAAAAACCAGAATGCCCCTTCTCCTTCAAAGGATCAAACTCCTTGCCAGTGAGGGAACAAAACTAGATGGAGAATGAGTTTGACGAATTGACAGAAGTAGGCTTCAGAAAGTAGATAATAACAAACTCTTCCAAGCTAAAGGAGCATGTTCTAACCCAATGCAATGAAGCTAAGAACCTTGATAAAAGGTTAGAGGAAATGCTAACTAGAATAACCAGTTTAGAGAAGAACATAAATGACCTAATGGAGCTGAAAAACACAGCCTGAGAACTTTGTGAAGCATACACAAGTATCAATAGCCGAATCAATCAAGCAGAAGAAAGGATATCAGAGATTGAAGATCAACTTAATGAAATAAAGTGTGAAGACAAGATTAGAGAAAAAAGAATGAAAAGGAACAAACAAAACCTCCAAGAAATATGGGATTATGTAAAAAGACCAAAGCTATGTTTGATTGGTGTGCCTGAAAGTGATGAGGAGAATGGAACCAAGTTGGAAAACACACTTCAGGATATTATCCAGGAGAACTTCCTCAACCTAGCAAGACAGGTCAACATTCACATTCAGGAAATAGAGAACACCACATAGATATTCCTCAAGAAGAGCAACCCCAAGACATACAATTGTCAGATTCACCAAGGTTGAAATAAAGGAAAAAATGTTAAGGGTAGCCAGAGAGAAAGGTATTGTTATCCACAAAGGGAAGCCCATGAGACTAACAGCAGATCTCTCTGCAGAAACCCTGCAAGCCAGAAGATAGTGGGGGCCAATATTCAAAATTCTTAAAGAAAAGAATTTTGAACCCAGAATTTCGTATCGAGCCAAACTCAGCCTCATAAGTGAAGGAGAAATAAAATCCTTTACAAACAAGCAAATGCTGAGAGATTTTGTCACCACCAGGACTGCCTTACAAGAGCTCTTGAAGAAAGCACTAAACGTGGAAAGGAACAACCAGTACCAGCCACTGCAAAAACATACCAAAATGTAAAGACCACTGATGCTATGAAGAAACTGCATCAACTAATGAGCAAAATAACCAGCTAGCATCATAATGACAGGATCAAATTCACACATAACAATTTTAACCTTAAACATAAACAGGCTAAATGCCTGCAATTAAAAGGCATAGACTGGCAAATTGGATAAAGAGTCAAGACCCATCAGTGTGCTGTATTCAAGAGACCCATCTCACATGCAAAGACACTCATAGGCTCAAAATAAATGGATGGAGGAAAATTTACTGAGCAAATGGAAAGCAAAAAAAAGGCAGGGGTTTCAATCCCAGTCTCTGATAAAACAGACTTTAAACCAACAAAGATCAAAAAAGACAAAGAAGGGCATTACATAATGGTAAAGGGATCAATTCAACAAGAAGAGCTAACTATCCTAAATATGTATGCACCCAATACAGGAGCACCCAGATTCATAAAGCAAGTCCTTAGAGACCTACAAAGAGACTTAGACTCCCACACAATAATAGTGGGAAACTTGAACACCCCATTGTCAATATTAGACAGATCAACAAGACAGAAAATTAACAATGATATTCAGGACTTAAACTCAGCTCTGGACCATGCAGACCTAATAGACATCTACAGAACTCTCCACCCCAAATCAACAGACTACACCATCTTCTCAGCACTACATAGCACTTATTCTAAAACCAACCACATAACTGGAAGTAAAACACTCCTCAGCAAATGCAAAAGAATGGAAACAGAACAAACAGTTTCTGAGACTACAGTGCAATCAAATTAGAACTCAGGATTAAGAAACTCACTCAAAACTGCACAACTACATGGAAACTGAACAACCTGCTACTGAATGACTACTGGGTGAATAATGAAATTAAGGCAGAAATAAATAAGTTCTTTGAAATCAATGAGAACGAAGATACAACATACCAGAATCTCTGGGACACAGCTAAAGTAGTGTTTAGAGAGAAATTTATAGCACTACATGCCCACAGGAGAAAGTGGGGAAAATCTAAAATCGACACCCTAACATCACAATTAAAAGAACTAGAGAAGCAAGAACAAACAAATTCAAAAGATAGCAGAAGACAAGAAATAACTAAGATCACAGCAGAACTGAAAGAGATAGAGACATGAAAAGCCTTTCAAAAAATCAATGAATCCAGGAGCTTGTTTTTTGAAAAGATTAACAAAATAGACCGCTAGCCAGATTAATAAGAAGAAAAGAGAGAAGAATCAAATAGACACAATAAAAAATGATAAAGGGGATATCACCACTGATCCCACAGAAATACAAACTACCATCAGAGAATACTATAAACACCTCTATGCAAATAAACTAGAAAATCTAGAAGAAATGGATAAATTCCTGGACACATACACCCTCCCAAGACTAAACCAGGAAGACGTTGAATCCCTGAATAGACCAATAACAAGTTTTGAAATTGAGGCAGTAATTAATAGCCTACCAACCAAAAAAAGCCCAGGACCAGACAGATTCACAGCCAAATTCTACCAGAGGTACAAAGAGGAGCTGGTACCGTTCCTTCTGAAACAATTCCAAACAATAGAAAAAGACTCCTCCCTAACTCATTTTATGGGGCTAGCATCATCCTGATACCAAGACCCACAGTCAATATTATACTAAATAGGCAAAAGTTGGAAATATTCCCTTTGAAAACTGGCACAAGAAAAGGATGCCCTGTCTCACCACTTCTATTCAACACAGTATTGGAAGTTCTGGCCAGGCAACAGAAAGAATAAAGTGTATTCAAATAGGAAGAGAGGAAGTCAAATTGTCTCTGTTTGCAGAATGACATGATTGTATATTTTAAAAATGCCATAATCTCAGCCTAAAATCTCCTTAAGCTGATAAGCAACTTCAGGAAAGTCTCGGGATACAAAATCAACGTGCAAAAATCACAAGCATTCCTATACACAAATAATAGACAACCAGAGAGCCAAATCATGCATGAATTCCCATTCACAACTGCTACAAAGAGAATAAAATACCTAGGAATACAACTTACAAGGGATGTGAAGGACCTCTTCAAGGAGAACTACAAATCACTGCTCAAGGAAATAAGAGAGGACACAAACAAATGGAAAAATATTCTGTGTTCATGGATAGGAAGAATCAATATCGTGAAAATGGCCATACTGCTCAAAGTAATTTATAGATTCAATGCGATTCCCATCAAGTTACCATTGATTTTCTTCACAGAATTAGAAAAAAATACTTTAAATTTCATATGAAACCAAAAAAGAGCCTGTATAGCCAAGACAATCCTAAGCAAAAAGAACAAAGCTGGAGGAATCATGCTACCTGACTTCAAACTATACTACAAGGCTACAGTAACCGAAATAGCATGGTACTGGTACCAAAACAGGTATATAGACCAATGGAACAGAACAGAGGCTTCAGAAATAACACCACACATCTACAACCATCTGATCTTTAACAAACGTGACAAAAACAAGCAACTGGGAAAGGATTCCCTATTTAATAAATGGTGTTGGGAAAACCGGCTAGCCATAAGTAGAAAGCCTAAACTGGATCCCTTCCTTACACCTTATACAAAAATTAACTCAAATGGATTAAAGATTTAAACGTAAGACCTAAAACCATAAAAACCCTAGAAGAAAACCTAGGCAATACCATTCAGGACATAGGCATGGGCAAAGACTTTATGATTAAAACACCAAAAGCAATGGCAACAAAAGCCAAAATTGACAAATGGGATCTAATTAAACTAAAGAGCTTCTGCACAGCAAAAGAAATTATCATCAGCATGAACAGGCAACCTACAGAATGGGAGAAAATTTTAACAATCTATCCATCTGACAACGGGCTAATATCCAGAATCTACAAAGAACTTAAATAAATTTACAAGAAAAAAACAAACAACCCCATCAAAAAGTGGGTGAAGGATATGAACAGACACTTCTCAAAAGAAGACATTTATGCAGCCAACAAATATATGAAAAAAAGCTCAACATCACTGGTCATTAGAGAAATGCAAATCAAAACCACGATGGGATACCATCTCACACCAGTTAGAATGGCGATCATTAAAAAGTCAGAAAACAACAGATGCTGGAGAGAATGTGGAGAAATAGGAATGCTTTTACATTGTTGGTGGGAGGGTAAATTAGTTCAACCATTGTGGAAGACAGTGTGGTGATTCCTCAAGGATCTGGAACCAGAAATATCATTTGACCCAGCAATCCCATTACTGGGTATATACCCAAAGGATTATAAATCGTTCTACTATAAAGACACATGCACACATATGTTTATTGCAGCACTATTCACAATAGCAAAAACTTGGAACCAACCCAAATGCCCATTAATGATAGACTGGATAAAGAAAATGTGGCACATATATACCATGGAATACTGTGCAGCCATAAAAAAGGATCGGTTCATGTCCTTTGCAGGGACATGGATGAAGCTGGAAACCATCATTCTCAGCAAACTAACACAGTAACAGAAAACCAAACACTGCATGTTCTCACTTGTAAGTGGGAGTTGAACAATAAGAACATATGGGCACAGGGAGGGGAACATCACATACCAGGGCCTGTCAGGGGGTGGGGGGCAAGGGGAGGGATAGCATTAGGAGAAATACCTAATGTAGATGATGGGTTGATGGGTGCAGCAAACCACCATGGCACATGTATAACTATGTAACAAACCTGCACTTTCTGCACATATATCCCAGAACTTAGAGTATAACGAAAAAAAACCAGATAGCTAAATTTTCAAATATATTTTCTCACTGACTTTGATTATAGATTTGAAGATGTTTTCCCAATACGAAGATGTTTTCCAACTAAAGTACATATTTTCAGTTGCAGACTGTGCTAGAGTGTGTGTGGGATTATTTATCACTATATTGAAAAGCCAAAATATGTGGATGTGGCATTATTTATCACTATATTCAAAAGCCAAAATATGTTGCTTTGTAACAACAACATTCTATTATGATGATTAAATATATGGCTTTAGGATTGACCACCATTTTCTAGCTGAGTGACTTTAAGTTACTTAAAGTCCTTAAGCCTCATTTTCTTTACAGTAACACGGAGATAATACCTACTTAATGGCATTTTTGTAAGGATTAGATGAAATGATAGACTTTAAGTGCTTTGTCCAGCAAGTGTTCAGTAAGTAGTAGTAGTAACAGGAGGAGGAGTTAACAATAGCAGTAGTAATACATAGCAGAGCAGTAGCAGTAACAAAAGTAATCTGTTACATGGATAACTAATATTATAGGTATCCCCATACTTGAGAATATCTATGGAATGATATGGGGAGAGCAAGAAAGCTCATTACTCATAATCCTCCTCAACAGCCTGGATTTCCCACCATCACAATCAAGGGGCTGTCTTTCCAAGAGATCACTGGTAAAAGGTGAGCCCCTCAGCACTTGGAAAATGAGAGGAGTTTTGAGGATTTGTCCCTGAGAGGAAGTAGGGAGAAGAAATGAAAGAATGAGAAAAAGGGTGGAGGATGGAGTCATTCAAGGGGTAAGGGAAAGTGAGAACCTCCTGGGAGTGAATGAGCAAAGGACTTTGAAGAAAAAAATCTCTAATTTATTTTTCTGCTGAATTTGGCTGAAAAGGGTGTGCAGTGGGATCCCTCCTGGTGACCCTGAAAGGCTGAAGAAAGTTTCATTTATAAGTAAATTCCTTGTGTGAGAGGATTTTTGTGGTAATCGAGGAAAGGGCAGAGTGCTACAGGTGTAGCAGGCACAAACCCAAGAATCGGCCTCTGAGATCTTGAGGTAGGCTTTGAACTTCTGCAGAATGTGGGTTGGGCGTTAGAGTCTATCCTAACTAGATCTTAGTAGAAGGGAGACACCATTGACATCTTGTAGATGTTTGCTACCTAGATTATTTTCACTGCTTGTTTATCATCACCATCACCACCAAATCTAACTCCCTGGCTCACTCCTATTCACTGCTCAGACCTCAATTTCAAAGTTAATTTCAAGTGCTTTGGTGAAATTAAAATAAATAAATAGATAAAGTTACTGAGCCTAAATGTGGTGGCTCACACCTGTAATTCCAGAGCTTTTACAGACCAAGATGGGCAGATCACTTCAGCCCAGGAGTTCAAGACCCAGCCTGGACTATATAATGAGACCCCATCCCTATGAAAATCTTTAAAAGTTAGCCAGGCATGGTGGCATGCCTGTTGTCCCAGCCACTCAGGATACTGAGGTAGGAGAATCACTTGAACTCAGAAGTTTGAGGATGCAGTGAGCCCATGATCACACCACTGCACTCCTGCCTGGGCAACACAATGAGACCCTGTCACACACACAAAAAAAAAAAGACATGAAAAGAAAATGAAAAAGAAAAAAAAAAGTTAGTGATGGTCTTCCCTGGCCCTTGCATGTCCACATTAGGCAGCCCTGCTCTGCTCTACAATATACATTCTTCCTTTCTCAAAGTACTTTCCGCAATGATTATATGTGATTCATCAATTGTCTCCCCTTACTGGGCTTTGAGCTCTATGAAGACAGGAACAATATCTGTTTGTGTACACCATTCCATTCCTATGACAGAGCACTACACTCAGCACAGAACAGGAACTCAAGAGATGTTCTTCGAAGGAGAAAGCAAGCTGAAGAGGGAAGGAGAGGGAGAGGGATCTAGGAGACAGGCCAAAGCATGAGACACTCACCTTTCTTACACTCACGACCAAAGCATGAGACACTCACCTTTCTTACAAAGGACAGCCCCACTTAGTTACCCATGGTAGGGGGGAAACTGGATTTCAGTTTTCCCTCTACCCAAAGCAACGTTTCTTCATGACACCCTCACTTCTGGTCCAGGACTGATTTTCAGAGCCATGACCATTGAGAGGAAAGTGTCAGAGGACTCTCCACTGTCTCTGAGGAATATGCTTTCTTCTAACTTTAGTCTCTGAATTAGTCAGTTTCTCCAGGAACAAATAATCTAGAAAATGTAGTTAAAAACAAAGAAGGCAGGCCAGGCACAATGTCTCATACCTATAATCTCAGCACTTTGGGAGGCCAAGGAGAGAGGATTGCTTGAACCCAGGAGTTTAAGACCAGCCTGGACAACATGGCAAAACCCCATCTCCATAAAAAAAAAATCCAAAAAACTTAGCTGGGTGTGGCGGTGCGCTCACGTAGTACCAGCTACTTGGGAGGCTGAGGATTGCTTGAGTGAGGGAGGTCAAGGCTGCAGTGAGCTATGATCACACCACTGCACCCCAGCCTGGTGACAGAAGGAGACCCCTGTCTAGAAAAAAAAAAGACAAAGAAGGAAAAAAAGTCTCCCCCACTGTGAAGTATCCCCTGCGCTTGTAAAGGATCTTTTGGGTTCCAGGACTAGAGTAAGATCAAAGGTTAAGGGAGGGTTCTAAGACTGGAGCAGCAGGCAAATATGAAATGCATAGTAGCTTCACACCTTCAAACTACCAAGAAGGGAGTCCAAGGGTAGTAGGGTGACAAAGGATTAATTCTGAGCAATAGTGCATATTATTTAAAATATGCAACTACTTCCATCAATAGCATGTGCAGCTTGCTTTTGCAAGCCAGGCTGTGTTGTGTGTGGGTGAGTCTGTCCAGCTTCAAGTGCTAGGAAATGGAGTGAATAATTATTGTTCTTTGCACTGCTTTTCATTCCCGACATCTGGATAGGCTCTCCTGAAGACATCCTTTGGGTAGAGGGACCCTAACTAAACTCTCTCATGGCAGACAAAGGGGACAGCACTTCCAGTAGAGGCTGGGGCAACATTCCAGGGCAGATTAGGGAAGAAAACTCAACTCTTCAGCTGAGAGCCCAAGGCAAGGGAGAGGAAACCTAGGCCCAATATTAAGAAACAGATACACAGAATTTTTGGTGGCAGTTATTAGCAAAAGGAGTCCCCACAAATGAAACTAAGATTTAAGGAAGTTGCATTGTCAGGAAAAACAAAACAAACCCAAGCCTCATGAAAAGGAGCTCAAAATTTCTTAACGTCTAAAGCAATCTCAAGGCCCAAGTATTTGCACCAACAGAAAGTAGACTCTTTGTTTGTACAGACCCCACATCATTTCAAGTGCCACTTTCAGATAGCCCTGAAAAGCACTAGACAAGAGCAATCCAGCAGTCAGAACCCGAGACAGCAAAATCAGTTGGCCAAGGAACTCACTCCACTACCAGTAATCAGATGACCAATGGATGCCTTTGAGATTTTGAGATCCTATAATTTATTAACAATAGAAAGCATGAATTCTAGATCTATTACCAGGATGGCTCTTCCCTTTTTCTGCTTTCTAAGAGGTTTTTATTAGACTTATTCCAGTTTTCCCTCTCCCATTTCATATCAGATGTGTTAGAAGTGTGTGTCTTATTTTATTTATTTTTTTATTTTATTTTACTTTACTTTACTTTACTTTACTTTACTTTACTTACTTTACTTTATTTTATTTTATTTTATTTTATTTTATTTTATTTTATTTTAGACATGGTCTTGCTCTGTTGCCCAGGCTGGAGTACAGTGGCGTGATCATAGCTCACTGCAGCTTCGACCTCCAGGGCTCAAATGATCCTCCCACCTCAGCCTTCTGCATAGCTGGGACCACAGGCGTCCATGACCACACCTGGCTAATTTTTTCTTTTTTTTGAGATGGGGTATCACTCTGTAGCCCAGGCTGTAGTGCCAGCTAATTTTTAATTTTTTGTAGAGACGAGGTCTCACTATGTTTTCCATGCTGGTCTCAAACTCCTGAGCTCAAGCAATCCTCCTGCCTTGGTCTATCAAAATGCTAGGATTACAGCTGTGAGCCACCACACCCGGCAAGAAGTGTGTATCTTTAAATAGTCTATGGGTTGCAAGGCAGTGAGATATCATGTGTAGACAGAAACAAGACTTAACTGGAAGAGGTATGGAATTCACCAAGAAATCCTGAACTCTAATCCTGAATAATTATTCCATAAAAGCTCTTGGCCAGGAACGGTGGCCCATATCTGTAATCTCAGCTACTTGGAAGGCAGAGTGGGGAGGATCACTTGAGTCCAGGAGTTCAAATCCAGCCTGGGCAACATAGTAAGACCCTATCACAAAAACAACAACAACAACAACAACAACAAAAACATCTTTTGAATGCAGTGGCAGAACATAAATTTGGGATATCCTGTCTAAGGAAGAGGTGTATAATGAATAAATTGATATTTATATCAATTGTATCAGTTAGATCATGTTAGTGGGGAATTTTTAAACACATAAGGAAAAAAACAAGGTGTCTGTTTGTGCAAGGCAAAGAGGGTAGTCTTGTAGTTTGCCCAATTCAAACTCATTTACCCAGCTCTGGGAATGCCCTATCTGTACCCCTAATCCCATTGCCATCCACATGGCCAGCAGGACTCCTAGCAGCCGTTTTTGTAGTGTGATCCCTCCCCCAAACTATGTTTGATTAGATCAAGAGTGCACATGTGTCCCAAGCTGAGCTAAAACACCCCTTCTCAGAAGAAACTGGAAATGCAGTTTATCTGTATCTATATCTATATCTATATCTATATCTATATCTATATCTATATCTATATCTAAATCTATCTCACTTCAATGTGGCTCTCTCCTGAATGCAGGAAACAAAACCCCAGGACTATGGCCATGTTTTCCCATACAGAGAATGAGAAGCAACGGAAATCTGTGTGAGAGAGAGGAAAGAGCAAGACCAGCAGGGGCCAACACAGAGCGATCAGCCGTGGATTTCCACTCCCTGCTTCCAGCTTGAGCATGGCTTGCATTTCTGCACTTGGATTTCCAGAGACACTCCCTTACCTTTAAAACAAACTTCCCCCTTTTTGCTTAAGCCAGCTCAGATCAGTTTCTGTTTTTTGCAACTAGTGGACTCCCGCCTCATAAAGAGATCCATCCCAGGATTTGCGATGTTCCTTTTCTTCTTATAGATAACCTCTGTTTTGAGACTTTTCTGCCCACAGGAATGGTTTGGTGATTGTAAACACAGATGAACTGAAGAGACTGAATGAGCACATGGATCATTAATTAGATTATTTCTCATTCTGGCCATGTCTATATCAATCTATTTCTGTCAGGGAATCATAATTTCCTTACATAGTCAGCCGCTGTAAAAGCAGATCTCACTTTTCCCCAAAACAGTTTTCCTCAGTGCTGGCATGAGAAAGGGGTGAGATTTTGGCGGTGGGGAATAGATAGGTTTGGTCCCACACAGCCCTGCGCTTAGTTCAACTCTTCAGCAATGTCCCAAGCAAGGTTGCCGGTCTTCAGGGTGGGTTTTCAGTAGCTGCACTTCTCAGGAAGTGTGGGCACAGGAGGGAGCAGTTCAAGTTCATTCTGGGAAGGCTGAAGATGCAATCTGTGAGCAGCATGGAACACAGAAACGCAGAGCCTTTGCAAGGCTATGCACAGAGCAGGAAAAAGCAGAGGTCTCCAAACACATGAGGAGCAGAGAGATCCCCTTATTGCCTGCCTTGGAAGGTGTTTCGTTTTAGAAGGCTGGGAAGCAAAAGGAATCATCTGACCTGGAAAATCGCAGGGAGCCCAAGTGAGGAAGAGTCCAATGCACAGCATCTATGGAGAAGCACAAGGTAAACTGGGAAGGTGCAGATCCTTAGGGAGGACTCAGTCTCTCAGCAGTTTGTCCCAAGGAGCATTCTAGGGGAAATTTAGTCACACTTGGAGGGTGTCTTCCTTCCTTCCTTCCTTCCTTCCTTCCTTCTTTCCTTCCTTCCTTCCTTCTTTCCTTCCTTCCTTCCTTTTCCTTACTTTGGCTCAAGAACCAATTTAAACAAGAAAAATGTAAGGAATTCCCTTTCTCCTGCCCAAAAGAAGTCAGCATCTATTGACTGCTCACCATGGCAAAAAACCTGTTTGATCAAGTAATGAGGTCAACATTTGTATAGAATCCATGTGTTTTATTTATTTTTTTAAAATAGAGACAGGGTCTCTGTCACCTGGGTTGGGTGCAGTGGCATGGATCATGGCTCACTGCAGCCTCGAACTCCTGGGCTCAAGCAATCCTCCCACCTCAGCCTCCCGAGTAGCTGGGACTACAGGTGCGCACCACTATGCCTGGTAAATTCTTTTTTTTTTTATTTTAAGAGAGAGGGTCTCATCATCTTGCCCAGGCTGGTCTTGAGCTCCTAGGCTCAAGCGATCCTCTCACCTTAGCCTCTCAAATTGCTGGGATTACAGGCAAGAGCCATCGTACTCAGCCTCTTCTTAAATTATTTTAATGTAGCAATTATGTATTTAAGGAACTAATAAAGCTTAGTTGTTGAAAAAAAGAGGTTGTTGTGTTTTATTTTCCATAATTTTGATTAGGTGAACTTGAGGTGCTGATGAAGAGTAGCTGTTGAAGTGTTACATAACAACTTCTCCTTAGTTCAAAGTGAAAATGAACTCAATAAATAGGAGTCAACGTTAATCTAGGGAATTAAAATTCAATTTGTTTTTAAACATTGCCTATAATTATTATAATACTGAAATTTACATAGAAATATACATGAACCTTAAATTATTTCCATCCACTTACCTAGTAAATACTGACTTAAGAAATTGCTATGCTGAATTCAGTCAATTATCTCTAGGTCATCTAGTGAGAGCTTAATTATATTTGTGGGGCTTTGACTTTTCAGCACAAACACCATACTCATTTTCCCACATACATTATACCAAGAACATATGGTACAGTGTGTGATTCACTAGCAGAGAGCTGCTTGCAATTGAGATCTGTCAAATGAGGACTTCTCAGACAGCTATGAGGATTCTTTGACTCCTGTTGTTAAAACACATTTTGTAGATTTAAAATATATTCATAGAACCAAGTCTTCTGAGTTTTCATCTTCTAGGACTAGCTTTCGCTGTGTGCCAAGTATTTTTTTTTTTTTTTTTTTTGCTGCTCATTTCAGTAAACCTTCTTGCGTCCCCTAAGTTCTCAATGGAATAACACCCGTCCCATCTGTTCCTCTGTCTATCTCCTCTGTAAGTCCCCTCCTATGTTGCCATGGCAACAGTACCTGCTACAACATCATAACGAGTTTACTATATTATACTTCTGTTAGCAAATGCAATACTTGGCTTTCAAAACCATGGCTTTTTATCCTTTTTATCCTTCTTTAAGAGATAGTTGGGAAAGGTCATGCCTCTAATCCCAACGCTTTGGGAGGCCGAGGGAGGAGGATCACTTGAGCCCAGGAGTTCAAGACCAGCCTGAGCAACATAGGTAGACCCTTGTCTCTGAAAAAAAAAGAAGAGGTAGTTGCCTGGTGAGGCAGCTAGCATTCTCAAGGCTCATCTTCCCACTGTTTCCTTAGCCCTTGTTCCCACACTTAGGAAGCCAAGAGCTGTAAGCCACTACCATCCCATCTTTCACCCTAGCAGACTCCATCTCCCACCAAAACATCCAGAAGTGCTTAGGATAGGAAACCACTGGCAGGAAGACTCACACTAGTGGTTCCCTCAAACTACACTGTGCCTCCAATTCCTCCAGGCTGCACATCAACAATACATCCAACTTCATTTTTCTCAGTTCTGATTTAGTAGCTGTGGAGGGGAATCCAGGATTCTTTTCAACAAACTCCTGGGTAAACATTCAACAGAGTTTGAGACACAACGGTCTAGATTTTCTAATTCAGGTGCCCCAGCATCTAATAGTTAGACAGTGTTTTTCAATGCATAGGACTTTGCTGGGGAAACTGAAAGTGCAGATTCCTGAGTCCTGCCTCCTAAGTCAGAATCTGAGCCTGGGATCCAGGGATCTGTATTTTAGCAAGCATGCTGAAGGTGACTCTGATGACACCAGAGAGACCAATCAGGGCTGGATCCATATCCCAGCTCTTCCACCTAAGTAGCCATAAGCATATATATATATTTTTTTTGACCTGGTGATAATATCTACCTTATGAAGGGATTGTGCACAGTAAACAGAAGCCATGCATTTTTTACTGTTTCTGAATAAGGCATGATACAGCTAGAGGAGATGTTTAAGAGTAAGACAAAAAATACCACAATCTGGCCATCATTTCTGAGTCATGATGGAGTCTTTCTAAGGACAGACAACCAGGGGTAACTTTTTCCAACCCAAAAGTCATGCTATAAAACTCCAACACAGTTTCGATAGACAGAACAGAGGGCCACAGAAATAAAGATACAATTTTGATCATTTCAAAAATCTATTGATCCATGCATATTTCTGTATTTCATCAAAATCTGGACACTATAGAATGTGTCACATACACTTAGTTCCAGAAAGGAGGAGAGCCACTGCCTTGGAGAATGGTGCTTGGACAAGCTTTCTTCCTCTCTGGGTACATTCCACCAGCAGAATATTTCCTGGACTTAAAAGAAGAACACTTTGGGCCAGGCACAGTGGCTCACGCTTGTAATCCCAGCACTATAGGAGGCCAAAGTGGGAGGATTACTTGAGGTCAGGAGTTGAAGACCAGCTTGGGCAACATAGTGAGACCCCCATCTCTATAAAAAACTTATTAAAAAATTAGCCAGGCATGGTTACAGGTACTACAGGTAGCTATGCCTGTAGTCCCAGCTACTCGGGAAACTGAGGTGAGAGGATCACTTGTGCCCAGGAGTTCGAGGCTGTACTGAGCTATGATTTTGCCACTACACTCCAGCCTGGGTGACAGAGTGAGACCCCCTATCAAAAAAAAAAAAAAAAAAAAAAGAATAGGATGAACACTTAACACTTCTCTCCACCTGAGATTAGTCAAGTTAAAAATCCATTTTAAGAATGCTATTATAGGCTGGGCGCAGTGGCTCACGCCTGTAATCCCAGCACTTTGGGAGGCCGAGGTGGGCGGATCATGAGGTCCGGAATTTGAGACCAGCTGACTAACATGGTGAAACCCCGTCTCTACTAAAAATACAAAAATTAGTCGGGCATGGTGGCGTGCGCCTGTAATCCCAGCTACTCAAGAAGCTGAAGCAGGAGAATCGCTTGAACCCAGGAGGCGGAGGAGGTTGCAATGAGCTGAGATTGCGCCATTGCACTCCAGCTTGGGCGACAGAGCGAGACTCTGTCGCAAAAAAAAAAAAAAAAAAAAAAAAAAGAATGCTATTATAATGACACATTTATAATTGAGGATGAGAATTACATCCCACAATTTGCACTGGCTAATTCAGAGACTTTGGGATGCAAAATCAAGGTTATAGTCCAGCTTATCTGTATCTGAAATTAGGGGAGAAGTAAAGCATAATATTCTGCTTCATGTTTCCAATTTCAGGGTGACAGGGTCCTGTTCAGTTGAAGGCTGCTGTGCATTTCTAAATGGCCCTCAGAAAATAAACAACTCACAGAAAAGAACTCCCTGAAAGTGGCAGTGGTGACTTTAAATGCCCATGACCCTTCACACTGATCAGCCTTCTCAACTTGAGGTGTGTGGAGACAGGGATCCTGGTATTGAGAGTAACACTATGAAGACAATTAAATAATTGGAAAATAAAACCTTTTGGGAAAGTCTAAAGGAAATAAGATATTTAGCCTGGAGAAGAGAAGGCTGAGGAATGACCTAATTATAGGCTTCAAGTACATGAAGAATTAATCTACAGCAGATGGTGACCAGCTGTTTTCAATTCCCATTGAATACAGTACAACAGAAAATTGGCTTAAAGGGTAATATAAAGGATTTAGGATAGATAAAAGAAGGAATTTACTGGTTTTTGAGGGTCACCAAGGTTAAGAGGAGATCGACTCTATTACTTAGGGAGGTGACAGTCACTCCTTTTCTGAGGTTTCCTGGTTTGGATTGGTTTGTTCAAGTGCATTGAGGGGGAAAGAGCTTTATTCTGGGGTGGTGAAGGCCAGCTCAGTCCAATGGCTATTCATTACACCTGCGTGTTTTAGCCATTTGGCTTCTCATTATTGTATTTTTGTTTTCCATAAGTCATCATGAACACACTGAGTGGCATTACCAAGTGCAAAATGTGTGCTGGGCATGATGAAAGAAAACTATATAAATTTCACTTTTTAGCCTTCAAGCCTTTGCCATTTGACAATTATAAGCATTTATTGAGTGCCCTGGGAGTGCCAGCCACTACTTCAGTCATAGGGGGATACTCAGATGAATAAGATATGGTTGTTAGCAACAACTGTGGAGTGTGTGTGTGTGTGTGTATGTGTGTGTGTGAAAGAGAGACAGAGGAGAGAGAGTTGGGGAGGTAGCAAGAAAGATAATGCCATAATCAATTGAGGAACTTAAAAACATACACACCTAGCCCCTCCCTCCAGAGACTCTAATCTACCTGGAGTGGTATGACATTCGGATACATTCTGCCAAATCATAATTATCACCTGCAAGTTGAAAACACCTATTATTTTACCCCAAAGTATAATGAGAAATACATTTTAAATTGTGATCACATGCACATGCACACATATACACATACACATGTACACATTCATTCATATGCACACATGACTGATAAAAGATTTCACAGAACAGTACTCTACTACTACTTTTTTATTTTATATCCTGTTCTATTTTTTAATGCTCGTCACCCCACTACACTGATTTTACAATCCTCTAATTGGTCATAACCAAGCATTTAAAAAACACCACTGTGGGGGAAGGTGGCAGCTTTGTTCTAGGCCTAAAGGAAAAAAACACGTATTTTCATGCCTCGGTCACAGGGCAAAAAGTAGGTGTGAGTTAAGGTTAACAAAATAGGCCAAGAGTTGTTCATTCATCCTAGTCCTTAAACTAAAAGGGTGAAAAATAATCCTGGAGGTTTATGTGTGCTCTATCCCAAGTCACCAAGGTACAAGAGACGGCAACAAAAGCCCTCATTGATGATAAACACGTTTGCTGGGATTGTCCTCTGTGCTCCGCGAATCCATCAGGGTGCTTGGGGTGATGAGAGTTGACCGGTGAAGGTTACAGGGGCCCAGGGTTCTAACAATTATGCATTTCAGACACATTAGAAGTCAAGAAGACACCAAGCACAGAGGGAACCCCATCATTTGGAGAAGGGAATATTGAGTTCCAATCCCAGCTATGCCACTAATTAGTTCAGTGAATCCAAGCAGGTCACTTAATGTCTCATGACACAAAGCAGCAGAATCAGCTGCAAATGACTGCAGGCCTTGCCAGCCCCTGTGAGTGCCACAAATCAAAGGTCATTCTCCCTCAGCATAGAGAGAAGAGAGGACTGCAGGGCTATCAGTCACCTCGACCTGAAATAATGACACTGTCGGTCAGCATTTTCTCTTGATACCTGAGGAGCCCTCTCTAAAATCATGACTGAGGGCTGAGCATAGAGGTTTTTGTAATGGAGGCAACAGCAAACGTTAGGTTGCAAGGGCTACCTGGTTATCCATCAATGAGTTGCAGATGAAGAATATGAGCCTCCATATCTTCATTTGTAAAATGGAGACAATCATACCCGTAATAACAGGAGCAGATTCTGGCTCAGGGCTGGGCCGTGAGTCACACGAGGGCCAGCGTGGGTGACGTCAAAGCCTCTGCTTTGTTTCACTACACCTGCTGAAGGACACCTGGTGTATCACAGTGGAGAAGAACAGGCTGTGGAGGCTGAGCAATCCAACAGGGAGAAAAATACACACATGCACACACACGTGTGTATTCAGATTAGATCATACACTCAAACAAATCTTGACCCCCACTCAGGACACTCACAGGTTTACCGAAGGAGGCAGAAGTGAAAATAAACAATCAAAACAAAGCATCTTGCAGGCTATGACGGAAATCAGGTCAATAAAAATGAGGCCGGGTATGGTGGCTCATGCCTGTAATCCTAACACTTTGGGAGTCTGAGGCGGGAGGATCTCTTGAGCCTAGGAGTTAGAGACCAGCCTTGGCAACACAGCAGGACCCCATCTCTACAAATAATAATAATAATTAAAAAGGGAGCATCTGCATCTCTAACCACAATTTCCTATGTGTCCAGTTCACTTCTAGCACTGGTTCTCATTTGGAGGTTGCACTGCACCTTTCCCGCAAGGGGGTATCAATGCATTGCATGATTTTGATCGTTAGATGACAAGGAGGTGTTGCTGGCATGTCCCATGGCCACTGTGGAGTTTACATTCTAGTCAGAGAGGTAGAAAATAGACCAGTAAGCAAATGAGTAAACAATACAACATTGGACCGTGGGAAGTGCTTTGAACAATAATGAAGTAGGGTACGGATCAGAGAATGACTTGGGAGAGTGGTGGCTATTTTACTCAGTAGGATGGTCATAGAAAGTCTCTCTCTCATTTGAGTGAAGACCTGCAGTAAGAGAGTGAATCACGTAAGAGGCAGTGAGAAGGGCCAGGCGCGGTGGCTCATGCCTGTAATCCCAGCACTTTGGGAGGCCAAGGTGGGAGGATCACTTGAGCTCAGGGGTTAGAGACCAGCCCAGGCAACACAGGGAGACTACGTCTCTACTAATAATTTTAAAAAAGTAGCCAGGGCTGGGGGTAGTGCATGCCTGTAGTTACAGCTATTTAGGAGGCTGAAGTGAGAGAATCACTTAGACCCCAGGAGGTTGAGGCTGCAGTAAGCTGAGATGGCACCACTGTACTCCAGCCTGGGTGACAGAGGGAGATCCTGTCTCAAAAAAAAAAAAAAAAAAAAAAAAAAATCAGTGAGAAGAACATGTCAGGCAAAAGGAACAGCTGTCTGAGTCCAGAGTGTGCTTGGCAGGCTGTAGGCACAACATGGGGGCTAGAGAGCAGTTGAGCAATAGGAAAATGGCAGAAGTGAACATGGAGAGTGAGCTACGAGTTGATCATGTAGAACATTATTGTTCCGGGCAACCAATCATGACTTTGAATTTGATACTAAATATGATGGAAAGTTATTAGACAATGTTGAGCAGGGAGTGACATGATCTAACTTTTTTTTTTTAAGAGACAAGGTCTCACTCTGCTGCCCAGGCTGGAGCACAGTGGTATAATCTCACTGCAGCCTCATACTCCTGGTTAAGCAATCCTCCTGCCTCAGCTTTCCAAGTAGCTGGAACTACAAGTGTGAACCACCAAACATGGCTAATTTTTTTTTTAATTTGTAGAGATAGGGTCTTGCTATCTTGCCCACGCTGGTCTCAAATTCCTGGCCTCAAGTGATCCCTTGGCTTCTGCCTCCCCAAGTGTTGGGATGATAGGCATGAGCCACTATGCCTGGCCTGACTAATATTTTTTAAAAAGCATTCTTTGGAAACGAAACTGAAAGGCCATGGATAGAAGAAGGGAAACCAAATTTAAAATCCAAAGTGAGCAACCAATTGGCCAAATACGTGTCATATGGCTGCACCGCAGCTGCCAGGGATGGAGAAAATGGCACATGTCCGTAACACTGTAGGCTCAAAGGCTTTGGTGACTGGATGAGGCAGTAAAGAGAGGGAGAAGTGGAGGCCGACAGCCAGGTCTCTGGCATCTGTGCCTAGGTAGATGACGACACTAATTATTCACCAATGTCAGAAACACAGAAGGCAGAGCTGTTCTGAGGGGGAAACGTGTGAAGTTCCATTTGAGTCATGCAAGAACATCCAGAAGGGAGCTGATGATACATGTCTACAGCTCAGGGGTGTGGCCTAAGTGAGCGATAAAGATGCAGAGTCATTGTGTTTGGGTGGGAATTACAGTGGTCAAAGTGAAGGAGACCTACTAGAGAGAGTGTAGAAAGATGAGAGAGAAGAATTCTGAGATCAGATGCCAGAAAACACCAGGGTTTAAGAGGTACACAAAGGAAAAGTATAAGCAAAGGAAATGAGAAGAAATAGTCAGAAAAATAGGAGTCCCAGGAGAAAGAACCAGGCGCTAGTTAATAATGTCAAATGCTCAGCTGGGTGTAGTGGCTCATGCCTGTAATCCCAGCACTTTGGGAGGCCGAGGCAGGTGGATCACGAAGTCAGGAGATCAAGACCATCCTGGCCAACATGGTGAATTCCTGTCTCTACTAAAAATACAAAAATTAGCTGGGCGTGGTGGCACTTGCCTGTAATCCCAGCTACTCAGGAGGCTGAGGCAGGAGAATCGCTTGAACCCAGGTGGCAGAGGTTGTGGTGAGCCGAGATCGTGCCACTGCACTCCAGCCTGGCAACAGAGTGAGACTCCGTCTAAAAAAAAAAAAAAAAAAAATAGTGTCAACTGCTAAGGAGAGGGGGCTGGGACCACCCACCCCCCCCAGCCCCAAGGAAGTCTGCCATAGCTCCCCTATTTCCCATAACATAGACCTTAGCATGCTGTTTTCTGAGGGCTTGCCTGAACCCCCTACTGGACTATAAGTGCTGTGAGGGCAAGGAATGCTTTTATTTTGGTAATCACTGAACTCTCATGGCCCAACATTATACCTGACTTGTGGTGACACTAAATAAAAATGTGTTTAATTACCAAATAGATGACTGAGCTGCAAACAGGCAATTATTCATGATCTCTGTCAGAGCATTTAGAGTGGAACAGTGAGAACAAGTCTAATCACAATTAGCTGAAGTGTAAATGAGAAATGAGAAAAGGACGAAATCAGGCATATAACTTTCTTCAAAGAAGGGTAAGTAATTACAAGGTACTCTAGGGTTTAGTTTGAGAGAGAGACAGAGTTGGCAGGAGTTGAGGCCAACTATGTAGGTTAGGGGGACCAGTCCCCACAGGTTGCCATCCTTGCTTCTGATACCAAGTACGAGTAAGGGGGATTCCCAAACTGCCCTTAGTTTTGATAACTCACTAAAATGACTCTCAGAGCCCACTGAAAGCTGTTATATTCAGGGCTACAGCTTATTGTAATGAAAGGATACACAATAAAATCAGCCAAGGAAAGAGGTCCAGACACTGAGTTTCCAGCTGTCCTCCCCTTGTGGAGACATGAACAGTATGATCTTCTCCCAGAGTTGATGTGTGACAATATGCAGAGTACCGCCAACCAGAGAAGCTTGCCCAGCCACTGATGTCCAGAGTTTTGCTGGGGATCCTTCACACTGCCCATGTGGCTGACCTTCAGTCCAGCCCTTTTCAGAAGTCAAGCTATTGCCTTTAGTCCCCAGTCCCTGTTGGAGACAAAACATACATCGTGGCCCAAAGCCACCATCATAAATCACATTGTTAGACTGTCTGGTGGCTAAAGCCCCCAGGCAAACAAAGATACTCCCATCAGGCAGAATATTCTGAAGGTCTAAAGATCACAGCCAAGTACTTGAGGGCAAAGGCCAGACCCCTCTTTGGGTAAAGTTAATTCTTCACTACACCCAAGGTACTATGTTGATAAAGAAGAAGGATAGAAAGCTTGAAAGGAATACAGTTTTAAATAGTAGTATATAGGAAGCAAAAAGGTGGTCAATGACAAAGAGCACTGCATAATAATGGAAGGTGGCCAGTTGAGATGATTTGCCTTGGTCAAGAAAGAGTACTGATATGACTGCTGTTCAGACTAGGTGCTTCTCATAACACAGCCAAAAAGCTGTGCATTGCATTTTCATAGACCATGAAATAAATGACTTTTTCTGGAGTAGTACCACACAGCATTGCTGGTGCCTTAGGTGGCTCCCACAACAGAATACTACCTATTTCATGAGTATGCCTGCTCCCTAAGTACAACTAATCATAGGAAGCATGATTTACGTTTGCCTACTGTAAATGTCAAGTTTGGCCAGTTCGGATGGACTCTCCTAAATCATACCAACAGAGGCTGAGTCAAATCAATAAACATTTCTTAAGAACCTACCAAGAGTAATCCATTATGCTAGGCTCTGATTACAAAGGTGAAAATTATAGAATAGCTACCCTCAACTAGTTCACTAGTGAGGAAGATAGCACATGAACAACTTGGGATTTTATAAAGAAAGCACAACATTTAACTTCTTTTAAAAAACTTACTATGGAATGAGGCATAGGTGATGAGATTCAGGAAGACATTTCAAAGATTTATTCACCACCATAGACCCAGCTCCCAGCAACAACTGGCACATTCCAGGCACAAAATAATTTAAATATATACACATATCCAAAATACAAGTAAAATGGTCTTTATTTATATATAACATGATTGTGTACCTAGACAACCCAAAATAATCAAAACTGAACTAATAAGGGAATTTAGCAAAGTCACAGGATGTAGGGCCAATATTTTAAAGTCTACTGAATTTTGCTCTGGTGCAGTAGCTCACACCTGTAATTCCAGCACTTTGGGAAGCTGGGACAGACTTGAGCCCAGGAGTTTGAGATCAGCCTGGGAAACATAATGAGATCCTGTCTCTATTTATTTTTTAAAAATCTATTGCACTTCTATATACTTTTCACAATAATTTGAAAATTATGTAGAAATATATTTGAGACCAGGCACAGTGGCTCATGTCTGTAATCCCAGCACTTTGGGAGGCCGAGGTGGATGGATCACTAGGTCAGGAGTTCAAGACCAGCCTGGCCAATATGATGACACCCCATCTCTACTAAAATTACAAAAATTAGCCGGATGTGGTGGCACGCTCCTGTAGTCCCAGCTGCTCGGGAGGCTGAGGCAGAAGAATCGCTTGAACCCAGGAGGCAGAGGTTGCAGTCAGCTGAGATTGTGTCACTGCACTCCAGCCTGGGCGGCAGTGGGAGACTCTGTCTCAGAAAAAAAAAAAAAAGAAAGAAAGATATATATTTAAGAGAACATAAATTGTAAAATGCTTAGGAATAAATTGTTTAAGCAATATGCAAAATTGTTTACATTGAAAACATTGCCAAGAGATATACCATATTCATGGACTGGAAACTCAATATTGTTAAGATACCAACCATCAGGTCTGGTAGCTCATGCCTGTAATCCCAGCAGTTTAGCAGGCCAAGGCAGGAAAATCACTTGAGGCAAGGAGTTCAAGACCTGCCTAGGCAACAGAGCAAGACCCCACCTCTATAAAACAACAAAAACAACAGCAACAAAAACACCCAAAATGCTAGAATTATAGGTGTGAGCCACTGCACCTGCAAAAAAAATTTTCAAATAAAAAATTTAAAAAGATACCTACTCTGTACAAACTGATTTATGGACTCAACAAAATCTCCATCAAAACACTGGTAGGCTTTTTTGTATTAATTGATAAGCTGACTCTAAAATTTGTATGGCAATGGAAAGCCAAAACCTAGAATAGCCAAAACCATTTTAAAGAAGGACAAAATCGGAGTAGTTCAAGAGTTACTCTAAAGCCCCAGTAACTCAACAGTTTAATATTGGAGTACAGAGAAATCAATCAATCAATGAAACCGAAAAGAAAGTTCAGAAATAGATTGTCACTTGATACTTGACAAAGGTGTCAATACAAAGCAATAGGTTAAGGAAGGAGTTTTCAGTGAATGGAATGGGAGCAACTGAATATCTATAAGAAAAATAAATGAACCTTTGATGCCTACCTGCCATTACACACAAAAATTGAATTGAGATGGATCATAGACCTAAAGTTGAAAGGTAAAACTCTAAAGTTTCCAGAGCAAAGCATAGGAGACTATCTACACAACTCTGGGGCAGACAAAGATAACTTGGACAAGACACAAAGGCATTGCCATATAAGCAAAAACTGTATATTGGATTTCATAAAAATTAAAAATCTCTCATCAAAAGACACCATTAAGAAAATGAAATGGCAAGCCACATAGATTGTTATGGCCTGAATGTTTGCGTCCCTCCAAATGTATATGTTGAAGCCTCAACCTCTAATGTGATGGTTGGTTTGGAGTTGGGGCCTCTGAGAAATAATTAAATTTTAGATGAGGTCATGAGGGTCATGCCCTGATAATGGGATTAGTACCCTAGGAAGAAGAGGAAGAGTAGGCACAGTGGTTTGCTCTTGTAATCTCAGCTACTTGGGAGGCTGACACAGAGGATCACATGAGGCCAAAAGTTTGAGACCAGCTTGGGCAACTGAGCAAGACCCCATCTCTAAAGAAATATAAACAATTACCTAGGCATGGGGGCACAGAGCTGTAGTCTTAGCTACTCAGGAGTTTGAGGCAGAGGATCACTTGAGCCCAGGAGTTTGATCATGCCACTGCACTCCAGCCTGGGTGACAGAGTGAGATCCTATCTCTAAAAAAAAAAAAAAAAGAAGAGATATGAGTGCTCTCTTGCTCTCTCCCTCTCTCTCTTTCTCTCTCTCTCCAAGTACAGACACAAAGAAAAGGCCATGTGAGCACACAATGAGAAAGTAGCTGTCTATAAGCCAGGAAATAGGCCTGTACCAGGCGCTGAATCTTCTGGCACCTTGATCTTAGACTTCTCAGCCCCCAGCCCAGGCTATGGTATCTTGTTATAGCAACCTGAGCTAAGACAGGGCAAAATTGTTTGCAATATAAATATCTAAAAATGAATTCATATTCAGAATATATAAAGAACTCCTACAAGTCAATGAAAAGAAACCAACAAATCAATAAAATAATGTGCAAAAGTCTAGGCCACACACTGGCTATATATATATCTGAATGGCCAATAAGCATCGGAAAAGGTGTTCAATAAACTTAATCAACAGGGAAATGCACATTAAGGCCACCATAAGATACCAGTCAGTATACACTCACCAGAAAGGCTGAAATGTAAAAGATTGAGAATGCCAAGGGTTGGCAAGAATGTGGAGGAACTGGAATTGTCACACATTGTTGATGGGACTGTAAAATATTTTAAACACTTTGGAAAATGGATAGTTTCTAATAAAGTTAAATATCCACTGACCTCTCTCATGGGCTTATTGGGAAAGCTAAATGCAATAATGGTTCATACTGTAGTACATTTTCAATAAACATTTATAATAGTAGTAGTACTGGTATCTTGTGCTTGTAAACACCTCCTCCAATGACAACTGAAACTTAAATGACTGCCTGGTGTTGCTGTTTAACCATGTCATGACAAGTACTGATAGGTTGTACCTGCAGAGTGGGAAATGTGAGGTACTAAGTCAGTCTGAGCTTGGGAAGGCCATTAGGGAAACTGGAACATCTACATAAATAGAATGGGTAATATGCCTAGAGTTAATCAGTCAATTCACATATAAAGAATACATGTTCTTCTGTTGATCTTGATGAGGTGTTTTGATGGATATCAAGCATTTAAGTTTTAGAGTATTTTTACTTATCAAGAGTTGTGCATAACAGATACTTGCTCCCTAGGGAATGAAGCAAGGCTTGAAAATGGGATGAGGGAGTAAAAGCTAGTAATGTTTGGTTTATGTATTAGTCAAGAAAAGAGTCACTGCCAAATTTTGATACATTCAGATGTTCTCCGTTTGAAAATGTCTGCATCAAAGTGTCCTGCTTCCATTCCTCACCACCTACTCTTTGAGGTATCCTAATACGCACTTGTGGAGTCTACAAAGATGAGCAAGCTTTGTCCTTGCCACAAGGGGGCTTTAAAGTACAGTAAGAAAGGATAGGAAACCATGTGATTAACTACTCCCCTGGAGAATGAAATGAATGTGCAAAGGACCAACATCACATGTGTTACCAACAGCTCCATCAGCTCAATAAATCAAGAGTTCACCAAAGACACATACAAGTTTCCCAGGGCTTTTGTGAAGGGGAATGTCATATACATCTTGTCTTGTCTCAGAAATCTTTGAGGTCACCAACAAGGCTAAGATTTTAATTTTAAGGACTCTAAAAAGTTCCAGAGGCTTCAAGGGGTCCATGAATCCCCTGAAACTATATGGAAAAGAGTCACTTTTGAATCTTTATGTGCATTTTTCTAGAAAGAAGATCCATCACTCTCAGTAAGCTCTCATATGGCTCTGTAAGTCAAAAAAGATTTCTCCTAAATTTGTTCTAATTGTAATTTGAGTTTATCTATGACCTGCCATTACTCACTTGAGAGTTTCCTATCACTTCAATCACAAAAATTGTTATCACAAAGGTGAGCAAAAGGCATTAATCAGATAACTTGATTCTATTTCTTGCAGGCTATGGCTTCAGTGTTCTTAGAAGTCTCTGAGTACTTCCACGTGGTTCTGATGGGTCACTTTGAAATTGAGCTAGAAATATAAAATTAAATTAACTTTACTCCTAATTGAGCATCTTAACAGTCATAATTAGATTTCATTTTATTTTGTAAATGACCTAAGCCATTTATTAACCATATGCCTTGAGCTATTTACTTAAACTCTGTGCCTCAATTTCCTCATCTACAAAATGAGAATAATAGTAAAATTCACCACAGAGTTATGATGATTAAAAGGGTTAATATTTGCAAAACACTTAGATTAGTACCTGGTACAAAGTAAATGACACAGACGTGATAAATGAATACCTTTGGATTTATCGTCAAAGCCTATGGATTTACCCCTGTCTGTATTGTGGAATACGTGCAATTGAAGTTCTTGACAAACTCTCGGTGACTCATTTCTTATTAAAACCTTAGATGTAAGATTTAGTGTTCAAGGAAGCTTATCTAAAGCATGAACTGTCCATCCATTTTTAAGATATTCTAACTTATGTCTCTGAGTCAAAATAAGTCTTCCCTGAGACTTATACTTTGCCACATTGTCTTGGCACTTAATAGAATTGCTTTTGGTGAGTTGTGTTGGTCCCATGCTCCTGCCTTGCCTAGAAAGACCCTTCAATAAGCTGTTATTCTCCCTGTGCATTTGTCGAGGATATCAATGGGATGTTGTTCACTCTAGAAGACACTAGTGGTACCCTACCCACAACCCTTTACCATGCTAATGCACCCACCACTTCTGCCCATCCATAGCATCCACGCACATCAACTTGTAACAGCTCAAAGCTATAACTCTTCTCCAGAAAACTGTTCTCAACTATCAGGAGCCTTGTCATCTGGAGATGTCTGGGAAATTATATACCAGACCCCACTCCAGTGTATAAAGGCACAAAAGCCCAGGCTTCTTGCCTCAAGACAGGACAACTTCATGGTGCCTTTCAGACTTCAGAGCCGTCCTCATGAGACCAGGTTGTCGTCAGCTGAAACCACATCTTTGCTGGGATTCTTCCTCTGCTTCATCCTTCTTTCCTCACTTCCTTCCAGGTTTCTCCTGAGAACTCTCCCTCAATTATTTGTGCAAGAAACCCTATTTTAGACTTCACTTCCAGGAAATCCAACCTAAGACATCCATTATATCATATAGTAATATGATATGCTAAGCATGAGGGTGGGTTTTTTTTCTCCCAGGCTTCAGTGCCAAAAAGCATTGTGTTCCTTAGTCTCTCATTCCCCTTCCCTTCTTTCTCTTCCCTTCCTCATCCACCTCTTCCTCTTCATCTCCCCTTGCCTCCTATTCCTCCTCTTTCCCTCTCCTCCTCTTCTTTCTCCTTACCTCCTCTCCTTCTCCTTTCTTCTTGCTCCTCTCTCCTCCCCCTCCCCTCTTCCTCCTCCCTTCCTCTCTTCTTGTCTCTTTATTTCTCCTTGCCTCCTATTCCTCCTCCTCCTCTTCTCTCCTCCTTCCTCCCCTCCTCTCCTCCTCTTCACCTTCTCTCTATTCCTGCTTTCTCCTCCTCTTTCTCTTCCTCCTTCCCTCCTCCCTTCTTTGCTTCCTTATCCACTCCTCCTGTCTTCCTCCTCCTTTCTCCTCCTCCCCTCTCCTCCCCTTCTTCACCTCCTCTTCTTCCTTCTTACCTTCTCATCCCCTCTTCCTCATCCTCCTCCCTTTCCTCCCCCATCTCTCCTCGTCTTTGAAAAAGAAAGAAGAAAAAAAGATTGTGCTCTTCCAAAGTAAGTTCTTCATTTTTATCTTAGCCCTAGGACTAAGTTTTCATTTTTATCTTATTTTATTTTATCTAGTTTTCATTTTTATCTTAGCCCTAGGACTCTTTTAACTGAAGGTGCTTTCCTCTTTACTTTGCTTGCCATGAATCTCAGAACCAAATTTCAACCCATTTCTGTTGTATTTCTGAGTAGCAACTTTACCCTTAGCTTTATTCTATGTTTCACCTTTTTTTCCTCTTTCCCAAAACCAATCAATCAATATATGTTTTGTACTAGGTGGAATAAAAATAGGCTTTATTAACACAAATAAGCTTTAAAAGGAGTCATGACGGCTGGGCACAGTGGCTCATGCCTATAATCCCAGCACTTTGGGAGGCTGAAGAGACAGGATCACTTGAGCTCCAGAGATCATGGCTGCAGTAAGCTATAATTGTGTCACTGCACTCCATCCTGGGTGATGGAGTAAGACCTTGTTCTCCCCAAAATTTTAAAAATTAAAAAAAAATAAAAAGTCAAGATTCACTTTCCTAATTCTTATTTTGCAATCTATATTGAACATCATTGTTTGAGGTCTGCCCAGTTCTCAATCCCCTTCTTCCAGTTGTAGCACTCCCAACTGTCCTTTGGGAATTACAATATCTGAATTCAGTTCATGTGGTTTAGGTGTGCTGACTCCGTCCTCCTATTTCAGGAGAGGGGCTAACCTGGACCACACAGAATCAGAGCATCATAGTCCCCTGTTACTAAATGGGTTTGAGACAGGAAGGGATAGAGTACAACTAAAGCCGTGAAGTTCAATTCTGAGACTTCGATTGGATTAATGAGGAGAAAACATCTTTCCTTCCCTTGAACCACTTCATAGGATTGCTGAAAATACAAAATAAGCTTGAAGTGAAGTGATTATGAGCCATTCATCTCACCCCTACAAGGGTGAGGCTGTCTGAGATGGAGACAATGCTGAGAAAAGCAGAGATGAGGGATGCAGAGAGACTACGTGTTCAACATCTCGGTTGAGCTCCCCTTTTTCAGTTACCTCCTTCTTTTCCTAAATCTAATTTGAGTTTGATTTCTGTTCCTTGCAACCAAGATTCCTGACTAATAACAAAGACAAAAATATATGGTTATTTTAACAGTGAATATCTATAAGGGGCTGGGCACAGTGGCTTACGCCTGTAATCACAACACTCTGGGAGGCCAGTGCAGAAGAATCACTTGAACCCAGGAGTTCCAGTCTAGCCTGGGCAACATGGTGAGACTGTGTCTCTACAGAAAATTTTGTAAACATTAGCCGGGCATGGTGGTGCCTGTCTGTGGTCTCAGCTACTTGGGAGGCTGAGGTGGGGGGATCGCTTGAGCCTAGGAGGTCGAGGTTTCAGAGAGCCACGATTGCACCATTGCACTCCAGCCTGGGTGACAGAGCGAGACCCTGTCTCAAAAAAAAAAAAATCTGTTAAGAGACAGTAGTTTTTTGTGTGCAACTTGTTCTAACATCCAGAAAATCCAGGGATAAAAAATGTTTAAACCTAAGCTTTAATGCTACATATGCGTTTCTCTTCCTTGTTACACAAATTTGAGAGGCTGTACTATACATCTTGAAAAAATAGAATTATTTTACAGCAGTCCAGTTGGAATTGATTATATAGCATTTAAACTTTAACAATAGTTTTCTAGGAATGACCTTGGGGCCAGAAGCGGTGGCTCACGCCTGTAATCCCAGCACTTTGGGAGGCTGAGGCAGGTGGATCACTTGAGGTCAGGAGTTTGAGACCAGCCTGTCCAAAATGATGAAACCCGATCTCTGTGAAAAATATTAAAAATATTTTTAAAAAATTAACCAGGTGTGGTGCCATGTACCTGTAATCCCAGCTACTGGGGAGGCTGAAGCAAGAGAATCCCCTGAACCTGGGAGGCAGAGGTTGCAGTGAGCTGAGATCGTGCCACTGCACTCTAGCCTGGGCAACAGAGTGAGACTCCATCTCAAAAAAAAAGAGTGACCTTGAGTGACCTTGGGCAGAGTAGAGAATGGAGTTGAGAATTTAAACTAATTGGCAAAAAGGAAGGGCAAATCTTGGTAAAGATAGTTGCATGTGAAGGAGGACACAGAGACTGCATTAAGCTCAATTTTCAAGAAGGATAACTTCTTTGTGTTTTACTATCATGTTACCCATCTTCGTGGTTGTTTGAATGGTACAAGAAGCTATGAAATTTATATATTTTGTATTCTCTGCTGTTTAGGGAAGAACTCTCTCAAACCACGTTTTTCCTCTGCTTTCAAAGCACAACAGTCATCAACACAGCAGAAGACTTCTGTAACCAAATGAGTGAGGAGTTTTTCCCACGACCAAGCAGTGGATATCAGCTGGGTGTCCCCCAATTCAATTCCTGGAGGTAGTGTCAGATCCCACAGGTTTAGGGCTCGGTTCTCGAGACTGCACCAAGAAGTGTCTCTGGAACTTCTGATCAACCCACTTCAAGTTGGGGGTCCCATGACCCCCTCTTTGGGTTCTATTAATTTGCTGGAGCAGCTCACAGACCTCAGGCAAACACATTTACCAGTTTACTATGAAGGATACAGATGAAGAGATGCATAGTGTGAGGTATGGGGGAAGGGGTGCAGAGCTTCCATGCCCTCCCTAGACACACCACCATCCAGGGACCTCCGTGAGATCCACCATGGAGTTACTTGCTGAACCCAGTCCTGTTGGGTTTTTATGGAAGCTTCATGATGTCAGCATTCCTTCCCCCAGGGCATGGGGGTGGGGTGTCTTATGACCCACAATCAGAAAGGCAGGGAATGATTAGAATCTTGCCTGGGAGCAGATGAAAAGGAGACAGGGAGAAGGTTGGAGAGATCCTGTTTCCTTAGTCCTAACACACCCATAATAAAAGACTGAAATGGCCAGCCTTGGTGGCTCACCCCTATAACCCCAGCACTTTTGGAGGCTAAGGCTGGAGGATTGCCTGGAGACCAGCCTGGATGATATAGCAAGACTCCATCTCTAGAAAATATTTTATTTTATTTATTTTTACTTAATTATTTATTTATTTTGAGATGGGGTGTCACTCTGTTACCCAGGCTAGAGTGCAGTGGCATGATCTTGACAAACTGCAGCTTCAACTTCCCAGACTCAAGTGTTCCTCCCACCTCAGCTTCCTGAGTAGCTGCAACTACAGGCATGAGGCATCATGCCTGGCAAATTTTTGTATTTTTTGTAGAGATGGGGTTTTGCCAAGTTGCCCAGGTTGATCTTGAACTCCTGGGCTCAAGTGATCCATCCACCTCAGCTTCCCAAAGTGCTAAGATTACAGGTGTGAACCACTGCACCCCACTGCTTTCTTCCATCTTTAGTGTCAGGCAGGCTTTCCTTGAACCACCCAGCAACTCCAGGCTCACCTCCTCCAGCATGGTGTGAACACGTGAGTCATCTTCCACACTGAAAGCAAAGTCCTGGAATTGAGTCGCATTAGGCCACCTTGGCTCTCATGTCCATTCCAGAGTCAATCACTGTGGCCAGAGAAAGTGGATAGATGCTCTACACAGAGCCCTGGGTGACATGCCCATCCCTGGAGCCTGGGGTAAAATCAACCCATCTAGAGCACATGCATGGGAAGGGCAGTGGGTGATTCCCTAAAGAATACATGGGTTTTGTTACCAGAAGAAGGGAGTGATTGCTGGGCAGTTAAAGCCACCCATGTCATTTCATCACTGGTGTACATTTTTCCTGATTCTAATCACTGGACTGATAGTCTGCTTGGCTTCATTCAGCAGTGCTACTCTCTCATGTATGAGGGAAGAGCTTGGTGCTTGGGGGCTGTTGTAACTGGGTTGTTTGGATGTTTATTAATGAGTGTCTTAGAGATCATGGAAGCAGGATGAAGCAAAGGAAGAAGTCAGGTTGCAATGCCCTCCCACTGGCATCCTCAGTTGACACCCACCACCACAACCACGGGAGCTCTAGAGCTACGGGAGACCTTCAAAGTAGTCCCAAGTTGGAGCAAGAGAGGAGGCCTTTATACCCTGGGGTCCATTAGTCAGATGTGCACCTTGTTAGGATGGGAGCACCGTCCCGGGCAACACAGCTTTCCTCAGCTGAGGTTGCTCTGAAGGGACTGACAGCAGAGGGCTACCGAAGACAGCACTTCTGGGGTGTGGGGGTAACCAATCCTGGTTCCTAAAGGAGACTGAAGCTGCATATCAGAGACCAGCACAGGGACACCCAGTACTGGTGGGGTGCAAAAACTTTGTCCCAGGCCCCCAAAAGGTAGCAACCACACCACCTTAAATAGTGATTTTATAAATGTCAGCACTTAATCAGTAAGAATGATTACTTAAAATTATAAAGTCTATTTTTATTTTTAATTATATTTTAAATATATAGACAGAGACACAGTCTCACTATGTTGCCCAGTCTGGTCACAAACTCCTGGGCTCAAGGAGTTTTCCTGCCTTGGCCTCCCAAAGTGGTGGGATGACAGGCATGAGCTACTGTGCCCAGCCTAAAATTACAAAACTAACTTCAGGAAGGTTTTGTACTTTTTGCCCCAAGTGCCACAACTGTTGGCTATGGCTCTGCCTAAGGGCAAATTTTGTGATTGGATCCTGTGAGAATTCTGAGTCAGTCATGAATGGCAGCAGGTATCTGGAACCAGGATACCAATTTCAAGGAGACAAAGATGAGTCGGGAGTGTCAGCAACCTGGAGGTATTTATGATTCCCAAGACTGGAAGTAATAGCTGGCTCCATGGGCTTATGGGTACCAACATGTCCTTCTGGCTGAATTGTCTCTCCCTTGATTAATAAGATGTTTAGGTAGAGAATGAGCTTAATCTTTCCCACTGGCATCTAATGCCCATAACTCAGCAGATTTTATTATTTCAACCAAAAAATCAGGTATTCTCACAGCAAGGGGGTGTAGGTGCGAGGGCTGACCCCAAATCAGTGTTGGAACAACCATACCAGGGTAAAAACAAGAACATCTTTCCTTCACCTTCCAGGCTTATCATTACCCATGATTTACACACATTGGCAGTGAAGGATCATTAAACATGAGAAAAGGACAAAACAAACAAACAAAAAACCCAAGGCATTTGGTAGGAGACAGAGCTTAGAAGAAATGAACTTGTAGAAGTAGGAGGATAAACAACCTCACTGGAAATTTAACACATTTGAAGCAGTGGTTGGTCAGAACCATTGCTAGGAAAAATATGCATCTGATCAGCCAGTGAAACATATAGTAAATAATTTTTAAGACTTTCAAAGCTCATGCTTTAATCTCTAACTGATAAGGAATTTAGGAATGGATTGCACACTGGAGGTAAAAAATGATTCGCCAGATGACTCACACATCTGAGAACCTTCAGCTCCAGCAATATGTGGAATGTAGTTCTGCTTAGGACAAAAACCAACCTGAGAGGCTTTTTGGTTTTGGTTTTGGTTTTTGTTTTTGAGACAGAGTCTTGCTCTGTCGCCCAGGCTGGAGTGCAGTGGCACAATCTTGGCTCACTGCAACCTCCGCCTCCTGGGTTCAAGCGATTCTCCTGCCTCAACCTCCTGAATAGCTGGGATTACAGGTGCCCACCACCAAGCCCAGATAGTTTTTGTATTTTTAGTACAGATGGGGTTTCGCCATGTTGGCCAGGCTGGTCTCAAACTCCTGACCTCAGGTGATCCACCCACCTCGGCCTCCCAAAGTCCTGGGATTACAGGCATGAGCCACTGTGCCTGACCCCTGAGAGGTTTTTGTCTGTGGATTGGATTGGCTGGCTGAATTTTTTCTTTTTTTCTTTTTTTTCTTTTTTTTAGACAGGGTCTTGCTATGTCACTCAGGCTGAAGTACAATGGCATGATCACTGCTTACTGCAGCCTGAAACCTCCTGGGCTAAGCGATCCTCTCACGAATGGCTGAGACTACAGGAGCACACCACCAGGCCCAGCTAATTTTTAAATTATTTATAGAGATAAGGTCTCACTATGGTGCCCAGGGTGGTCTCGAACCCCTGAGCTCAAGTGATCTGCCTGCCTTGGCCTCCCACAGTGCTGAGATTATAGGCGTGAGCCACCATGCCTGATGAATATTTTTTTAGTTAGAAAAATCCAAGGACATATTTTTTCAAGTTGTGATACATTTTTTTTATCATTGTACATCACTGTGCTCATAAATTTGTTCAGTCAACTCAAATATTTGAAGAAATGTAAAATCATCAATATCAATCTTAGAGTATATGCTATAGAATCATCAGAGTTCAGGAGAAATAGAGAAGACTAGGTAGTTTAGAGGAGTTAAGAGTCAGACACGCCTGGGTTCATTTTACACCTCTGTCACTTACTAGTTGTATGGCTTTGGTAAATTTCCTCATCTCTCTGCATTGGTTATTCATCTGTAAAGTGGATATATAAAAATATCTATCACATAGTGGCATTGCCTGAGGTAATGCAGGCAAAATGATTAACCCAGTGCCCGGAAAACACAGTCCACTAAAACAGTGACTGCTGCTTCTGTTGTGCTTTTGCCACCATCGTCACTGGGATGGTTGTTATAGAATATCTAAGCCTGAAGTATAAGACCCCTGGAAGAAAGGAGGATATTCTGACCTATGCTTCAAGAAGGTGTCTAATCTTTCAAGAAAATTGTGGCACCAAGAAAAAGGAATGAAAACAAAGATTAGTTGAGAATCCTGCCTTTTGTTTTCACTTGTTTTCCTCCAATGGTTGGGTGAAAGCAAGCTTGAATGCAAGGTTTTTTCTTTTCTTTTCTTTTTTTCTTTCTTTTTTTTTTTTTTTTTTTTTTTGAGACAAGGTCTCATTCTATCACCCAGGCTGGAGTGTAGAGGCACAGTCACAGCTCACTACAGCCTCAATCTCCCAGGCTCAAGCGATTCTCCCACCTCAGCCTCCCAAGTAGCTGGGACTACAGGCACACACCACCATGCCTGGTTAATTTTTAAATATTTTTGTAGAAATGGGTCTCACTATGTTTCCCAGACTGGTCTCAAACTCCTGGGCTCCAGTGATCTTCCTGACTCGGCCTCCCAAAATGCTGGGATTAGAGGTGTGAGCCACTATGCCCAGCTGCAAGTTTTTTCTTAAACAACACATTTACCTGAAAGCCTAGAATGGATTCAGGAAACCCAAGAGCTACCCAGGGTTTCTGGATAATTCTCAATGCTGGGGCTTTACCATGCACCATGTGTGGAGGAACAAGGCAATCCTTTGCCTCCCCAGGTATGTGAGAGGCAAGGGGAAGTTCCTTCTCAGCCCTATAGCAGTTTCCAGATTGTGTAATTTAGAAGCTAACATCAGTTCCACCACCACAGGGTGCCACTCCCTGACTTTTTTTCCCCCCTGAGACAGGGTCTCATTCTGTCACCCAGGCTGGAGTGCAGTCGTGCAATCAGGCTCACTGTAGCCTCCACCTCCCAGGCTCAAGCGATCCTCCTACCTCAGCCTGCCAAATAGCTGGGACCACAGGTACATGCCACCATGCCCAGCTAATTTTTAAACTGTTTTGTAGAGATGGGGTCTCATTATGTTGCCCAGACTGGTCTTGAACTCCTGGGCTCAAGTGATCCTGCGGACTCAACCTCCCAAAGTTCTGGGATTGTTAGGTAGCTAGGCAGAGATGAGCAGGACATGAGAGCCCCCAAGTCCCCAGGTATATCAGGTGACCACCAGGTGATGTTCAGGCAGTTGTTAAACTGCCTCTCTGAAATAATAATTAGTTGCAGCTGGTGCCAGGGAAGGGCAGTCTCCCAACAGATAGAAACACCTGAAGCTGGTGATCAGCAGCTTCCCAATAAGATCTCAGGAGCTGGGCAAGTGGGCTCAAGCATGCATGCCAAGAAGCAAAATGGAGGAATCTAATTGGTATGTGATGTTCTTCTAAAAACATTCGACTGGTAAGGGGAAAACGCCGCGAATGAACATGCACACAACTTCAGTAAACACACTGAGCATGTGACCCCTCTCAACCGCTGGCAGGCCACTGCACATGCAGACAGCTCACCCCAAGGAAAAATCAAGGGAGGAGAGACAAAGCCCCAGAACCATGACCATGCAAATGTTTACAACCCCAAGTCAAGGGTCCAGACGAGGCACTTGGATCTCTCAGGTTGCCCACTTGGCCCTCTTCCAAGAGTAGTTCACTTCCTTTTGTTCCTGCTCTAAAACTTTTTATTACACTTTCACTCCTGCTCTAAAGCTTGCCTCAGTTTCTCCCTCTGCCTTATGTCCCTTGGTTGAATTCTTTCCTCCTAGGAGACAAGAATCAAGTTGCTGCAGACCCATAGAGATTTGCCACTGCTAACAGGATTACAGGCATGAGCCACTGTGTCCAGCCTCCCTGACTTCTGTTTATACAGTTTCTGCTTTCAGGCTCTCCAGATCAGTAGCAGGAAGATATGTATTACTTTTGCAGCATGAATTACTCTTAGCCTCAGCTCTTTTAGGAGTCCAAATCTTTTGACATCAACAACATGGATTATTGTCATAAGATCAATATTGGTAACACAATTTTTAGAGACCTACATGACAGTCACAATACATTCTGTCCACGTGACAGTCACAAATTCTGTCACTTGCTCATGTTTTTACCAGCTCCTTTCCAGTGAATCCCAAGACTACCTATAGAGCAAGTAAATTAATAAGTAATAGGTTGATCTAGGAGTGGACTTGTGTAACTGAATTCCTAGAACAATGCTGTTTCCACAATAATTAATTCATTTGCTTATTCATCAGGCACAAATATACATCTGTATTGAGTCAGACTCTGTGCTGGATACTCAGGATATAAAAGTGAAAAATTAACTCCCAGTCTAATCAGGAATTATTTGCTATTTATTTAGATGCCACACATGTAAATAAATAAGTGCAATAAAGTGTCTCAGATGCTATGTTCAAAGTGAGTCTGGTTGCTGGGCTTGGTGGCTCACGACTATAATCCCAGCACTTTGGGAGGCCAAGGAAGGAGAATTGCTGAGGTCAGGAGTTCAAGACCAGCCTAGCAACATAGTGAAACCCTGTCTCTATAAAAAATTTAAAGAAATTATACTACCACACTGGTCTTTTTAAAAAATAAAAACAATTTAAAAATTAGCCAGGTGTAGTGGCATGCCTGTAGTCCTAGCTACTTAGGAGGCTGAGGTAGGAGGATCACTAGAGCCCAGAAATACAAAGCTTCAGTGAGCTATGATTGTGCTACTGCCCTCCAGCCTGGGTGACACAGTAAAACCCTGTCTCCAAAAAAATAAATAAACAAACAAAAAAGTGAGTATGAGAAATACTGATTTTACCTGGGAAGGTCAGAAAAGGCTTGGTACCACAGCTGACTTCTGAGTCTTGAAAGATGAGTAAATGGTCACTGGACAGATATTTTGGGTGAAGATGGCAGAGAACACATTCAGTTTATTTTTTTAACAATTTTAATTCAAAAATTTATAAAATATGGAATGCTTCATGAACTTGTGTGTCATCCTTGCACAGGGGCCATGACATTCAGTTTAACAGTATCATCAATATCCAAAAAATAGCCTGATGTGCAGCTTGGGATGGCCACAGCCTGTATAGGGGAAGGCAGGCATTACCTCAAAGTAGAGCAGCGACATAGACTAGTCAAATTGATACATAAAATTAGACAGCACAGGTAGGTAGGTAGGAAGGGAAGGAAAAGGAAAAAAGAGTCCAGGAAGAACCCTGAGATTATGGTTCTTAGGGTGGGGCAAAGCAAGAGAGGGCCAGGGCAGCAGGGCAAGGAGGGTGACCCCAGAGACCCCAGGAGAACCACAGACATCGTACCTGCTCTTTCCCCCAAAATGCTGCAATGGTCAACAATATTAAATGACACAGAAATTAGAAGATGAAAAGTGAAAAGAACTCACTGGATTTGGTCTTTGGTCTTTGGTCTTTGGTAATGTACCAAGCAGTCTGAGTGACGTAATGGAGGTAGAAACTTGAGTGAAGTCAAAGGGAGATGGAATTATTAGAAAACAAAAGCAAAGATTAAAGTCTGAATTGGTGAGAGTGAAAAGGATGCTCATATACTGTTAGAAGAAGTGTAAATAATATGAATTTTTGTGTCAAGTTTTTAATAGGATCATACCATTTGACCCAGCTATTCTACTACTAGAAAATTATCTCAAGGAAGTGAATATATATCTATGCCAAGATTTAGTTATAAGCTATTCATCTGAATGTGGGTTTTAATGGTAAACAAATAAAAAGATAAATTTAAAAAGTTTAAAAAAAAGAGAAAAAAAGAAACAACTTCAATGTACAATAATAGGGTATTAGGTATACCAATTATGTTCTAGCCAGAGCAGATTTACCATGAAGCTAATAAAAATTAAGCTTTGGGCTCCTTACTTGCATGGACCCCTTCAATACACTGGGAGAGAGCCAGACATGGTGGCTCATGTCTGTAATCTCAGTTACTTGGGAAATTCAGATGGCAGGATCCCTTCGGCCTAGGAGTTCAAGTCCATTCTAGGCAATATAGTAATACCAGATCTCTAAAACAAAACAAAACAAAACAAAACAAATACATACCAAGAAAGAGGGCCTTAAAATTTTATACAAATAATTCTATAATCTTTTCCTTAAAGAGAGCTCTCCTAATTGTATAAATGTTATGGTCTCCAAATCTAGATTACCATTGAGTCTGTTTATATAATTATAAAAATAAGGTTGTATTCAATAATAAGACAAATAACTCCCCTCCCCCCAAAAAAGATGGCAAAAGATTTGAACAGGCATTTTTATCACAGAAGAGATGTTAATGGCATAAGGAAATGCAAATTACAACCACCATGAGATACTACTTCTCATGTACTAGAATGGCTAATTTTTTTCTTTTTTAGATGGAGTCTTGCTCTGTTGCCCAGGCTGGAGTGCAATGGCATGATCTCAGCTCACTGCAACCTCCGTCTCCCAGGTTCAAGTGATTCTCCTGCCTCAGCCTCCTGAGAAGCTGGGATTACAGGCATGCACCACCACCCCCAGCTAGTTTTTGTATTTTTAGTAGAGATGGGGTTCACCACGTTGACAAGACTAGTCTTGAACTCCTGACCTCAAGTGATCCACCTGCCTCGGCCTCCGAAAGTGCTGGGATTACAGACGTGAGCCACTGCCCCCAGCCTAGAATGGCTAATTTTGTTAAATGCTGGTGAAGATGTAGAGCAACTAGAGCTCTCCTACATTACTGGTAGGAACACAAAATGGTAGCAGCACTTTGGAAAACAGTTTGTGTGCAGAACAAAGCAACTCCATCTTGAAAGTTAATCCGCCACGTTGGCTTCTGATTAAACCCCGTTCTGGAAAGGCCACTAAGATTGCCAGCTTATCTATTGTTCTTTGTGTCAGAGCAGGTACTTACTGTAAATCCTGCCCTTAGGTCAAACAACCTTGATGTTATCATACTTTATTTGTCCTACACATCCCTTCTGAAACACCCTCTTCTATGGTACATATAAGCCCTGGGTCTTGGGTGTAATGGTGCTGGGATCCACCTTCTTTTCTTGCTGCCGCCCCAGGCACAGGCATGGCTTCTGCTTGTAAGTCCCTATTAAATGTTTCCTTCTAAGAAACTGCGTTTATCAGCCTCTTTTTTTCCGTCTCTTAGCCTCCTTGGACTTTGGGGTACATTTGCATAGATCTGCCCACCCCAGAACAGTTTGGCAGCTTTTTACAGAGCTAAACATGTACTTACCATAGGACCCAGCAACCTCACTCCTAGGAATTTATCCAAAATAAATGAAAATGTAGGTCCACACAAAAACCTGCACACAAATGTTTATAGCAGCTTCACTAATGATTGCCAAAATCTAGAAGCAACTCAAATGTTCATCTACTGGTGAATGGATAAACCACCTGTGGCACATCTGCACAATGGAACAACACTCAGCAGTGAGTAGAAATGAACTACTAGTACATTCAACAACATTAATGTATCTCAAAAGCCTAATTTGAAGTGAAAAAGAGCCAGACACACACACACACACACACACACACACACACACACACAGCTGCATACTGTATGATTCCATTTCTATGACATTCTGGGAAAGATAAAACTAGCAAAGAAAATTAGATCCATAGTTGCCAGGGGCTGGGAAGGACAAGGGAATTTGGGGATGACAGAAATGTCCTGTAACTTGGTTTCTGTGGTGCTCACATGACTGTATGTATTTGTCAAAATCACCAAACTGAGCACTTTAAAACAGTTTTAATGTATGTAAATTATACCTTAATAAATCTGACCTGTAAAAAATTCAAATTATCCTGGCATGGTGGCTCATGCCTCTCTAGTCATAGCTACTTGGGAGGCTGAAGCAGGATTGCTTGAGCCCAGGAGTTCAAGGCTATAGTGCATTATGATCATGTCTTTGAATAGCCATTGCAGTCTAGCTTGGGCAACATGGCAAGACCCCATTCCTCAAAAAAAAAAAAAAAATTGAAGGGCTGGGCATGATGGCTCATGCCTGTAATCCCAGCACTTTGGAAGGCCAAGGTGGGCGGATCACTTGAGCCCAGGGGTTTGAGACCAGCCTGGCTAACATGGTGAAACTCCATCTCTACTAAAAATACAAGAAGTAGCCAGGCATGGTGGTGCACACCAGTGATCCCAGCTACTTGGGGGGCTGAGGCACAAGAATCACTTGAGCCCGGGAGGCAGAGGTTGCAGTGGGCAGAGATCACACCACTGCACTCCAGCCTGGGTGACAGAGCAAGACTCTGTCTCAAAAACAAACAAACAAACAAACAAACAAAAAAAAAACTGAAGTTGTAGAAAATATTTAAATACATAGAATAGTAGTCATATAGTATTGATAAGTAAAGCAAGTCATATAGTATCGATCAGTATTCATTTTCATAAGTCCAGCTTTGTATGCTCAGATAGACAATACATGAATACATTTACAGAGGATAGAACATAAAAACAACAAATTTCACCTATAATTACTTTTGAGGCATTGGATGACACATGAATTTTAACATTATACTTTTGCCCATGTGTATTTTTAAAATTTTCTTTATTAAATATGTATCTCATGTAATTCTTTTTTTTTTTTTGAGACAGAGTCTCGCTCTGTCGCCAGGCTAGAGTGCAGTGGTGTGATCTTGGCTCACTGCAACCTCTGCCTCTCAGGTTCAAGCAATTCTCCTGCCTCAGCCTCCCGAGTAGCTGGGACTATGGGTGCACACCACCATGTCCGGCTAATTTTCGTATTTTTAGTAGAGACAGGGTTTCACTATGTTGGCTAGGATGGTTTCTATTTCTTGACCTCGTGGATCTGCCTGCCTCGGCCTCCCAAAGTGCTGGAATTACAGGCGTGAGCCACTGCACTTGGCCATAATTTTTTTTAAGTAGGTTTTGTTGATTGAGGTGGAGTTGAGGGATTTTAAAGAATGAATTATAGATGGAGAAATTAGAGACAGGGATTCTAACCTCTTCTTATTGGCTTGCCAATTTAGGGAAAAACTTACTAGAAGGGGATTCAGTCAAAGATGGATTTTTTGTTTGTTTTTTATTTTAAAGGGAGAGTGAGACAAGACACCCATGCAATCAAGAGCTCAAGATATGGTACTCCATGAGAGATACAGTCATCGAACAGCACTGGGAGCAAGTTCCAATTATGCTCCAAAGCCTGGATGACTCATCTGTCTCTGAAAGAAGCTTTCCATGATCCCAGCCCACCCTTTTGTTCAGTTTTCTCCTTGGTAGTCACCCATATATACTCTGAGATCAAGCCAAGGGTTCACTCCTTATTCCCAACCACAGCCTGAGCTCTCCTGCTCCATGCCTCCTTCACTCTGTTCCTCTGCCAGCCTGGAATGTTCTCCCCATCTCTCCCTCTTTTCAAACGAGAAGCAGCAGTCAATTCACCTGCACTCTACAACACTGCCTATACCTCCTTGGCACTCACTCCTAGCTTCAGTCTTATAGTTACCTGTGACTCCTCTCCCTTCCATTAACCTGAACCCCTTAGGCATCTTTCTGTCCTCCACAGCACTGAGCATAAAGCCTTATCAATGTTTGTTGAATTTCACTGAAGATGGCATCAGACTTGGGGTGCCAAATTATGATACATCCATAAACTCAAATACTTGTAGAATAGACTGATTATGAGATTAGTCCCAAATTCAACATAATTCTAGGAAAGAAACTACATTGATGCTCCATTCCAGAACATAAGTCCTTGTACCTTGGAAATAACCAGTGATATGACTTAAACAATGTTCATAGTTTTATTAGTCCATTCTTACAGTGCTATAAAGAACTACCTGATACTGGGTAATTTATAAAGAAAAGAGGTTTAATTGACTCACAGTTCCACAGGCTGTACAGGAAGCATGGCTGGGGAGGCCTCAGGAAACTTACAATAATGGTGGAAGGTGAAAAGGAAGCAGGCACATCTTCATATGATGGCAGGAAAAAGAGAGCTAAGGGAGAAGTGCTACACACTTTTAAACAACCAGATCTCATGAGAACTCACTCACTATCACTAGAACAGCAAGGGGGAAATCTGCCTCATGATCCAATCACCTCCCACCAGGTTCCCTCCCCAACACTGGGAATTACAATTCGACAAGAGATTTGTGTGGGGACATACAGCCAAACCATATCAATAGTCTATTTCTTTTTTTTTTAACTGAGTCTTTCAAATTTATATCCCTTTTTAAGTATGTTTTCAGGAACAACTACCAGCTTGTTTTTACTATTGAATGTCATGTCTGCATACTTTGTGAGAAAGGATCCAGCTGTGCTTTTTTAAAATAGGAATGAGTGCTGTGGATCATAAATTGGCTGATAGAGATGTTCATTTCTGAACTACAAAAGTCCAATTATGATAAGGCATAATTATGACAAAGTACAATTAATAGAAACATGCCACCCATGTGTGTGCTTCTTATAGCTGAGTGACCTGGAAATCACTAAATGCAGGTCACATAGTAAGTATTTTTTAAATGTTCACATAAATCATTCTTGTTCACATAGCCAATCAGCCTTCCCACAGCTCTTGAATAGAATTTTTGGGTTATATGACCTAGGTCATCTTGTAAATGTGCAGGTTGCCATGAATGTGGGCACAGTTGGATGGAAGCAGGTCACTCCTAGGACAATACAAGGAAGATCCTGCCACCTTCAAGTTGTGTCTCTAAAGGACACAAAGCCTGCTCAGATGCTGTCAACAGATATTGTAAAGGTCCTTCACTATGTGAGTCAGAAGACCAGAGAAACTATCTTTAGAGATCTGGGAGATCATCAGCCTAAAGGTACTGATTGGTGTCATAAGAGTGGTTATGGTATTGAGCGTAAATGAGTAATAAGAGAGAAAAGGGAAGGGGATGTTTAAGTAATGAGGGAAATCACAGAATTGAAGATCAATGAAGAATAGTCTGAGATAAAAGAAAAACCAGGCCACATGAAGTCATTATCATTTGTGGTGAACACTGTCAAATGCCAAAAGAACATGAAGCAGATTAAATGTGACCACAAATTATCTGATATTCCTTCCATCAAGAAGTGGGGCTCTATGTCCCCTCTCAAGTCTGGGTGGGTTTTGTGACTGTTTTGCCCAATAGCCTGACAGGAAGTGAAGCTATGTTCATTTTCAGGACTGGTTCTCAAGAGACTGGCAGCTTCCATTTCCTGTCTCTTGGAATATTCAATCTCAGAGAAGTCAGCCACCATATAAGAAGTCTGACTGCACTAAGATCACACTGCTGTCAGAAAGGCCAGGTTAACTATGAAGAGAGAGAGATGCCCAGCCAACCCAGGCTGCTCCAGCCAACCCAGCCCAGGCACTGTCTGCCCAGGCTTCAGCTGCTATCTCACCACACCTGCATAGCAGAGCTCAAAGTGAGGACAAATCACCTGAGCCCAAGGAACCTACAGAACTGTGAGAAATCAATTTTGTGTTTATTTGTTTTTGTTTGTTTGTCTTTTGAGATGGAGTCTCACTCTGTTGCTCAGGCTGGAGTGCAGTGGCATGACCTTGGCACACTGTAACCTCCACCTCCTGGGTTCAAGCAATTCTCCAACCTCAGCCTCCCGAGTAGCTGGGACTACAAGCATGCACCAAAATGCCTGGCTAATTTTTGTATTTTTAGTAGAGACGAGGTTTCACCATGTTGGCTAGGCTGGTCTTGAACTCTTGACCTCAAGTGAGCTGCCTGCCTTGGCCTCCCAAAGTGCTGGGATTACAGGTGTGAGCCACTGTACCCAGCCCAATTTTTAAATTATTTTAAACAAACAACTATTTGGCTGGCTAATTACACAGTGTTTCATTTCAATCCCAACTGGGGCAACACCAAATGCACTGCAATTCATTTCAGACACTAACCATCCAGAGTTGGCACAGATCCCACAGGTTAAGGTCAAAGTCCTCCACAAGATAGCTCTCACCAGCTGTAAGTTTCAGGGGATCCCAGGCCACTCATACTCTGACTGGCTGTGAATTTGAGGGTTCCTACGATCATCTCAGGCTTGATAATTCACCAGAATGACTCACAGAACTCAGAAACATGCTACATATGAAATAATAGTTTTATTGTGAAGAATACATATAGGTACCAAGATATGAAAAAAACGGGAAATTTTTAAAAATAAAATAAAAGACTACATAGGGCAAGGTCTGAGAGGGAACACACAGCTTCAGTGCCTCTCCCCTGGGGGAGTCAGGGAGCATCACCCTCCTAGCACATCACTGTATTCACCAACCAGGAAGCTCCTCCAAGCCTAGGTGTCCAGAGTTTTTATTGGGGTCTCATTATGAAGGCATGATTGATTAAATCCTTGGTCATATGACTGAACCCAATCTCTGGCTCTTCTCCCTGGATGGTGCACTCAAATCCAAGGGCCATATGTTAAGTTCTCCAAGTCATTTTTGAAATCTACTTACTTGACTTGAGGTGACAGAGACGTACCTCAGTCCCCTCTCCCATGCTGGGAGAGAAAACACAACATACTTGCAACTCTCTCCAAAATAGTATGAATCTGCCAACACAGGCCAGACCAGTTTTGAACAATTCCTATTGCAAGCCTTGCATGATGGTGTCTATTGTTAGTTTCTCAGCCACTTGGACATCTTCAGAACTTTTTTTTTTTTTTTTGAGATGGAGTTTCGCTCTTGTTGGCCAGGCTGGAGTGCAATGGCACAATCTCAGCTCACCACAACCTCCGCCTCCCTGGTTCAAGTGGTTCCTCTGCCTCAGCCTCCCAAGTAGCTGGGATTACAGGCATGTGCCACCTTTCCCAGCTAATTTTGTATTTTTAATAGAGAGGGGATTTCTCCTTGTTGGTCAGGCTGGTCTCAAACTCCCAACCTCAGGTGATCTGCCCACCTTGGCATCCCAAAGTGCTGGGATTACAGACATGAGCCACCATGACCAGCCTTCAGAACTTTTAAATTGCATTTTAGGTTCCATTCTACAATGGTTAACAAAATTTTTAAAAAAGATCTCTGTTTTCATGGATTTTAGTATCTATTGAGAGATAGATAGTAAATAACACAAACAAATATATAATTGCAAACAATGTTGAGTGCTATAAAGGAAAGATTCACTAGATGTGGTAGACTTTGGTGGCCTCAGTGAATCATGCCTTCTGGTATTTTGCCCCTGAGTAATCCCCTTCCATGTTGACACTGGGTTTGGCCAACGATTAACTTGCACCACTGGGACATTACAAATATAGTGTAAGCAAAGTCTGATGAACTTGTGTTGGTAGAAGAGCTGAGGCAGGACTGGCTTGTCTGTCATAATATAAAAGAGTCTTGGAAGATGTCCGGGGTCCAGGGTCTAAAACCCCTCGTGGCCTTTGGAACACCAAGCTCTGTGCCAAAGTGTGGAAAGCTGCCCTGCCACACCACAAATCTAAGCCCAGGGCATAAAACTCCTCGTGGCTTGGATGGAATCCAGGGCTCAGGGCATAAAACCCCCCATGGCCTCTGGAATGTGCACAGACTTGGTCGCTCTCCCAGGCTCATAAACATGTTCTCCATTATCTCAAGCAGCAGAGCATATTCTATATGCGTCAAAGAAAATGCTAAACCGTCAGAGCTACGCTTGATGCACCACTACCTTTCTACCCCCACATCCTCATGCCCTCACCTGTTTATCCCCACATCCACATGTCCTCACCACCTGCTTCTTTGTCTGATCACCAATAAATAGTGTGGGATCCCAGAGCTCGGGGCCTTCACAGCCTCCATACCAGTGTTGGCCCTGTGGACCCACCTTATGTACTCTTAACTTGTCTTTTCTCATTCCTTTGACTCCTCCGGACTTCGTAGCCCCCACGGCCTGGTGTTGGGTCTGATCACCCCAACATTTCTGGCGCCCAACATGGGGCTATGAAGACCCCGGTGAAGGAATGCTAGAGCATGTGGAAGCAGAAGATGCATTGTCAGAGGACACCGAGGATGACTGAAAGAAGCTCGGCGGGTAAGCTGGGCACTCAGAAGAACCAGGGTAACAATGGGACAGAATGAAATTAAACATTCTGCTTATTTAAATTGCTTAAGGCATTTATTACAGAGAGGGGGAGTGAAAGTTAGTACTCAGAATTTATTAACACTCTTTAATACAGTAGAGCAGTTTTGCCCATGGTTCCCAGAACAAGGGACAATGGAGTTGGATGAATGGGAAAGAATTGGCAGAGATTTTAAAAAGGTGCATAAAGAAGGAGCCAAAATTCCATTTTCTGTTTGGTCAGCGTGGGTGTTGATAAAGGCAGCTCTTGAGCCATTTGAAACAGATGATGAGGCAGATTCATATGAGGAAGAGGCAGGTGACTATAAAAAAACTAACTTCAGATTCTGAATGTGAGGGACAGGACCCGGAGGAAATTAAAGAAAAGAAAGGGAAGCTGAAAAAGGTGTATTTTACTAGCCAGTCGGTTCCACCTGCTGAATTAAGTGAATGGCCACCTCCTCCCTCTCCTCCTAATGGGTGAGAAAACGAATTAGCTGAAAAACTTACTGCTCTTGTAGTTGCAACATTAAAACCTGGAGCGACTGGTGGTGCTATACAAAATTCTATTCAAAACGCTAGAGCCGAGAGAGACCTTGAAGCATGGCAATTTCCAATTACTATAACCCAACGACAGAATATAGCTAATTGGGCCACTTTTCTTTTTAAGTAGTTAAAGGAATTTAAGCAAGCCGTTAGTCAATATGTGCCAAATTCTCCTTTTGTACAAACTTTACCAAAAAATGTGGCTCTTGATAATAGATTAATACCATATGACTGGGATACTTTAACAAAATCTGTTCTCACTCCATCTCAGTACTTACAGTTTAAAACCTGGTGGGCTGATGAAGCTCAAACTCAGGTAAGAGAAAACACACAAGCACAGCCACCTGTGCCTGTTTCTTTTGAACAGCTAATGGGAGTTGGCCCTAATTGGGGTTGATTAGAAAATTAAGCAGTAATGAAGAATGTTGCCATTGTTCAGCTGTGCACTGTGTGCTTACAGGCATGGAAAAGAATAAATGTTACAGGGGAAAAATATCCTTCTTTCAGTTGTTTGACTAACTGCCAAACCAGTTTGGGTGGAGCAATGGCCACTAAAACAGGAAAAACTAGAGGCTTTAAAAAAATTGGTGCAGGAACAATTGCGAAAGGGACACATAGAGCCTACTTTCTCTCCTTGGAATTCTCCTGTGCTTGTTATTAAGAAAAAAATCAGGGAAGTGGAGAATGTTAACAGATTTAAGGGCTGTTAATGCTGTAATTCAACTCATGGGCGTGCTGCAACCAGGGCTGCCCTCTCCAACCATGATTCCAAAATACTGGCCTCTAATAGTAATAGATTTAAAAGATTGCATCTTTACCCTTAGCTACCCAAGATTATGAAAAGTTTGCTTTTACTGTTCCAGCTATAAATAACAAAGAACCAGTGGACAGATACCTTTGGAAAGTATTACCACAAGGCATGTTAAATAGCCCAACTATTTGTCAAATTTATGTTGGAAAAGCTATCTAGCCAGTTAGAGAACAATTCAAAAAATGTTATATTATCCATTACATGGATGATAATTTATACGCAGCTGAAACTAGGGAGGAAGTAATACTATGCTACAAACAGTTAGAAAAGGCTGTAACTGCAGCAGGATTAATCATAGCCCCCAATAAAATCCAAACTTCTACTCCCTTTCAATATTTAGAAATGAAAATAGAACAAAATACTATTAAGCCTCAAAAGGTTCAAATTAGAAGAGATAATTTTAAAACTCTACATGATTTTCAAAAATTATTAGGAGACATTAATTGGATTCGTCCAACTTTAGGCATTCCTACTTATGCTATGTCTCATCTGTTTTCTGCCTTACAAGGTGATTCTGATCTTTTTTTTTTTTTTTTGAGATGGAGTTTCCCTTTGTTACCCAGGCTGGAGTGCAGTGGCGCCACCTCGGCTCACTGCAAGCTCCACCTCCCAGGTTCATGCCATTCTCCTGCCTCAGCCTCCCAAGTAGCTGGGACTACAGGCACCCGCCACCATGCCCGGCTAATTTTTTGTATTTTCAGTAGAGATGGGGTTTCACTGTTTTAGCCAGGATGGTCTCAATCTCCTGACCTCATGATCTGCCACCTCAGCCTCCCAAAGTGCTGGGATTACAGGTGTGAGCCACTGCGCCCAGCCAAGGTGATTCTGATCTTAACGGTAAATGCTCTTTATCCAAAGAAGCATTAGAAGAACTTCAATTAATTGAAGAAAAAATTCAACAGGCACAAGTGACTCGAATTGACTCTATGCAGCCATTACAGTTTTTTTAGTTTTTCCTACTAAACATTCACCTACAGGAGTTACTGTTCAATAGAATGATCTTGATCTGGTTGAGTGGCTTTTTCTACCTCACAATACGACTAAAACGCTCACTCTGTACTTAGATCAAATTGCTGTACTAGTAGGACAAGCAAGGCTGCACACAACAAAGTTAATGGGATATGATCCAAATCAAACTATAGTTCCATTAAACAAACAACAAATTCAACAAGCTGATATTAATTATCAGGAATGGCAAGTTAATTTGGCAGGTTTTATTGGCATTCTTGATAATCATTATCCTAAATCCCAAATATTCCAATTTCTTAAATTAACATCATGAATATTGCCTTCCATTACTCAAAAAATCCCTATTGAACGGGCCATTACTGTTTTTACTGATGGATCTAGTAATGGAAGGCCTCATTTGTGGGACCTCAACAACAAATTTTTCAAACTGACTTTGCTTCTGCTCAAAGGGCTGAATTTATGGCTGTGATAACAGTGTTAAAATCTTTTAAACAGCCAGTAAACATTGTTTCTGATTCAGCCTCTTTAGTGCAAGCCAGACAAAATATTGAATGTGTCTTAATTCAAAATGTGACTAATGACCAACTTAATCTTTTATTTCATTCTTTATAGCAAGCAGTACAACAAAGGCATTCCCCTTTCTATATCACTCATATGAGAGCACATACTAACCTCCCTGGCCCTTTAACTAAACTTAATCAAAGGATGGATAATTATATGGGGAAGAGGATTTGCTTGGGTCTCTCCAGGTAACAATCAGGTGCCTGTATGGGTGCCCACCAAACATCTGAAGATCTATCATGAGCTACAGCAGGAAGAGAAGACTCTGGGAAGAGCCAAAACTCCTGATACGAGTGATTCCGCAAACAAACATCTCAGAGACAAAGGAGAAAACCGAGAATAGTCGTCAGGCAAATTCTCCAACATGGGGACAAATCAAGAAGCTGGTGCAGATGGCAAAGGACAACTTGAAAGCACAGAACAAACTAAAAACAACTAGTAACCTGATGGTGGCCATGCTGGCAGTACTCACCATGGCGGCAAGCCTCCTTACTATAGGAGCAACTCAGAATTTCACTTATTGGGCATATGTCTCATTTCCTCCTTTAATTAGGTCTGTGAGTTGGATGGACCCTGTTATTAAGGTGTACACCAACGTCAGTACCTGGATGCCAGCACCCATAGATAACTGAGGGCCAATGCATCCTAATTAGGAAGGGATAAAAATAAATATATCCATAAAATATAAATATCCCCCAATATGCCTGGGACCTGCTGTTGGATGTTTACAGATTGACTCACAGGCCTGGTTGGCAGTAGTCCCCAAAAAATTAAATCATGGGCTGCTTTGCATATGATTTCGGGGCATAGTTTAAAATATAATCATTCCCATCCTAAAACCCTGCAGTTCCATCTGAATAAGTTCAAATATAAACAAAATAGAGTTTAAAGGTGTGGATTCTTGAACTTGGGAAGATTGTATGGCAAGTAAGGCTGAGGTGCTACAAAATAATTCCTATGGAGTCATCATTAATTAGCCTCCTAATGGGATCTTTTAAAAAAAATTGCACCAGAAGGCCTTCTTGTAGAACAAATATAATAAACCGATGTAACCACTGGCAATTAAATCATACACAATATATTCGGACAAAAGCTGAGGTACCTATCATATGGAGTCCTACTGGCATTGTCACCCCTAGTCCAAAAATAATATCTCCTGCCATAGAACAGGAATGTTCTGAATTAAGGAAATTAGCTATGGCTCAAAGTTCAATCAAAATTTGATAGGGTAAATATAACAACTATAAAGAGGAAGGAGGTAAAAATAAATATGCTCTTTCTTTTCTTTTCAACAGGACTTTTTGGATTCAAAGTTGTGTCCAGCCACCTTTTGTGCTAGCAATAGGAAATATTACTCTTGATATAAATACACACTTTATTTCATGCCTCAAATGTCATTTTTTACCTGCATTAATTCAACTTTTAATAAAAATCAGACTATCCTAATAATTAAAGCCAGGGAAGGAGTCTGAATCCCTATGTCTTTAAATAGACTGTAGGAGGCATCTCCATCCATTCATATAGTAACAAATTCTCAAAAAACTTTTATCCTGTTCAAAAAGATTTATAGTTGCTCTCATAGTTGCTACAATTGGCCTCATTGCTGTTACTACTACTACTGCAGTAGCTGGTGTGGCTCTACAGTCATCTGTACAAACTGTTAAATTTGTCAATAAGTGACAAAAGAATTCCACAAAATCATGGAACTCTCAAACTCAAGTAAACCAAAAAATAGTTAACCAAATAATGATCTCCGTCAGACAGTGATTTGAATGAGAGATCATATCGTAAGTTTAAAAAGTAAAATTCAAATGTAATGTGATTGAAATACCTCTGAGTTTTACATTACTCCTCATCTGTATAATAAAAGAGAGGATGAGTGTGAAAAAGTTAAGAGACATTTAAAAGGTCATACTGGAAATTTATCTTTGGATATTGCAAAACTGAAGGAACAAGTATTTCAAGCCTCTCAGGCACATCTGACACTAATGCCAGGAACTGAAGTATTTGAAGGAGCTGCAGACAGATTAGCAGCTATTAACCCGCTAAAATGGATCAAGACACTTGGAGGCTCTGTGATTTCAATAATGATTGTGCTTTTAATCTGTGTTGTCTTTATATACTCTGCAGATGCGGAAGCCGCCTCTGGAGAGAAAGCCACCTCCAAGAATAAGCAAAGATAGCTGTGGTGGTTTTGCAAAAAAGAAAAGGAAGACATGTTGTTAGAAGAGCTGAGGCAGGACTGGCTTGTCTGTCATAATATAAAAGAGTCTTGGAAGATGTCCGGGGTCCAGGGTCTAAAACCCCTCGTGGCCTTTGGAACACCAAGCTCTGTGCTAAAGGGTGAAAGGCTGCCCTGTTGCACTACAAATCTAAGCCCAGGGCATAAAACCCCTCGTGGCTTGGATGGAATCCAGGGCTCAGGGCATAAAACCCCCCATGGCCTCTGGAATGTGCACAGACTTGTTGGTTGCTCTCCCAGGCTCGTAAACATGTTCTCTATTATCTCAAGGCAGCAGAGCATATTCTGTGTCATCAAAGAAAATGCTAAACTGTCACAGCTATGCTTGATGCACTGCTACCTTTCTATCCCAAAGCCTTCACGCCCTCACCTGTTTACCCCCACATCCACACATCCTCACCACCTGCTTCTTTGTTTGATCATCAATAAATAGTTTGGGCTCCCAGAGCTCAGGGCCTTTGCAGCCTCCATACCACCGTTGGCCCCCTGGACCCACCTTATGTACTCTTAATCTGTCTTTTCTCATTCCTTTGACTCCGCTGGACTTTGTAGCCCTGACGTCCTGGTATTGGGCCATTTACATTAACTTTCACCATACAATTAACTTTCACCATTGGGACATTACAAACATAGTGTAAGCAGAAGTTTGATGAACTTGCACATAGGATTAGGCCTCTTTGAGTGCACTTTCTTAAAATCCAGTTGCCAGTCTGTGAGGAAGCCAAGCAGCCACATAAAGATGTCCATGTAAGAGTTAACCAAGGAGCCTGGCCAAAAACCCCCCACTGAGCTCCCAGTAGGTGGCCAGCACGATATACCAGCCTTGTGACCTTGCAACTATCTCAGCACTCCAGCTGACACAACACCCCATGAAGCAGAATCACCTAATCAACTGATATGGTTTGATGCTGTGTCCCCACCCAAATCTCTCAATCTGAGATCCCCAATGTTGGGGAAGAGACCTGGTGGGGTATGACTGGATCATGGGGGCGAATTTCCCCCTTGCTGTTCTCGTGAGAGTGAGTGAGTTCTCACAAGATCTGGTTGTTTAATGGTGTGGAGCACCTCCCCCTTCACTTTGTCTATCCTGCTTCACAATGTGAAGATTGTTCCTGCTTCCCCTTCACCTCTGTCATGATTGTAAGTTTCCTGAGGCCTCCCCAGCCATGCTTCCTGTACAGCTTGTGGAACTACGAGCCAATTAAACCTCTTTTCTTTATGAATTACCCAGTATCAGGTAGTTTTTCATAGCAGTGTGAGAACAGACTAATATATCAACCAAAAGAATTATGAGAAATGATATCCTGTTAGTATTTAAACCACAGGATTTTGGAGTGATTTGTAAAGTAGCAATAAACAACAGAAACGCAAGACTATAAGAACAAAAACAAAAGACCTATCTAATGTGGAAAATCAAGGAGGCTTTTCCAGAGGAATCAATAATTTACATAGAATATGGAAGAAAAAAAAGTATGAGTTAACTTCCAAACAGAGAACACAGTCCATAATGGCCTGTGTTTGAAGGGAAGCAGATGCACTAAAAAACAGAATGGAGATTATTATTTTATTTTCTCTTTTTTTTTTTTTTTTTTGAGACAGAGTCTTGCTCTTTCATCCAGGCTGGAGTGCAGTGGTATGATCTTGACTCACTGCAACCTCCGCCTCCCAGGTTCAAGCGATTCTCCTGCCTCAGCCTCCTGAGTAGCTGGGATTACAGGCACCCACCACCACGCCCAGCTAATTTTTGTACTTTTAGTAGAGACAAGGTTTCACCATGTTGGTCAGGCTGGTCTTGAACTCCTGACCTCAAGCAATCCACCCACCTCAGCCTCCCAAAGTGCTGGGATTACAGATGTGAGCCACCACACCCAGCCTAAAAAACAGAATGGAGATCATTTTCTTATGCATTTTTGCCTAATTATAAAACAGGCCAGACATGGTAGCTTATACCTGTAAGCACTTTAGGAAGGAGGCCAAGGCGGGAGGATCATCTGAGCCCAGGAGTTTGAGACCAGCCTGGGCAACATAATGAGTCTCCGTCTATATAAGGAAAACAAATATATATATATATAAACAAACATATATATATATATATGGGGAGGCTATATATATGTGTGTGTGTGTATATATATGTGTGTGTGTGTATATATATAGAGAGAGAGAAGCAAACATGTGCATACATTGACTTTATACAATAGTATACTTAAGAAGGAAACAAAAACCCAGACCTAAAACTGATATGTCTAGTCTTGCTTATTAATACAGACTAGCTATTATGAGCCATCTGTGACATATACACATTGTGCTGGGACCATCTGCAATGTTCCTAATCTAATGGTTTAAATGATGGCTCACACCCTCATTAGACGATATCAGCACCTCAAAACACATTTGTTGGAAATAGCAAGGTACTGATCCCTTCAGATGCTATCAAGTGGCTACACTGTAAACTAATGCACATCCTAGCAAGAACAAAGGGAACACAGACATTGAGTCCCTTCTGTGGACCAGGACATTTGACAGACTCATACATTCTTTCATTAATCTTAGCAATCTCAAGAGCAGGTATTATTTTTCATTTTTTACTTATTAAAGAAAGTAAGGTTTTTAAAGTTTCATTAGCTTGATCACATGGCTCGAAAGTAGTAGAGCAAAGTTTTAAATCCCAGGCTGTCTGCCTCCAAAATCTGCATCTATAATAGCTGTTGTTGGTTGCCTTCTCTGCTCCCTTTTCCCCCTTTCTTCCAGATGTTTTTCAACACCCATATCCTCCCATGCAGCCAGTGAGCTTCAAGGGTCAGTCTCTTGCCTACAGCAGTCTTTTTTTTTTTTTTTTTGAGACAGTCTCTCTCTGTTGCCCAGGCTGGAGTGCAGTGGCACGATCTCAGCCTCCCAGGCTCAAGCAATTCTCGTGCTTCAGCCTCCCAAATAGCTGAGACTAGAGGCGTGTGCCACCATGCCCGGCTAACTTTTGAATTTTTTTGTAGAGACGAGGTTTCACCATGTTGCCCGGGCTGGTCTCAAACTCCTGAGCTTGAGCAATCTGCCCGCCTTGGCCTCCCAAAGTGCCAGGATTACAGGCATGAGCCACGATGCCTGGCCCTCCAGTAGTACTTCTTAGCAGCAGGTGCAACTGGCACTTGGGGCTGACCAGTTATTTGCTCTGCAGGGCTCTCAGGTGCATCTTAGGATGTTTAGCATCCCTGACCTCCACTTGCCATCACTCTAACAACTCAAAATGCCCAGCATACACTTGCATGGAAGTGCTCAGCCTGAGAATGGCCAGTTCACACAGAATACCGTGCCTCCTGCCAATGATGGGTTCAGGAACTTACCCAGCAATTGGTGAGCTGCCCCTTGAAGGGGATTTCCCTGCCACATGGAATGATCCATGTGCTTCCCACAACCTCGGCACTGCACAGTAATCCTATCACTTTGATATTCTTTTTCCCATTTTACAGATTAAGAAACTGAAATACAGATGGAATCAATGGCATGGCCAGGTCATATGGTCAGTAACTAATGAAGCTGGAGGCTTAATATACTGCCAAATAAAATTATGGGAGTGACCTGAAGATCCAGATTGGATCCCAGGGCCAGAACTGGATGGTAATTTGATTGAATTTGTTAAAGTATCTAAAATGACTGTTATCACAAGTGGGGTTAGTCAGCCTTAAACCCTCAAAAAAGGAAGGTCTCAGAGATAAAAAGCAGTATTCTCTATTAAAACATGATTCATGGTTTAGATCTCAAGAACTTCAACCACAAAAAAAAACTTGTTTTAAACATGATTCATGGGAGTTTTTCATTCATCAAAATATTTGATACTTGGGCAAAGCCATTAGGCCAGGATTATAAATGCTGCAGAGGCCAAAGAGATAAATGGCGCTGTTCAGAGGGAGATAACAGGGTGTGGTTAGGGCTGATGAAGTAAGTGAGCGAATGAGCTGATTAAAGGTATTGGGATTAATGTTTTTCTCATCCCAAAAGTGAGATGGGTGACTCATGTTCTCTTAGCTTAAGGTCATTAAATATTCCATAGACATTATTCTTTGTCCAGGATAACAAAAAGCTAGTTGCACAAATTTAAAATATCCCTGTCTCTGGGACAATGATTTCTCATTGCAATTTGACCTTCTGCTTTTAAAAATCAGACTCATAAACTAGGTTAATGTAAGTCCATTCCTGAAAGATGAATTCACTCTTGATATACAGAGAAATCAGGTTTCTAAGCCTGATTTACTATACATACCAGCCTGTGAGCCCCCTTGGGAGACACAATATAGCCTTGCTTTGTGAACATAAAGCATACATCATTTCCTTGTGGACGACAAATATGTTTTTCTTATTTGTTATATGCTGATGATTTTTAAATTTGTCTGTGGAGGTCACAACTCTCATTAGTCAAAAATTTAAAAAGCTGTACCAGGCTTGCTGTAAAAATTAGATGATTTAAGGTAGTTTGTTAAACATTTTTTATTGCATTAAACTTTTAGGAAATTTTAAGAATAACTGTGAGAGATTCAATAGATACATAGGTAAAGGACACAAGCATGTTATCTACAATAGAGGAACTACAAATGTCTAGCACATAGTTGAAAAAAACATTTGGCCCCCACAATTATGCCAGCTATGTAGTATTTCTATCTCAAGCTCAGGCCACTCCCCCAAGCTCCAGATTCAAATGTCCAATCGCTCATGTGAGATCACTTAGAAGTCTACTGGCATCTCAATTCAACATGTCCAAAACAGAATCTTTGATTCACTCTCCTTTTTCCCACATACCTGGTCTCCTACCTCAATTAATTGCATTACTTTGTTCATCAGGCAAAATAAACAGGAATCATGCTTACTTTTTTCTCCTTCCCAGTTCTTCCATACAAAGTCTGTCATTGAGCTGGACCTGGTGAGGTCCTGGACTCTTGGGTGCTGCCTGGACCCACCCAAATGCCAGAATGGGAGTGACTTGATTAAGTTCCTCAGGGAGCTAGGTTAAGCAGATAACCTTTCTCTTGTTTCACACACACACAAAAATCTTGCCCTCCTAGAAATTCACCTCTCAAAACAATACCAGCCAAGTAGAAGAGGAAAAGAAGAGCAAGTGTCTAGAGGCCCTGATTTGCCTGGACACCCATCTGGGTGATTTGGGGTGGCCAACTTGAAAGAGCTTTTTTTTCCCCCAAGCCATTCTCTCCTGTTCTCAGCCAGCTTCCTGCAACCATGAGGTCAGAAACAAAAACAAGTATGTTTGTGCTTTTACATTTGTGATGGGCAAGGTACTCTAAAACGCAGGGTTCAGGGCAGGGGCCCCTTTCTTCTGAGTTCAAGAAAGCCACTGAGTCTTTTTTTTTTAGACAAGGTCTTGCTCTGTCACCCAGGCTAAAGTGAAGTGGCAGGAACATGGCTCACTGCAGCCAGTCTCATTCTCCTGGGCTCAAGCAATCCTCTCACCACAGCTCCCCAAGTTGCTGGGACTACAAGCACATGCCATAGTGGCCTGCTAACTTTTTTATTATTATTATTGTAGAGACAAGGTCTCACTTTGTTGCCCATGCTGATTTCAAATTCCTGGGCTCAAGCAATCCTCCCATCTCAGCTTCCCTAAGTGCTGGGATTACAGGCAAGATACACCACTGTACCTAGCTTTTATTCATTTTATTATTCATCTTTATTGCTTTCATTGCACATGCTGTTAACTTCTTATGAACTCTTTGTTCTAATAAATAAGCATATCCAGGTTTTTCATAAATAAATGAGGAGTCTATAAATTCTTACTAGTTTTAATAGAAACATTGCCACTAAAATGGTGTATTCTAGCTGTGTGAGCTTTTGGAAAATGTTTTCATTTCCTTTATGTTTGAATGTTCCTTCCAGGTCTTTGAAAATATACATTCTGAGTTGAAAAGCTTTATAATAGGTAAAACTCATTAACCCATATACTTTCCATGCTGGGCACAGCAGGTGTGGTAGGTAGAAATATAAGATGACTCCCAAGATTTTTGCACCCTGGCATACACATATGCTTTTCCAGTTGTTGAAACACTAATTTAGGTGCTGCTGTGAAGGGATTTTGTAGATGTGAATAATGTTCCAAATCAGTTGGCCTTAAGATAGAAAGATGATCCTGGATGGGCCAGATCTTATCAGTTGAGTCCTTAAAGGGAACAGCACCCTTCCTGACAAAGAGATTCAAAGCATGAAGGATTAAAAATGAGAGAGATTCTCTATTGCCAGCTCTGGAAATAGAGTAGGTCACGTGGTAAGTCGTTCAAGTGGCCTCTAGTTGCTGAGAGCAGCTCCCAGGTAAGAGCCAACAAGGAAATAATGACTACAAGGAGATGAATCTGGCCACACTATGTAAGCTTGGAAAGGAACTCTGAATGCCAGATGAGGATGCAACCAAGCCAACACCTTGAGTTTAGCCTTATGAGATCCTGAGTCGAGAATCCAGTGAGACGATGCCCAGATTTACCACAACCCTAGAGGCTAAAGACAATACCCCCTAATTATCTCACAATGCTGTATTGTCTTTAGTCTCTAAGGTTATTTAGTAATTTAGTAATAAAAAGCAAATCCAGTAGGACCATGCTAAATTAAGATACAACCTCTATATCATATGATGCAGTGTGAATCAGCACAGTAGAGATTGCAGTGTCTCTGGAAGCCATTTCTATACTGGACAATTCTTTGCAATAATTCAACTACACGTGCAAGTGATCAAATTAATATATCTTACAAAACTAAGTGTATCTTCAACAATACTCTTCCTTAACCAGTACCAAAAAAAAAGATCTGTGAATATTCTCTAACACCTCTCAACACAAGGGCAAGTGTCACAGATGGAAGTGAAGACTAAAGAGAGACAATAGAATTCACTGATTAAGGTTTAAATATCTTACTTTAGCAACTTTTTATTTGCAAAAATAGAAAACTGATCATGTGAACACATTTGCATTAAAAGATGTTTCTGCAAATTAGGGGCCCTGAAATTAAGCTTCATTAGGTTCATGGTAAGTCTACCTCTCTCTTTATCTATAGCACTTGGCAAAGGGCCTGGCATCTGAATGACAGGTCTCAAATGTTCTTTTTCATATGATTACATTAAATAAATCATTAAATTGTTATTTACTTAAATAACTTTAAAATTTTCTTGAGTGAATTAACACTACTTGAAGGATCCCTGTAAACTGAGTCCACTTTCAATTTCCTATCTACTGGGTCACTTATAACAAACCATGTTACACGTATACTTCCTCATCTCTGCTTGTTTCCAAGAAAGGAAAGGTAAGTAATTTAGTTTTTGTATTTCAATTAGTAATTCAATAACCTGTCTGTTTTTTGTTTTTTTAAAGCAAAATAGCTTATCTCAGAGTTCAGATCAGACAATCTCACCACTGGTGTTTGGATTCAGTGTCTTTTGAGGTAAAGTGAAAGAAGAACCTTTCAGAAATGCATGCAGTTAATTCAAGGAGAGGAAGAAGGATCTAGTTCTAAAGAGGTTTTTGTCTATAATTGATTTTTCTAAAGGAAAAATCAACAAAAAGTATAGTGTGTCAATGCTGAATACTCTGCTCTTTCAAACGGACACTTTCGTATTATAATTTGTATCAGATACAGTATCAAGAAAATTAAAATACCCATATACTAAGAGCAAAAAATGTTCTTCAGTAAGTCTGGTAATGAAAACTTCAAGATAAGATTTCAAAATTACATAAGGCTGCAGTTCTTCTAATAAAGATTACTAAACTGTAGTATCAGAAAAGGTACTTTTGGGGAATCAAATGATAGTGAAGCTTCCCTCCTGGTTTGTACCTTAAACTTGCTTGGCTAATGGCAGTACTTTCACCACCCCCATTTAGTGTAACTTTTGTTAAACTTAACTTAAAATGCAAAATGATGCATAATATACAATGTTATTCATAATGATAATAGCTGCTGTAGTATTTGGATATAAGAGTTTTCACAGGCAGGAAAACATTCAGTTTCTAAAAAATGATTCAAAGTTCATGAAAAAGTATAAATAAACGGTTTACTCTGTTGTTCACGTAAATCCCTAAGGACGTGGAATGGAAACAAACAGCAAGTATTCTTAAAAAAAAAAAAATCCTTTTTAGGATCTACTTTGTCATTGTATTCTAGCCTTAAAACAATTGCTTTGCATATAACTTTTTTTAAAACTGAAAAAATATGCTTGATCTTCCTTTTCTGACTACACAATTATTTTTTTCTTTTTTTAATCAAAAACTCACTGCTTGCTAATGACCATACAATTATTGTTGTTGTTGTTGTTTAGAGACAGGGTCTCACTCTGTCACCCCAGCTACAATGCAGTGACACAATCATAGCTCACTGTAGCCTCAAACCCCTGGGCTCAAGTGATCCTTCCAAGTAGCTAAGGCTGCATGCCACCATGCCTGGCTAATTTATTTTTATTTTTTTTATAGATGGGGTCTTGCTATGTTGCTCAGGCTGGTCTGGGATTCCTGGCCTCCAGCAGTCCTCCTGTGTAGCTGGGATTACAGACTTGAGCCACAGCACTGGCCTAAAATAATTATTTGTCAGTTCCTTATTTAAAATATTCTTAGCAGGCCGGGCACAGTGGCTCACACCTGTAATCCCAGCACTTTGGGAGTCTGAGGCAGGCAGACCACTTGAGGTCAGGAGTTTGAGACCAGCCTGGCCAACATGGTGACAACCCACCTCTACTAAAAAGACAAAAAGATTAGCCAGGCGTAGTGGCACTTGCCTGTAATTCCAGCTACTCGGGAGGCTGAGGCAGAATCGCTTGAACCTGGGAGGCAGAGGTTACAGTGAGCCAAGATTGCACCACTGCACTCCAGACTGAGTGACAGAGTGAGACTCCATCTCAAAAATAAAATAAAATAAAATAAAATATTTCTAGCAGTATATAAAACCAAAACCACAACAAACTTCTTTATAGGCTAATCCATTTATAACAAAATTGTATGCAGATAGATCACATGAACATGATTTGACTCAAAATGGATCTGACTTCAGATGATATTTATTAGATGTCTGTTTTTATTTCTTTATCTATTCAGGTTTGTGGCAGCCAGCTACCAAGGTGGCTCCCAATGACCTTTGCCTCTGGCATAAATGCCCATGTGTAGTCCCTTCCTACATTTTATCATGGCTGGTCTGTGGGACTAACAGAATACACCAGAAGTGATGATATGCAACTTCTGAGGCTAGGTCATACAAAGACATTGAGGTTTTTGCCTTGTTCTATGTCAGATCACCCTCTCTGGAAGGAATCAACTGCCTTGTCATGAGGATACTCACACAGTCTTACGGAGAAGTCAAAGAACCGAGGTCTCCTGCCAACAGCTGGGTGAGTGAGCCATCTTGGATGAAAATCCTCCAGCCCCAGTCAAGCCTTCAAATGACTGCAGCCCTGGCTGAAAAATTAAATGCAACATATGAGAGACCCTAAGGCAGAATCACCCAGGTAAGCTGCTCGTAGATTTCTGATGCACAAAAATTGTGTGAGAGATCAAATGTTTATTGTTGTTTCAAGGCTGTGCAGTATTTTCTCATAATCTGAACATTTGTAGAGGTTTCTGAGAATTGATCTCCAGATTCCATACATTGGGAAATTTAAAACAGCAGTGGAAGTACAGCAATTTTTCTTGCCACAAACCTGAATTAACCTTACAGATTTTTTAATAGGAGCCCTGAGATATAATTTTACTTTTTGGAGAATATACTTACCCTTTTAATAGCTTAACTTTTCTTTTTTAGAATAAAAATGTTTGGAAAACTAGACTCCTGTTTCTCCAGATTAGAAATGAAATTTGATCCTGTGGTGGCAGTTTTTCTCTCTCTCATCATTACATATGTTAGAAATTCTGATAAGGAGATTGTTAGAAGCAGAGATAAAGATTATATAAAAGAGAGAGGAGACAGAAAAGGAGGTGAAATGTAATCTCACAATTCCCTGCACCACTTATTTATTTCCTAAAATCTTGTCTCACACAAAAGACATCAGAGACAGAAAGTTTTCTCTGTCCACATCTCCCATAGGGACAAAGATAGCTTACCATTTCTTGGAAAATAAAGAAAAAATGAATTTTTCTTTACCAAAATTTAAACACCATTAGGGATAGAGGTTAAAATTAATTGAGACATCTGTAAGAGTAACAAGTACCGCTACTCTGGGTACATTGCCCATGGGGTAGCCCTGCTCCACAAGAAGCAGTAAAGCTAAAACAAACAAACAAACAAAAAATAAAAAAAGAGTAACAAGTAGTTCTCTCTTTAGCACCATGTGAAGTATATTTTCATGATCCCATTCCCATTCCAATCCCAAATTTTCCAAAGCAAGGAACACCTACTATTTAACATAAAACATAGGACATATTAAAGACAAATGAAGAGTAGGGTTTGAAACCGTTGCAAGATCTGGTCTCCACTGACAAAAAAAAAAAAAAAAAAAATTCAACAATGTAGATGATAAACTACTACCGACTTTACCTGGTTGTGTAGGAATTGTTCCCTTAATATACTTGGATACATTTGTAGAAAATAAGCCACCTGCAACTTGGTATATATATACTCTCCTAGCAATAATGTACTTTTCAGAGTGTCTTCACATCTATCGCTAGAAATGCTATTATGTAAGTAACCAGAATTATTATCTCTTTTGAACAGATGATGAAAGTTTGAAGTGGACTTTCTCAAGGACAGCTAGTTAGTGGCAAGGAAGAGACTGTAATTCAGACTTTCTGGAATCCAAAATGGAGCCTTTCTCCTGACCATTGTCTCTGTTGAATGCACTAAGCAAATCTCTAGGACTTAGAAAAAATAATTAATTTAAGAGTATTATTCTTGTTTTTAATTCACTTTTAAGTTCTATATGAATTATTAATTCAATATCTATTATATAGTGGTTTTTTTTTAAGATAGGGTCTCACTCTGTTGCCCAGGCTGGAGTGCAGCAGGAATGCAGTGGCACAATCATTGCTTACTGCAGCCTCAAACTCCTGGGCTCAAGGGATCCTCCCACCTTAGCCTCCCTAGTAGCTGGGAATGCAGGTATGAGCCACTGTGCCCAGCTTATATAGTAATTTTTTTAAATAGTTAAAAATAATTTTTAAGGCCAGGCAGAGTGGCTTACATCTGTAATCCCAGCACTTTGGGAGGCCAAGGTCGGAGGATCACTTGAGTTCAGGAGTTTGAGACTAGCCTGAGCAACATAGCAAAACCCCATCTCTACAAATAATTATTATTTTTGAGACAGAGCCTTGCCCTGTCACTGAGGCTGGAGTGCAGTGGTGCCATCTCGACTCACTGCAACCTCCATCTCCTGATTCAAGCGATTCTCCTGCCTCAGCCTCCCAAGTAGCTGGGATTACAGGCACATGCCATCACACCCAGCTAATTTTTGCATTTTTAGTAGAGATGGGGTTTCAACATGTTGGCTAGGCTGGTCTTGAACTCCTGATCTCAAGTGATCCACCCTCCTCGGCCTCCCAAAGTGCTGCTATAACAGGCGTGAGCCACTGTGCCCGGCTATACAAATAATATTTTTAAAGTTAGCCAGGTGTGGTGGTGTGTGCCTATTGTCCCACGTACTTAGGAGGCTGAGGTGGGAGGATCACTTGAGCCCAGGAGGCTGAGGTTGCAGTGAGCATGATTGCACCACTGCACTTCAGCCTGAGCAACAGAAACCTCATCCCCCCCAAAAATAAACTTTTTTTATGCAGACAAGGTCTCACTATTTTGCCCAGGCTGGTCTTGAATTCCTGGACTTAAGTGATTCTCTCACCTCAGCCTCCCAAAGTGCTGGGTTTACAGGTGTGAGACAGCATGCCTGACCAAATAGTTATATTTTTAATGCAGTATTTTATAAAATTGGCTTATTGTTATCCCAATATTCATTGTTTCTGTTCCATACACTTATATGAGTACTTTCTATTACTAATGACCAGTCCATTGGTATAAAGAATAGCCTACATATAAAAGAAACTTTTTTCTCCCACCTACACACACTTTGACTGAGGATGTGAATTTGCTGTCACTAATTTTTGACTCTTCAAGTAGCTTTCTGAAGGATGAGCAGAACGGAATGGAAAAGAGAAAACAGTCACTTCTGGCTTCAACATGGAACCAGATTATTGAACCAGAAACAATGAATATTTGGATAATAATAAGCTAACCAGAAATAGGTCATGAGTGGAAAAGCAAAACAAGAAATATTACTAAGAATGTTATCCAACTAGACTAGAAATGGCATATCAAGTAGATGAGAAAAACCAAGTACAATAAGGAGGGTTGTTGAAGCACCTGGAATGACTACGCTAAGACAATAGCTATAAAAGATAATGCCCTTGAAGACCCAGCTTAAAAGACTCTCCCTCTGCAAAACCTACCCTCATTTCACCCCCAAAAAATTGTACTCTCTAAAATAATAGAGCTCCTCTCCTGTAGCCTTCATCAGGCCAAAGTTATTTATGACTTAGCACAAGACAACTCTCCTTTAAGGCAGGGTCCTTGTTGGGCTCATTTAACTCCTATGGTTTTTTTTGTTTGTTTGTTTTTAGAGACTGAGTCTCATTCTGTCGCCCAGGCTGGAGTGCAGTGGCACAATCTCAGCTCACTGCAACTACCCCCGAGTTCAGGTGATTCTTCTGCCTCAGCCTCCCAAGTAGCTGGGACTACAGGTGCGTGCCACCATGCCCAGCTAATTCTTGTATTTTTAGTAGAGATGGGATTTTGACATGTTGACTAGGCTGGTCTCAAACTCCTGACCTCAGGTGATCCACCTGCCCCGACCTCCCAAGGTGCTGGGATTACAGACATGAGCCACTGCGCCCAGCCTCCTGTGGTTTTTTGTTTTTTGTTATTGCCAGTTGTGAGAGTTGGGGCAGAGGGAGAGATATATTTCCTTTGCAGCTACAGTTCTTATTAACAGGTTGAAGGTGGAGGAGGACAAGGAGGAGAGGAAAGGAAGGGGGAAACAACCTCAATGTTTAAGAAGTGTCCTCTGTGTGCTTGACATAGTGCTAGACATTTTATATATGTCATCTCAGAGGGGAAACTAAGGCTTAGAGCATTTAGTAATCTATCAAAGATCACTCAACTGATGTTGAGTGGTAAAGTCAGGATTTGAATCTAATTATTTCTTCTTCCAAAACTGGTACTGAGTTCCGGTGTGGTGGTTCACACCTGTAATCCCAGCACTTTGGGAGGCCAAGGCAGGTGGATCACTTGAGGCCAGGAGTTTGAGACCAGCCTGGTCAACATGGCAAAACCCCATCTCTACTAAAAATACAAAAATTAGTCGGGTATGGTGGTGTGCACCTACAGTCCCAGCTACTTGGGAGGCTGAGGCATGAGAATCGCTTGAACTCAGGAGGTGGAGCTTGCAGTGAGCTGAAATCGCACCACTGCACTCTAGCCTGGGTGACAGAGAGAGACTTTTTCTAAAAAACAAACAAACAAACAAACTGGTACTGAGTTTAAGTATTTGCTGGAAAATTAGTTCTGTTATGGTACTTGGAGATGGCTGAAGGAAGGCATTTCACAATTGTTCTTAATTATTTCTGGGTCATGGAAGAATCTCTCCCATAAAAGTGTACATGTGCAAATATATACATCATTATCAGTTTTGCATACCATTTCAGAAGGAGTGGCTAAGGAACCATGGAAACCAAGGCAAAAACCTCAAGATTACAGTATTCCCAACCACCTTCTCCCATTCCACTCCACCCTATCCCTCTTCCCAAAGCCTGAGAGTAATTAAAACCAAAGAAAATATAAACATGAAAGTTTAGTTGGGAGAAGCAAATGCAAACTTCTAATATAGTATTGTACTCAAAAATGTCATGGAGAACTTGATTAGGAGACACTGAAGAATGTAGTGCTACAATCTTGAAATTTCACAGTTATGACCTTCAGACCATATATGATGTAAGGCTGAGAGACAGAGTTACCACAACACATCCTAAGAGACTGAAAATAGCCGAAAATCAAACTGAATGGAAAATTCCAGGAAGTATACTATATTTAATGGAAGAGAGGTTTATTTCTGTTATTTTGTCTGGGGGACTTTTCTTGAAAAATATGTTTGGATTTTTATGGGCTAAAGAAAATGTTTTAAATGAGGTTTATGTGATTTTTATTTATACCCTGTATTTTTTCGAAGATTTAAGAGATTATAGGTTTATAGAAAATATAACAAAATATTATGAATCATACATAGGAAAAAAGGTAGAGACATAAAATAGAGCCAGGAACAAACTTAATTTTAAACCATGAATTTATATAGTGATTAGGCCTTTAGTTCCTCAAGTTAATTTCTTTTTTTTCTTTTTAATTTTCTGTAGAGACAGGATCTCACCATGTAACCCATGCTGATCTTCTTGAACTCCAAGGCTCAAGGGATCCTCCAGACTTTGCCTCCCAAAGTGTTGGAATTACATGCATGAGCCACCGCACTCAGCCCCTCAAGTAATTTCCAAAAATTATGCAGTGCAAAGAGTTTTATGTATTAGGTATACATTTTTCATAATTTACACAGTATTTTCACATACATTATCTCATTTGATCCTAAATGGACTTTGTTAAGCAGTTATTATCCACATATTCCAAATAAGGAAACTGAAGCCCAGAGAAGAACTTGAAAATCCTGTTCTTCAAGGTGGGAGAATTGCTTGAGGCCAGTAGTTCAAGACCAGCCTGAGTAACAGAGGGAGTCTCCATCTCTCCAAATAATAATAATAATAATAAATGATATAGGCGTGGTGGCATGTGCCTGTGATCCCAGCTACTCAGGAGGCTGAGGCAGGACAATCACCTGAGCCCAGGAAGTCAAGACAGCAGTAAGCCATGACTGGGTCACTGTACTCCAGCCTAGATGACAGAGCAAGACCTCCTCTCAATCAATCAATCAATCAATCAGAACAATATGCATTTGACATCTATGGCCCCTGCATTTTCACGAGAGGATTACTACCTTCTTTACAGATGGCTTTAGATTTGGAGGCTGGCTAAGCATAAAATTAAAAGACGTCATGCTTGGAATAGCCCTTTTAAGAAACACTTAACTCCTTTACTTAATAGACAAGTGCACTGAACCACTCATAATTTTTTAAATTATTTTTATTTTAATAATTATTTTATTTATTAAGACACAAGGTCTCAATCTATAGCCCAAGCTGGAGTGCAGTCGCACCATCCTAGCTCACTGCTGCCTCAAACTGCTTGGCTCAAGCTATCCTCCCTCTTCAGCCTCCCAAGTAGCTGGGACCGCAGGCACAAGCCATCGCAACCTGTGCTCTGAAGCTTTAAGAGGCCAAACGATTCCTCACATTCATCCGATCAGTTACAGGTAGAGCCAAGACCAGAAGCCAGGTATCCTATTTTCCTTATAACACATTGCCTCTATAGCTTTATATCCATTTCTATGATTTTTGTTACATACCCAGTTCTGACCATTTCCTGTCACAATTTCCTTTGTCTACTAAGTAAAGTTCTAAATGCATGGTGACATAACATACAAGGCCCTACATAACCTGGCACAAGAGACCTCTCCAGGTACTCTCCTCCTCTAACAGTGTAGGAATACTCCTGACTCCTAGGATGCCAGGCATTTGTATAACATCCTAATAGAGTTGTGCTGGTGAAGGAAGGCCACATCCCTCTATCTTGTGAGAGTGAAGACTTGAGTTTCTCCATCACCAAGGAAGACTTGGGTGAAGGCACTCAAGTGGGAGGGACAAAATGACATCTGAAAACTGGAGGCCTTGGGCAGGGACCTCCCCTTCCTCAAACTAAAGGTGAATGAACCAAATTTTGCGATTCCAGGTAGCTTTTCATGTCAAATTTTCATGTCAAATTCTTCCGTGCCATCTCTGACCCTTTAGTAAAATCCCCTCCAAATATTCCAGAAAAACCTTGTGAGTTCATATTTGGCAAGGCCATCCAAAGCATGTTAGCAACCCAGCATGATGGTGTCAGTACTAATTACATAATGAGAGGCCCCAAAGAGAAGAGTATTAGGCAACAGGAACGAGGGCCACTAAATCCCAATCGCTTTTCCCCAGCAATGATTCTCCTTCAATATGAGGTTATGGGTTATGAGGATATGAGTTAGTCAATTAGCTTCCTTATGCAACTTCAAATTCCCTGAACAGATCCAGGAATTTTGCACATTCTGTTCCTTGTCCATAAACTTTGGTTCCCCTCCCCAAACTGTTGTTCTTTCGACAAACTCTATACATAATTCATATTCCTGGCTCAGAAATCATAATCTCTAAGTAACCTTTCCTGACACCCTATTCTCCACCTCCTCTTCCATAACCTGTGGTCTTTTTGAACAGAGTGGTGACATTTTGGGCTGGATGACTGAAAAAGCAAAGTAGAAAAACAGAACATAGAACATACAGGGCCTCCAGTTGCTGTGCCTGGCGGTACATGAAACATAGTATTCAATAACTATTCTTTGAATGCACAGTCATTTTGTTTTTTCCTTTAACAGTATTTCCTAATAGGTAACTCATGAACACTGCAAAAAATGTCAAACTGCACAAAAAAATTCAGGGAAAAGTACATTTTCCCCCCAATCCCATTCCCTCCTTTCTCTTAATACCAGTTAGCTTTCCTTTCAGATTGATTATGCATATATGGGTATGTAAATGTTTTCCCACTATTTGTTACACATAAAAATTATATACAATTCATATATTACATATGGTGCATGTTATATACACACACATAAACAGATCATCTCGGTTTTGCTTAACCTAAGTCAGGCTTTTTTTTTTTTTTTTTTTTTAGAGCAGCCCTCAGAACCAGGACAGGTTCAGAGACTTTATTTATTTTTTATTTACTATTATTATTTTGAGACGGAGTCCCGCTCTGTCGCCCAGTCTGGAGTGCCGTGGTTCAATCTCGGCTCACTACAACCTCCACCTCCCAGGTTCAAGTGATTCTCCTGCCTTAGACTCCGAGTAGCTGGGATTACAGGCGAGCACCACCACGCCCGGCTAATGTATTTTTAGTAGAGACGCGGTTTCGCCATGTTGGCCAGGCTGGTCTCGAACTCCTGACCTCAGGTGAGAGCAACGTAGTACTCCACTGTGCGTGCATACCATGATTTACTTTGCAGTCCCAGATTTACGGTTTCCAATTTATAAATACTGCCATTTTCACCTTCAAGCCCCGATGCCAAACACAGAAATACCAGGCCACCCCCACCCCCTCGCCGTGTGCCTCCCACATTTTCACACACATTTTCAGGAGCCCAGGGCGCAGCCTCACACCGAACGCCGCCTCTGCCGTCCCCTCACTTGCCCCGTGCCCCCACCGCAGGGCTGAAGGCGACGGAACCGAGCCTTTGTACCCCCACCAGCCCCGTTCCCTGGCGTCTCCCGGCCGCCGGGCTCGCCCGCTCAAACGTGGCGGAACAACCGGAGCCGGGCCCCGCCCTGCTGGAAGACAGGGCGGACCGGGCAAGGCAGGCGCGGGGCGGGGCGGGGCGGGGCTCCGGCTGGCGGGGCGCGGCCAGCGTGCAGGGCTGGGCCAGCGTGCGGGGCTCCTCCCCTTTCCTCCGGCGGCGCCGGCGGCCGCAGAACTTCCGGGTCGGCGCGGAGGCGGGGCGGAGGCGCCGCGGCGGCTGTTATTGTTCGGCTGGGCTCGGTCGGGCGCTGTCTCCCTCGGCTCTGCGGGTGTCAGTTCGTCCGGCTTCCTCACAGCCCCTCACTCCCGGCGGCTGACAGCAGCAGCGGCGGCGGCGGGCGGCGCCTGGCGTTTCGAGGCTGAGCGGCACCGGGGTTGGGGCGCGGAGGAGGAGCAGCAGCGGGAGGAGGAGCCGTGTGCCCTGGCACTGAGCGGCCGCGGCCATGGCGTACGCCTATCTCTTCAAGTACATCATAATCGGCGACACAGGTGAGGGCCCCGGGCGCGGCCGGGCGGGTGTCGGCGGCCTCCGGACCCGGGCTGAGGGGCAAACGGCGTCTGGCGGTGGCGGGGACGCGGACTCCACCCGGCGCCTCCCTCCTGGCCGCGCCGCTCCATTTCCGCAGTGCTGGAGCTGGTGACGTGGGCACTGCGAGCGGCCGCGGCCTGGCCAGGCCCGGTCTGCGGCCCCCGACCCGGCCAGTCTTGCAGCTGAGGGCCGTGGCAGCCGTTTGCGACGCCCGATTCAGGAAGTGTGTGACAGGAGGGGAGGCCTAGCGCAGGGCCGCCGGGGCCCGACTCACATGACTGCACCCCACCCCCAGGGCCCCTTGCGTTAGGTCTCTTCGCGGCCCCAGGAAAAAGAAGGAGGGAAACCTAGGGGAGCAGAAGGTGTTGGGGCCCGGGTCTTGGTTCCTGACCAGTCCAACCTTCCTCCACCAGCACGCATCTATCAAGGCCTGGGCAAGGCGCTTTTTGGCGTGGGACAGGCAGCCGAGAAAGAGAAAAGGAAACCTTTAAAATATGTATTTTATATATATACATATATATAAAATATGCTTTTTTAACACCTTCAACTCTCACGTCAGAATAAGTCACATCTCATTACTTGACGGCTGGAGAATCCCTTTCGGGGTTAGGAAAGCATGAACGAGTTCTGTGGACTTTTGCCACGTGTGAACTGGGGTTATATAGTAATGTAAAGTCGTTCAGTGCTCTGGGTGTGTACTTAGGTATGTGTATGTTGAGGACGCTGATGTTTTAGATATGTCAAGTCCGGTGTCACAACTGCTAATTTTCAGGTGAGCTCATGTCCATGAGCTGAAAGAAATTCAGTTATTCTCACTTAAAATGACGTCCTAGTATATTTCACAGAAAAGTAAACAGACTCTTCGTAGATATTTTTAATACCTGTGATTTGGCATTACTTTGAATCTAATAATAAACATAAAGATTGTTTAGATGTTGCAACTATTAATATACCAGAGTCTGATTTCAGTGGTTACTCTTGCACAACTTTGGACCCTTTGCACAACTTCGGTCATGTAAGCAGCAGTTTGTAGTTGAACTAATGATGTGGCAGGTTCTATAAGTAACTAAAGAAGCATGTTGGCCGGACGCGGTGGCTCACACCTGTAATCCCAGCACTTTCGGAGGCCGAGGTGGGGGATCACCTGAGATCAGGAGTTCGAGACCTGCTTGGCCAACGTGGTGAAACCCCGTCTCTACTAAAAGTACAAAAGTTAGCCGGGCGTCGTGGCAGGCGCCTGTAATCCCAGCCACTTGGGAGGCTGAGGCGGGAGGATCACTTGAGCCCGGAAGGTGGAGTTTGCAAAAAAAAAAAAAAAAAAAAAAAAAAAGCATATTTATTGCTGCCTGAAAGAAAAAATTTCTGCTAGATACATGAGTTTTCAGCAAGGTTTTCTGATGCGTGCGTGCGTGTGTGTGTGTGTGGAAATTGGATTTGTAAACTTTAAAAGAAAAATGCTGTGGTGTATTTGGAAGAAGGAGAATTCTAAAGTCTTCTGGCAAAATTTCATTTAGGCTGTAAAAACAAGATTGGAGAGGAATGCCACATTAACTGTAATATGAGTGGGTTTGAGAAATAGAAGCTTGTGACTGTGGCATTTGGCTATCTCATTAGTGGTGAAAATTCAAATCAGACTTTGCTGGTTGCCTTTTTTCAGTTTTTTATTTGAGGCTGTACTGTGGATAAATAAAGTATTGTGCATGGAGTAGTGGGGCTACAAATCCTAACAAGTTAATGCTCTGTTCTCTTGGAATTTGCTCTTATCCAAAAGCAGTCCCCACGCAATTCAAAGGGAAGACACTTCTTTCTTGTCATTGCTGCTGATACGACCTAGTTCAGGAACAGAATTCTTGACACTGTTATAGTCTGCAGCAGTACTTCTCCCTACTCCAGTTCAGCCAGTGTAGTTTACTGTCAGTTTAGTCATCCTGAAGCATGAATGTCAAAAGGCTACTCCTGTTTGCTCACAATTTTTAGTTTGACCTTCAGTGAACTCTATATTTTAGCCCCTATCTACATTTCTCGCCTTCTTTCCCGCTATTCCCCACCTTGCTTCTGCCATTGAGTCCCAGTGACTGATTTTGGTGTTTTTTTCCTGGGCACTGCTAGTCTCTATTCTTAGAGTGCTTTCCGGCACAATCTCTCCCTGTGGAAGATCCATCAGTCCTTCAAAGTCTTATCTGAGTTTTCCGTAATGCCTTCACAGTCAACATATATTAAGCTCTTATTGTGTGAAGATTTTCACAGTATCCTGGCTGAAAGTGACTACTCCGTTTCTGAATTTATGTTTCTCACTTTGTGTCATTCTTCTGATATTGATCCCAGACTTTTCTGTTGTATAGATACTTGTATAGGCACCTCTATTATGTAGGTACCTATTATATACTTCTTGAAGTCAGAAAAGATGTTTTGTATGGCTCTGTATTTCTTTCAGGAAGAGCGTAGTAGAAGGTAGGCCCTGTATATTTAACTAATAAGAGAGGAGCCAAACAGGCTACTATATTCCTGTTTGTATATATTAATAACTTAACAGAAGTGGTGTCGTTGTTGTTGTTGTTGTTGCCCAGTTCTGCCACCTTCTTGCTTACTAATTTGGGCAAAATCCTTTACCATATTTCTTTAATGCAGAGTGTACCCATAGTTGTAAGATACACTCAGTGTGGCCCTCCCCTAGAAAAGATGACTTTAAAATCAGTAATGTGAGATCCACTTTGATTTTTTAAAAAGTCAGGGTCAAAAACATGCATCTTAGAATGAAGGAAATCACCTAATTTTTCTGTTTCCCTGTTTCCGTAACCTATAACCTTCTCTCAGTATGTGGGATAAAATGAGGATAAATGTGAAAGTACTTTGATTTCTCAAAGGAAAGGAACAATGCACATTTTTCCTTTTCAGAATTCCCTCTTTAATAGAAGAGGTTTTAAAAACTTTTACATGATCATGATGATACTATTGAGCTGTTTTCTTACTGTAAGACTAAATGCAGTTAAAATGTAGCTTTAAATTTTTTCCTTGTTCCTGTCTTGTTTCTGAATCATTTAGTAAAATGTGTCATTTAAATCTAGATGTAAAGTGGAAAGTGGTTTTTAATAAGCAGTTAATTATCAAGCATGGAGAGAAAAAATACGAATCTATAGTAATTTTTCTTCTGAAATTCTAGCATCTGCCAACCATTTTAACCTTATCACTAACCCTCCCTGCTGCTCAACGCTCAGCAAGGTAAACAAAGGCACAGGTTTGGTTGTGTTCTTATTTCTGCTAATATCTGAAGCACTCCTTCTTGTTCTTCCCTATCAAAAAAAGTTATGTCAAAAATTTTTGTCACCTGGCCAACTCCTTTTTATCCATTCTTTTGAGAGTTTAACAAATCCTACCACTCCCTGTTGCATTTTATGCTGGTCCCCTCCTCTCTTCCCTCATTCTGTTTCCCTTCTCTTCAGTCCCAGTCCCACTTACATTTTATTTTTTATTTTTCACTCTTATGTATATACCCACCACTTCCATTTTATTTTATTTTACTTATATTATTTATCTATCTATTGAGACATGATCTCTGTTGCCCAGGCAGGAGTGCAGTGGCACTATCACGGCTCACTCACTACAGCTTCAGTCTCCTGGGCCTAAGCAATCCTCCCACCTAAGTCTTCCAAGTAGCTGGGAACACAGGCACATGCCACCATGCCTGGCTAATTTTTAAATTTTTGTAGAGATGGGCTCTCACTGTGTTGCTCAGGCTGGTCTCAAACTCCTGGGCTTAAGCCATCCTCCCACTTCAGCCTCCCAAAGTGCCAGATTACAAGCACAAGCCACAGCTCTCAGCCCCACTTGCATTTTAAATTATCTTTTTAGTTAGGAAGGTCTTTGCCTTTGTCTTAGATGCCAGGGTACACCATTGAGTGTCAGATTTATTTAATAGTTAAGTGGATGGATCCTTGAGGGGAGGCACTAGGTGATGTTTCAGCTGAAATTAGAATGATGAGTAGGCACCGCCAGAGTGGGCATGGGGGAATGTCTGGTATGTAGTTGAAAGTTTATTTCTGGCTCAGGAGAGAGTAATCTGGGATAGAGACTTGGGAGCTAATAACATAAAATGGAGTCCCTATTACCTGAGAGTTCATTTTCTGAGCTTTTGAAATTACAAGGTTATGTAGGGAAGAAAAATTCTCATGATATGAAAATAATTATTAATAAGTTATCACCTTAAAAAATTAACTACTCAAGCTTACTTCTAATTCCCATCCTCCTGATTGGCGTAGGGGCTTGCTGATCATAATATAGTTCAAATTAGTTGCAAAGTGAAATTATGTATCATGCTAAAATTGCAAGCATTTGTTTCTTTTTTTTGAGATGGAGTTTTGCTCTTGTCACCCAGGCTGGAGTGCAGTGGCGCCATCTGGGTTCACTGCAACCTCCACCTCTTAGGTTCAAGCGATTCTCCTGCCTCAGCCTCCCCAGTAGCTGGGATTACAGGCGTCTGCCCCCACGCCCAGCTGATTTTTGTATTTTTAGTAGAGATGGAGTTTTGCCATGTTGGTCTGACTGGGTCTCGAACTCCTGACCTCAGGTGGTCCACTCACCTCGGCCTCCTTAAGTGCTGGGATTACAGGTGTGAGCCACCGCGGCAAGGCAGCATTTGTTTCTTTGATGCAAGTGATTTGGAGCATTGGTTCACATGCAAAACCATTGACAAATGGGGATCTGACAAAGTTGTCCTCCTGGAATGAAGTAGGTGGTGATTGTTCATTGAATGAATTGACAGATGAAAGCTTGGATGTAATGGTGGGAAATACTAGTGTTCATGGGGCACATGGGGAAAGTTATCAGCATAGTAGGCTAACAAGGAATAATCAAAAGAGCAAGAGAGACCTGGGCAGTACAGTGTCATGGAATCTGCAGAGAAGGCAGATCCCAGAGAGGGAGTGGTTACCAGTGTCATGTGCAGTAGAGGTCAGGGACTATTGGTTGAAATGGTAGGAAGACATTAGTGCTTTGACACAGTGTTTGATTCAGATGTCAGTGAGGGGGAGAACTAAGGTGTATTTTCATTTATGTTGTTAAAAAACTGTGGATTTTTATATATGTGTAAATAAAAAAAGTCCCAAGACTACACACTTAACCGTTACTTCTGGGGAGGAGAGTAGAATTATATGCTTATATTGATTACACTGAAAGAGTTGGTGTTGGTGAAATGGGGCTTTTTATATTGTAGGGTCCTCCTACTTTCTTTTTTAAAAAAAAATTTAAACAATATCACACATAGTATTGGTGGTTTTACAAAAAGAGTTATTGGGAAGTTACAAGTAGAACCATGCATGGGTTATTTTATTGAAGAATAAATGTGAGTGTGTGTTTGTATTTTAAGATAGGAGAGACTTGAGGTTGAAAGGTTAAATACAAGAGAAGGGGAGGTAAGGAGCAAAGTTGTAGAGGATTTGGGGAAGGATTGGGGAAGGAAGGGGATTAGATTCTCAATAGCTCTAGAGAAAAACAGAAGGAAGACCTCTTCCTGTGGGAGACTCAAATTTGAGTTTCTTTAGATTCTTGTGAATCACTGGAGTGTTTGTTTAAAAAAAAAAATATTCAGCAGCCCAACCCCTAGAGATTTTGATTGACTAGATTTGAGGTGGAGCTGAATGTTGCAAAACCTGCGGCCAGAAGTACTAGTCATTTTATTTTATTATATAAGCAGATTTGTTAGAATTACCTTCAAAAAACAACCTGGGAAGTTCAGAGGTAGAAAAATTCTATTAAAGCTTTTTTATTGAGATGTAGCATGCATATAAAAGAATATATAAAATACATATACACAGTTTAATAGTTTTAAAGAATAATGATAAACACCCATGCAAAAGGACTCCACATTCTTTTTCTTTTTTTTTTTTTCTTGAGACAGTCTCGCTGTCACCCAGGCTGGAGTGCAGTGGCGCAATCTCAGCTCACTGCAACTTCTGCCTCCTGGATTCACGCCATTCTCCTGCCTCAGCCTCCCGAATAGCTGGGACTACAGGCGCCCGCCACCACGCCCGGCTAATTTTTTGTATTTTTAGTGAAGACGGGCTTTCACTGTGTTAGCCAGGATTGTCTTGATCTCCTGACCTCGTGATCCGCCCGCCTCTGCCTCCCAAAATGCTGGGATTACAGGCATGAGCCACCACGCCCGGCCAAGGACTCCACATTCTTACATATGTCTCTTTCTCAACCAGTTTTCCACTGGCCTGAATTTTATATTAATCCTCCCCTGCTTTTCTTCATAGTTGTATCACTTATGGATTCCTAAACTGTATTATTTAGTTTTGCCCATTTTTAGATGTGCTTAGCTGTTTCATTTATCAAATGAGAGCTGAAACATATCTTTTAACATCATTTACAATTTAGATGATATACTTTTGTTAACCTTCATTTTTTTTTTTTTTTTTGAGACAAGTCTCGCTTTGTCGCCCAGGCTAGAGTGCAGTGGCGCGATCTCGGCTCACTGCAAGCTCCGTCTCCCGGGTTCACACCATTCTCCTGCCTCAGCCTCCCAAGTAGCTGGGACTACAGGCGCCCATGACCATGCCTGGCTAATTTTTTGTGTTTTTAGTAGAGACGGGGTTTCACCATGTTAGCCAGGATAGTCTCGATCTCCTGACCTCGTGATCCGCCTGCCTCGGCCTCCAAATTTTTGCTTTATATATATTATTGGTAGTCTTTCAGGATTTTTGACTAGCTCTTTTCTGTCTGTTTTCTAACCCAGTTTATTTACTACTTCCTCCCCCTAATATTTATACCGTGCCTGAGACTTTATAGTGAATCATAGAGGCTATTGTCCCTGTTGTTCTCATTCCTTTTTACCTTTCTTAAACTCCTCTGGTGACTCTCCCTACTCATCTTCTCAATTGGTGTTCTGTCCTTTCTGTCCCATGCCATTCCTGTCCAGCATGAAAGTTTCTCTTTTATCTCCCCAACTGCTTCCCTCCTTCATTTTAATTCTTCAGCTCTCCTCCTCTTGCAGTAGCCAGTCAGTTTGATGTTTTATTTGAGCAGACCCTAATTTTGCCATCTCAGCTGTTTTTCCCTTTCCTTCTGGCCCAGCTGTGCTTACTTCATTTGTTATTCTCTGCTCACTTTAGTCTATGAGGCTGTGTCCTTTGCTACAAAAGATGCAGCCATATGCAGACCTCTCTTGTCCCTCTCCTAACTTTACATTTTCTAAAAGAAACTGTCCCATTTGATTTCATTAGCCTTGATTATTTGCAAGTTTTAAAATACTCTAGTTTTAGCTGTTACTTTTCACTTGTAAGTAAGAGATCCCTGGCAAAAAGGTTCTAGATTCTCTCTCCTGTAATGCACACATAGTAGCCCCCTTTTAATTTCTGCAGTGTTTCTTAACTCAAACTATTAATATTTGGTTCTCATCCATGGAAATGCTGTTTTAGTCACTCTCCGGGGAGTCCCAGACATCAGTATTTTTAAAAAGTATTGTTTGTATTGATGGTAGTACTGTAACATTCCACTGCTGGTAAGCCATGGGCCTTTTTTGCTTATTTTTCTAAAATTGATTCTTCTTTTTCTGCTGCCAAGTTTTCTGCTTTGGGGGATTTTATTTAATCCCTAAGGTGTAGCCAGACTGAATTTGTATGGAATTCTCCATCACATTAGCTTTTGGCATTGTGGTCTGTATAGCAGATTCTCATGAGTAATCCTCCACACTTTTTATAGTTCCTACACCATATCAAAAGCTTATTATCTGTTAATTCTTCAACAGATACATGAGATTACTGTTTTACAGATGGAGAAACTGAGTTGTGTCATTTGGGGCAAATTATCTTAGTAGATGGTTGATCTGGTTTGGCTCTGTGTCCCACTCGAATCTCATCTCAAATTTTAATTTCTGTAGTCCCCACGTGTTGAGGGAGGGATCCCATGGAAGGTGATTGGATCATGGGGTCAGTTTCCCCCATGCTGATCTGGTGATAGTGAGTGCTCATGAGATCTGATGGTTTTATAAGTGTTTGACAGTTCCTCATTCATACTCTGTTTTTCTCCTGCCGCCACGTAATATGTGCCTGCTTCCCCTTCTGCCATGATTATAAGTTTTCTGAGGCCTCCCCAGCCATGCAGAACTGTGAGTCAATTAAGCCTCTTTATAAATTACCCAGTCTCGGGTAGTATCTTTATAGCAGTGTGAAAACGAACGAATACAGTGGTAGAACAAAGATCTAGGGGTGTCTGACTCCACGGGCCATTCTCTTGATTACAGGGTGGTCTGGCTCCATTCCCCTTTGCTCTTTCTTTCCCCATATCTTCTGAGTTTTTACTTTTCATAGCCATAATGTAGCTTTAGGTTTCTCCCAGTTCTCACTTTAAAATATTCTCATTTTCAGGTATAGCTGAGAGTCACTGTGTTTTTAGCCAAATCTAAGGGAGAAAATGAATATTGATAGCAGCATGCTGTAGCCAGCTCCTTAAAGGAAGGATGGTGCCTGGTACAGAGTTAGAGTTAGTGCTTCAGTAAATAATGAATGTGTGCTAGGTAGGTTCTGCTGGGTAGGCTGCATGCATTGACCAATTTATTCCTCCTTGTTTCAAAACAGGATTTAAGGGCACTTATATATATATATTTTTTAGTTTTTTTAATGTAAATGAGAGAATAAAGATATATATATATGTCTATATATGTATATATGTATATATATGTCTATATGTCTATATGTATATATGTCTATATGTATATATGTGTGTGTGTACATATATATATATATATATATATATATATATATATATAAGTTTTCTGTTGCTAGCATAACAAACTACCAGAAACTTAGCAACTGAAACAACATGAATTTATCTTACGGTTCTATAGTTCAGAAGTCTAACGTGTCACTGGGATGAAATCCAGGTTTCAACAGGACTGGGTTCCCTTCTAGCTCATTCAGCTACCTGGCTCATTCAGGTTGTTGGCAGAATATACTTCCATGAAACTGTAGGGCTGAGACCCCGTTTCCTTCCTGGCTATCATCTGAGAGCTTTTCCCGACTTCTAGAGTCCACCCACCTACCCACATCCCTTGGCCCATGGCCCCCTTCCTCCATCTTCACAACCAACAACAGTGGGTCACGTCCTTCTTGTGTCTCATCTTTCTTGTTGGGCCATCCCAAGTCTCTCTGTTTTAGGAAAGGTTTTCCACTTTTAAGGACTCATGTGATTAGATTGGGCTTACCTGGATAATACATGCTAATCTCCCCATCTCAAGGTCTAATCTTAATCAAATCTACAAAATCCCCTTTGCCATGCTAGGGTAAAATATTCACAGGTTCTGGGGATTAGGATGTTAATATCTTTTGGAGGGCATTTTTCCGCTTACCATAAAGGCCTGCATTAGTCCATTCTCACACTGCTATAAAGAACTACCTGAGGCCAGGCATGATGGTTCACGCCTGTAATCCTAGCACTTTGGAGGCTGAGGCGGGTGGATTGCTTGCGCTGAGGAGTTCGAGACCAGCCTGGGCAACACGGTGAAACCCCATCTCTACTAAAATACAAAAAATTAGCCAGGCGTGGCGGCATGCGCCTGTAATCCCAGCTACTTGGGAGGCTGAGATGAGAGCATCATTTGAACCCGGGAGGGAGAGGTTGCAGTGAGCTGAGATGGCACCATTGCACTCCAGCCTGGGCGACAGTGCGAGACTCCATCTCAAAAAAAAAAAAAAAAAAAGAAGTACTTGGGACTGGGGAATTTATGAAGAAAAAGAGGTTTAATTAACTCACAATTCCACAGGCTGTAAAGGAAGCATGGCTGGGAGGCCTTAGGAAACTTATAATCATGGCAGAAGGTGAAGGGGAAGCAAGCACATCTAGCCATGTCAGACCAGGAAAGAGAGAGTGAAGGGGGAAGTGCTACACACTTTTAAGCAACCAGATCTCGTGAGAACTCACTGTCACTGAGAACAGCAAGGGGAGGAATCCACCTCTGTGACCCAATCAGCTCCCACCAGGCCCCTCCCCCAACATTGGAAATTACAATTTGATGTGAGATTTGGGTGGAGACACAGAGCCAGACAATTTCAAGGGCTAAGGAGCAAATGGTAGAAACAGTAAAATAAGATCAGAAGAGGTTTAATTGACTCACAGTTCTGGAGAGCTGGAGAGGCCTCAGGAAAATTACAATCATGGCAGAAGGCAAAGGGGAAGCAGGCACCTTCTTCACAAGGCGGCAGGAGAGGGACAATGGAGGAAGGGCCATGCCTTATTAAACAACCAGATTGGCCACTCCCCTAGCATGTGGGGATTACAATTCCAGATGAGATTTTCATGGGGACACAGAGCCAAACCATATCAGGACATTTATACTCAAAGTCTATGATATGAGGTGGTGTAGACTTCTTTGAAGTGGTCACTGAATTTAGCACTAACCAGTGCAAAAAGACAACCCTGCTCATTTACCCTAATCATAGTATCCATTATTTTTTTTTTGAAGTATGTTCATGTATATACTTAGTAACTGCTGACATTGAGAATCTTGAAAGAAGCTTTGCTTCTGATTCCTCTTAAAAATAATACAGTATAGCGAGTGTAAATATACAACTGCTTTTATAGGGCATTTTCTCTAGAGGCATAACTCATTGAATCTATGAGGAAGACACCATTTTATAGGTGAGGAAAGGGACACTGGTTATCACATACAGTCTTTTTGTATACAGCTAGTAACTGACCAATATGGAACATGAACCCAGGTTTTTCGGACTCCAAAGTTCATGCTCTCTTCCCCATATTACAGTTCCTGATTCCCATAAATTTCACATCAGACCTCTTCTGTTGGCTTACTGTTTGGTCTGTTAAGTTTCTGTGAGAGTACATAGCCTTCAATTCCCTTAAATAGGTAGGACCTCCATTCATGCATAATAGTGCAGAACTATCCTATATAAAAGTAGGATAAAGTACTTTCTCTGCTATTTACCAGCCATGTGACTATGGGCAACCCATTTGATCTTTCTGAGTCTTTGTGTCGTTATCTATAAAATGGGAATGAATAAATGATATCATATGTGTAACAGTGACTTGAATAACAAATGATTATATCTTTTTTATCCTGCTTCTTTGAATGTTACAATAATTTCCCCATATGCATTTGAAAAATTCACCCAAATCTGACCAGTGCTGTATAGTGTCTAATGCTAATAATAGCAAAAACATAATTTTTTTTGCCCTCTGTGTGTTCTAATATGTTGATCGTCCCACTGTCCCCCACTTAGCTTGCTTGTTTTTGACCAGCTGCTACAAGAATAACAAGCATGTTATCCTTGATTCTAATTGTTTTTTTTCCTACCCTGTGTTGGCGTTTTTATTTGTTTGCATCAAGTTGTTTTATGGCAAGTTTCTTATGTTATCAAGATTCCTTTTATTTCAGATATCTATATTTTTGGCAGCTTTGCTTAATTTAGAGTGATTGGCCATCCAAGTCCACTTATGATTTATCTTGTTTAAGAGATGAGGTCTCACTATGTTGCCTAGGCTGGTCTGTCAAACTCCTGGCCTCAAGTGATCCTCCCGCCTCAGCCCCCCGAAAGTGCTGGGATTACAGGTGTGAGTTACTGTGCTTGGCTCCTGGTAATGATTTAAAAGACTCGGTAGGATTTTGTTCTGTGAAGGAACAGAAACGCACTCCAGCTAGCTCAAGAAAAGAGATTTATGATAAGAATTTAAAGAGGGCTTATAGTAATCCAAGTAAAACAGTGTAACAGATCTTGGGCAATTGGCTACTCTGAAGTTTTTGTTTTCTTCTCATGGCTTCTCTCTTGACCCATTAAGCATGTTTCTTTTTTTTTTCTTTGTCTTTTTCTTCTTTTTTAAAAAATCTTTTCATTATTGATTTCTGACTTTATTACACTTAGAGACTGTAGGCTATATGTACTGATTCTTCAGTGTGTGAGACTAATTTTGTAGCCGAGTACTTGATTGGTTTTTGTACATGTTCCATATGTGCTTGAAAATATTCTTGTGTGTGTAGTGAGTTCAGGTTTCCGTACATGTCTGTTAGATCAGACTTGATATTAGCGTGGATTATATCTTCTATATAGTCTTTTGTCTACTTCTTTTTTGACCTTTGGGGAGAGATGTTAAAATCTCATATTGTGACAATGGATTTTTCTTGTTCTTCTGTCAGATTATTTCTCCCCTCCCCGCGTGAATTTGGGGGCTAATTTGTAAGGTATTTATGACCCATACATCTTACGGAGGAGTTACTCCGTTGTCATTAGGTTTCCCTTCATTTGTTTCTTAGTATGGTTTTTTGAATTCAGGTATTTGATATTAATTTTGCATATTTGGTTCATACTTGCTTTGTTTAGGAAGTAAACATTACACTTGACTCTGAAACTTTTTTGCTCATTACTTTGGGGGTTTATCTATATTAATACATTTCATTCTATTTTATTGATATTAATTGCTTGATTATGTTCTGTTGTTTGACTATACTGCAGTTTTCTCCATTCTTTCACTTATGGACATCTTAAAGTTGTTTATTTTGTTGTAAAAGATGATACTCCATAGATTATTCTTGTGCCTGCCTCCTTGAGCTGGGTGCTAGAGTTTTAGAAATAAATCTTGCAGCGGATTTGTGGGTGGAAGGTGTATACATCTTTGGCTTTACCAGCATATCTAAATCTCTCTCCAAAGTAATCAGTTGACTCATTCTGGTTCTGTGTCACCTTTTTTTTGAGACAGGGTCTTGCTCTGTCACCCAGGCTGGAGTGCAATAGCATTATCATGACTTGCAGCCTCTGCCTCCTGGGCTCAAGGGATCCTCCCAGCGTAGGCTCCCAAGTAGCTGAGGTCACAGGCACATGCCACCACACCTGGCTAATTTTTTTTTCTTTTTTTTTTTTTTTTTTGAGAGAGAGAGAGTCTCGCTCTGTCACCCAGGCTGGAGTGCAGTGACACAGTCTTGGCTCACTGCAACCTCTGCCTCCTGGTTTCAAGCCGTTCTGCCTCAGCCTCTCAAGTAGCTGGGATTACAGGCACACACCAACACACCTGGCTACTTTTTGTGTTTTTAGCAGAGACAGGGTTTCAGCGCGTTGGCCAGGCTAGTTTCAAACTCCTGACCTCATGTGATCTGCCCACCTCAACCTCTCAAAGTGCTGGGATTACTAATGTGAGCCCCCATGCCTGGCTGCTCCTGGCTGATTTTTAAATTTTCTGCAGAAATGGGTCTTGCCATGTTTCCCAGGCTGGTCTCCAACTCCTGGGCTCAGGTGATCCTCCCACCTCGGCCTTCCAAAGTGTTGGATTACAATATGAACCACCATGCCCAGCCCTTTATCACCTTTTTTTTAAAAAAGGCCTATTTTTTAATGTAGCCCATTTCTATATTTTTAAAAATTTCAATCTAGGAGTCTGTATTTTAACAGGAGAATTTAATGTTTTTATATGTATTGTAATCACTGATGGATTTGGGTTTATTTCTACTATCAAGTACCACCCTGGTTCAGTCATATAGACAAAGATCAAGGTGTAGATCACAGGCATGCCCACTTGTCATGGGCTTTTGGGTTTAGACGGGCACATGTCTTGGCACAGGAAACAATGTGGTAGATTTTCCAAGCATGTATAGGTCACCTATTCCTTGCAGGCCAGTAGAGAGATTACTGAAGAGAAGATACCTGCCACTAACTTACTAGTGCACATGAACAATTAATTTAAATTCTGAAATTTTCTGTTTCTAAAACAGGTATAGTACCTGCCTAGTGCACCCTATAGGGTTATTCACCAAGACTCAGGGTTTTGTTTTGTTTTTTTCCCCTAGCTTTACAGCTGTCTTTAAAATTTAAGTGTCAGTCATGTGTTTCCTTCATTTATTTACAGTTGATATATCAGTGTCAGTGGTGTATTCATGCTTGCTCTGCTGCCCCAGCATTATTAAAATTGATGGATGACCCTTTTGCATTTGTCCTTCTTTAGAAATAGCTACTATGTAGTCCTCGCTGGTTATTTTAGCTTAGACACCACTCTTGAAAATTTTCCGAGAGCCTGGTATTTGTAATTAGCATATCTCGATTAATGTGGTGTCTGTACTGTTTACTTGTGACCTCAGTAAAGTTCATACCTCTTCAGTTTTAGTTTTCTCATCTGGAAAAACCAATAGCAATGCCTGGATTATCTATACCTCACAGGATTTTTGTGAGCTTAAAGTAAATAATATGTGAAGGTAAGGTGCCTTGTAAGCTGCAAAGTGCTTTATTAATAGTAATACCTTAGAGATAATGTTTCCTATCTGTTGAGCATCCTAAAATTTAGTGGGGTTGGTCTTGCCTATAGAAAAAAGCTGTTCACTGTGCTGATCATGTGTTAACCACAAAATGGCTCTCCTTGATTCTATTGTCCTCCATGACTCAATAAAAGAAAGTTCTTTTCCATCTCAGATGTCTTCATAGTCCACTTGAGATTGAGAAGAATATCAAGGAGGTACTGTTTTTCACTAGTCTTCAGGGAAGAGAAGGGAAGGCCAGTAGTCATCTTCTACCTTGATTTTTTTTTTTTTTTTTTTTTAACACGGATTTTCGCTCTTGTTGCCCAGGCTATACTACAATGGCGTGATCTTGGCTCACTGCAACCTCTGCCTCCTGGGTTCAAGCGATTCTCCTGCCACACCCTCCCGAGTAGCTGGGATTACAGGCGCGCACTGCCACGCCCAACTAATTTTTTTGTATTTTTAGTAGAGACAGGGTTTCACCATGTTGGTCAAGCTGGCTTCGAACTCCTGACCTCAGGTGATCCACTCGCCTTGGCCTCCCAAAGTGCTGGGATTACAGGCATGAGCCACCGTGCCCAGCCTACCTTGATTTCTTCTACACTCACTCTTAGTATTTTGTGGTACCACTTGAATGATTTCAGTCAATTTTGAACCCCTTTGGAAAGAGGTGGTTTTGTAGCTCTATAGAAGTCTTTGATATAAATAAATCTGTTAGTCAGTGGTTATCTTCTTTCTTTGGATAAAGTATTGTTAGTTCAGTTTTAACTGTGTCAAAGGGAAAGTAAAAGTATATGTGTCCCAAATTATTTATGCTCAAGGCTTTACTTGACACAAAAATTAATAAATAGCTAAAAAGTAATAAATTAAAGCAATAATAATGTATGCCCGATGAATTGAGTCACCAGTCCTCTATGTAAAGGTATTTGTTATACTTGCTCAGGATAAACTTGGGTGTGTGTTGAAGAAATTCTACTGGTTTCATAGCTACGTGGATTTTTTTTTTCCAAGATGAAGTCTTGCTCTGTTCCCCAGGGTGGAGTGCAGTGGCATAGTCTCAGCTCACTGCAACCTCTGTCTCCCGGGCTCAAGTGATCCTCCCACCTCAGCCTCCTGAGTAGCTGGGACTACAAGTGCATGCCAGCACAGCCGGCTATTTTTGTATTTTTTGTAGAGACAAGGTTTCACTTTGTTGCCTAGGCTGGTCTCAAATTCCCGGGCTCAAGCAATCTGTCCATCTTGGCCTCCCCAAGTGCTGGGATTACATACATGAGCCACTGCACTCAGCCAGCTACATGAATTTTCAACCGGTTTAAGAACTGTATCCATAAAGGACTGCCATGTAGGCAAGCGGGAAGGAGCATGCTGCTATGTGCAGTCCTGGATTTTTGACTTCTGATATTAGCAACAACTTGGACACAGTCCAATTTGGTTGAAAGAGCTAATATGTAATTTGGATTTTAACTGACAGAATCCAAAATGACCTTGGTAGGCAGAATGATTGGCCAAATTTTAGCAAAATTGTATTACATAAAAATGAAGTTAAAACCCAGTATTTGCTTGTAAAATAACCGTACAAATACTAAATGGAGGTCAGCTGGTTCAATATCCACACATGTCTAAAAACTTAGTTTTACATTACTTGATTCATATGAGTCAGATAAGTAATAAAGCGAACAAAAGAATAAATGTGATGCTAGATTAGTGAAAGTATAGTGTATGGATAAGGCAGGTTCTACCCTGTCAGACCTCAACTGCAATTCAGTTCTGAAACTCTTGTTTTAAAGGAATATCTACAAACAGGAGCCCGTGCTCAGGAGACCAGTAATGCTGATATGAAGGCTATAACATTCATGACATTTTAGGAATGGTTGAGTATCTGAACCATTTTAACCTAAAAAAGAAGACTTAAAGGAGAATATAATAATGACTTTCAGATACTTAGGTGACTGACATATGAAAGAGGGACTCATACCAGGACCGTGAGTAGAAGACATACAGTTGGACTCTTCATAAAATGGAAAGAGCTTGTTCACTGGTAAGTTAATTTGTGCTGGAGTAGGAATTTGATTGACACATATGAAGGCTTGGAAGATGGAGTTTATGCAAAGGATAGAGATTTGCAGTTGATTTTTTTTCTTCCTAAAGAAATATAAGATACTATTGTGGGCCAGGCATGGTGGCTTACATCTGTAATCCCAGCATTTTAGGAGGCCAAGGTGGGTGGATAGCTTGAGATCAGGAGTTCAAGACCAGCCTGGCCAACATGGCGAAATTCCATCTCTACTAAAATACAAAAATTAGCTGGGCGTGGTGGTGGGTGCCTGTAATCCCAGCTACCCGGGAGACTGAGGCAGGAGAATCGCTTGAAGGCGGAGGTTGCAGTGAGCTGGGATCGCACCACTATACTCCAGCCTGGGCGACAGAGCAAGACTCTGTCTCAAAAACAAAACAAAACAATAGCAACAACAACAACAACAAAAAGATACTATTGTGGGCAGTCCCTGTGCTGGAGTTCGAAAAATGAAGACTGTCCCACCCTACAGAGAAGACCAATTTGCCACAATAACTATAAGAAAATGTAATAAAAATATGTACGAAGTTCTAAAGGTGTGTGGACAGGGTACTTTCTAACTGGAGTGAATGGCTTATAACAGATTTCAGATTGTCAGTAAACCTTTATTGAGCACCTGCTTACTGTATGCCAGTACTATGTTGTGACATTCATATATGTTCTCGCGGTAATCTTAGTAGGTAGCTGCTAACCCCGTTTTCCAAATGAAAAATCAGTAACCAGATGTGGTGGAATGTGCCTGTAGTCCTAGCTACTAGGAAGGCTGAGGTAGGAGGATTGCTTGAGGCTAGGAATTCAGGGCTGCAGTGTACCATGATCACTGATGCCTGTGAATAGCCACTGCCCTCCAGCCTGGGCAGTGTAGTAAAATTCTGTCTCTTTAAAATAAAACATAAATAACAAATGAAAAATCAGGTGATAGGTACAGACTTGGTATAACTTATTTGAATAATTGTCCACCTAATCAGTAGAATCAGTTTCTGCTTTTGCCCCATCTTTATATTATGTGAGAAATACTGAGTTGGGCTGCTAACACTTATTTTGCCAAGAAGGTTTGATGACTTTATACCAGGAGTGATGTACAAAATGTGGCAGTAAAGGGTTTTCATCAGAACTGGGGGAAAGGGAGATGATGATTAACACTAAGGAATCTTGGGACCACACTGTGAAGACCATTGTGTGACATAGTTTAAGGGATTGCTTAACCCTCTGGATATCTGCATTAAGGAGCCTTATTCCCTTCCCCATTCTCTAAGTGGGGCAGATTTCTACCCTTAACTCAGATATTTGTACAATAATAAGCCTCATTCACCATTTAACCTTTTTTTTTTTCTTGCTTGGCCTTTCCCCCTATCCTTTCTGGCTTAAAGTTTCATTTCTTGGAGAATTTGTAGGAGAAATAGAAAAATCATGTTGGACTTAAGTGTCACTATGTGAATTTTCAGCCGTAGCCATGAATAAATCTTATTAAAAAGTACTACTGAGTAGTATTCTTAAGAGATTTTTAGACACAGGTAGGAGAAAGAAATCAAAATTGTCTGTTTCACAGTGCATTATTTTACTTGCAGGCTTTCTTGTAATTTTCTTATCAGATTGACATTTAAAGTAGCTATATTTGGTCACAGTAGAAGTTTTGCTGGTTATTTAAGTGCAGTGTCACTATGGAGGTAGTTGAATGAAGTCAATAAAAGTACTGCTTACATAGCATTGATGAAAGTTCCTCTTTACACTTTACATATGTAAGCAAGCATGGTAAACAGTGGCTTACGTATCCTTCCAGAAATTTTCTGTACCTCTATAAGCCTGTGTGTGTGTACATGTGTCCCAATTCTACCAGTAGGATTATACAATCACTACTGTTCTACAACTTTATTTTTTTCATTTGAGGGTAAATCTTGAGTGTCTTTCTGTATCACCACATATAAATCTCTCATTTTTTAAAAACTCTCATAACTGAACTACCATTTGTCAGCTTCTGATTCTGTTAGTTGAGGTCTGTGGTAGCAAATAACAGAAACCAACTCTGGTTAATGTAAACAGAAGATTTGATTGGAAATATTGGATGGTTCACAGACAGGAAAGCAGTAAAATCAAGTTTGAAAATGGGCAAAATGAAGGAAGGCAAGGCACAGCCAAATTGCTGTTATCAATACGGCCTGCTTGAGAAGATGCTGGATGCATACCACTGGCCTCTACTGCTCTCTCATCTCCACTGTAGCCACCATGTATTGTCTCTTGATGGTCCTTGATATTGCAGCACTTTTTCAAGATTCTAAGTTCTAGATAGGAGTATCTGATTGGCTCAGTCTAGGACACCTGTCTCCCTGCCCTAGCTGCTAGGGAGCTCAAAGAAGAGTGCTCTGATGCTAGGTAGCCAGAAACAGCAAATGTCCACCTACTCCTGCTTTGATGAATATCGTTATAGATAATATTGCTGTTAGCCTTCTTGTGCGTTTGTGCAAGAAGTAAAATTCCTGGGTCAACTGGTATTTACATTTTGCATTTTGATAGGTACTGCCAAATTACCATCCATTAAAAGTATGAATTTAGAAAGAATATTTAATTTTGACTTTGGTATATATTTCAGGTACTTACAATTCAACAGGCTAACCAACATTAATTGTGTATATTAACTGATGCCTAGTCTATGGGAATTTAGCAGTTTGATTTTGTTACTGTTAATACATTATTTCTTTGGCTCTTGTTAATTTAATCTGTCAATTGCACAAGAGTTTTTCTGCTTACAGCCTTTGATTTTGATACAAACCATTTGTATTATAATATACGACTTAGAGATCATGTACAGTAAATTTATTAGATAATTATATTTTACATTTACATCCAGTTTGATATATACTATCATGAAAAAGTTTTCTCTTCAAGCAACTTTATTGAAATATATTTCTGAAATACTGCAGTTCTTATTTGGAATTTTTAGTTATGAAAGGATTAGTAAAATGGTCAGATTAAAGTGTGTTAAGATACATGACTTATCTATGTGACCTACTTGGAACACTATTATTTGGGATAAACTCAGCATAGTGCAAATAGTATTCTTTTAAAAACATTTCTCTTTATTAGATTTCTGCAGTGTCAGGATCATTTCACTTATAGAATGTTCCTTTCATCCCTAGAATTGCTAGTTGGAAAGTGAGGTAACATTCTTTTTGGTTAGCAAATGTATTGATTACAAATGGCAGTATGTATCTGAGAAAGAACAAATTCAGGAGGTTGAGTGGCGCAGTGGGGGAAGAAAATATGATTCAGAATCAAAAAACTTGATTTTGAGTTTCTGCCTCTTATTATTTATGTTAAAGTGCCAACAAATGATTCAGTCAGATTTTTCCTTTCATCTCTGTCCTCGTAAATATCAATTAAAAGAGAATAGAAGTGTTCCAGATTCTTCCCAGTTTATTTATTTTACCATCATTACTAGCAAAAATGTAGATGAGATCTTTTGTTGTATATGAGTTGGATTAGACACTACACAGTAATTTCTAGGTTTTTTATAAGCCACAGTATAAGGTATATTTTACATTGCAATCTAGGATTCATGTGTGTAAATGCATATATATCTCTAAAACAAAAATTTCTAAGTGTTCTTATTCTAATCGTATAAATATTTTGTTATAATTTTTTTTTTGGAAACAGAGTTTTGCTCTTGTTGCCTGGGCTGGAGTCTAATGGCGTGCTCTCAGCTCACTGCAACCTCTGCCTCCCGGGTTCAAGTGATTCTCGTGCCCCAGCCTCCCAAGTAGCTGGGATTAGAGGCATGTGCTACCACGCCCAGCTAATTTTGTGTTTTTAGTAGAGATGGGGTTTTTCACCATGTTGGTCAGGCTGGTCTCAAACTTGTAACCTCAGGTAATCCACCCGCCTCGACCTTCCAAAGTGCAGGGATTACAGGCGTGAGCCACCACACCTCACCCATCTAATTCTTTTGTAATGCTAGTTCCAATCCACTAAATTGGTTTCATGACCTAACTAGTTATGGCTTACTGTCTAAAAAACATCACACCAGAGGACCTCTCTAGTTCCAACAAAACCGACATCCTACAATTCTAAGAGGTATTTATAACTGTTTTCTTTTTTATTTTATTTTATTTTATTTATTTTCAGGTAGAGTCTCACTCTGTTGCCCAGTGGGAGTGCAGTGGCTCACTGCAGCCTTGACCTCCCTGGCTCAAGCAATCCTCCTGCCTCAGCCTCCTGAGTAGTTGGGACTGCAGGTGCACACAACCATGGCTGGCTAATTTTTGATTTTTTGTAGAGACAGGATCTCACTAGGTGGCCCCAACTGGTGTCAAACTCCTGGCCTCAAGCAGTCCTCCCACCTCAGCCTCCCAGTGCTGGGATTACAAGCATGAGCTACCATGCCTGGCCGTATAGCCCAGTTTTATTCTTCCTGATTTTTCTTAAACATTCTAGCCGTTTTCCACTATTAAGATAAACTAGTGAGGAAAGTTCCATGAGTTGGGAGGAAGAAAGGAATAGGGATGCCATTTTTGCCGCATTCTTACTTGCTATTAGATTTAATACCTCTGTAACTTATTCCCTAATAAAATTATCAAATGCTGTATTTTCCAACTTTTTAAGATTTAAATCATATCTAGCTTTGTATTTGCAAAAATACTGCACTTGAAGACAAACTATGTCTTTCCTAAGAAAATTTAAATTCTACCTATATTCAAATACCCTCAACTTTACCAAATTAAATTTGGCTTATCTAATGAAGGATACGTTATTCATGCTAGTTGTATCATTGGGAGTTCAATTAGGAAACATAAACTACACAGGAATTTGAACAGAGAAAGTCTAATGTAAACAGTCCTTAACTGTAACGTAGAATTAGAGTAATGGGAGAATTGGCTAAGAGGTAGAAAGAACTCTGAAGACTGTGGTAACAGCAGATAGGGTAGTAGTCACTACCTCTAAGGCTATGCAGAGCATGGAAGGAAGGACAGATCTGACATTCAAACCTCATTGGAGGGGCATGGCTGAGGCCTACTGGATGTCAGAGACATTAACTAAGGGGCTGAAATGGGCTGGACAGCTGCCCTCTTTGTGCTCAGCTTCTATGGTGTGTGTGTGGCCTGAGAACTCCATGAAAAGCAACCTGAAGGAGTGCTGGGGGCAGATGGCCATAGAGGGGTGCTGAGTGCTGATGAAGCTGTCATGCCCTGTGCCCTACCAAGGTAGAAAGGTTTCAGTCTCACTTGAAGGACAGTGAAGGGTGGATTTGGAGCAAGAAGGCAGTCAATTGAAAACTGGCACATGAGAGTACTCACTACCTTTTGAAAGGAAAATAACACTTAAGTTTGGGGCAGATAATGATACAGATACAATTCTAATTTAATGCAGTCATATTTTCATTCTCTAGCGTCATTTCCCCATCTGAAAAATCCACTGTTGAATAAAATTTTGTTTTAGAAATTGATAGTTTTTTTTTCTTGAGATGTAGGCTAGAGTTGTTTGATAGAATAGTCTATTACTTTGTGATCTTTCCAGTGAGCATGAGATGCATTAATTCATTCCCTGAGCATCTGCTTTTAAGCCAGTCCACTGTGCAAGGTCGTTTTCAAAATACAGAAAGGCAAATGTTACTGCTCCTGAGGAGTAAAGCTAGATATATAAACTGATAATAAAAGTACCATGTGATAAGTGCTTAATCAAGTATGTACGTATAGAGTAATTTGGCCTTAGCAGATAAAGTGAGCTTGTCTTCAGGTACTGGGAAAGGAAAAAGAAGTGATTTTTCCTAGATGCATTATCTCTTTTATTACATATTATCTCTTTTATTTCTCACAATAGCCAATGAATAAGGTGGTATAATTACCATTACACAAATAAGCAAACAAGGCCTAGAAACCTGAAGCAACTTTTTCAATCAGCATCATACACAGGATTCAAATCTAGCCCAGTAAATATTTGTTATCTCTTAAACTGGTCGTGTACTTTGAAATGAAGAAGGCATAAGTTCACCAAATATAAAACGTAGGACTAAATGCAATTGTGAAGGATTTAAAAAGTAGATTTGATGCATCCTTGCCCTTATGAGGTTTATAGTCTAGCTGTGCTTGTAGAATATAATAAGGGCTCTGACTGAGGAACTGGAAGAAAGTATGGCATTTTGTAAGAGGGGGAATGCGTTTTTCCTCCTTCTTGGAAAATCATAGGGTACAATAACATTTGAACTGGTTCTGACAAGTAGAAATGGTAAAAAATCAAAATATAAAAATAGGAGTAAACAGGAAGGTAGTTGTCTGCTAAGTTCCACACCTTGTACTGTCCTTGATATGAACGGTCCAGTTTAACTTTAGTATGGACCCTGTGTCAGGCTGTTATGAGAAATAAGGCTGGAAAGATAAATCCATTAAACATGGTGGACCTAGGGAGGTACATGTGACAGGTTAAGGTAGAGTTTGAACTCTATTTTGTAGACAGTGGAATGCATTGAAGTTTTTGAAAGAAAGAGTATACAACTAGAATTATAATTAACTTTAAAACCAAATACAGTATATATTCATATTTTAATATAGTAGCGTAGACATACTAGATGTTAAATGTAATCCTTTTCTTCTGTCTCATCCATTCTCTTTTTGTCTTTTTCTCATCCATTCCTGGTGCAGTCATACGTAGAATAGATTAGAAGGGTACGGGTATATAGTTAGATGGTAATTAAAATGTTCCAGAGAAGAGGTTCCTAGAGGCCTTGTCTAAGGCAGTGGTAATGAAAATAAAAGGAGGTTACAGATGAGAGCTGGAATTATCAGGGTTTAGTGAAGGATATCATAGGGAGTGAAAAGTGTTAAAAATGAAGATCATTTTCAGACACTTTTCCATTTCTGAAAAGTGTATACTTCAAATACTGCCTGCCTGCCTCCCTCCCTCCCTTTCTTCTTTTTGAGACAGTCTCTCTCCGTCGCTCAGGCTGAAGTGCAATGGCGCAATCTTGGCTCACTGCAACTTCTGCCTCACAGGTTTAAGCGATTCCCGTGCCTCAGCCTCTCAAGTAGCTGGGATTACAGGCATGTGCCACCACGCCTGGCTAATTTTGTTACATTTTTAGTAGAGTTGGGCTTTCCCCATGTTGGCCAGGCTGGCCTGGAACTTCTGACCTCAAGTGATCTGCCCACCTTGGCCTTCCAAAGTGCTGGGATTACAAGTGTGAGCCACCGTGCCCAGCCCATTTTTTTTATATAAGAGTAATGCCTACACATGGTAATGTTAAAACAATATGGAAGGGCAGAAGATTGGATATGGTGATGAGAGATGACATTATATAAGACACAATGGGTAAAAAGCTTTTCCTTATGTGAAAACTCTGGGGCAGAAGTCAACTCTTCTAGTGTGGGCTGTGCATAGTAATTTCCTTCCCAAGAATACAGTATGGAAAAGAGGGGGAAAGTTCCTTTCCATTGGAGAAGCCTGACAGACTACCTTAGCCAGGTTATGAAGGTTAAAGTCAACAGTGATCAGTCACATTGATAGTATGTACCCTTGATATGATGTGATGAAAATGGTATTCTTTCTCTGTCATCTTCCTTCCAAACACTTATAATCCCAGTCTAATCATGAAAAAATTAGACAAATTTCAACACAGGGCATGTTACAAAATACCTAATCAGTACTCAAAACTGTCAAGAACATCAAAAAAGGAAAGCATGAGAAACTGTTACAACCAAGAGGAACCTTAAAGAAGGCCTGACAATTAAATGTAATATGGTTTCTTAGATGTGATCCTGAGACAACAAAAGGACATGAGGTAAAAACTAAGGGAAAAAATTAGAACTTTAAGGGAGTTAAAGGTAAAGAGATTTTATAAAGAGTGCAGGATAAAGAATAATCCCAGCACTTTGGGAGGCAGTCAGATCACCTGAAGTCAGGAGTTCCAGATCAGCCTGGCCAACATGATGAAACCCCATCTCTACTAAAAATACAAAAATTAGCCAGGCGTGGTGGCAGGCACCTGTAATCCCAGCTACTCAGCAGGCTGAGGCAGGAGAAGTGCTTGAACCCAGGAGGCAGAGGTTGCAGTGAGCTAAGATCACACTATTGCACTCCAGACTGGGCGACGAGCACAACTCCATTAACCATTGTGTAACCAGTTAAGGTGCTTAGTAAGTAGTTGCTGAATATATCATATTATTACAGTTCTTCATAAGTCTATTTTTAAGGTCTAGGCCTTCAGTGAGGCCTACTTCATCTAGTGGTTGAAACACAGGTCTAGATTTGGTTTCCTGGAGTCCACGTCACACCCAAGCTGAGCGAGATAATCACAGAAACTTGTCAGTGTTCTTTCTCTTCTAGCATTGACAACAGAGGCTATTGTGTTTTTCCCCTGAAACCAGACAGTTAAATAAATTATTTTATACATTCACAGGCAGAAAATGTTCATCTTTGAAAAAATCAAATGTGGCCTGGAGCAGCACCCTCCCCTACCTCACCAAAAATAAAAATCAGGAAAAAATTTTTAATAAAAATCAGGAGAATACAAAGGAAGATACTTCTACCTTTGTAAAGAGAGGTGTGTCTTATGGAAAGCTTCCTAGAGGATATGACACTTGAGTTAAGTCTTAAAGATGAGTAGCTGAGTAGACAAAAGAAGTCGCTGGTTATTAGAGAAAGAACACTGAATAGGCTGGGTGCAGTGGCTCATGCCTGTAATCCCAGCACTTTGGGAGACCAAGTCAGGCAGATCACGAGGTCAGGAGATCGAGACCATTGTGGCTAACACGGTGAAACCCCATCTCTACTAAAAATACAAAAAATTAGCCAGGCGTGGTGGCATGTGCCTGTAGTCCCAGCTACTTGGGAGCTGAGGCAGGAGAATCGCTTGAACCTGGGAGGCAGAGGTTGCAGTGAGTGTCGAGATCGCGCCACTGTACTCCTGCCTGACGACAGAGTGAGAATCCGTCAAAAAAAAAAGAAAGAACACTTAATAAATGTATGCAGAGGCCCAATGTGTAAGAGATACTGACATATAGGAACATAGGCTTTCAGCTGAGTTTATATCTCATTTACTCATTTTTGTGATTTTGGTCTCATCCCAGAAGTGTTTTAATATTGGGGGTACTTTAATATTGTAAAAGAAAGAAACAGAAATAGTAGTAGATGATTGCATCAAGGGAAAGAGGGTAGAGGGTTAGTTCTTCATATTGTCCATTTCTTTTTTTAATTGATTCTTTAGCAACTCTCAGCTTTGTTAGCGTACTTTTTTCTGCACTTTGCAGTTTCCAGGAGAAAGATCTTTTACATTCTGAAAGCCACATCCTCTTGGGAACTTTATTTTTATTACCAAACTTGATGCCTGGAATATAGTAGGCATGCATTCAATTAATATTCTTTGAATAACTATCTCTTCTCTTCCCTCCTAGCTTTCACTGGGCAGCCTTCTCAAATAAATGCTCTGTATTCCCAATTTTCTTTTCCCACACCACTCAATATTTCTTGTGTTTGAGTAACTTACTGATTGCACTAGGAATTATTATAGACAGAATCAACAAGACTGGGAAACTAACAACGTAAGAGTCTTAAGAGGAATGAAAGATGACTCTTGATTAGTGTATTAGGTTTTTAGGGCCACTGTGACAGCTTACGAGCTTGGTGGCTTAAAATCACAGAAAGTTGTTCTGTCACATTTCTGGAGGCCAGAAGCCTGATATTAGGTGTGTTCTCTCAGAAGGCTCCAGGGAGAATCCTGCCTTACCTCTTCCAGCTTGTGGTGGCTCCAAGCGTTCATTGGCTTCTGGCAGCAGAACTGTACTCTCTATCCCTGTCTTCATTCACTTAACTGTACTCTCTATCCCTGTCTTCATTCACTTAACTGTACTCTCTATCCCTGTCTTCATTCACTTTGCTTTCTCCCCTGTGTCTTTGTCTCCTTCTGCCTTTCTCCTAGGACACTTGTCATTGGATTTAGGCCCCACCCTAAATCCAGGATCCTTAATTACATCTGCAAAGATCCTTTTTCCAAATAAAGTCACATTCATGGTTCTAGGGTCAGGACTTGGACATATCTTTTGGGGGGCCATTATCTATTCAATTTACTACAGTAAACCGCCAGAGAGTATGTAGCTGATGAAATGGAGGTTATTCTCTTGGATGCAAGGGGATAATGTACGGCGAACCAACAGCATGAAAACAATTCCGAAATCGTTCTATTTAGAAAGAGAGTGATAGCTGGGCACAGTGGCTCATGCCTGTAATCCCAGCACTTTGGGAGGCTAAGGCAGGTGGATCACCTGAGGTCAGGAGTTCGGTTCAAGACCAGCTTGGCCAGTATGGTGAAACCCCGTCTCTACTAAAAATACGAAAATTAGCCAGTCATGTTGGCGGGTGCCTGTAATCCCAGCTACTCAGGAGGCTGAAGCAGGAGAATCACTTGAACTCGGTGGGTGGAGGTTGCAGTGAGCCGAGATTGCGCCACTGCACTCCAGCCTGGGTGACAGAGTGAGACTCCGTCTCAAAAAAAAAAAAAAAAAAAAGTGATAAATTGCAGATATTTTCAATTCTTTTTTTTTTTTTCTCACTGTTGCCCAGGCTGAAGTGTAGTGGCGTGATCTCGGCTTACTGCAGCCTCCGCCTCCTGGATTCAAGCTATTTCGGCTAATTTTTATATTTTTAGTAGAGACAGGGTTTCACCATATTGGCCAGGCTGGTCTCGAACTCCGGACCTCAAGTGATCTGCCCACCTCAGCCTCCCAAAGTGCTAGGATTACAGGCGTGAGCCACCACGCCCCAGCCCAATTCATTTTTTAAAATATATATTTAAGTTTTTTAACTTGGTCAGGTGAGTTTAGTTGGAGATAATGCTCTCTTAGCTGTATTCATCTTGAAGAATCCTCAGTTTAACGTTTGTATTAAAACTTTAAATTTGCAAAATGCTACTACATTTTATCATTTGAGCCTCATGACATTCCTCTGAAGTAGGAATGCTATTTTTTTTCCCTAGTGCCTTTTTTTTTTTTTTTTTTTTAAAATAGAGATGGGGTCTCAGTATGTTGCCCAGGCTGGTCTTTAAACTCCTTGCCTCAAGTGATTCTCCCACCTCCACCTCCCAAAGTGCTGGGATTATAGGTGTGAGCCCCTGGCCTGTATTTTCATTTTGCAATTTTATACATGTGGAAGTGGAGCTCAGTCTCCATAACTAACTTGCTTGAGGTCACAGGTTATGAAATTATCCAGATGGATTTGAACACTGGTGTTAAAACTGTAAAGCCTGTTGTTTATTAATTTTCTGTTTGAAAAGGGCAGACTTTATTTTTTCATGTTTCACGGTTTTTCAGTTTGTAATGTAATTACAAAATGGCTAGTTTTTTTGTATTTTTGGTAGAGACAGGGTTTCACCATATTGCCCAGGCTGGTTTTGAACTCCTGAGCTCAAGCAGTCCGCCTGCCACGGCCTCCCAAGGTACTGGGATTACAGGCGTGAGCCACCATGCCTGACTTGCGTTTTCACATATTTTAAATTAAAGCTGTTTGGCTTGTGGTTGTAAAAATAGAATCATCACTAATATTGACGAATCCTGCAATTAGTGGGAAGTTGGTTTAGGACAAGGAAAATGAACTCCAGTAGAATACCCAGCACCTACTCGTATTTCTTGTGAAGGACTCTTTGCCTTAAAATGCAAGAGGACTTAATTAGATTCTTGGGCCCCACGAAAGACGTGCTAAGTCTCTGGGATGGGGCTTCAGGAATCTGCCTTTTTTTTAATTTTTATTTTTGGAGATAAGGTTTCACACTGTCACCCAGGCTGTAGTGCAGTGGGACGATAACATCTCAGCCTCCTGAACTCAGGTGATCCTCCCTCCTCATCTTCCAAGTAGCTGAGACTACTGCCATGCACCACCATACCCAGCTTATTTTTTGTAGAGGTGCCATGTTGCCCAGGCTGGTCACGAACTCCTGGGCTCAAGCAGTCACTCCTCCTGCCTTGGCTTCCCGAAGCACTGGGTTATAGGTGTGAGCCATCACACCCGGCAAGGAATCTGCATTTTTAATGGGTACTACTTATAATTGTTACCTCATTGACTTGGTATTTAAATATTCAGCTCTCACAATGGTGTCCTACTGAGGGACAGTGACTCCGACCCTGAGTAAAGGAAGAAGGTAAGGTATTGGTAGCAACTCTAATAGCAGCATTAATAAGTGTAGTGATTTGTATTAATTACAGAGTGGTAATGATCTGTGTATATCCAAGATATCCACACCAGGCCTTAAAAAACAATGTTTTGCACATCATTAAACAAATATTCATTAAACAAATTCATTATTCATTAAACAAATATTCATTATTCATTAAATTATTAAATTATTCATTTTTCATTAAATATTTCATGAATACTAGCTCAACAGATCATTCTAGGTGCTTTGGAGGATGAAAAGATGAATAGGAATACAGATCTTGCCCTGAAAGAACTTTGTTTATAAATGTTGTAAAAACAGGCATTTAAATAACTGTAGTGTAAGATAAAAGTTAGTACATAGTAATTGTCATTTCAGAGATAACATATTCTGAAGTCCATTAAGGGAAAGATCACATCCAGAGAAATACTAGAAGAGGTGGAGGGTGTGCATGGCTTTCTGTTTGTTTAGGAAAACAAGTAAATAACTCTCCAAAGTCTCAGGGTAATTCTTTGTGTTGGACTTTTTCTTTTTTCTTAAGCCTTCTCAAACCTATCAGGTTTAAGATTCTAGTTAGTGATATTTCCTACTTGCGATAGCTGAGAAAATTTGAGGTGCAAGACTTGACCAACCTTCTCTTGAGTGTGTTCGAGGATGGGAGACTTGAATGCATGTGTCAAAAGATGTCCATGGAGAAGCAGGTAATAAAGATGCAAGAAAAACGAGTTGCTAGATCTCCAAACAGGGAGAGAGGGCTGAGATCTAGTTTTGGTTGGTAAAGGAATATAGTACTTCTCTAGCATTAAAGAAAGGATAAACTACATGGACATCTAGAGGAAACTTCAAGTGAAGAAGTGATCCATGTTGGATTTTTGTCTTTGTTTGTTTAATTAAATAATAATACTGTTAAGTTTTTACATAGTGCTTCCTACATGTTTTCAGTGCTTTATATAGGTTAACTGGTTTAATTCTCACAACTCTTGTTGTGAAGTATGTATTGTTCTTATCCTCATTTTGAAAATGATTGCGTGCAAAGGCCAAGTAGTTTTTCCAAAATCACCCAGGTAGTGCTTTTAACCACTACACAATGCTGACAGTTCAATCAGCATCTCTGGAGGTGTGAGGCCTGAGCATCAGTTTGGGTTGCTTTTTGTTTTTGTTTTTTGGGTCTTTTTTTTTTTTTTTTTTTTTTTTATTGATCATTCTTGGGTGTTTCTCGCAGAGGGGGATTTGGCAGGGTCACAGGACAATAGTGGAGGGAAGGTCAGCAGATAAACAAGTGAACAAAGGTCTCTGGTTTTCCTAGGCAGAGGACCCTGCGGCCTTCCGCAGTGTTTGTGTCCCTGGGTACTTGAGATTAGGGAGTGGTGATGACTCTTAAGGAGCATGCTGCCTTCAAGCATCTGTTTAACAAAGCACATCTTGCACCGCCCTTAATCCATTCAACCCTGAGTGGATACAGCACATGTTTCAGAGAACACAGGGTTGGGGGTAAGGTCACCGATCAACAGGATCCCAAGGCAGAAGAATTTTTCTTAGTACAGAACAAAAGGAAAAGTCTCCCCTGTCTACCTCTTTCTACACAGACATGGCAACCATCCGATTTCTCAATCTTTTCCCCACCTTTCCCCCCTTTCTATTCCACAAAACCGCCATTGTCATCATGGCCCGTTCTCAATGAGCTGTTGGCTATACCTCCCAGACGGGGTGGTGGCCGGGCAGAGGGGCTCCTCACTTCCCAGTAGGCGCGGCCGGGCAGAGGCGCCCCTCACCTCCCGGACAGGGCAGCTGGCCGGACGGGGGGCTGACTCCCCCCACCTCCCTCCTGGATGGGGCGGCTGGCTGGGCAGAGGGGCTCCTCACTTCCCAGTAGGGGCGGCCGGGCAGAGGCGCCCCTCACCTCCCGGACGGGGCGGCTGGCCAGGCGGGGGGCTGACCCCCCCACCTCCCTCCCGGACGGGGCGGCTGGCCGGGCGGGGGGGCTGACCCCCCCACCTCCCTCCCGGACGGGGCGGCTGGCCAGGCAGAGTGGCTCCTCACTTCCCAGCAGGGGCGGCCGGGCAGAGGCGCCCCTCACTTCCCGGATGGGGCGGCTGGCCGGGCGGGGGGCTGACCCCCCCACCTCCCTCCTGGACGGGGCGGCTGGCCGGGCGGGGGGCTGACCCCCCTACCTCCCTCCCGGACGGGGCGGCTGGCCGGGCAGAGTGGCTCCTCACTTCCCAGTAGGGGCGGCCGGGCAGAGGCGCCCCTCACTTCCCGGACGGGGCGGCTGGCCGGGCGGGGGGCTGACCCCCCCACCTCCCTCCCGGACGGGGCGGCTGGCCGGGCAGAGTGGCTCCTCACTTCCCAGCAGGGGCGGCCGGGCAGAGGCGCCCCTCACTTCCCGGATGGGGCGGCTGGCCGGGCGGGGGGCTGATCCCCCCACCTCCCTCCCGGACGGGGCGGCTGGCCAGGCAGAGTGGCTCCTCACTTCCCAGTAGGGGCGGCCGGGCAGAGGCGCCCCTCACTTCCCGGACGGGGCGGCTGGCCGGGCGGGGGGCTGACCCCCCCACCTCCCTCCCGGACGGGGCGGCTGGCCGGGCAGAGTGGCTCCTCACTTCCCAGCAGGGGCGGCCGGGCAGAGGCGCCCCTCACTTCCCGGATGGGGCGGCTGGCCGGGCGGGGGGCTGATCCCCCCACCTCCCTCCCGGACGGGGCGGCTGGCCGGGCAGAGTGGCTCCTCACTTCCCAGTAGGGGCGGCCGGGCAGAGGCGCCCCTCACTTCCCGGACGGGGCGGCTGGCCGGGCGGGGGGCTGACCCCCCCACCTCCCTCCCGGACGGGGCGGCTGGCCGGGCAGAGGGGATCCTCACTTCCCAGCAGGGGCGGCCAGGCAGAGGCGCCCCTCACTTCCCGGATGGGGCGGCTGGCCGAGCGGGGGGCTGACCCCCCCACCTCCCTCCCGGACGGAGTGGCTGGCCGGGCAGAGGGGCTCCTCACTTCCCAGTAGGGGCAGCCGGGCAGAGGCACCCCTCACCTGCCGGATGGGGCGGCTGGCCGGGCGGGGGGCTGATCCCCCCACCTCCCTCCCAGACGGGGCGGCTGGCCGGGCGGGGGGCTGACCCCCCCACCTCCCTCCCGGACGAGGTGGCTGCCGGGCAGAGACGCTCCTCACTTCTCAGACAGGGTGGCTGCCGGGCAGAGGGGCTCCTCACTTCTCAGACAGGGCAGTTGCCAGGCAGAGGGTCTCCTCACTTCTCAGACGGGGCGGCAGGGCAGAGACGCTCCTCACATCCCGGACGGGGCGGCAGGGCAGAGGTGCTCCCCACATCTCAGACGATGGGCGGCCGGGCAGAGACGCTCCTCACTTCCCAGATGTGATGGCGGCCGGGAAGAGGCGCTCCTCACTTCCTAGATGGGATGGCGGCCGGGCAGAGACGCTCCTCACTTTCCAGACTGGGCAGCCAGGCAGAGGGGCTCCTCACATCCCAGACGATGGGCGGCCAGGCGGAGACGCTCCTCACTTCCCAGACGGGGTGGCGGCCGGGCAGAGGCTGCAATCTTGGCACTTTGGGAGGCCAAGGCAGGCTGCTGGGAGGTGGAGGTTGTAGCGAGCCGAGATCACGCCACTGCACTCCAGCCTGGGCACCATTGAGCACTGAGTGAACGAGACTCCGTCTGCAATCCCAGCACCTCGGGAGGCCGAGGCTGGCGGATCACTCGCGGTTAGGAGCTGGAGACCAGCCCGGCCAACACAGCGAAACCCCGTCTCCACCAACCTTTTTTTTTTTTTTTTTGGTGTGGATTGAAAACTACTAATGGATAGAAAATGATTGGGGATTGGAGCTACTTCACATGGAATGGCAAAGGACGGCATCTGTAATGTGGAGTGTCTGTCTACGTGGAGAGAAAGGGGGAGGATGTGCACAGGCCTTGTTCTTGGTGCAGAATGAAAGCCATTGGCAGGAGATAGTTTTTTCCCCCCATTTCAAATTGGGTTTTTATCAGAGATCCCAGCATAAATTTTTTTAAAAGAGTAGATAGTTGCTTTTTCTTTAATTTTCCATTTCTGTTGGAAAAGTAGCAACAATAACAAAAATAACTGTTTATAGGGGATTCCTTTCTAGAAGTTGTTTTTTGGTAAAGATTTAAATCCAGGCTTTCTATTCGTCCTCCTTTTGAAAAAAAAAAAAAGTTTTGGAATTTGCCAGCCTTTACTCAAAAGCCATTTTTGTTTGTTCTCATTCTGTTTAATTCTGTGATTAAATAACAAACATGGGCTATGTCTCAGTCTTTTTTTTGCTGATTCCTCTTTACATGTGGCTTATCTTCATCCTGAATGTCTTTCTTGAAATCTGTACTCACATATTCACTTGTCTACTCAGCTTTGTCTCTTGGGTGACTAATAGACATCTCAACTCAAAATAACCAAACTGGAACTGATGATCTGTCCACTCTCAATCTGCTCTACCTACATCTCCCATCTCACTGAACTTTCTGTTTGATCAGGCAAAACATTGGATCATTCTTAACACACTTCTCTTTCTCAAAAAATTCACACTGTCAACACATTCTCTTGGCTCTGCCTCACAAATTCAATTTGAACTACCCCCAATGCAACCACCCTGGTCCAAGTCACCATTTCTAGCCTTATTGAGAAAGCTCCTTACTGGTTCACGGTTTTTTTTGTCTTTTTTTTTTTTGAGGCAGGGTCTCACTCCATCATCCAGGCTGAAGTGCAGTGGTGTGATCTCGGCTCGCTGCAACCTCCACCTCCCAGGTTCAAGCGATCCTCCCACCTCAGCCCCCATGTAACTGGGACTAAGGTGTGCACCACCATGCCTGGCTAAGTTTTTTGTATTTTTTTTGTAGAGACAGGGTTTCACCATGTAGTCCAGGCTGGTCTTGAACTCCTGGGCTCAAGTAGTCCACCTACCTTGGCCTCCCAAAGTGCTAGGGAAGGCATGAGCCACCACACCTGCCTTCTTTGCTTCTACTCTCATCTGCTTCTACTTGTAAGTTCTCATTGTAGCAGCCAGTAGGCCTTTTGGAATTTAAGTAAAATTATATTACTTCTCTGCTGAAAACTCTCCAGTGAATCCCCTATTTTATCTCAATAAACTTACAGAGTTCTTTAGGTTCTGTGTGATTAGGCCCCTGTCATTCCTATATCCTAGTTCCTAGGGGCATGACTCTCCCTGCCTCCTGTGCTTTAGCCACATTGGCCTCATTGCAGTTTCTCTAAAATGTGCCACCTTAGAACTTTTCTTCTTAACTGTTTCCTTGGTGTGGAATAATACTCTTCTCTCAGTGATCCACTGGCCTATTTCCTCACCTCCTTTAAACCTTCATTTAAATCTCACCTTCTCCATGAGGGACTACCTGGTTAAATAACACATCTTCCTCCTTCCCTCCACCCCAGCGTTTCAGGTCCTACATCCTTGCCCTGCTCTGCTTTTTCTTTTTACCATAGCATTTAACACCCTGCAACTGATTCTATTTCTCTCCCTCTTCTGTATACATGTACACATTTGTGCACACATGTTGGGAAAAAACAAGTTTATAGTCTTTCATCCCATTCCACAAGTTTGTGAGCCTTTGTCTTTGCACTGGAGATACATGTGGCTAATGCTGAAAATGAATGGATCATGGTTCATGCTTTTAGGGAGCTTAAAGTGTAAACAGACATAGTAATAGTGTTTTACTATTGATGGTAGCAACAAACATTTGTTGAATTCTTTTTTGAAACTTTACTATGTGCCAGACACTGTTTTAAGACTTACAGTGGATTAACTTATTTAATGTTCTCAAGTATCCTATTAGATAGGTGTTATTAACCTACTTCTTACAGGTTAGGAAACTGAGGCACTAAAAAGATAACTACAGATGGTCTCTGTCTTTTGATGGTTTGACTTAGCAATTTTTCAACTTTACAGTGGTGCAAAAGTGACATTCAGTAGAAACTGTATTTCAGATTTTGATCTTTTATTTTTACTATTTTTATTTTATTTTAGAGACAGGGTCTTGCTTGTCACTCAGGCTCGAATACAATGGCTCAGTCATAGCTCACTGCAACCTCAAACTCCTAGGTTCAAGCAATCCTCTGTCCTTAGCCTCTTGAGTAGCTAGGACTACAAGATGTGCTACCATGCCTTGATTTTTTTTTTTTTTTTTTTTTTTTGGAGACAGAGCCTTGCTGTGTCGCCCAGACTGGAGTTCAGTGGCACGATCTCGGCTCACTGCAGCTTCCACTTCTCGGGTTTAAGCAATTCTCATGCCTCAGCCTCTTGAGTAGCTGGGAGTTTTTTTTTTTTTTTTTTTAAGATGGAGTTTCGCTTTTGTTGCCCAGGCTGGCACGCAGTGGCGCAATTTCGGCTCACTGCAACCTCCGCCTACTGGGTTCAAGCGATTCTCCTGCCTCAGCCTCCTAGTAACTGGGATTACAGGTGCCTGCCACCACATCCAGCTACTTTCTGTATTTTTAGTAGAGATAGGGTTTCACCATGTTGGCCAGGCTGGTCTTGAACTCCTGACCTCGTGATCCACCCGCCTCGGCCTCTCAAAGTGCTGGGATTACAGGTATGAGCCACCACGCCCGGCCTAATTTTTAAATTTTTTTATACCTATGGGGTCTCACTATGTTACCCAGGCTGGTCTAGAACTCCTGGCCTCAAGTGATCCTCCTGCCTCAGCCTCCTAAAGTGCTGGGATTACAGGTGTGAGCCACCATGCTCAGTGACCTATCACTTTTATAAGTTATAGGGAAAAAAATTCTCTATATTTTCTTCGTATTACTATACTTTGTGATATGATGGATTCATTGTTTTACATTTCTAAACAGATACTCAGATGTTAAATTTATCCATGAAAAGAAAACGTTATTAAAATTTTAAAGCTCTAAATAATAAATCATCAAGGCCAATTAGTAGAGTTAGAAAGAAACTTGATGATTGTCTGGCTCAATTCTCTGATTCTCTGTACATATAGTAAAATTATGTCCAAAAAGATGAAATAATATATGGAAAGTTACACAGTTGGTTAAACCCCTCCCATCTTCTAAAGGTAGTGAGGAAAATTCAGAATTAGCTGTATATGCAAATTTTCTCTCTCTTATCAGTCAACAATTTAGACAAGTTTTCTAGTAAGAAGGGTATGAGGACAGACAGAGGCTTGCTTTGTACCTGCTGTGTGCTAGGGACACACTCTTGCAAGTGATTTCTGTCCTAATAGAGCTGGGGGTCACGTTCTGTTATGGGAGAGCCTATAAAGCATGATACAATTAATAAAAATAATAGCTTTATTTGAGGGCCTTCCTGTTCTACACACTGTGCTTTTTGAGAGGTGATGGTTGTTTGTGAGATTCAGTATCTGGGATAATAAGATAGGCGTTGAAAAAAGAAAAAGGGAAAAAAGTCAGCATCCAACTGGAGAAGCAGAACCAGCAGGATATATGTGTGCATGTGATTAGATAGATAGAGATGGGAGTTGAAATTGAAATTGATTGTTTATTTGGTTTATGTGATTTTGGGGGCTGGACAAGCAAGTCTGAAATCCTCAGGACAGGCTGTAACCCACAGGTATGGCTAAAGTTGCTGTCCACAGGTGGAATTATTTCTTCTCTCTAGGAAGCCCCTGTCGCACTTAAAGTCAGCTGATTATGGATTTTTATTACTTGTATGATGCCTTCACAGCAACGCCTAGATTAGTGTTTGATTGCATAACTAGGGTAGGGCCTAGCCAAACTGATGCATCAAAAAGACCGTCATTTTGTTTTCATTTTTATTGAAGTATATTATGCACACAGAAAAATGCATATATACTAAGTGTATAGCTCAAATAATTGTTATAAACTGGACACACTCAGGTAACCAGTACTGTACAGGGTCCCTTTTGTATCTATATATTTAATTTGCTTCTTATAACAGTTCATTGAGGTGTAGAGATTTCCTCCATTTTATAGATAAGGATTCTAAGGCTCAGAAAGGTCAAGTACCCTGTGTTACAGCTAATAAGTGACAGAGCTGGGATTCTAATCAGGGTTTTGAGGCATATATAAAGTATTATGGGAGCCCAAGGCTGAAATTGATTCATTCATTGGCGTATATGATTGTGGGGGCTAAACCATTAGTTTTGCTTGGGGATTGGTAGAATCTTTGGAACAGGAATGTTCTACCAAAGAGGGTATATGAAGCTTTGAGTTGTCTTAAAGCATGAATTTAAATTTGCCAGGGAGTGAAAAGTTCCTTTATAAAAGGTACCAGCAAAAAGATATGATATCATTTCAGGGGACAATGGTTTGTTGTTGCTAACTATAGAGTCTTTACACTGTATTGTCATAGTATTAATCTCTTAGAGTAATAATTTTCAGCTCAAAAAGAACCTTGTGTACTGTTTTGAAGAGCTTGAATTTTTATATTTTAGTCAGTGTGACATGAGAGTGAGTTAATTGTATCTGCATTTTAGCAAACATTTTCACAGTGGTTTACAAAATAGGTTAGAAAGGCTGAAGGCAGAAAGATCTGGTTCTTAGTGAGAACCAGAACTAGAGCACTGATGATTCAGAGGAGGGTAGAGCATGGAATTTATGAAGACTTGCAGAGAGAATTGATGAGATTGGTGAACCATTAGAGCTGGATGATGAAAGAAGTGGAGTAATTAAGGATGATTCCAGGTTTCTTTTAAGTATGATCTATTGGGAAACAATTCCAGAGATTAGGAAATACTGAAGGAGAAGCTGTGTTTTGTTCTTTTCTATCATGGGTAGGGTGAATCACAGGTTGATTGGGAGGATGATGAACAAGAGAATGAAAAAGAATGAATTCGGTTCCGTAAGTTTGAGTTTTGGAGCTGAAGGTATTGAAGTGTAAATGTTTAGTAGGCAGTTGGAAATAATTGGAGTGAAGTTAAGGTGGTGGATTTGATAATCACTGACTAATTTATAGAAGTAGGTTGAGGACCAGCCTGGCAACATGGTGAAACCCCATTTCTACTAAAATACAAAAAATTAGCTGGGCTTGGTGGTATACGCTGGTAGTCCCAGCTACTCAGGAGGCTGAGGCAGGAGAATTGCTTGAACCCGGAAGGCGGAGGTTGCAGTGAGCCGAGATTGCGCCACTGCACTCCAGCCTGGGCGACAGAGCGAGACTCCGTCTCAAAAAAAAAAAGAAAGAAAAAAGAAATAGGTTGAGGCCACGGGACTGGATTCGTCCTCTCAAATGAAAAGTAATGAAAGGCAGAGTGGAGAGTGTTGAGGAAGACCTCCAGTATTTTCAGGGTTATATGGAAGAAGAGGAGTTGGTTGTCATAGAATTAAGACATCAAGGAGATAATTGTAGCCTGACAAAGCCAGAAGAGATTATTTTCAAGGAGGTTGTAGGCAGATACATTATATAGATACAGTTTATGGACACAAATATATTTGTCTTCAATAAATTGTGCTGGGAAAACTGGATAGCCATGTGCAGGAATAAATTAGACCTCTGTCTCTCACCATATAGAAAAATCAGCTCAAAGTGGATGAAAGACTTTGGTCTTTCAAAACTAGACCCAAAACTGTAAAACTACTAGAAGAAAATATTGGGAAAATGCTTCAGGACATTGGTCAAGGCAAAGATATTATGGATAAGTCTTCAAAAGCACAAAAAGCAAACAAAAAGGCAACAAAAGCAAAATAGACAAATGGGATTATATCAAACTAAAATCCTTCACAGCAAAGGAAACAATCAATAGAGTGAAAACACAACTTTTAGAATGGGATAAAATATTTGCAAACTATTTATCTTACAAGGGATTCATATACAAGGAACTCAACAATAAAAAAAAAATCTGATTTAAAAATGAGGGAAGGATCTGAATGGACATTTCTCTAAAGAAGATACACAAATGGCCATCAAGTATATGAAAAAATGCTCAGCATCAGTAATCATCAGGGAAATGCAAGCCAGTACCGCAGTGAGATAACATCTCATCTTAGTTAGAATGGCTATTATCAAAAAGACAAAAAAGAACATGCTGGTGAGGATTCAGAGAAAAGAGAATTCTTATACACTGTTGATGGGAATTTAAATTATAGTCACTAAGAGAAACAATATCAAGATTCCTCCAAGAACTAAAAACAAAACTACCATATGATCCAGCAGTCCCACTACTGGGTATTTATCCAAAGGAAAATAAATCATTATATCAAAGTAGTGTTAATATCTGCACTCCCATGTTTGTTGCAGCACTATTCACAGTAGCCAAGATATAGAATCAACCTAAGTGTCCAGCAGTAGATGAATGGATAATGAAAATGTGGTAAATATACACAATGGAATACTATTCAGCCATAAAAAAGGATGAAATCCTGTCATTTGTGGCAACATGGGTGAGACTGCAGGACGTTATGTAAAGTGAAATAAGTCAGGTACAGAAAAGTAAATACTGCATGTTCTCGTATCCACAATAAGTAGTAGCTTAAAAAGTTGAGCTCATAAAGGCAGAAAGTAGAATTGTGGGTATTAGAGGCCGGGAAGGGTAGGGGAAAGGTGAGGATAGGGAGTGGTTGGGTAATAGGTACAAAATTACAGCAGGAATAAGTTCTCCTGTTCTATAGTACTATAGGGTGACTATGATTAATAATTTCTTGTATATTTTCAAATAGCTACAAGAGAGGATTTTTGAATGTTACCAACATAACAAAAAATGATAAATGTTTGAGGTGAACAGATATGCTGATTACCCTGATTGATTTACACATTGTATACATGTATATCACTCTTATAAATAAGTACAATTATATGTCAATTAAAATTTAAAAAAAAATTTTAAGAACACGGAAACTAGGTGTAGTGGCACATGCCTGTAGTCCCAGCTACCTGAGAGGCTAAGGTGGTAGGATCTCTTGAGCTCAAGAGTTTTTGGCCAGCCTGGGCAACATAGTGAGACCCTACCTCTTTTTAATAAAAAAAAAAAAAAAAAAAAAGAGGAAGAAGAAGAATATGGAATCCTGAAAATGAGGAACCAAAGAAATAAGCATTTTCTGTATTTAACCAACACTTAGTCAGAATGAGATTAGTATTACTAGAGTGATATATATTCTCTCTTGTGAAGTGGGAAAGGGTTTTCTGGTTCTTCTATCACTTAAATGATTACCAAACTCTTAGATGATTCTTGAAGTCTCTCAAGAAAACATGTGATTTCTAACTATATATATTTTTTCTATACCATATGAAAAAATTGGGGATGTTAAATAATTGCTCACCTATTTTGAACTTTCACACCTTTTAAAAGATCATTTTTCTTTCATGCTAGGTTTTGGACATAGAGCAAATTCCTTTGGTATGCTTGATAACTAACTCTTTTAACTTAGAAAAACTGTTCTTTTGTCTTCTGTCCTACACCTGAAAGTCTGTTCAAAAGAGTTAAAAATTGGGTAAAATGAGTTTGACTTTGGGCCTTTTGTAATAGAACAAAGAAGAAAACTGTAAGATCACATGTTTTGAAATTCCAGTTTCTTTTCACTGTCATTTCTTCAGAAAGATTTTCTCCATCCCAGCCGGGCATGGTAGCTCATGCCTATAATCCCAGCATTTTGGGACGCCGAGGGGGATGGATCACCTGAGGTCAGGAGTTTGAGACCAGCCTGGCCAACATAGCAACACCCTGTCTCTACTAAAGATACAAAAATTAATCGGGCATGGTGGTGTGCGCCTGTTATGCCAACTACTTGGGAGGCTGAGGCAGGAGAATTGCTTGAACCTGGGAGACGGAGTTTGCAGTGAGCTGAGATCAAGCCACTGCACTCCAGCCTGGGTGACAGAGCAAAACTTCATCTCAAAAAAACAAACAAACAAACAAAAAAAGATTTTCTTCATTCCTTTTGTCTAAATTAAGTATCATTTGTTTGTTTTTTGAGAGAGTCTCATTCTGTTACCTACCCTGGAGGTCAGTGGTGTGATCATAGCAGCCTTGAACTCCTGGGTTCAGACTATCCTCCCACCTCAGTCTCTCAAGTAACTGGAACTACAGATGCGCACCACCACACCCATCTTTTTTTTTTTGTCTTTTTTTGTTTTAAAAGACTGTCTCCCTATGTTGCCCAGGCTGGTCTTGAACTCCTGGGCTCAAGGCCTACCTTGGCCTCCCAAAGTGCTCGGATTACAGGCTTGAGCCACAGCACCAAGTTTGTTACCCTTTCTCATAGCATTCTATTTTCTTTCAAATCAGTCATTATAATTATTTCAAATTATTCATATACAGTATATTATTTCAGTATTCAGTTTGTTTAATTTCTCTACCTGAACTAGACTGTAAGCTCTGTACACAGGAACCATGTTGGTTTTCCACACTACTGTATTTTCAAGTCCTAGTGCAGTGATACTTAGCATTCAATAAAGACTTTGAGTAAGTGAGTGAATGAATGAATGAATGGTGACTGCTTTTAGTATTTTTAGAAGTGCAGGATGCTATCAATTAAGCAGCCTTTGTCTAGTGTGAGGATGAGGAAATGTTTCTTAGAGGACTTGAAAATGAGTAAGAAGGGGGTATGGTATTCAGTATCCAATTTTCCTTAGAGGGCAAGTAGGATGAATATAGAAAATTTTCCTTTGAATTTAGAAATGTGGGAGTCATTCATGACCGTAACGGGGTCAATTTTAATAGAGTGAAGGAATGCAATTCAGATTCCATTTGCTTGTGAAATGAATTAGCGAGAAAACAGAGCAAGGAGCTTTTCCCAGAAAAGTAGATCTCAGACACTTATTGCTGGCTTATTTGTTTGTTCATAGGGGAGTATGATAAAATGAACTATTAACTATGCTTTAAATATTTTCACTGTAACACAAAAAACAAAAGTGCACAAAAACAGTACTGTAGTAGAGGCTACCAGAAGGACCTGGTTAGTTGTCATCTGTGAGTTTAGCTGCCATATTTATCTTTCACATTGAAATATTAAATGTGTAAGAAAGGGTGAAAATGTACTTTAGATTGGTTTACAGCTTCCACCTAAATCATCAGTCCTCTTATTTTGCAAGAAATTAGAGTACTGAGGAAATCATGGTAGATTATTCACAGTGCACCAGAAACCCTGGCTGCCTCTTTTCCATGTCCTTTTTGTAAAGCATCTTAATTTCTGTGAATTTTGTCTCTTATTTATTTTTTTTTAACTTTCAGGTGTTGGTAAATCATGCTTATTGCTACAGTTTACAGACAAGAGGTTTCAGCCAGTGCATGACCTTACTATTGGTAAGTTTTATAAAAGGGATGAGAAGCACTAAAAGTTTTGGATAGTTTAAATGGAAAATGCTAGAAGGTCCATTCTACTAGTGATGATGCTAAAATCAGTGAAACTGGATTTGTTGTTACGCTGTTTAATCTCTGTCACTTTTTTAAAAATATGTGTAGTAAAAATAAATATTACCTAACTTTGTAGAAGTGGTTAAAGAAGCTACTGCTGAAAGACAGTAGTTTTTAAGATTTCAATTGTAATTAGCGATGAAACAATTTAAGAGACAGTATCCAAGCATGGTAAGAGCAGAAACTTTGACTCAGCTTGCTGGAAGTTAAATCAAGTCTCTGCTACTAACTTGCTGTGCAAGCCATTTCCCCGTTTCATGTCTCAGTTTCTCTTTCTGTTCAATGAGAGTAGTAGTACCAATCACATGAAGTTACTGTGAGCAGTGAGTTAGTAAATGTAAACCATTCAAGTGCCTGGCAATGTGGAAAGTGCTCTAGACTTTCTCATAATTATTAACTGAGAAAAAATACCACTGGGCATTTTGTATTTTCCTCAGTTGTAAAGAGTAAATGAAATAGTTACTGGTAAGAAATAGTCAACAAATATTAGCTGTTATTATTTAAAATAGTGATTTTCCATTGTATTAATATGCAAAGGAAAAAATTAAGATGAGTGAAAAGCTAAAAACTTTAGGTAATCTTACTGTTTCGGGTTTTTATTTGTTTAAAAATTATATTCTGAAAGCTGAAGAATCTAGCTGGATTATTCTTCTGTGGCTGTAGCCCATTAACAACTAGAAATTAGTCAAATATGAAGACGAGATAATTGGAAATCTAGTCATTCTTTACAACGAATTGCTTAATGAATCTTTTTAGCCACTGACTGCTCATTTTCTGCTGACATTATTAATTTACTATTTATAGCATGTTGATCCTTATGTTCTGTGTGTTTTTAAAATACCAAATCAGAGATAGAGCTCATGAATCACATTATTAATTAATAGTTTTCAACCAAGCTACAGGTATAGTACTTTGTGGATATATTGAAATCTTTTGTTAGCAACTACTGTCATTAAGACTATCCGTATTCTATTTTACTTTTGATAGTTTTAAGTGTATACAATAATGATGGGTAAAACAGGTAACTCATGCTGGTCCTGATAACTTTGTTTTAACATTTTGTTTTGTTTTTTGAGAAAGAGTCTCGTTTTGTAGACTAGAGTGAGGTGCGGTGGTGCAATCACAGCTCACTGCAGCCCCCAAATCCCTGGCTCATTATCTTCCCATCTCAGCTTCCCAGGTAGCTAGGACTACAGGCGTGCACTACCATGCCTGGCTAATTTTTTGTGTTTTTGGTAGAGACAGTGTTTTGCCTTGTTGCCCAAGCTGGTTTCGCACTCCTGGGCTCAGGCGATCTGCCGGCCTTGGCCTCCCAAAGTGCTGGGATTACAGGTGTGAGCCACCGCACTGGCCTGTTTAATGAGCTCTCTTCGCTGCCCTCTCTATAGGATTTGCTCTTTGCTTAATAGGTTTGAAACTAGCCAACTTTAGGCATGACTCATTTCTAAGACAACTGGCAAAACAGTTGTATTTAGTATAGGATACTAAACAACAGTGTTCTTCCTTTTCTTAGAATCTTATGTATAAATTTCTAAGTTGGTATGGCACACCGAGTGGAGAGGATGGACCTGAGCCTGCTGTCAGAAGTTGACTTAAGCCCAGCGTGTCCAACCCACAACCTGCATGCAGCCCAGGACAGTTTTGAATGAGGCCCAACACAAATTCATATATTTTCTTGAAACACTATGAGATTTTTTTTGTTTTTTGTTTTTTGTTTTTTTTTTTTAGCTCATCACCTGTCAGTGTTAGTGTATTTTATGTGTGGCCCAAGACAGTTATTCTTCCAGTGTTGCCCAGAGAAGCCAAAAGATCAGACACCTCTGCCATAGGCTATACTTGCGGGGAAAGAGAAAGGAGTAGACCCAAGAATTGTTTGGAAAACTGTAACTCATATAAACTGCCAGCTGGCGTCACACTATGTTTGCTAATGGCAGGCACTGGGAAATAAGAGTCTGAAAGAAAAGAAAAACCAAGGATCTTTTTCTCCTTGGGTTGACTGTGTGTTCTCCATTCCTCTGGCTCCAGCCCCTGCCTGGCAGGCCCAAATGGTCTGGTTCTTGAGCTCTGATAATCTTTTTCCGTGTCATCTTTCCAGCCTAGGGGTGGTAGCAGCTTCCTGCTGTTTGTAATCTCTGGGTTTATACCCCATCTCTTCTTTGGGTTTTTGGGGGCTTGCTCTTTACTGTAACCAAGTCCCTACATTAAATTCCCTATGCCCTATGTACTTAAGTGTAGTTTCTGTTTTTCTGGTTGCACTGACTGGCATACCGTTTTTTTTCTTTCTAACTTTTACAGTTGGTTGTAAATGACAAAAATTTACCTAGATGGTTTTAAACAAAAGGACAATTTATTATTTTAATATTTAGGTGTGTCTCAACGTGAGGGCAGGGAGCTAGCTGGGTCAGCCTGGAACCAGAGCTCAGAGCTCTTAAGGAGGGAACCCGGGAAATCCTGTTTCTCATTCTCCCATCCTTCCCTCATTGTCTCCCATTCTCTTCTCATGCCTATTTCATTTTTCTCTCTCCCTGTTGACCATTGTTTTTGATTTTCCTGTCTCCATGTTGGGAAATGGCCATTGTCAATAACTCCAAAGTTCATATACCATTCAGGAGAGCAGAGATTCTCTTTAACTCAATTTGAAGTTTCCTAGGGACGAGAGTTCATTGGCTCAATTTGGTTCAGGCTCACTTATCTCTTGTTCTGTCCACTCTTTTCATGGGCCCAGAATCACTTTTGTACAACATGGTTTCCAAATTGGTAGTCGTAGGAGCAATCTGGGTGAGTAGTCATACATAGCCACTACCAGAATTCCCTCACACCTAGCTATTCTATTTAGTCATCATGTCCTTATCTTTTGTCCCCTGTAATGATCAGTTCTCTACTCTGTTTATAAACCATTGACTCCTGAGCTCATGATTCTTCTCAGTCTGCCTCTCTTGCTTTCTCTCTTACTTTTCCCTAACACGTATAGACACTATGTGCCGTCAAGTCTTTGCTGCTTGCTACTCCCTGAATACTTAGTACTTTTTCATACCCTCAATCTTTCTCTTCTCAGAGGATGCCATTGCTTGACATCTCTGCTTATTACAGTTCTTTTCTGAACAACTGTCCATATCCCAAACCATAGCTCCCATTTAAAGGAGGTAAGATTTGTATACCCACGCCTGTGGAGAAATATTGTTAACAGGAAAGGAACAAGTACTGTATAGGCACACAGTTTCAATATAATGCTCCACACCAATAGGGATTCTTAGTAGCTCATGCATTAGAAATCCATTGTTCATAATCAGGATTAGTCCTCCTAAAAAGGCAAAGCAAATTTTATGGAAGATGAATGTAGGAAGTCCCATCTTTTTACCTGCTGTGTGTTAAGGGAAACTACACCCAGTACACATTCATAAAATGGATTGTTTTTTGTTGGGGTCATAGTCCAGCCATGGCTTTAGCAACAGTCTGTTATTAAAGAACAAAGATGGTAGCTAACATGAACTATTTTTTTAAATTGAAATTTTATTTTAGATCCTATAAAGTGAATGTAAATGTGCTCTATACATTCACTATGCAGAGTCTCAATATTTAAGATGTTTCAGGATATTTGAGGTAATGATACTTAAAAAAATTATCTGAAGCAAACAGAATATTTAGGATCATAAAACTGTTCTGAGCATACTGATAGGTGCTTAATGTTCATTGTCGATAATGATAATTACATTGTTTTTACTGAAAACCATTTTTTAAAGTGAAAGCCGACCCAGTTGCTCTTCCTCTGGAAGAGGAAGAGTAAAGGGGTGCTTCTTGCCACTACCACTTATGTAGAGTTGCATATATACATTGAAAGGGTATTCAGTACCACCATTCATTCAGTCAAGCTAAATACAGGCCAGTAGAAGCAGTATTGTTAATGCATGTTTTTGCCTTCATTGGCCCAAGGCCTACTTAACATTTTTGACACCCATCACAGCAATTTATCTTTCAGAGATAAAAAAAAAATAGCAGATTATTATCACATATTTTTAAAAAGAACATTAGAATTTTTGGTAAAATAAGTAGTAAGACAGTATCTTGACTCTGCTGCATACTTGCTTTTGCTGGATGACTAAATGAGGGTGAAAAATTTAAGGTTGGTTTATGACTAAGAAGGTATTAAATGATAGAAAAGAGAAAATAAAAGACCGTAAAAGTTTTTAAAAGCCTCTATACAAATATTCTTTAACCTTTGACTATCTTTGAGTCATAGAAACAGTTTATAAATAGCTTCATGGACACAATTCAGAAGGTACAGACTAGAGCCTTGCTCCTCAAAAGATGGTTCATGTGCTGTTGTGCTGGACCAGCAGCAGCATCAGTATCACGTGGGAGCTTGTTAAAGAACCTACTGAATCATAATTTGCATTTTAACAGGATCGCCAAGTGATTCATATGGGCACTGAAGGTTAAAAAGCACTGGAGGTAATGGCTTTTAAATATTGATTACCCAGCTGGAAATACACTTTATGTGCTTTGCCTTGTGCACACATCCTGGCCTCTCAGTGGCTTTACTTCTCCCCGCCGTGTGATCTTGGTTCCACCCTGCTTCAGCTACTCCCTCCCATAGTTTCTCTCAGAACTCATCATTACCAATATCTGGAACCATTTCAGAATTTAGTTTCATGCATTTGACTATTTGACTTTGTATCCCATCCTTCCTGCTCACTTTCTTTAGTCCCTAATTACTAACAATTTTTTTACCTCATCAGAATTATGCCATTGATTCTAGTATCTTTTCACTCTCATCTCTCTTGTGTTGCTACTTTCCTCCTTACCCAGATTCAACTTTAATAGCTGTGCCCTTATAATCATTCCTGCATGCACCCACAGTTTTCTTGTCCCTCTCATGCTGTATCATAGTCTCGTGGCTAAACCATAGGTTAAATCTAGCCATCTATTCCTGACATTTACAGCTAGACAGGTCTGGAGAAAAGCACAGAGCCATGCTAACTAGTCTCATTTTAATTTCTTGGACACTCACATCAAGTAAATCCTTAGTACTACCTGACAATTGTACTTTTATTTCCATTATATTCACCCTTTAGTTTCCTGTAGAACGATATCATACTTTCTTGCTCTTTAAGCAGACATCTTTGCTATCTTTACTCTCAGCTGATAACCTTGGTTTTGGTTTCACTCAGAAAATAGAGGCAAGTAGAAGAGGATTTTCACAGGTTTCCACCACTGCATTGACCCACCTACCTGCATTGTGCCCTATAAACTAAGCCTTTCCCTTGGTGCTGTGGGTAAACTTAAGTTCTTAGCCAGGGCCTACTGAAGGACACTGCTTTAGTAGTTCTTTTTGCTTTCAGGCATCATTACTTTTTCCTTTTTTGATGGTTATTTTTAATGTCTCTATTTTCTTTTCCAGCTTTTAATCCTTTTCTCTCATATTAGCAAAATTCCACAGAATGAATTGTTCATATTTTCTGTCTACAGTTTCCACCTATTTTATGAACCCATTCCACTTATCCCTCCTCCCCCATGTACAGATCTAGCTACTTACTCAACATCTCCTTCTCTTAGATGTCTAATAGACATCTTAAACTGAACATGTCCCAAATAGTTTCTGATTTTTCCTTCTCAAGTCTTAAGATGAGTGTATATGTACATACCCATATTCATACCCATACCGCATTCATACCCATCCTCCCACCTAGATTTACTGTTCTTAACATTTTAAACAAGTAAATATAAGTAAATAGATTTTCCCCCACCAATAAAAAGTAAGGTCCATGACAGCAGATGGTTCTCTGTTTTGTTTATTGCTGTATCTGCACCTGGTACATACTAGGGACTTTAAAAATATTTGCTAAATATACTACCTACTTAGTGGAGGAAAACTTCATAAAGCTGTACTTGCCATTGCAGGGCTTAATGCTTGCATTCCTATATGTTATACTATTCAGTTATGTTGTTTACAAATAAGGCACAGCCCACTAATTCCCACTACATTTATTTCACTACCTACAAATGGACAGTTTGACCAATGTTAGTCTAGCGGCTAGGCCATCTATATGTTGATTTCACCTTCTTACCTATCTCTCCCACTTCCTTAAACCAGTCAGCCTATAAGAAATGATTGCTGGGCTCATGCCTATAATCCCAACACTTTGGGAGGCAGAGGCAAGAGGATCGCTTGATGCCACATGTTTGAGACCAGCCAGGGCAACAAAGCAAGATCCCATCTCTACAAAAAGTTTAAAAACTAGTCAGGCATGGTGGCACACACCTGTAGCCCCAGCTACTTGGTAGACTGAGGCGGGAGGATTGCTTGAGCTCAAGAGTTTAAGGCTGCAGTGAGCCATGATAGCACCACTGCACTCCAGCCTGGGCAACAGAGCAAGACCTGCCTCAAAAAAAAAAAAAAAAAGAAAGAAGTAAATGATTGGTGGAAATGAAAGTATACTTTTAGGACAAAGTAATAGAATTGAAGCATCATTTCTTCCATCAGGCTCACCACAGGAAATCAGTTTTAAAATATACCTCATTTATTTGGGATTCAGTTTTCTAGTAACTTGAGTTGCCTAGAACAACATTGCCAAGAAGTTAGAATAATAGTTTAAAAGACCTCTCGAACTTCTCATTAAGCTCTGAAAAAGTCTCTGTAGCTGATTTTTTTTTTTTTTTTTTTTTTTTTTTTTTTTTTTTTTTTTTTTTTTTTTTTGAGACCAAGTCTCGCTCTGTCACCCAGGTTGGAGTACAGTGGTGCCATCTTGGCTCACTGCAACCTCCACATCCCAGGTTCAAGCGATTCTCCTGCCTCAGCCTCCTGAGTAGCTGAGACTACAGGCACGTGCCACCACACCCGGATAATTTTTTGTGTTTCTTTCAGTAGAGATGGGGTTTCACTATGTTAGCCAGGATGGTCTCGATCTCCTGACCTCGTGATCCACCCGCCTCGGCCTCCCAAAGTGCTGGGATTACAGGCGTGAGCCACCATGCCTGGCCCTCTGTAGCTGATTTTTAAAATGTGAAAGTATTTTCCTCTCAGAATATGATCATTGTGAAAATGTTGTAAAAATCTGGAGAAAGTTAAATTCCCTATATAACTTTGGCCCTCCAGCAACCACTGAGTGGTGTATGTTTGGTGTGTGTTAGTGCCTTCTAAAGCTTTTAAATGTATTCCTAAACACACACACAAAGCTGTTCTAATTTGCACTTTCCCCACTGATGTATCAAAGTGCGCATTCCTCCTCATCCTTGCTTCTACTGCAGCTCATTCAGTTTTTAATGTTTGTAAATTAGAGTCAAAAAAATTTTTACTTTTTCGTTCTTTTTTAGTGAGGCTGAGCATTTTTCGTATGTTTAAGAACTATTTATCTTCTCTTTGATTTTACTTGTTATATATCTTTGTCTTTTTTTTGTTTGCTACTTTGAATTATTAAGGGATAACTAGTTTTTTTGTTTTTTTGTTTTTTAACTCAAATCTACTGTGGCTTCCTAGCCTTGCTGTATGCAAAAATTACATACAATGTCCTAAATATTCTTCTGTAACTATAAATTTGCATTCTATTTGGTATGTGGTCATGTATATCATTTTCTTTTTTTAAATTTTATTTTAGATATGGGGGTACATGTGCATGTTTGTTACATGAGTATATTGTGTACTGGTGGACATTGGGCTTCTAGCATACCCGTTAACCCAAATAGTGAACGTGGTTCTCAATAGGTAACTTTTCATCCCTTACCCCCTTCCCAAACTCCACTTTTTTGGAGTTCCCAGTATCTGTTATTTCCATCTTTATGTCTGTCTGTACCCATTGTTTAGCTCCTACTTTATAAGCAAGAACACGCAGTATTTGATTTTTTGAGTTAGTTCACTGAGGATAATGGCCTTCAGCTCCATCCCTGCTGCTGCAAAAGACACGATTTCATTCTTTTTTATGGCTGCTATGTCTTTCTTTAATCCCTATATAGCTTGTGGCCTCACACCATTAATTAAATAAGCCATTCATTCTTGTCCTAATACCTTTGTAATATGTTAGACCCCTGTATGTAAGCAAGCAAGCCTGTTTGAGGGTGCCAAAATATGTTTTGTTCATCTTTCTTTTTTTCTTTTTTTTTTTTTTTGAGACAGAGTCTCATTCAGTTGCCAGGCTGGAGTGCAGTGGTGCAGTCTCTTCTCACTGCAACCTCCACCTCTTGGGTTCAAGTAATTCTTGCGCCTCAGCCTCCCGAGTAGCTGGAATTAGAGGCACGTACCACCAGACCCAACTAATTTTTGTAATTTTAGTAGAGACAGGGTTTTACCATGTTGACCAGGATGGTCTCGATCTCCTGACCTTGTGATCCACCTGCCTTGGCCTCTCACATCTTTTTTTCTATTTCATGAGGCAATATCATACTGTGGTAGTTATTGCAACTTTGTAGTGTACTTCATACCAATTGGTGTTCTTTCTTTCCTAAGTTTTCTTGATCATCCTTGTGCATTTGTTCTTCCAGATGGAACTTTGCCAAGTTGCAAGATTTTTAGTGAGGCTTTTAAATTTGAAAATAGTTTTATTCAATACATGGGCTAATTTGGAGATAATTTATGTTTTTACAGCATTGATTACCTGTTTATACACATAATATATGTTTTCACTTATTCAGACTTTCTTAAATGCTGTTCAGTAAAATTTTATGGTTTTGTTCATATAGGCCTTATGCTTTTTTAAGTTTGGAGATTGTATAGATTTTGTTGTTATTGTAAGTAAATTTTTTTCATCATTGTTAAATTATTTTGCATGTTCTAGGTAGACTTTTTAGTCCTATCTGTAAGTTACAATTTTTTCCTAAGCCAAAATCTGTTTCTCTTAATTTTATTACTCTAATTTTTGACCAAAGTCTCTAGAATAATTTCCAAATTGAAAATATTATAATATTTTTCTCAGTATAATTTGAATTATTCTAGTGTTTTACCATTAAGTATGGTGTTTGCTGTTTTGTTTTACATAGAAAATTGAGGACATTACTTTTTGTATCTAGTTTTCCTTTATTTCTAGAATTAGGAAAAATCAGGCCACCTTCCCTCAAGTCTCCATTTTGAACTTCTGCAGTGTCTAGGTTTCAGGAACAGGAATGGGGGATAGGAGTCCATATGTTACCATGCTGGTAAGGAAGGCTGTTTGCTCTACACCTAGCTGTGCTCTCTGCTTAGCACCCCACCTAGTACCTCAGCAGCCTAGAAGTTCTAGCCTTGACATTACAAGGAGGCCTGAATGGGCATGCCCCAGCCTTACCTAGGTAAGGAGCCACATTCTGCCTCTGCACATATCTGTACCAGTGATTACCTGGCTCTGACAGATGGCTCTTTCTCACAGGGTCTCTCATCATTAGTCATGCGGATGGTAGTTTAGACATTCTAGTGCATAATATGGAATAATAATAATTATACCTAACATATTAAATACTATGTGCCAGGCATTGTTCTATTTTATATGTAATCATCCTTTTAATCTTAAAAAAAAATCTCATGAGATAGGTATTATGAATACCATTTTACAGATGAGAAAACTAAGACAAAGAAGGGGCTTAATAACTTGCACAGGGTCACACAACCAAGTAGATATTGATTATGAATGCTCAGTAAATGATGCAAGGATGATAACGATTGGAGACAATTAGAAAGTGTACCTATTCAGAGTATTTGATTGTGGAAGGTTGGAAGTGAATAACATATCTGAGAAAATAAGCATCACTCCCCGACAATGTCAGGTAAATGAGGTCTTGACTTTGACTCCACAGAAATTTATCTAGCAGCCAAATTGGCTGTTAATTGAAAATGGATCTGGGAAGAGGGCGTCAAAGGCATAGAGAATAACAATTTATCACATAAAAAAAAAGGAGAAGGAAACCTTTCTAAATGGGATTCTCAAGCATGTATACATCTAAGGAAAATGATTTTAAAATGTTAATATTCCAGAGAAGAAATCAAGTTTTTGGTTTCTATATTTGTTTCTGAGGCTTCCAAGAGACTAGGATTCAGTATTTTCATTTGCCACATAGAATTAAAGGGGAATTGGACCCAGTTATGGGAAGGTAAATGGGAAAGAGTTATATTTCTGAAGCTGAAATTAAAGTGTGTTTGTTTTCGCTTTGATAGGAAAACAGAAATCATAGTTTTTCAGTAATCAGCACTTGTCAATTTTTCCTTTTGAGATGTGTATTTTTTTCCCACCACCATTTTTTAATCTCATGACTAAATATAATACAATAGCCTTTTAACTGGTCTCTTTGCTTCTTGTTTCTGTTTGTTTGTTTGTTTGTTTGTTTTTAAATTATCCATCCTGACCTGGTTGATAAGTGAAGTTAAGATGTCTATTGTATTATGACATATTCCTGGTTTAGAAACATTCTTGATGTTTACTTAACAGGTTTATTTAAAATTGGATGTATTTTTAGAGGCAAAATCTTTGTTTAAAGATTTTAAGCTTCATAACTTCTGTCTGCTTACTTTATTAATTGTTTTTATTTTTGTTTTTTGAGACAAGGTCTCACTCTGTCACCCAGGCTGGAAAGCAGTGGCACGATCATGGCTCACTGCAGCCTGGAGTTCCCAGGCTCAAGTGATCCTTCCGCACTTCAGCCTCCCAAGTAGCTGGGACCACAGGCACCTGCCACCATACCTAGCTAATTTTTTAATTTTTCATGGAGACTGGGTCTCCCTACGTTGTCCAGGCTAGTTTCAAATTCCTAGGCTCAAGCAATCCTCCCGTCTCAGCCTCTCGAATTGTGGGATTACCGGCCACACTGAGCCTCTGGGCCCAGCTGATCTGCTTAATTTGAATAAAGAGACGAACATACTAAAACCCAATTCTAGCTAAGGTAAGCAAAGAGAATATTCTAGAATGTCTGTAGTTATGTATGGAACCTACAGTAAGTTGGAAACTTGGTCTTGGAATTGGGCAGGAACAAAGCATCTTGGAGCCCAGGAAGCAGAAACTGTTAAGAGCTATCCTGCAGCAGGAGCAGTTGTGTTAGCTTCTCATCTGCTCGGATGGAATGGTCACAGGTCAGTTTCCGTATCTTTAGCCCTCTGCTCAAGATATCAATTCCAGAGAGGGAGCATCTGCTTGCTGTTGCTAGCCTTGCCTTCCTTACCTGCTCACCCTTGGTATCAGCAGCATTGATGGGTCTGTTTCTAGTTTGTAGTTGTTTTTTGTTAAATTTGACGTTATGAGCAATATAGATAGTTTTGGATTGTGCTTAAAAGCCAACCCATCCCTGACAATGGAAGGAAAAATAAAATTTTTCTCTCTCTTTCTCATTTGTAGGTAGAAACAATAAATTCATGAAAAAGCCTCTACTCTGTCTGATACCTCGCTGACATGTAGAATTTTGTGCTTCAGTATACTCCTTTTCAGTACTGAGTATTTCAAAGAACATCTGTATCTTACTTAGCAGCTGGTTTCTTCCCTCAACTAATTTCATTTTTCATGTCATTAATGGGTTTTGTGTATGTCCCCACCCTGTGGCACAGAACAGATATGAATATATATATTCATATAGATACATTATGAATCTATATGCATATGTAGATGCATATATATGTAAACACTGTAATGGTTTTATGTGGCATAATTTTTCAATTTTTCATTTTTCAGTCTGATACATCATGACTCCTGGATCTCTTTTCTCTAGCTTTCCTGTATTTCTGAGCCTAAGAAACATAAACATCATCTTAGTTTCTTGGTATTCATTAGGCCTGTGGGATGGAAGAAGTATTATAATGTAGAGTAAAAGCTCATCGTTTTATGTCATGGGACAAATTACCTTTGTTTCTCACCCTTCTAATCACAGTTGGGGAGTTATGGGAGATGCTGAACTGGAATTCTGATATTGGGCAGTGTGCTCTTCTCTGGGAAACTAGAAGTTGTTTTTCTGACAGGATGACATTTGGTTTCTGGGGACCATGTGTGTCTTCCCTTCACCCTGACTCTGATCTAAATACTGATTGAACATACTCTAGGCAGTAATGACTTGATATAAGAGATATACTACTTTCAGAGTTGTCTTCACAACTGTTTGCCCTTCTAAAATTATCTCCTATTTTTCTACTCCTATTTTGATGATTGAATGAGTGCTTTCCAAAGATGATAAATACAAGTTAAAAGCCAAAGTAGTAAACTTGTAAGTGTGAAGTCTGTGTTCCCTTTGTCCTGTAATCCTATTTCTTATAATTTGCCTAAAATTATAGTAAGTTGAAAAATGTATGCAGAAAGTTCATTTCAGCATTCACTATTTAGTGAAAATAGGAGAACAACCTAAATCTGTAGCAATAAAGTACCAAATTAGCAAATTATCTGTACACAAAAGAATATTATGCAGACATCAAAAATAATGCCATAGTTTTATGTTTATTGATTTGCCAGGATGTTTGTGATACAGAATAATGTCTGTGATGTATTATTAAATAAAAAGCAAATTGCAGAGCAGCATTTATATGTTCCCATTTGTGCAGGATTGTATACTTATTTCTGCATGTGTATTCATGGAGCACTGTCTGGGAAGTATGTTAAAACATTGATTATAGCTAGTGGCAGATTTGGAGATTTCTTTCCTTGCTAATTATTCATGCTTGGAACCAATACTATGATATTGAAATATATCTATCCCTTTTAGTGTTTTTTATACCATATTAATGTAATTTTTAAGAAATTTTAATATTTAACATTTGTGTTTAATAATTATGGCTCTTGGATCTCTTTTTTTAATTTTTATGTTACTGAGCCTGCAAAACATGAAGACCACAGTTGGTTTCTAATATTGACTCTGCCACATTTCAGTATCTTAGTATTTTAATTATGTCCTTAGCTTATGTCTTATTAGCACCTCTTCCTTAGCTTATGTATTTTCTAAGTATAGGAACTGCATTTGTTAAAGTTGATCTGTATATTACCTAGCATAGCATGTCTTGGAAGTAAACATTCTGTTTTTAATCCTTGAAAGTGAGATATATTCCCACTAATTTTGTAACAAATCATTTCCTACTCTATTTAGGTGTAGAGTTCGGTGCTCGAATGATAACTATTGATGGGAAACAGATAAAACTTCAGATATGGGATACGGTAAGTATAGGAAAAGTGCACTGTATGATCTCAGTAAAGTTACTTTATGAAAGTACATCGTATATTTGTTTTAATGTTATTATATGCCTGTTATGGTTTGTTAGACACTGACTTCCTGCAGCCATGAGATGAAATGTGGTGCTGGAGTAGACTGGTTTTTCTTATGCACTGTTTTCAATAGATGGGCCCTGGGTGTTGGTGTTAGTGAGCATATCTGAGTGAATGTTCACGTTATGTGGTCTAAATTGAAATGCTCTAGAAACTGTATTTTTAAGAAAAACAATCAGCATGTCTCAAGTACACATAGGAAGTAAAATAAGAATATCAATATTATACAATAACTTATTCTTCAGGCTTATTATTTTAAATGTTTTAGTCCTAACAACTTGAAGTCACGTTGCTCTTAATTCAGTATCCTAATTCTGTCATACCCTTGTTCATTGAGTACCTATTACATGTCATACAATATTGTTTTTAATGGTGATTCCTCATCTGAACCACAATATACAGAAAATGATTTGAGTGACTGTTTTCTCTATTCTCCCATCTTAGATGCATAAAAGTGAAGTTACTGTATTATATACATTGGGTGCCTTAAGGTAGCAATTTTCAAACCATTTTGTTTCAGAACTACTTTATACATTTAAAAATTAATGAAGACCCCCAAAGAGCTTTAGCTTATATGGCTTAAAGGTATTAATATTTACCATATTAGAAATTAAAAATGAGAAACTTACCAAATATTCAATCATTAATTCATTTTAAATTAATAAATTACTTGTTAGGGTAGATAATATAATTGTAATGGACACTGTATTTTTCCAAAACAAACAACTACATTTTTCTAGTGAGACTAGTGATATCTGTCTGCTTAATAGAAGACACTGGATTCTCATACCTGCTTCTGCACTGAGCCTTACGTATGTTGTTTAATTGAAGTATATTAAGAAAATCCAGCCTCACACAAATAGTTGGGAAATGGAGGACCACATGGACCCTTAAAGTCTGAGGAATTCCCAGGATTCTGGGATCACACTTTGAGAACCACTGCTTTAGGGCATTAGGAGATAATTCTTCACAGAACCCCAGTTGAGAAAACCTGAAAGGTCTCCTGTTGTGTCAAAGAACATATTCTCTAAACCAGCAAATGAGATAGAAAAGATGGGATTTAATCATCATATACCCGTGGCCTATTTTTCTCCAGTCACTCAGTCTTAGTTTCTCACTTGTCATGTGTAGTAGCCATTGAAAGAAGGAACCTTAGAGAACATCCGGTCTCACAGACTGGATTCCCTAGACCAAGCAAGTTGCTGAAGGCTGCTGTGGGACCTGGGTTTCCTGATACTTCCTATGTGTCACAGTTTTCCCTTAAATGATAACCGTACATCTCTGTCTTGCCTTGTCCTTGAATTGTCCACTCGACTCTGGGTTCTTGTGTTTTTTTGCCTCTTCTTCCTCAGTGAAGAGTCATACTTTTACTATTTCTCAAGGATTTCCCACATGAGCCTAAAGCATCTCAAAACATTTGATTTACATTCTCTCAGGCAGCATCTCAAAACTGCATGGAAAAGAGGAAAATAAAATACACAAAGTCCCTTTTTTCCTAGAGATTTAAAATTAATAATCTCCAACCAAAAAGAAACATTTTCTACTTCTGTATTAAAAGAGGTTCTCTCTTCTTGTTTTGGAGACAGGGTCTCACTCTGTCACCCAGGCTGTAGTGCAGTGGCACAATCATAGCTCGCTGCAGCCTCGAGCTCCTGGGCTCAAGCAGTCCTCCCACTTCAGTCTCCTGAATAGCTAGGACTACAGGCGTGCACCACCACACCCGGCTGAGTTACTGTCTCTTATTCAGAACTGATTTACGTAAACTAAGTTACTCTTTTTAGCTTATAACCTTGTGTAACACACATCTTTGCATTGTGTAGTGTGAACCAGACTACTGTTATTCTTCAATAAACATATTTTTCATTCCTTATACTTTTGCATAAATACTTGTATTGCTTGAAGTGCCGTTTTTTGTTTTCTTTTCCATTTAAGGCAACTAAGATGTCAGCTCTTTGGTGAAGCCTTTTTGACCCCCATCGGAATAACTTATTCTTCCTGTAATATTTTGTGCATATGTCTCCTGTAGTTCTGATCCCACTGTCATAGCTTTTTGTTTACATTATCTACCCTTCTCAGAATAAGCATTATGAGGGAAGGATCCACCTATATCTTATGCAGCTTTGTATCCTGCATTCTTAGCTTGGTGACTGATAATACAGTGTTTGGTAAATTTTACTGAATGAATGAATAGAGAATCTCATTCTGTCTAAGCAACTTGTAGGGTCACTGGATGTGTTCAGGAGATATCTACTAAAGTACATCGTTTTGAAAAGGAAAGGTTAATATAGTAATGATAATTATGTGATATTTTAGGCATAAACCACTTCATTGTCTGTAGGTTATTTTAGTTTATTCACTTGTTCTTCTATTCTTAAAGTAGTCCCTTAAATAATCTTTGTTTTTTGAAACTTGAGTAAGCCATTCATTTCCTAGTTGTCTGTTTTGTAGATTAACTCGTCATACATCATTTTGATAGAAGCCTGGTTTTTTGTGGGTTTTCTTGTTTTTGTTTTTGCTTGAGTTGATTTCTTTGCACAACAATAAACTTGCAAAAGAAATCTAAAATAATTTCTTATGCTGGACAGTATGAGAAAGGAAGAGAAGAAAAACCCTTGTTTGTGTTCCTCTAGGAGGGTAGAGGGCTCGTTTTCTTTCCTCTATTTCTGAGAGAGATGGTGGTCCGTTTAAAGACATCATAACATCCCAGAAAGAATTCGACCACTTCCAGCTTCTACATGGAGAGCTCCCAGACCCAATGGCCTGTTCCAGATTTAAAGGACTGTTTAAAATAGTTTAACTTATTTCTTTTGGAGGTTGTTTCTTGAGTCTTTGTCTTACAGGTTTTCCTCTTTTGTTTTTGTTTTTTTGGGGGTTTTTTTTTTTTTTTTTGGTTTTGAGACAGCGTCTTACTCTGTCGCCCAGGCTTGAGTGTAGTGGCATGATCACAGCTCACTGCAGCCTCAAACGCCTGGCCTCAAGCAATCCTCCCACGTCAGCCTCTTGAGTAGCTGGGACTACACATGCATGCCACCACATGCAGCTAATTTTCAAAATTTTTTGTAGAGATGGAGTCTTGTTATGTTTCCCAGGCTGGTCAGGCTTTTCTCTTATTTTCATTGACTTTCTTCTTACTTTCATACCCAACTTCCAAAACTTTTTAATAAATGTAACCTAATACACATTAAGATTGGTCTCACACTTAGTTTATATCTGAGTGAAACGGGATTTTCCATAGCATTAATGTTTTACAGTGTGTCTGTACATTTGGATAGCCGGTTGCATTTTTGGTAGCAAGGGTTATGTCTATTCATGACCCAAGATGTTTACAAAACCATCCTAGAGTCCTTCAAGGGAAAATTAGCCAAATGTTATTATTTGTTTTATCAGCCTTATAGAAATGAAGAGTTTTCTTAGTATCTTAGGATATTTGTCTTTTTTTTTTTTTTTTTTTTTGAGACGGTGTTTCACTCTTGCTGCCCAGGCTGTAGTGCAATGGTGCAATCTCAGCTCACCGCAACCTCCGCCTCCCGGGTTCAAGCGATTCTCTTGCCTCAGCCTCCCAAGTAGCTGGAATTACAGGCATGCACCACCACGCCCGGCTAATTTTGTATTTTTAGTAGAGACGGGGTTTCTCCATGTTGGTCAGGCTGGTCCCGAACTCCCGACCTCAGGTGATCCACGCCTCAGCCTCCCAAAGTGCTGGGATTATAGGTGTGAGCCACTGCACCTGGCCTACAGGATGTTTGTCATTTTTATCTTCAAAAAATTTAAGGAGTTTTCCTTGCAAGATTTTCACATCCACCACCTTTGCTTTCTTTTGCCAGTAGTGAGAATAGCTGCTAGCAGATACTCCTTGGAGGCATGAAGGCCATCAATCAGTTTCACAGCTGGAAACAGTGATAAGAGTCTATCAGTGCCTCCCTTTAAGCACTGACACTTGGCCCTTTACTGAGTTACTTTTCTTTCATTTATTAAAAGCCAAAGCCAAACTGTAAATATTCTTTTCTGCCAGGGGAAGTCAAAGAAGAAACATACGTTGCCCCTGGTTTCTGTTCATTGGCAGAAAAAAGGCAGAGGTATGTTCTCACTGTTAGACCCTGGCCAGCCATTACTGCCTTGTTCTGCTCTTGTTCTTTTTCTCTTACTTTTTCTCTTGCCTTCTATTCCTCTTTCAGTTGCCTTCCAGCATATCCAAATACATTTGATTTCCCAGCCCCTCCAAAAAAAATTGTAATATGGATGTTTTAGTTAAGTTCATTTATCCACTCAGCTTCCCTAGAAATATTCCTATTTTACATGTCTTATATCAAGTAAGTCAGTGAAACTTTTGACCAAATTGTGTGAAAACTAACATGCTAAAAGTTTCTTCTCAGCAAATCACAGGCATTTTTTTTCTCCTTTGAAAAACATGTTACTTTATACTCTTGACGTATTATTTCTAAAAATTGAATATTATTTTGTTTCAATGCATCAGTAAGGATGGATGACCAGATGCAGTGAGCCAGGGAGAGGACCTGGAACCCTGAGGGCTGAAAACAATACTGCCTCCCCACTTCTGCCTTTCCTCTCTGCTCCCATTACTGTCACTTCCTCCCTCTCCCCCACCATCCCTTAAGCTGGGAGTTGAGGGGCTTAGAGCTCCAACTGTTCTTCCTCCTTAGGCAGCAATTCATCAACATTTTTTTGAACAACTACAGGGACAGGAAACTGTCTTAGACATTTCATTGTACTTTAGTGATTACCTCCCACCTGTGGTCTCCAGTTTTTCTTACGTGGCAGCACTAAAAGAATCTGACATCGGTGATCATATCCTATTTTATCTTTTTTTTTTTCTTGTTTTTTGAGGCAGGATCTTGCCCTGTTGCCCAGGCTGGAGTGCAGTGGTGTGATCACAGCTCACCACAGCCTCCACCTCCCAGGCTCAAGTGATCCTCTCACCTCAGCTTCCCCAGTACCTGGGACTACAGGCACTCGCCACCACTCCCAGCTAATTTTTTTTTTTAATTTTGTAGAGATGGGATTTTGCCATGTTCCCAAGGCTGGTCAGAAACTCCTGGGCTCAAGCAATCTGCCCACCTTGGCCTCCCAAAGTGCTGGGATTACAGCGTGAGCCACTGCGCCCAGCTAAGCCTTTTTTCCAAAGTAAATATCCTCAAATTTTTTAAAGCATTCAACTTGTGCTGTTTTTTCTAGGTATTTCCACCCATTGTTACTTTTCTCAGGATCCCACAACTAACTAGTGCAGGTTGACTTTTTCACCACCCTTGCTGTGTACACTAAGACAGCCTAAAAATCACTTTGATTCTTACTGATCTTACTGTCACCTGGAATAGAAGTTTTGTACATGCATGTAGATTTCAAAATATTTCCTCTCAATTATAGCAGTTCCTTGATAGAGGTCTAAATTTTTTTTTTTTTTTGAGACGGAGTCTCGCTCTGTCGCCCAGGCTGGAGTGCAGTGGCGTGATCTCGGCTCACTGCAAGCTTCGCCTGCCGGGTTCACGCCACTTTCTCCTGCCTCAACCTCCTGAGTAGCTGGGACTACAGGTGCCCGCCACCACGCCCGGCTAATTTTTTTTTTTTTTTTTTTTTTTGGATTTTTAGTGGAGACGAGGTTTCACCAAGTTAGCCAGGATGATCTTGATCTCCTGACCTCGTGATCCACCCGCCTCAGCTTCCCAAAGTGCTGGGATTATAGGCGTGAGCCACCACACCCGGCCAAGGTCTAAATTTTTAAGTTGAGTCTTTTAAGTAAAGTACCTGAGATTTAATGCTTGGGCAAGGGACAGTTTATTTGGCTGTTTAGAAATCCTTCTTTCCTTCTTTTGGTTCTCATCTGTCTTCTACATAGCTGGAGCTGTTTGATAAATAACTAGCAATGCAAGTAAGAGAAGTATTACTGTAATACTGATTCTCACAAATCTTAATTTTCTCACTTTATTGGCTCTTTGGGATCAATCCAGGTAACATATTTGAGTGCCTACTATAAATATACTCTAGTACTCTGAGTTAAGCTATTCCTCAAGGATAACTGAAGAGGAAAAAAGATAAGCATTTGAGTAGTGTGTTCATTGTATCTAATCAATAGTATTAAAACCAAATGACCACATGAAAGTGCTTTTGGATTTGTGAGGAGAAAAGGATAACTATGGGCTGTGGTAGACAAGCTTTCCCAGCTTTGTGAAAGAATTAGGGGCTTGAGCTGGTCCTCAAAGGAAATGGAAATTGGATAGGTGGAGAGAGAAGAAAATAGTGTTTCAGGCAAGGAGTTAAGCAGAGGCACAAAAGCAGGAATTTTCAGACTATAGACAAGATATCAGTAGAAAAAAATGGACTTGTATGAGCAAGATTTTGAATAAGAAAAAATTCTTGTGAGACAAGTAGAGGTCTGATTCTCAAGAGCTTAGGACTTTAATTCAGGATATTTAGAGATTTTTGAACTACAGCTTAATATGTATAAAGTTATATTTTGTGGGAGTAGAAGAGGAAGAAGAGGTGAAGATTACTACTAGTTGCCAGCCTGGTTACTACAAATATTGCTATTCACCAAAAGACTCAGATGCATGGGAAAGCCAGTTTAAGGGATTCTTTATCTGGCAGTTACAAATAAGCTTTAAAATTATGGTGCAAAGGATCAATTTTGATTTAGCAATCCTCACATGAAAGATGAAGGTGTAAGACTTCTTTTGCACAAATGTTCCGTGACTTTAATATTAAGCATCACTAAAAATGAGCATGTTTTTATCTCTTAGGCAGACTTGTTCTGCTCTACTTTTTTGCATCTCTGAGTATTTTGTGAATGTTTTTTTGTTGTTTTGTTTTGTTTTTGTTTTGTTTTTGAGACAGAGTCCAGCTCTGTCACCCAGGCTAGAGTGCAGTGGCGCAATCTCAGCTCACTGCAGCCTCCGCCTCCTGGGTTCAAGTGATTCTCCTGCCTCAGCCTCCAGAATACCTGGGATTACAGGCACGTGCCACCACACCTGGCTAATTTTTGTATTTTTTGTAGAGACGGGGTTTCACCATGTTGGCCAGGCTGGTCTGGAACTCCTGACCTCAGGTGATCCATCCGCCTTGGCCTCCCAAAGTGCTGGGATTACAGGCGTGAGCCACCACACCCAGCTAATCCTGTGGATTTTTAAATTAATCCAACAGTTATATTGTGAGCCAAGAGAACTTACTGTCCACTCTGGCCACTCCACCCCAAGTTTGTTTTGTGGTGCTGTTCACTTAGGCAATCATTCCTGTTTGACTAAATGTGTTTTTCTTTACACTCTAAGCTAATATTAGGAATCTCTTACTATTAAATACAAAGAATTTTGTATCCTGTTTGGTTTCAAGCTTCCAAAATCCCTTTTAACCAACAGTTTATAGTGAAGAGGATCAAACACAACATTTATAATTCCTAAGTTAACTTTTTTTTTTTTGAGATGGAGTCTCACTCTGTCACCCAGGCTGGAGTGCGGTGGCGCAGTCTTGGCTCACTGCAAGCTCCTCCTCCCAGGTTCACGCCATTCTCCTGCCTCAGCTTCCCGAGTAGCTGGGACTACAGGTGCCCGCCACCAAGCCCGGCTAATTTTTTGCATTTTTAGTAGAGACAGGGTTTCACTGTGTTAGCCAGGATGGTCTCGATCTCTTGACTTCGTAATATGCCTGCCTTGGCCTCCCAAAGTGCTGGGATTACAGGCGTGAGCCACCGCGCCTGGCCCTAGGTTAACATTTTTGTTTCACTTAAAACAATATAGGTCAATCCGAGTTTGGATAGGTATATATTAAAGCACCTTTTTTTTTTTTTTTTGAGACAGTCTCACTCTGTTGCCCAGGCTGGAGTGCAATGGCATGATCTCGGCTCATTGTAACCTCCGCCTCCTGGCTTCAAGTGATTCTCCTGCCCCAGCCTCCCAAGTAGCTGAGATTACAGGTGTGCGCCACCACACCCGGCTAATTTTTGTATTTTTTAGTAGAGATGGGGTTTCACCAGTTGGTCAGGCTGGTCTCAAACGCCTGACCTCGTGATCTGCCTGTCTCGGCCTCCCAAAGTGCTGAGATTACAGGCGTGAGCCACTGCGACCAGCCTAAAGTGCTTTTTAAAAATCAAATTACTTTGCTTTAATATGTCAAGGTAGTTAACCTTTGGGCTAACTTTATGCAGTTAGTTGTTATATAACAGTTTATTTATAGTTAGAGAAGCCATAATAAAAAAAAAAACTTCACTGGGCAAGATTTATTTCAAGGCTACCAATACCATTATCAAAGAGAATAGGCCAGAGTTGTGATAGTTTTCAGATAAGTAAGGTCTCAAGAATTTGTAAACTATTCTGAACACTCATCTTTATTTATTATAAAGTAATCATAGATCTTAAGATGCATAGCTACAGTCATAGTCTTCAGTGGGAATTGTGTTTTTTTATTTGCTCGAGCTTTTGTTTAATTTTGTAGTGGGCAGAAGTCTAGATTCAAATGTATTGTGTAAGTTATTTCCATATTGGAACGTGTTTTGTTCTTTGCAAAACAGTTCAGAAGGAATGAGAATGGTTATAAAAGTTTGCTTTTCTCCTTTTCCTAAATTTATTTTGTCTTTTACTCTTTACTATCTCTTATCTAGGCTCTAAACTGGAAGTTGTGGATCTTATAGTAGTACTTTTCTAGCAATGTGTTCATTTTAATTCATCCCACAGAATGTCCCTGGAGAGATTGGTTTAAAGGACTTTTACCTTTGCTTGATGATCAGCCATGGGCAATATTAGAGCTATAAACCTGATTTTTATTTTGAACTAATAAAATATGTATCTTTTTTGTATTACAGTAGCTCTTCCTTATCCATGAGGAATAGATGCTAACACCCTCAGTAGATGCCTGAAATTGCAGATAGTGCTGAACTCTATATATACTAGTTTTTCGATCCCATAACAGAGACGGCTGCAGTTTAAGCATCCCTAATTTGAAAATCCCAAACTTTTTGAGCTTTCACATGACACTCAGAGGAGATGCTTTTTGGTGCATTTTGGATTTTAGTTTTCAGATTAGGGATGCTCAACTGATAAGTATAATGCAAATATTCTAAAATCAGAAACACTTCTGGTTCAAAGCATTTCAGAGAAGAAGTGCTCAACCTGTACTAAGTGACTACCAGGCAGGTAGTGTAGTGTATACAGTGAAGATAGGCTGGACAAAGGGATGATTCACATCCCCAGCAGGACGGAGCAGCAGGATAGTGGGAGACTTTTATCACACTACTCAGAATAGTGTACAATTTAAAACTTAGGAATTATTATTTCTGGACTTTTCCATTTAATATTTTCAGACTGCAGTTGACCACCAATAACTGAAACCTTAGAAAGCAAAACCTCAAATAAGGGGGAACTACTGTACCTAACACAGAATCCTTTCTTGGTACATAGGATTTACAGTGAAATTAATCCCTAAAGATCTAGTCCTTAGTTTTTCTGTGCTAAGCAGTTAAAGAAGATATTTCCTGCCATTGTGCCTTCAGAACAGTGAATTTGGCTGGGAACAGTGGCCCACACCTGTAACCCCAGCACTTTTACGAGACCGAGACAGGTTGATTGCTTAAAGCTCAGTAGTTTGAGACCACCCTGGGCAACATGGTGAAACCTGGTCTCTATAAAAAAATAAAAAATAATAAATTTTAAAAAACAATCAATTTAAAATAAAAACAAGGTATCTTCTAGTTTTTTGTTGTTTTTTGTTGTTGTTGTTTTTCTTTCTTTTTTTTTTTTTTTAAAGACACAGGGCCTCATCTGTTGCCCAGGCTGGAGTGCAGTGGTGTGATTGTAGCTCACTGTAGCCTTGAACTCCTGGGCTCAAGTGATCCTCCTGCTTCAGCCTCCCAAGTAGCTAGGACTGCACGGGTAAGCCACAACACCCAGCTAATTTTTAAAATTTTTTTTGTAGAGATGGGGTCTCGCCATGTTAGCCAGGCTGGTTTTGAACTCCTGGCCTCAAGCAATACTCCTGCCTCAGCCTCCCAAAGTGGCATGAGCCATTATACCCGGCTGTCTTCAGTTTAACCTAAGCTATGTAAAATGATTTGGCTATTTTTATAGCCCTTTTGTGTGATGGCTTTCTCACTGTCTAATTTAGCATGACATTATTCTAACTGCCAAAATTGCCTACCCAAGAGAGGGTCTAATTGTTATTTTCCACATAGGAGAAGTTATTTTCATTGAATCTCAGCACGTTAGGATTTACAGATGTCCACTCAGCTATGTGGGATGGAGTACTGATTATTTTACGCATATAACTAAGACATTAGGATTTCTTGTTTCACTTTTTTGTTGTTTTTTTGTTTTTGTTTTTGGAGACAAGGTGTTGCTCTGTTAGCAAGACTGAAGTACAGTGGTGCAATTACATCTCCCTGCAGCCTCCTCACCTGGGCTCAGATGATCCTCCTACCTCAGCCTCCCAAGTAGCTGGGGGCGTGCCACCACACTTGGCTAATTTTTATATTTTTGGTAGAGACGGGGTTTTGCCATGTTGCCCAGGCTGGTCTTAACCCATTTATGCAGGAAGTTGCAAATTTTTTGTGTGAAAAATCAGACCTTGGCAGTGACCTTGAGCAGTAGGATATAAATAACTCCCACAAGCTTAGCATTCCAATAATGGAACACTAGGCATAAATGGGTTAAAAACTCCCAGGCTCAAGCGATCCACCAGTCATGGCCTCCCAAAGTGCTGGGATTGCATGCGTGAGCCACCATGCCCAGCCTATTTTTCCACTTTTTCACTCAACAGGCTTTCTCTGAATGCCTGCTATATGCCGGACCCAGTGCCTAGCACACACTTAGTCACATGCAGGGGGTGGGGGATGGGGGAGGGAGGGAGTATAGAGGAAGGGTCAACAAGAGCAAGGTATTGTAGAGTGTTGAGTGTTAAACAGGGTAGAATATGAGCCGTCCATGCGCATTCTGAGGGTGGGAAGGGCTAAATATTTACATTGCAAGATCAGAACTCAGAATGTGTAAACATCAATATTTTTCAAGTTAGGGGATTTTGAATATAAAAATCGTTAAAATTGGCTTTACGTTTACTTAATTAAAATGCTTATGTTTTTGCAAAAGTAGGAAAAGAAGGGATTAAAAATGAAAAATAACTTCTTATAAGAGCTGTCTCGGTTTTAAACTCAGACAGAACAGTCACATTCCTCCCCAGCAATTCTTAAAAAAACAGAAATTAGTACCATGAGTAAAAGAGAAATTACCTAGCTTTGCATAATCTCTTGTGTCTGTTTCACAAGTGGATATAAAGATGACTTTTACATCCTGTTGCCTTTTGACAAGCATTATATATCAAATACAGAGAAAATTGATTAAGTGTGGAGAAAAAAACTTATATAAATTAAATTCAGAACCATTTTGCTTTTCATAATAAAATGATTGCTCAAAGAATTCCATTTGATGACTGTTGAAAGCTCACTGCAGTTTATGATATAACTGATAAAATCTGCATCCTTGGCCTTCCAACAACCTTTACACCAGCAGATGGTGGGCGTAAAGATGTCATTCATCATTTATTTACAATGGGTTTTATTTATTCTAGTGTCAACAGCTGCCCCAGGGAGTGGGTTATTGAATTCAAATGTGAGGCTCTGGGTTATTTGCTTCCTTTCAAATTTGTCTTCAGAGCTTAGTTGCTAGGAGTCCATTCTGTCCTTTAATAATGATTCGTGTATTGTGAAGCCATTCAGTAAATTGGGTTGTCAGGGATTGCCAAAAAGGGTTTAGAGGTCTTGCGGGCTGGGGAGGTTGCAGGAGCGACTACATGTGCACTACATGTGCGTCTCGTTGACTTGAGCAATCTTGAGCAATAGCGGTGTTTTGTAACTTTTTCCTAAGACTGGTGAAGTTAAGTTTTCTTGTCTCTCTTTATGCACTCCTTCCCTACCTGCTCTTATTCTGTATATGAATAATATGAAAATGTAGAGGACATTGTATTAAAGGAAACTCTCCAACCTTTTTTTTCGTTACAGGCAGGGCAAGAATCCTTTCGTTCCATCACAAGGTCGTATTACAGAGGTGCAGCAGGAGCTTTACTAGTTTACGATATTACACGGTGAGAACTTGAAAACTTTGCAATTCAGTAGTTGATACAGAGAATTTTTCTAAATAGATGTGGTTAACAGTAATGAAAGAATAGCTTAGCCTTTCTGCCCCGGCTACTCACCTTTAAAACTGCATCTTGAGTCCAATTTAAATTTACTACAGAAACCTGCAACTGAATTGTTTTTCTTATTTGAATTAGCACCTTCAAATTGAAATCGGCCATATTATTTATTCATTGGAATTTTCTAAAGTGTGATTACATTTAATTTATAAACTGAAATACAATCAGTGAACTCTAAACCCAGATATGGTGCTTAAAACTACTTCTCGTTACATAAGTGGATATGGCTAAAAGTGGTTCTCTTTAAAAATATGTATATTGTTCGTTGTATACTGAGGGAAATGCTTTGAACATAGTAATTAAATTATTATTTATGTTTAGGAGAGATACATTCAACCACTTGACAACCTGGTTAGAAGATGCCCGCCAGCATTCCAATTCCAACATGGTCATTATGCTTATTGGAAATAAAAGGTAAAAAGGCTAATTTAGAGCTTACATTGCATTAGTGATGAAGACTGTACTGTTTATTTGACTACTTTCCTTAACATTTGTTCAAATGTGAGTTACCAGCCTCTTAAATTATAAAATTTCGGAAATTCTAAGGTGTTTCTTTTGATTTTTAAAATGATGTTAATAAGCTTTGTTGGAAATTATTACTGTTATTATTAGAAATAGTTTTTGTGTAAAGAAATACTTTAAAAAGTAATCTGAAGGAGTTTTATCAGATTACTGATGTAAAGTAAAGCCTACTGATTTATTTGGGGAGTTGGATTGAACATCTTTGTGCTGTCAATTTAAAATGCTATTATATGGGAAAACCTTCTTGCTTGACCAGTTTCCATAAACTTCTAAGAGTGTGGGAAAGTTTTCACTAATTTTTGTAGAAACTTACAGTGGTAAGAAAATATTAGTATTTTCAAAATGCTAGGCACCATTCTTTTTGTTTTGTTTTGTTTTGTTTTGTTTTGTTTTGTTTTGTTTTGTTTGAGACAGGGACTCACTCTGTTACCCAGGCTAGAGTGCAGTGGTGTGATCATAGCTCACTGCAGCTTGGCCTCCCGGGCTCAAGGGAATCCTCCTGCCTCAGCCTCCAAAGTGGCTGAGACTGTAGGCATGCACAACCACAGCTAGTTTATCTTTTTATTTCTTATAAAGAAAGGGTCTCACTTTGTTGCCCAGGCTGGTCTCAGGCTCCTAACCTCAAGTGATTCTCCCACCTGGGCCTCCAAAAGTACTGGGATTATAGGCATAAGCCACCACACCCGGCCCATTCATTCTTTAGGGTTATATTAATAAAATACTCTGAAGAGATGCTGTTTTTAGATAGGTAAAATCATGACTTATATGATAATGAAGACATCTCAAAACTTTTATCTCATTAATTAACAAGATAAGGAAACTGGTAAGATATTTCAGCCAGTTCAAAAGGGAACTCAAATTACTATACATTGATAATCAAATAAAGAAACTGAAATGAATTTACAAGATGGATGCAAAACTGAACAGTATTCACAGGGTATTAATTGTATTCCACAGGACACAGTCTGCATTTCCATGGACAGGAATTATTTGCGTTTATTCCCACAAGTTAACTTCTCTCTCTGCAGTCTTTGAAAATGTGTGAGATGCAGTTAAAATAGTACTATCAAGAAAATTTTTAAATGAACAGCCTAGGGCCAGGTACAGTGGCTCACACCTGTGATCCCAACACTTTGGGAGGCCCAGGTGGAGGATTGCTTGATCCCAGGAGTTCAAGATCAGCCCGGGCAACACAGGGAGACTCCATCTCTACAACAAATTTTAAAATTTAGCTAGACATGATGGTGCATTCCTGTGATTCCAGCTACTCAGGAGGCTGAGGTGGGAGAATCACTTGAGCCCAGTTGAGGCTGCAGTGAACTGTGTTCATGCCACTGTACTCCAGCCTGAGCAACAAAGCAAGACCTTGTCTCAAAAAAAAAAAGAAAATAGCCTAATTTTTTTGCCTTAAGAAACTAGAATAAGAGCAAATCAAAGTTAAGGAAAGCCTCCTGCCCGTTAAAAAAAAAAGAGAGAGAGAAAACCAATGAAACCAAAAGCTAATTCTTCAGAAGATAAAATAAAATAGATACTGATCAGGAAAAAGACAAACATTAGCAATATCAGGAAAGAAAGGTTGACATCACTATAGATAAAAAAAAGAGAGAGAATATTGTAAACAGACTAAATAAATGAAGAGATATAACCATGTTCATGGATTGTAAAACTAAATATAAGATGTCTTCTCAAATTTATCTAAAAATTCATTGAAGGCCAGGTACAATGGCTCACATCTGTAATCCCAGCACTTTGGGAGGCCAAGGCAGGAGCATCACATGAGGCAAGGAGTTCAAGACCAGCCTGAGAATGTAGCAAGACCCTATCTCTACAAAAAATAAAATAATAATTAAAAAAAACTAGCTAGGCATGCTGGCACACGCCTTTAGCTCTACTTACTCAGGAAGCAGAGGTGAGAGGATCACTTGAATCCAGGAGCTCAAGGTTGCAGTGAGCTATGATTGTGCCACCTGCACTCCAGCCTGGGCAAAAGAGCAAGACTCTGTCTCCAAGAAAAAAAAAAAAAAAAAAAGATTTATTGTAACCCTAATCAAACTATCAAACATTGGCAGACTTTTTTGGGAGGGTAGATATTGACAAGCTGACTTTAAAGTTTATGTGCAAAGGCCACGGAATAGCCAAATCAACTTTGACAAAGAGGCACAATATTGGAGAGAATTTACTATTCTACAAATTTTAAGATTTATTATACTATAGTCAATTTACTATTGTTTGGCATAAGCAGACATAGATCAGTAGAGCCGAATAAGAAGTTCCAGAAGTAGATTCATATATATATGATATATTAATTTTTTGACAGAGATGCTAATTTAGTTGAAGAAGGGGTAATCTTTTTCATCAAATGGTGCTGAAACAGTTAATAGTCATATGTAAAAATATGAACCTCAACTGTTACATTATACCATTTACAAAAATTAACTGGAAGTGGATCATAGACCTAAGTGTGAGAGCTAAAACTACTTAAAATTTCTAAAAGAAAACAAATTGTAGTGACCCTGTTTTGGCAAACATTTCTTAAATGGGACAGAGAAAAGCATGAACTTATAGTTCAGAAAAAAAATCAATAAATTGTTCTTTAACTGAATTTAAAACTTTTGTTCTTCAAAAGACGGTTACACTATTATACAACATCGTGACATGGTTAATGATGATATAGTGCATTCTGGAAAAATGCTGAAAGAGTGGATGTTAAGTGTTCTCACCACAAAAAACGATAACTGTGAGATAATGCAAATTAGCTAGATTAACCATTCCACAGTGTATATATACTTTAAAACAATATGTTGTACATGATAAATATATGCAATTTTACCTATCAATTTAAATAAATAAATTTGAAGAAAAACGGTTACAAAAATGAAAAGACAAGCTACAGACTAGCAGAAAATATTTGTGAAAAATGTATCTGACAAAGGATTTATATCTAGAATATATGAAGAATGCTTATAATTCATTAATAAGAAGACATCCACTTTTTAAAAATGATCTAAAGATTTGAACCAGCAATTACTACAGAAGATATACTACTGATGGGAACGTAAAATGATACAATCACTTTGGAAAACAATTTGGTAGTTTCTTTAGAAATTAAAAGGCCGAGGCGGGAGGATTGCTTCAGCCTAGGAGTTTGAGACCAGCCTGGGCAATGTAGGGAGACTTCTTCTATACAAAAATAAGAAATTTTTTAAAAAAGTAGCTGAACATGGTGGTACATACTTGTAGTCCCAGCTACTCCAGAGGCTGAGGTGGTAGGATCACTTAAGCCTGAGAGGTCAAGGCTGCAGTGAGCCATGATCATGCCACTGTATTCCAGCCTAGGCCACAGAGCAAGACCCTGTCTCAAAAAAAAGAAATAAAGCACACATCTATATTTCCTAGCCACTTTACTCCCAGATGTTTACCCAACATAAATATGTCTTCATGTGTCCACAGAATTATGTACAAATATTCATACCAGCTTTATTTCTAATAGCCCCAAACTGGAAACAACCCAAATATCAATTAACAGATGAATCGAAAAATAGTGATACAGCATTACAACAGACTACAACTCAGCTATAAAGAGGAATGAACTATTGATACATGCAGCAAAATGGATGATTCTCAAAATAATTACAGAGTGAAAAAACTCAGACCAAAAATACCATGTGATTACATTTATATAAAAATCCTAGTAAATGTGTACTAATCTGTAGTGGCAGAAAGCAGATCATCAGCTGCCTAGGGTGCAGGGGCAAGAAGGGATGGATTACAATGGAGTATGAGGAAACTTTTGGGAGACTGATGGCTTCACGGGCTTACATATCTTAAAACTCAACAAATTTTGCATTTAAGTACAACTTCTTTTATGTCTGTTACACCTCAAAAAAGCTATAATGTAAAACATCGTTATACTGTATAGATTTTAGAGTGTTGTTTTAATAGAAATTGAGATTTGCTATTAAGAGAAAATATTACCTAAGTGATATTTACATTATAAAAAGCTAAACATTGTTTACTTCTTTGTGTAGAGAAGAAACTATTATCATATTCTCTGAAGGCCTTTCTTGGGTATTCTTTTCCACATTTAAATCATCTCACTAAACCTTTTTAAGGTTATAAAGCTATTGGAGGGAAGTTTTAGTCTTTCTATGATGGAAATAGTTATTCTGTCATTCAAGGTATGAAATAATAAGAGGAGAATACTTGGAAAATAAAGAGAATTTTTATCCTTTTATTTTACCAATTTTTTCCTTGTGGCTGAAACATGATGAGTGACAGCTTACTGGTGGCTTAAATTTGGTCACCGACCACTAGGAGCTGATAGTTCAAATGTGAGAAGAAATAAACAAAGCATAGTATGTAAACGAGATGTTTCTGATGATCGTAGGTGGGTGACCTTTAAAATCAGGAGTATAACGAACAAGAAAGAACAGAGAGAAATAAATGAGATGATTATTTTTAGATGAATTGAACTGTGGATAGACATCAAAACAGGGAATAAGCAATTTTTGAATTAGACGCATTAAGCAGTAGGGAGCCAGTGAAGGGCAGTGACCTAGTCAGAGCAACAGATGACACAAATTTTTCTTACTATGGCATTTTATTAATAAATTGGTTATATAAGAAATAGGAAGCAGAGATTTAAAAAATGAAAGTTTTTTAATAGTGTAAGGGTTGTAATGCAAACCCTAAACAAAAAGGGGCCATAAATTAAAAGAAAGATACTTAAGTAACCTAAGCAACTTAAGTGGGATTCAGAGGGAGTGAACTAAGACAACAATATGATGTAATGCCTGGAAAACTGAGGTATTTTTAAAACTTTGCACTAAGTATATCGTCAAGTACTATGGCTTTTGAGTTTTTTGATTTGACCTATAGTAAGAAATGTATTTTACATCATGACCTAGTAAATAAATTGTGTATACACCTACACATATAACAAAATATTCGTAAATTATACCTTTATACGTAAGTTCCATGAAACAGTAGATGGAACTTATGTATATAGGTGATAGACTCTGATATTTTATATTGTTTCTTTTTTTTTTCCCTTCCCAAGATGGAGTCTCACTCTGTCGCCCAGGCTGGAGTGCAGTGGCGCGATCTCTGCTCACTGCAACCTCCGCCTCCCAGGTTCAAGCAATTCTCCCGCCTCAGTCTCCTGAGTAGCTGGGATTACAGGCACCCACCATCATACCCAGCTAATTTTTGTATTTTTGTAGAGACGGGGTTTCACCATGTTGGCCAGGCTGGTCTTGAACTCCTAACCTGAGGTGATCCACCCGCCTTGCCTCCCAAAGTGCCGTAATTACAGGTGTGAGCCACCGCACCCGGCCTATTGTTTCTTTTTTTAAAAAAAAATTCTGATTATTTCCTACTGAGTGATTTTTACAATTCATTGAGTCATGACACAGTTTGAAAAATCCTACCCAGGCTTAACGCAGTGTCTCAGTCCTGTAGTCCTAGCAATTGGGAAGGCCAAAGTGGGAGGATCACTTGAGTCCTGGAGTTCAAGACCAGCGTGAGCAACATAGTGAGACTTTGTCTCTGAAAAAATTAAAAAAAAAAAACTGCCCTGGAAAAGCCTTGGCACGTGTATACACAAATATATATATATATTTTATATATATATGTAAAATACATATATTTTAATATATGTATTTTATATATATATAATACATATATATATAATGCTTATTGTAACATTGTTTGTAATAATGAAAAATTATAAATAACTTTGCCTTATAGAGAATTTAAGTTGTATTGCATTCATTCAGTAGACTGTAATTCACCAGTTTAAAAACAAACTAGATCTGCATGTATTATATGGATAAATTTGAAAAACATAGTGTTGACCAAAGTTAACAAGTTGTAAAACAGTAGCTACATCTGAATTTTTAAAGACATGAAAAAGAAATACTATTTATGGTTATAAACATGAGGATAAATGCAAAAACATGCATGAGAATGAAAACACCAAATTTAGGTAGTGGTTACCTTTAGGGTAAGAGGGAGGAGAGTGGGATCAGAGACACACAGGTGGTGATTCTGCTGTTGCTGATTTTATTTCTTAAAGGGAAAGAAACCTGAAATCTGGCAAATAATATGTCAAGGCTAGCTGGAAGTATGTGGACATTATATTATACATCTTTTTTCATGTATAAACATGTAATAATAAATAATATATAAAAAGTAATAAATATAATAATAAAGTTTTTTAACTTTAAAAATAAAACACGCTTTAAAAGCAACTGCTACCTCCCCTCCCCCCCACTAATAAAATTCTAGTATGATAAAAATGAATACCCTGCTTTCATTGGAAATTTCTAGCTTACACTTTCTCTCTCACTCCGTTTCTCCTTTTCTGTCTCTCTCTACTCCTTCTCCCTCCCTCCCTCCCTCTCTCTCTCTGTCTATATCAATTTTGCTTTAAGAGGAAACTGGGAATTAAACAAACTGGGATCAATGATGTAATGTATCTTTAGTACTTTGGATTTTCTAAACAATTTCCTGTAGTTTCTGAGAGTTGTATTTTAATCACATTCATAGAAACTCAGTCAGTCTGGCCAATGGAGGAGAATAGTATAGTCCTGCTCTTTCAAATTATGTTAAGCAAAATGGCTTTCTTCTCTGGGAATGCACTGTACTCAAAGATATAAGGTATTAGACTAGAGGCTCCCTTAAGTTACGGCTAGTTCTAACGTTCTAAAGCTCTAACACAGAATCTTTCTTCTGTTGGATTGTTAGTTCTTTGAAACTAGACAGTGTGTTCTAAATACTAACCCTCATAATACCCTGAATAATACAGTTAGTATGTTAAAAATTAATTAAAAGAATGGTCATCACAACTTTGAATTCCATGGTACACTTTCCACAAATGCTTCTGTTTGTACCATGTTGATTAGTAATGTGACCCTTTCTTTCCCATGTTTAGTGATTTAGAATCTAGAAGAGAAGTAAAAAAAGAAGAAGGTGAAGCTTTTGCACGAGAACATGGACTCATCTTCATGGAAACGTCTGCTAAGACTGCTTCCAATGTAGAAGAGGTAAATAAGAGGCCCTTTAAAATCTTCATCTTTATACTTAATAGAAATGTTTTATATATCTTCATTTTACTTATTATTTAAGTTTTTAGTCGGATGGTCTTTGAACATCATAAAGTAGGAAAGTTTCTTCCCTTTGAAATCCCTTGTAACATTCACCTTCTGTCAGACTCTTAAATCATATTGAGCCTTCTAAAGCCTGAATGTTTTCTTACATTTTTGTACGTATTTTCACTCCCTCCCTTTTTCTAAACAATTTCCTATAGTTTCTGAGAGTTATATTTTAATCACATTCATAGAAAGTCAGTCTGGCCAATGGAGGAGAATAGTGTAGTCCTATTCTTTCAAATTATGTTGAGCAAAATGGCTTCTCTGGGAACCCACTGTACTCAAAGATATAAGGTATTGGACTTCTTCGTGTTGCATGGTAGGGAAATCTTTTTTGTGTTGCATGGGAGGGAAACAAGGAACCACACTAATGAAATTTGGAAATGTTTCAAGACAGCAGAACGTTTGTAGCTATTTATATCCACTTCTGCTTATTTTTTTAATTTTATTTATTTTTTTAACTGTCAATATATTACCACATCACCACTTCTGCTTAAAGTATTCTATTATTGCTGTGTAACATTTTACAAAGCATGAGAATTCTGTTTCATCTATTGATGAAATTTGTATTATTTCAGTTATTTCCATTGATGAACCTGAACTATTGGAACTTTTCTGAACACAGTGTATTCTTTTATGCTCTATGTGTTTGTGTTTGGAGGTAGTATGTATATACATATTATAAATAGATGATTACGTAGTTGATCCTTTCTAAGGTAAATGTATTACTATACTGTTATTTTATAAAAAGAGGTAATGAAGCTAAGAAAAGTAGTAGTTTATCCAAAGTAATACTTAGTTCCCGATTTCTAGATAAGAACAGCTTATAAGAGCAACTACAGAAAGTAGTTCTAAAAAACAAATGAGTTAAGAATCACTGCCGTAAGGATAACAGAGGTCAGGGTCCTGGGCAACAGCTAGCATGTGCCTTCAATGTAGTAAGCAGTCAGTAAATATTTATTAAGAATGATACTTGGAGCTCTTCTGATTAACCCTTGAACCTAAAAATTGACTACAGTAATTCTACAGCATTGGTATTTTCACCGAAGAATTCTTTCTTAGGTAAAATATTATACAGTCATGTGTTGCTTGACAAAGGAGATACATTCTGAGAAATATGTCACCAGGTGATTTCATCGTCACGTGACCATCATAGAGTGTACTTACATAAGCCTAGATGGCATAGCCTACTACTGCACCTACTACACACTTCCCTTAGTAGACCTTGGTGCCAGAGGAATGACACAGTGATGATTTCCCTTGGTTTTCTTTTTGCCACATACCCGAGACTGGGTGCTAGAGAAACAGGCAACCTAGAAAGGTCAACAGGCACAGAAAAAGAAAGTCTTCTAGCCAGAGAACCAGGAAATAGGCAGGTCAGAACAGTGTTCGCAAGCCAGAACACTCTTAGAAAGTAACCATTCTACTGTAGCCAAACATCACAGAAAAAATTGTGGCTCTGCTTCCACAATCCCCAGGCAGTAATGAAGTAGCACCCTACCACCACCATTTCCCTTGTTGGAGTGGAGTGAGAGGAAGCCAACTAAACAGTGGTTTAAATAAGACCCAGAGTCTCATAACATAGTATCTAAAATACCCATGTTTCAATAGAAAATCATTCATCATACCTAGAACCAGGAAGATCTTAAATTGAATGAAAAAAAGATAATAGGTGCCAACAGTGAAATGACAGTGGTGTTTGAATTATCTTACAAAGATTTTAATGCAGCAATCATTAAAATGCCTCAACAAACAAGGAACATGCTTGAAACAGAAGAGTCTTAGCAAACAAACAATCTGAGCAAAAGAAATGCAAGATAAAAAAAAGAACCAAATAGGAATTTTAAAATAAAAAAAAATACAATAATTGAAATTTTAAAACTCTTTCAAAGCTCTTTGTACACTAGAAAAAAAAACTTAGTGAATGGACTCAACAGCAGAATGGAGATAAAGGAAAGAAATAGTGAACTGGATGATAGAACAATAGTAACTACTTAGTCTAAACTGCAGAGAGAAAATTGAGGAAACAAATGAACACTACCTCAGGGACTTATAGGACTGTAACAAAAGCTGACGTTATATGATGCATCATAAGTCCTAGAAGGAGAGGAAAAAGGAATGGCTCTGAAAAATACTCAAAGAAATAATGGCTGAAAACTTCTTAAATGTGGCAAAAAGTATATAAACCTACAGATTGAAGACAGCCCCAAAGAGGTTAAACCCAGACAAATCCACATGATGACGAACCTCTGTATGGTCAAATTTCTGAACGTGAAAGACAGAAAAAAAAATCTTGAAAGCAGCAAAAAATAGCACCCTACGTATAGGGGAAAAACAGTTCTAATGATAGCAGATTTCTCATCAGAAACCATGGAGGACAGAGAAAATAGCACAGTGATTTTTGTTTGTTTGTTTGTTTTTATTATACTTTAAGTTCTAGGTTACATGTGCACAACGAGCAGGTTTGTTACCTAGGTATATATGTGCCATGTTGGTTTGCTGCACCCACCAAGTAATCATTTACATTGGGTATTTCTCCTAATGCTATCCCTCCCCCAGCCCTTCAACCCCCAACAGGCCCCGGTGTGTGATGTTCCCTGCCCTGTGTCCAAGTGTTCTCATTGTTCAGTTCCCACCTATGAGTGAGAACATGCGGTGTTTGGTTTTCTGTCCTTGTGATAGTTTGCTGAGAATTATGGTTTCCAGCTTCATCCATGTCTCTGCAAAGGACATGAACTCAACTTTTTTATGGCTGCATAGTATTCCATGGTGTATATGTGCCACATTTTCTTAATCCAGTCTACCATTGATGGACATTTGGGTTGGTTCCAAGTCTTTGCTATTGTGAATACTGCCACAATAAACATACGTAGCACAGTGTTTTGCAAGAGCAGAAAGAAAAGAACTATCAGCCCAGAATTCTTTACCCAGCAAAGAAAAAAAAGAATTAGCAATGAAGGTGCAATCAAGACATTCTTAGAGAAGGAAAAACCAAGAATTTATTAGTAGCAGATTTGCATAAAAGAATGGCTAAAGGAAGTTTTCTAATAGAAGTGAAATGATTGAAGAAAGAATCTTAGAACACCATAAAGGAAGAAAAAAACATAAGAAACAAAAATATGGATAAATATGATAGACTTTTTTCTTCAAGTCTTGCAAATTATGTTTGATGTTTGAAGTATAAACAAGTAACCACTGTCTGATGTGATTATCAGTGTATTCCACAATATTATAAGCCATGGGGAATAAAGGGATTTGATTAGCCCACAGGAAGGCAGGAGAAGGAAAATAGAAAACAAAGTAAAATGTCAGATGTAAGCCCTCATATATCAATAACTAAATGTTGGTGGTCAAAATACACAAATCAAAAGGGATTAGCAGAGAGAATTTTAAAAACAATGACTTAGCTATATGGTATTTATAAGAAACTCACTCCAAATACAACAGTACAGTTAGGTTGAAAATAAAATGATAGGAAAAGTTATACAAATATTAATCAAAGGAAAACAGGAGTAGCTATATTAATATCACATAAACTTAAGGGCAGAAAAAAATTATCAGAGTGGGACATTATATAATGATAAAAGAATCAGCCCTCCAGAAAGATGTGACAGTGCTAAACATGCGTGTACCAGATATGTGAAGCAAAAACTGATAGACTGCGAGGAGAAATAGAGAAATTCACAATTACGGTTGGAGACTTCAGCATCCCTTAGGTGCTCACAGAATATATACCAAGATAGACCGTGTCCTGGGCCATAAAATAAACCTCAATAGATTTTAAAGTATTGAAATCATACGGAATGTATTCTCCAAACAAAATGGAATTAAACTAGAAATCAGTTTAACAGAAAATAGGAAAATCTACAAATACTTGGAAACTAAACAGTACGCTTCTGTGTGTCAGTGAGCAAGTCTTGAATTACAAAAAACACATTGAACTGAATGAAAATACAACATACCAATTTGTGGAAAATAGCTAAAACAGTGTTACGAGAGGGAAATGTATATCATTAAATGCACACAATAGAAAAGAAGAAGTCTCTTCCTTATACGTTATACAAAAATTAACTCAAGATGGATTAGAGATTTAAACATAAGACCTAAAACCATAAAAACCCTGGAAGAAAACCTAGACAATACCATTCAGGACATAGGCATGGGCAAAGACTTCATGACTAAAACACCAAAAGCAATGGTAACAAAAGCCAAAATTGACAAATGGGATCTAATTAAACTGAAGAACTTCTGCACACCAAAAGAAACTATCATCAGAGTGAACAGGCAACCTACAGAATGGGAGAAAAATTTTGCAATCTATCCATCTGACAAAAGGGCTAATATCCAGAATCTACAAAGAACTTAAACAAATTTACAAGAAAAAAACAACCCCATCAAAAAGTGGGCGAAGGATATGAACAGACACTTTTCAAAAGAAGACATTTATGCGGCCAACAAACATATGAAAACTCATTATTACTGGTCATTAGAGAAATGCAAATCAAAACCACAATGAGATACCATCTCATGCCAGTTAGAATGGCAATCATTAAAAAGTGAGGAAACGGCCGGGCGCGGTGGCTCATGCCTGTAATCCCAGCACTTTGGGAGGCTGAGGTGGGCGGATCACAAGGTCAGGAGATGAGACCATCCTGGCTAACAGGGTGAAACCCCATCTGTATTAAAAATATAAAAAATTAGCCAGGCGTGGTGGCAGGCGCCTGTAGTCCCAGCTACTTGGGAGGCTGAGGCAGGAGAATGGCATGAACCCAGGAGGCGGAGCTTGCAGTGAGCCAAGATCACACCATTGCACTCCAGCCTCGGCGACAGAGTGAGACTCTGTCTCAAAAAAAATAAAAGTGAGGAAACAACAGATGGTGGAGAGGATGTAGAGAAATAGGAACACTTTTACATTGTTGGCGGGAGGGTAATTCAGTTCAACCATTGTGGAAGACAGTGTGGCAATTCCTCAAGGATCTAGAACCAGAATTACCATTTGACCCTGCAATCCCATTACTGAGTATATACCAAAAGTATTATAAATCATTCTATAAAGATACATGCACAGGTATGTTTATTGCAGCACTGTTCACAATAGCAAAGACTTGGAACCAACCCAAATGCCCATCAGTGATAGACTGGATAAAGAAAATGTGGCACATATACACCATGGAATACTATGCAGCCATAAAAAGGGATGAGTTCATGTCCTTTGCAGGGGACTTGGGTGAAGCTGGAAACCATCATTCTCAGCAAACTAACACAGAAATAGAAAACCAAACACCGCATGTTCTCACTCATAAGTGGGAGTTGAATAATGAGAACACATGGACACAGGGCGGGTAACATCACACACCAGGGCCTGTTGGGGGGTGGGGGCCTAGGGGAAGGATAGCATTAGGAGAAATACCTAATGTGGATGATGGATTGATGGGTGCAGCAAACCACCATGGCACGTATATACCTATGTAACAAATCTGCACATGTATCCCAGAACTTAAAGTATAATTTAAAAAAACAAAAGAAAAGAAGTCTCAAAATAATTTTAACTCCTACTTCAAGAACCCAAAGCAAAATAAACCATAAAAAAGAAAAACCCAAAATAAATAGAAAGGAGGGAATATTAAAGATAAGAGCAGAGATTAATTAAGTTGAAAACAAAAATCAGTGAAACAAAGAGCTGGATTTTTTAAAAACTTCAGTAAAATTGGCAGACCTCTAGCAAAACTGACAGAAAAGGTGCAAGTTACCAATTATCAGTAACAAAACAGAAGCTATCACTACAGATTCTCCAGACATAAAAGAGGTAATTAGGGAATGCTGTGAATAGCTTTACCCACATAAATGTGACAACTTAGATGACTAATAGACCAGTTTATCCAAAAACACAAATTGCTACACCCAGCCAGTATGAAAAAGTTAATTTGAGCCTGGGCAACATGGTGAAACCCTGTCTCTACTGAAAATACAAAAAGTAGCTGGGCGTGGTAGCAGGAGCCTGTAATCCCGGCTACTCGGGAGGCTAAGGCAGGAAAATCGCTTGAACCCAGGAGGCAGAGGTTGCAGTGAGCCGAGAGGCACCATTGCACTCCAGCCTGGGCAACAAGAGTGAAACTACGTCTCACAAAAAAGAAAAAAATTGAATAGCCCTATAAACTACAACGGAAATTGAATTCATAGTTTTAAAACTCCCCAAAAACGAAACCTCTAGGTCCAAATGGTTTCACTGCGGAATTCTACCAGACGTTTAAAAAAGGAATGAACACCAATTCTAGACCATCTTTTGCAGAAAATAGATGTAACACTTCCCTATTTATTTTATAAAACTGATTTTACTCTGACACTAAAACCAAAGACAATACAAAAAAAGGAAAAGTACAAACCAATAGCCTTTATAAATATATAAGCAAAACTCCTCAACAAAATACCAGAAAATAGAATTTCAACAATATACGAAATTGTGTATGTGTACGTTTATAAAGTATATATACATCATGGCCACATGGGGTTTATTCCAGGGATGCAAGGCTTGCTCTGTATTCAAAAACAAATCAGTGTACTCCACCATTTAATAGGGTAAAGAAGAGAAACCACGTGATTATAGCAGTTGATGCAGAAAAACCATTTGACAGAATTCAACACCCATACATATTTAAAAACTCTCAGAAAAATAGGAATTGAGGAGGACTTCCTCAACTTGTTAAAGAGCACGTGAACACACACCAAAAAAAAACCCACAACTAATGTTATACTTAAGGGCAAAAGGTCGAAGGCCTTGTTCCTTAGATTAGGAACAAAGCAGTAATGTCTCTTCTCAACATTAATCAACATATTGATGGAAGTTCTAGCCAGTGCAGTAAAGCAAAAAAAAAAAAAAAAAAAAAAAAAAAAAGAAAAGGCATACAACTAAGAAAGGAAGAAATAAAAAGTGTTCTATTTGTGGATGATGTAATTGTCTCAGTAGGAAATCTCAAGGGATTTGCAACAAAAAAAAGTGAGTTCAGCAAGGTTGCAGGATACAAGGTAGACATAAAAATCAATCGTATTTCTATGTTTTAGCCATGAAAACATGAACACCAAAACTCAAAATATATCATTTTTAAGCACACAAAAAATAAAATGAAATACTTAGGGGTGAATCTAAAAACAGCATGTGCAGGCCATGTATTCTGAAAACTACAAAACTACTTACAGTGGTGAAAGAAGTAAAAGAAAATCTAAATAAATAGAGAGGCATACTATGCCTACTGTTTGGAATATTCAACCTTGTAAAATGTCACTTATTCACAAATTGATATAAATGTTTAACACAATTCATATCAAACTTCCAGTACAATGTTTTGTAGATATAGACAATATTATTATAAAATATATATGGAAAGGCAGAAGAACTAAAGTAGCTGACACAGCTTAGCAAAGGAGAATACAATGGGATGAATCCACCCATTGATTTCAAGTTTTGCTTAGCCAGTCATCAGGACTGCGTGATACTGGTAAAGGGATAGACACATAGATCAATGGAACAGAATAAGTAACCTGGAAACACGCGTACAAATATGCACAACTAATTTTTAACAAAGGTGCAAAAGTAGTTAAATGGAAGAAGATAGCCTTTTCAACAAATGGAACTCTAGCAGTTAGAAATCCAAAATAAATGAACTTCCTCCTAAGTCTCACACCTTAAAAAAACTAACACAAAATCCTGGAGTTAAATGTAAAATATGAACATATTTATCTTTTAGGGGAAAAAAAAAGAAAAAGAAAAATTTCAGTATCTGAGCCTTAGCGTATGTGTCACCAAAAGGATGATTCATAAAAGGAAAAAGTGATAAATTAGCTTTCAAAAACTTTAGCCTTGTGAAAGACTGTTTAAGTAGATGAAAAGACACATCTTCAGAGTGGGAGAAAATATTTACATACCAGGTATCCAACAAAAGACTAGTGGCTAGAAATAAAAATTCTCAAAAGTGTTGAGTAATTTTACTCGGTAGTAAAAAAAAAAAAAACAATGCAATTACAAAATGGGCAAGAGAGATATGAGCAGATATTTCATTGAAGAGGATCTACAAATGGCAAATAAGCACTAAAAAAGATCTTTGACATCAGTAGCCATTAGGGAAGTAGAAATTAAAACTTCAGTAAGCCAGGCCTGGTTGGTGTAAGCTGCTACTGGGGAGGCTGAGGCAGCAGGAGGATCACTTGTGCCCAGGAATTTGAGACTGGACTGGGCAACACAGACCCTGTCTCAAAAAAGAAAGAAAAACACCCAATGAGCTGTCACTACATACCTGTCAGAATGTCAGAAAGGCTAAGATGAAAAATACTGAGAACACCAAATGCTGAAGAGAATGTGGAGAAACCAGATCACTCTTACGTTGCATGTGGGAATGTAAAATAACACAGCCACTCTGGAAAAATGGCAGTTTCTTTAAACACTAAACATGCAGCTACCATACATCCTAGCTGTTGCACCCCTGGACATTTATCCCAGATAAATGAAGAGTTAGGTTGACTCAAAAACCTATACACAGATGTTCATAGTAGTTTTATTCAGAATGGCCAAAAACTGGAAACAGGCTAGAGACATTGGGTTGAAGGACACTTTAGTGGCTGCATGGTTACAGTGTGGTCCATCTATACCATGGAATACTACTCAACAATAAGAAGGGGGAAACTACAGATACTATACAGCAATCTGGATAAATCTGGAGAGAACTATGCTTAGTGAATCAAGCCATTCTCAAAAGGTTGATCCTGTATTATCCCATCTGTGTAACTTTCTTGAAATGATAAAAATTTTTGTAACAATGTACTAATAATGTAGTTTTGTATGAAGTCACTACTGGGGGGAAACTACATAAATGTTACACGGGATTCTTCTGTATTATTTCTTACACCTGCATGTGAATCTGTAATTATCTTAAAACAAAAAGTTTAATCAAAAAATAACTGTGTACATCCAACTTAAACTGATTGAGTCCTTTAACACCATGATGACAGTTTTAAAAATGAGAATTCATCAGGAAGAAGCCTCCTAACCACAATAAAATACTAATGTTAGAATATGGAATATGGCTATAGAAGCTTGTTGGTATTTTATGAATTCTTGAAGAATACAGATTTTCAAATTACTAGATTTTTGCTCTGTATGTTGCGTTTCTGCACAGGGCAAACTTTTATACAAATAGTTCCCTCCATATATGTTTAGCATATGCCTAGCAAATAATAATTAATGTTGAGATTTTTATTATGCATAGACTTTATTTTCTTTCTTTTTTTTTTTGAGATGGAGTGTCGCTCTCACCCAGTTGGGAATGCATTGGCACAATCTCAACTCGCTGCAACCTTCACCTCCCAGGTTCAGGCACTTCTCCCACCTCAGCCTCCTGAGTAGATGGGACTACAGGCATGTGCCACCACGCCTGGCTAATTTTTGTACTTCTAGTAGAAACAAGGTTTCACTATGTTGCCCAGGCTAGTCTCAAACTCCTAAGCTCAAATGATCCGCCTGCTGTGGCCTCCCAAAGTGCTGGGATTATAGGCATGAGCTGCCATGCCCAGCATATTATGCATAGACTCTCTTAATTACATTTCTCAGAAGCAGCTAAAGATGAAATTGTACTAATATGGAATAAGAAAGTCCTGGTTAGAAGAAAAACCGCATTCATTCACAATGTCCACATGACAGATTTTTAAGTAAAAGGCATTTTTAGGACAATACACTTTTATTCATTAGCTTATTTTTCTACATCATGTATATCAAAGCATTTTGGTAGGCTCACAATGAAGTTGATAGAGCTGGTGTTAAGCCTCATTTTATTTTGTTTTTTTGAGACAGGGTCTCACTCTGTCACCCAGGCTGGGGTACTGTGGTTTGAACTGTAGCCTCAACCTCTTGGGCTCAAGTGATCCTCCTGCTTAAGCCTCCCAAGTAGCTGGAATGACAGGTGTGTGCCACCATGCCCAGCTAATTTTTTTTTTTTTGTAGAGGCAAAGTCTTGCCATGTTGCCCAGGCTGGTCTCAGACTCCTGGGTTCAAGATATCCTCCCACCTTAGCCTCCCAACGTGCTGGGATTACAGGCTCAAGCCACTGTGCCTGGGCAGCCTGCTCTTAAAAATTAACTTAATCGGTACTATCACTTAAAAAAGTAAACCCTTATAGACATCATCTAGTTTTAGAAGTTACCACCGTGTAGACATTTTGAGTCTTATATCCCATTTGTTGAGCAAATGCCAGAAATATTTTTACCTATAAATATTTCGATATAAGTAATTTTAAAAAATATAACACAATACCATTATCATATATAACTTAACAGCAATTCCTTAATATCTAATATAAAGTCTTAATGTCATCCCTTTTATTTCATTCAACAAGTAATATTGGAAAACAAGTATTTAGTTTATTTGGGATCAAGGAAGACTAACAAAAGGGTTTCTTCCTCCTTAGAGAAGTAGGAAGGAGGAGAACTAAACCAGCACTTATTTGGTATCTGCCTTTTGATAGGCATTCACCATCAGTTCCTATGGCAGGAGAGCCAAGACCAAACTATGCTGCTGACAAATTACAATATACTGTCTCAGAGATTTAAGCAAGAATTATCCTGCAGAATTAGATCCAAGGAGGTAAATGTTAGGCATGCATGGCCCATTGATTCTTGATCAGGTTGACCCTTGGACTTAGAAAGAAACAGCAATTACAGTAATTATGGGGAAGTTTGTTCTAAGTGCTATGCCTTATGTTTTTGCTTTTCAAGGGCTCAGATTTGCCTAACTATGCCATCCTTTTGTTCCTTAGGAGAATAAGCAGAGCTCTATGGGAGAGGCGGTTTAGCACAGTGGGTAGAAACTGACCGTGGGCTCAGACAGGATCTATCCTCAGCTTGCTCTCTGGAGGACTCTCTTCTATGAGAGCTGATCATGTGATGGGTTAAGAATAAGGCAGGTATTCTAATGACACATCCCACTTGTCTAGTGACAGTGGTGGTTGGTGTTGGGACATTTCAGAGAAGGTCATCATCCTGTTTTTTATAATCTGTTGAGAATTATTCACAACCCAGCTGATCCTTGGCACCTATGTGTAGAGAAATTTTAATGCACAGGGAACCCTCTTAAAAGATTTTTTAGACTATTATTATTTGTTAAGATTAAATATAAATGGCACATTGATGATGTTTAGAATTGGACCTGTTTCCTTTTGATGTTGTGCTGTAGTCTATTTATACATGTTCACCAAGACCCAGTTACTGTAATACAAGTGGACACCATGAAGTTTAACTGTTACAGTTCCCTGTAAGGGATTGGATAATTTACAGCATAAGATAACAACAGCTTTGTTCCAGCACTAGCTGTGTTGTTGCTGGAAATAAGTTTACTATTAGTCTATAGATTTCCTATTAATCAGCTTTATGATTTCATCCAAGAAGGATCTGTTGAGGGGGAAAAGAGGCAACGTGGTAAATGAATGCAAAGGATATCTCCTCATAACACAGAATTATCTCGTCCAAAATGTCAGCAGTATTGAGATTGAGAAACACTGAATTAGAATAATAAAACACAGTTCAACTCAAGGAAATGAAGCACCCACTCAGCATAATATATGAATCCCCTTTATTCACTTAGTAATAGGAGGGATGGTGCTATGATATTATTATTAAAAATGAGTGCAAATGTCATAGCTTATGCCTGTAATCCTGGTATTTTGGGAGGCTGAAGCAGGAAGATTACTTGACGCCAGGAGTTCAAGACCAGCCTAGCCAACATAGCAAGACCCTGTCTCTATTTAAAAAGACAGAAAGAGAGGGAGAGGGAGGAGAAGAAAGAAAAGAAAAGAAGAAAGAAAATAGATGCTTGATTGATAGACAGACAGATAGGGTTTGGATCTGTGTCCCTGCCCAAATCTCATATTGAATTCTAATCCCCATTGTTGGAGGTGGGGCCTGGTGGGAGGTGATTAGATCACGGGAGCAGTTTCTTATGAGTGGTTTAACACCATACCGCTTGGTGCAGTTCTTGTGATAGTTCTAATGAGATCTGATTGTTTAAAAGCATGTAGTACCTCCCACCTCTTTCTCTTTCTCCTGCTGTGGTCACGTGAAGTGCCTCGCTCCCCCTTTGCCTTGTGCCATGATTGTAAGTTTCCTGAGGCCTCCCCAGAAGCTGAGCAGATACCACTATCATGCTTCCTGTACAGCCTGCAGAACCATGATACAATTAAACTTCTTTTCTTTATAAATTACCCAGTCTCAGGTATTTCTTTATAACAGCGGGAGAAAGGACTGATACAGAAAATTGGTACTGAGGAGTGGGGCTTTGTTATAAAGATACCTCAAAATGTGGAAACAACTTTGGAACTGGGTAATGAGCAGAGGTTGGAAGAGTGTGGAGGGCTCAGAAGATGAGGAAAAATTTGGAACTTCTTAGAGACTGCTTGAATTGTGACCAAAATGCTGATAATGATGTGGACAATGAAACCCAGGCTGAGGAGGTCTCAGATGGAGATTAGAAAATTATTGGGGACTGGAGCAAAGGTCACTTTTGTTATGCTTTAGCAAGGAAGCTGGCTGCGTTGTGCCCCTGCCCTAGGGACCTGTGGAACTTGGAACTTGAATGGTGATGATTTAAGATATCTGGCGGAAAAATTATCTAAGCGACAAAGCATTGAAGATGTGGCCTGGTTGCCTCTAATAGCCTATCTCATATGTGTGAGCAGAGAAGTGACCTGAAACTGGAACTTAGACTTAAATGGGAAGCAGAGCATAAAGGTGAAAAATTTGTAGCCTGGCCATGTGGTAGAAAAGAAAAGTCCATTTCAGGAGAGGAATTCAGACAGGCTGCAGAAATTTGCATAAGTAAAAAGGAACCAAATGCTAATAGCCATGACAATGGGGAGAAGGCCTGGAAGGCATTTCAGAGACTTCACAGGAGCCCCTCCCTCACAGGCTCAGAGGCCTAGGAAGGAAGAATGGTTTTGTAGGTCAGGGCCAGGGTCAGGGCCCCACCACCCTGCACAGCCTCAGGACACTACTCCCTGCATCCCAGCCACTTTAGTTCCAGCTGTAGCTCAAAGGGGCCCAGGAAGAGCTCGGGACACTGTTTCAGAGGGTGCTAGCCACAAGCCTTGGTAGCTTCCATGTGGTGGTAAGCCTGTGGGTGCACAGAGTCCAAGAGTTGAGGCTTGGAAACCTCTGCCTAGATTTCAGAGAATGTATGGAAAACTTTGGATGTTCAGGCAGAAGCCTACTGCAGGGGTGGAGCCCTCACAGAGCACCTCTTCTAGGGCAGTGCAGAGGGAAAATGTAGGCTTGGTGCTCCACATAGAGTCCCCACTGGGGCACCACCTAGTGCAGCTGTGAGAAGATGACCACGTCCTCCAGACCCCAGAATGGTAGATACACCAACAGTTTGCACCCATCACTTGGAAAAGCCACAGGCACTCAGTGCCAGCCAGTGAGAGCAGTGGTGGGGTCTGAACCCTGCAAAGCCACAGTGGTGGAGCTGCCCAAGGCCTTGGGAGCACACCCATCACACCCCTGTGCCCTGGACGTGGGACATGGAGTCAAAAGATTATTTTGGAGCTTTAAGATTTGATGACTGCCCTGCTGGGTTTTGAACTTGTATGGCACCTATAGCCCCTTTCTTTTGGCCAATTTTTCGTTTTTGGAATGGGAGTATTTACCCAATGCCTGTGTCCCCATTGTATCTTGAAAGTAGCTAACTATTTATTTTACAGGCTCATAGGCAAAAGGGACTAATACATATATACATATATATATATAATGCTTCATTTCAAGCTGGGGGTGGTGGCTCACGCCTATAATCCCAGCACTTTGGGAGGCCAAGACGGGCAGATCACCTGAGGTCAGGAGTTCGAGACCAGCTTGACCAATATGGTGAAACCTCATCTGTACTAAAAATACAAAAATTAGCCGGGCGTGGTGGCTTGCGCCTGTAGTCCCAGCTACTCAGGAGGCTGAGACAGGAGAATTACTTGAATCAGGGAGGCGGAAGTTGCAGTGAGCTCAAATTGCACCACTGCACTCCAGCCTGGGTGACAGAGTGAGACTCCGTCTTAGAAAACAAACAAACAAACAAAAATGCTTCATTTCAGTGACACCCTGAGCTGGGAGGGAGTAAAGACTCATAGGCAAAAGGGACTAATACATGTATATAAAATGCTTCATTTCAGTGATACCCTGAGCAAGGAGGGAGTAAAGACTAGGAAGTACTGTTAGGAAGTGACACCACTTTTATTTTTGGAGCTGTCTCTGACCTGTGAATCCTACAGTGAATACTCTTAAATATTTTAGTATCTGTCCAGATGATATTGGTACCCAGATCCTTTAACTATACCTCTGATATTCCAACTGTTTTGCTCTTACCTGAATTTATGCTGCCTATCTTGAACTAGGATCTTAAATTTAAAATGGCACCCAAGACAACACTTTGAAGTTTATTTCCAAAGAGCATAAGAATAAAATGCCCTAGTCTTCCTAAACTAGGTGTTACTTAGCGGGAAGAATTTCTCAAGACAGGATCATAGAGAGAGAGAGTACTATCATATACTACATTAATAACACTAATATACAACCACATAGATATTTATTGTATACACAAGTAATACTTGGAAAATCTGGATTAAGTAAAAGTCGACAAATTTTTCTAACAGTTGCCCAAGCTATACCTGGGCCTTTTTGAGCTGCAGCTAGAGCTGGAGTGGCTGAGATACACAAGCAGTGTCCTGAGGCAACACAGGTGGTGGGGCCGTGGCCTGACCTACAAAACTGTTCTTCCCTCTTAGGGCCTCCAGGCCTGTGATGGGTTGGGCTCCTGGAAAGTCTCTGAAATGCCTAAAATTGGAATTGGCGGGGGATGCGTAACATCTCTTAACATACCATGGACTGATGTCTGTGTTATTTTGCTTACTCTCTTATTTCATGGTCACTATTATATGTTGTGGTGGGTGCATGGAGACTGCTTTTTCTTTTTTAAGCTAAACTAAGAATGCCTCATAAGACTTTTCTTTTTTTCGGGTCAATTGTCTTTTTTTTTTTTTTTTTTAAGATTTTTTTGGGCCGGGCACAGTGGCTCACACCTGTAATCCCAGCACTTTGGGAGGCCGAGGCGGGCAGATCACAAGGTCAGGAGATCGAGACCATCCTGGCTAACATGGTGAAACCCTGTCTCTACTAAAAATACAAAAAATTAGCCGGGCGTGGTGGCAGGCACCTGTAGTGCCAGTTACTCAGGAGGCTGAGGCAGGAGAATGGCATGAACCCGGGAGGTGGAGCTTGCAGTGAGCCGAGATCGCGCCACTGCACTCCAGCCTGGGCGACAGAGCGAGACTCCATCTCAAAAAAAAAAAAAAAAAAAAAGGTTTTTGTAGAGACAGTGTCTCTCTTATGTTGCCGAGGCTTGTCTCAAACTCTTCGGCTCAAGCAGTTCTCCCACCTCGGCCTCCCGAAGTGCTGGGATTATGTCATGAGCCACCATGCCCAGCCTACCTAAGTCAGTTGTCTTTTTGACCAGAGCTTCCCAAATACTAATGTACACTTAAGAATTCTGTTAAAATGCAGATTCTGATTCAGTAGATCTGTGGTGTGGCCTGGGAGCTTGCATTTGTAACCAGTCCTCAACTAATGTAGATACTGCTGATCCAGGGGTCACACTCTGAAGAGATAGAGAGGCTGTAGAGGAGTCCAGTCTGTTCTATCACAGGACAATCAGGCAGAGTGCTGTCTCCTCCCATTTCCTCAGAGATGTTATTGCTTCAAACCATCTCATTATATTCACCCTTTCCTTCTCTATTGATTCTTGGCTCCCAGCATGTAATTAAGTTTCAACCATCTTATAAAATCCTTTCACTCCATTTCTCCTGGATGTTTTTCCTTCTGGCTTCTATTAAGAGCTGTCTCCATTTCCTTGTTCTTTTTCTCACCTGTCTTCATAGTCTGACTTCTTCCACCACGGCCAAGGTCATCCTGGTCTTCCTAAAAGCCACAACTAACAAATACTTTTCTGGGTTTTTGTTTGTTTGTTTGTTTTGGTATTTATTTTTACTTTTAGAAAAAGTTTATTATAAAAAAGTAATTGCATGAAAGAAAGCTTGCAAAATAGAGAATAAGTAAAAGAATAATAAAAACATATCATGCATAATATGTAAAGGCTAGAAGAAAATACACCAAAATGTTAACAGTAATGATGACTGTATAGGCGCCCAAAAAGCAAGAATTATACCTTTTTTTTTCTGCTTTTCTGTTCTTAGCTTAAACAGTCCTTTGGGAATATTTGATACTTTTGACTACTCTTCAGTAAACTTCTTTCTTAGCTCCATGACACCGTTTTCTTTCTTTTTCTCTTTCTCTCTCTCTCTCTGTGTCTCCCCGCCCCCGGTCCTGCTCCCTCTCCCTCTTCCTCTCCTTCTTCCTCTCCTTCTTCCTCTCCTTCTTCCTCTCCTTCTCCTCCTTCTCTCTCTCCTCTCTCTCCTTCTCCTTCTCCTTCTCCTCCTCTCCCTCCCTCCCTCCCTCTTCCTTTACCCCCACCCCACCTCACTGGCCTTCCCCAGATTTTTTTTACCAGTTCTTTGTTCCACTTTGAGATATCACCTAAGTCTGTTACTTCAGGTACCATTTTAGGCTGTATGTTCAGCTCCACCCTGACAGCTGCTGCCTAGACAGTTGTGCTGAGTGATCTTCACACCCTTCCGATTTAACACATCCAGCTGAACTGATAGCCCTTCTCTATTCTAGTCTACAGATCCTCTATTCTATAGTGTTCTTTCTCTTACCCCTTGACATTGATTTATTCAGTTAATACGTATCACTTTTCACCTGTTATTGTTTCTGCCTATTAAATATCTCTCCAAATTGTCTTCTGTCATAATTGTATCCTAATTGGACTTCCTGTCTTCATTTTTCAGTCCCTTACACTGTGACCTCTGGGATCTTTCTAAAAATGAAGGTTGAATGTCTCTCTCCAGTTTTATTAACCATGCAGTGGTTCCCCACAGCTTCAGCATCAAACTCCTTAGCTTGGCATGCAGGATGCTTTGATTGCCAACCCCTCACACCATATGCTCTCCATAGTAAACTAGGAGTCGATCAGCTTTACAGTGTTCTCTCCCCTTCTCCACAAAAAAGTATTCTCTGCACTTGAAATGCCCTTCCTTCCGACTTGATCCTCCAAGGGTATGGTTAAGTCTGATCCCTCCTCTGGAATGTGTTCCATGACACCAGCATGTCTTCCTTCTGCCACCAGCCACCACACACAACATCTGAATTGATAGACTTCTTCTTCTCCTTATTCCTGTGTTGTCCTGGGCATGAATTCACCTTAGTATGATATCATTGCACTTGTTTGTCATGTCGGCCCACCAAAAGGATTGAGTTCTTTAAAGACACAGACTCTTTTCATTTCTGCAACCCCCACATGGTAGATAACAAAAGTTTGGATGAGTAAGTATGTATTTGCTTCAACCATGTTCTTCTTCCTTCAGTCTTTCATTCTGGTTATGCTTTGGTCCCATTTGTTACATGTAGGTAGAATTCTGTCCTAAACCTTATCTTTGCCCAAGCATTTTAAAACATGAGATTTTAGAAAATCCAGGTGAGGCTGGGTATGGTAGCTCACACCTATACTCCCAACACTTAGGGAGGCCAAGGTGGGCAGATCACTTGAGGCCAGGAGTTTGAGACCAGCCTGGCCCGCATGGCAAAACCTCATCTCTACAAAAAAATAAAAAATTAGCCAGGCATGGTGGGACACGCCTGCTGTACTCCCAGCTATGAGGTAGGAGGATCACTTGAGCTCAGGAGGGCAAGGCTTCAGTGAGCTGAGATCATGCCACTGCACTCCAGCCGGGGCAACAAAGGGAGACCCTGTGTCTCAAAAAAAAAAAAAAAAAAAAAAAATCCAGACAAGCAAATTGGCCTCTCATCAGGTGCTTCTTCCTTCAGTAGCTGCCTGGAATCTTTGTGGTTTGAAAAGGCCTTTTTAGGTGGAGAGATGTTCATGTCATAATGGCAGGCTAGGTAAACCCCCACCCTTCCCAGAAGCCTTATGCTTATGCTGCTGAAGTATTTATGCTACTGAAGTACTAGATACCACCAAGACTATAGCTGAAAATACAACCAGCTAACCCTAAGACAGATTGCAGTAACCCACCAAGCCACCTAAACTGACAGGATAGATGAATTTCTATGTCCAGAGAGAACACATGACTTACTAAGACATTAGTAACTAGGAAGACTACCAGTTTCAAGTCCCCTTGCTAATACCTGCATTCTGTCTCAGTACTTGAAAGTCTGTAGACTTTATTTGCATTGAGGGACCATCTTGTCTTGGGCTTTGTTGTAACTGGTGGAATGAGTATTTTTATGTAGCTGTAATGAGGTTGTAAACTGAAGGCTTTGTTTCCCCCTTAAATCTATTCTGAGTGTTAAGCCCATGGATGCATACCACAAGACTTCAGTGGAAATCTGACCTGGCCTTCCTCAGCAGTTTTCCAGTATCCCTTGAGGATAGCTTAGTTTAATAAATATTTACCACTCTCCTCCACATTTTGGTAGACTTGGCTGACTAGCATCAGCTTCTTCACCTCTAATTTGGCCATCATCCCCGGAACTTCATAGATGATCCAAACTCTGACTTTGAAAGTTGCATCCATTTTCTGTACTTCTAAACCAGGGTGGCTAAACATTACCCAAGAAAATTATGCTAATAAATGCATGTCATATACTTACACACTCACATTTATCTGTAGCTTATATTCCCATATAAGTGCACAATTATATAGATCGCCATCTACCAAGAGTTTCCCACTTGTACGATGTATTAGAATTCCACGTGTCTAAAAGAAATTTTTCATTCCTTCCTTGAAAACTGATTTTCTTCCTTTTTAATTTATCTCAATTCATGGTATACCCTTTTATCTCATCACTTAAACCAAAAGCGGAGTCATCCATAAACATATCACCATTTTACTCTGTCACTTAAAGTCCTGTTAATTTCTTCACAACAGATATTAGGTTTGAGCTTTGCCATTCATTCTCGTTGCCACCATCTGACCTTTCTTTCTTGGGTCATTGCTCTGGACTCCTCAGTCTCCCTGTGGCCAGTATCGCCCCCTTGTGATTCATTCTCTAAACTCTCCTCTGATTTTGTCCCTCCCCTGCTTCCTACCTTTTCAGGGTTCCTCTGCCTATAGGGCCACATCTCTAACTTTATCTCACGTTCCTGGCCGTCCTCAGCTTCCAACAGAATTGAACTTAAAATCTGCTCCTCTGTCCAGAATGCCCTTCTTCCCCTCAGTTTTCCTAATATATGAGTGGGAGCTTACCTGTCTTTCAGGCCTTCACTTGCAGGGCTTTTCTCTCTCAGAAGTGGTCATGCTACCTTATTCATCTAAGCAACTGAAGGTTTTTCTTCTATGTTCGCATATTGGATGCATATCTATCCTATATACCACATCCTTGAGATGTAAGGTATTCATATTTATCTGAGTGTCCTCAGTGCCTGGTACAAATCAAGCACTCAGGAAATGCTTATTAAATGGAAGAACTAAATTGCTAAGGAATTAAACATTTTTGTGTTACCTCTGACAGAAAGTAGGAACAGGAAATTCTTTTTTTAATTGAAAACATTTTAATATTTACTTTTGAATATAAATAAGCATTCTAAGAATAACTTGGAGTAAAATTTTTCTTTATGAGCTAAGTTTAAATCCACTTGAATTACAAAACGTCAGTCATTGGTTCAGTATACTCAGTACTGAAGAGTAAAATGCTGCAATATTTATGATTTTTAAAACTATTAAGTTTACATAGAAAACCAATTATTAATCTGCATTGCGCAGCTGTTGCTATGTTATGCTGCAGCAACAAACCCTAAAATAAACAACTATTTTTTTTTAAGTTCTGGGATACATGTGCTGAACATACAGGTTTGTTCCATAGGTATACATGTGCCATAGTGGTTTGCTGCACCTATCAACCTGTCATCTAGGTTTTAAGCCCCACATGCATTAGGTATTTGTCCTAATGCTCTCCCTCCCCTTTTCCCCAACCTCCCTACAGGTCCCAGTGTGTGATGTTCCCCTCCCTGTGTCCATGTGTTCTTATTGTTCAACTCCCACTTATGAGTGAGAATATGCAGTGTTTGGTTTTCTAGGAACAGGAAATTCTTAAATGCCATATTCCCCAAACCTTTCTAATCAAATAGTTCTAGTTTCTTCCCCTCTTCAGTTTCCTGCTAAAATTAAGATGTGTTTAGGCTCCCTACTTTCCTTTAATTAGCATTGATACTGGTGATACTAATTTTTGTAAAGGGTAGGAAAGAGACAAAAGATGTAAATAATACAAATTTTATATACTTCCAAAAATAATCCTAGAAATCCAATATAATTTCTAGCTAAAAGGGTTTTAAAGGATGTAGGAAGTATATGCTTTTTATGTTCATTTTTAACTGCAACATAAAACAAATGAAAATTCCTTTGACTTGTATTAAAGATAGCTGATCCTAATAAAGGAAAGATATATGTAGTGAGAAGACTATTAGATTCTAATCCTGCGTCTGCTGTAATTATGTGTGGTCTTGGGCAAGTCGTTTCTCCTTTTGCAGCTCAGTCATATCTACAAAATGAGAAAATTATAGATTGTAGATTTAGCAATGGCCCTTTTCCTTCTAGTGAAACACAGAGAAACTGTATGAGAGAAGTAACACCACAACAGCTCTACTTTGGAACTGGTGATGCTATAGAAAGAGGCGGGGAAGAGGCAGAGGTTCTCCCTCCACAGGGCTGTCCCTACTCCATCTCATTCCAAAAGGTGGCCCCTGCAGAATTGCCTTGAAATACAGTTTAAAAGCCACTATTGGATGATATACGAGTTTTTCTTCACTGACCCGAAATCAGATAGAATCACAGAATTTGAAGAAGTTTCTTAAACTCCCTAATATGAAATTCTAGTCTGCTGTGCTTTTCACAGGACTCTCCTATCTTTGCCCAATATCTAAGTCTTATTAAATATATTTTATTTTGGGGGGCTCATTGTGCACATTATATGTTGCCAATTCACTTTTTTAAGGTTTAGCTCTATTTAATCAAGATATATGAATTGACTATAGAGCATTGATCACCATTTCTCTCCTTGACTTTGGAGTGTCTGCAGGGCACATACACATTTAGCACCAGTACTCCCTTCTCCTGTTGTTCCCCATGTGTCTTTGCATCCAGACGTTCATGCCAACAGCTGACACACCTATTGGGTGCTTACTACATGTCAAGCACGGTTTTCAGTGCTTTACATTAACCTTCCTAGCAATCCTATGAAGTGGGCTACATTTATCTTTCCTTTATTAGGATCATTTATCTTTAATACAAGTCAAAGGAATTTTCATTTGTTTTGTATGTTGCAGTTATAATTGAACATTAAAAAAGCACATATTTCCCACGTTATCATCCTCATTTTACAGAGAGGCTAAGCACTGGTTCCAGAGCAACACAGCTGGTAAGAAGTGGTACTGGGGTTTGATCCTGGAGAGCCTGGTTCTAGAGCCCTCAGTAATTCTGTTCATTTTAAAGGTCTAACTTCATCCCACAAATACAGATTTTCTTGAAAGCAAAATAAAGTTAACATTAATTTTCTTATTTGTTTACATACTTAGAATTTCTTTTAAGAAATAGTGAAAACCTTTGTAAATCAGTATAGTGACTGTCCCATAGTAAATACTTAGTATATATTGATTATTATTAACTTAGGCAAATGGATAACTGTAATGTTCATAGCATTGACTTTTAGCAGTTGAGAAGAAAAGCCACATTTTAGCTACCTCATATTTCTCAGTTCTAAGAGAAAACTAAAAGTCGCTTGTTTACAAGATACCCTGCTCTGTAGCATCTGTTCAAGATATTTAAACTGTCCAAAATACTGGTCTTACCTAATTTTTATCATGCCACCAGGTGGCAGCATGTTATGTAAGGAAGTAATTTAAATATTCTATTGAAGATCATTTATTTTCAATATTTTGCCTTAAAAACTGCCCAACCATAATAAAAAATAAAATAGTATCTCATGTTTCCCTTTGCCTGCATTCTCTCCAGTCTATTTTAAAGACCCTGTTAGCACAATATCCGTGAGACCTGCCTTAATCCAGCCCTGCATTCTTCTATCGGTTAGTGCAGAAAGTTTTTTTCTTCCATCTTTATGGAGATTTGAGCCATTGGGCTTAGATTCTGCCAACTAAATGATTTTATTCCTACCTAAATAGTTCCTATTGTTCAGCAACAATAGTCCTCCTCATCTTTGTGTCTTCCATGGTACCTACAGAAGTTCTGAATATGTGGCAACGATTTTTTTCTTAATAGAGACAGGGGTCTTACTACATTGCCCAGGCTGGTCTCAAACTCCTGACCTCAAGCAGTCTTCCTGCCTACGCCTCTTTCAGAGTGCTGGGATTACAGGTGCGAGCCTGGCCAGTGACAATAGTTTTAACAGGTGCCCTTGGGTAAATGTCAGTGATATGTAAGATCCACATTAGCGTGTGTATTTACTGAATGTTTATTTGAATTAGAACATATTTATAGTCTTTTGTGGTTACGGTTGTTTCAACTGTGCAATCGAAGTCCCTGAAATTTTGCCTTAAGTTTAGGTATTATCAGTATCATTCAGATTAACTGCTGCCAAACACTGAAAGATTAGTGTTTGAGGTGGAAAGCAAGAGAATGAATGGCTAAGGAAGAAAAGGAAGGTAAAGGACTGAATGTGGCAGTTAAAGTCTGGGGGAAAGGAAAGGCTAGTGGTAAAATGAGAGAGGCAGGCTTCTTTTACTGCAACAGAGCACCGGCCACATGGGGAAGCAGGAGGACCACCAAATTCAGTTGGCTGCAGAGAAATCTGTTTATACTTCATAATCGTGGATCTGCCTAGACATTGCTTGTTTCATGGTGCAAACAGTGAAATCATTGAAACAAATGAAATCATTTGACATCAGTTTGTTAACAAATATTTTTTCCTATTCTAAAACCTATTAGTTTTGCCTACTGCTTGTCCCTTAATGAAGTCTTAAAAGAGCTTGCCCCTAAAGAGATGTACATAAGCAAAAAGAAACCAGCAATTTCATGTAAGCCCACCTTACCCTGTAGGTATTTCCTTGCTAAGGGTAATTGAGTTTAACAAAGGCGGTTTAAGTACCTATGCTATTTTAGGTATTGTGCTAGAGATTCAAAACTACAATATGTTTAACATCTATAGATAAGGTATTTTTAAGAGAATAGCTTAACCATTCAAATTAAACTAATTCTGTGAAGAACATTAGTACTGCCTTGAGATATTTACCAACCAATACTTAAAATGTATTTTTGTACATTATATATATATGGAATGCAGTGGTCTAAAGATGGATTAGAAACATCTATACCTTAAAAAGTTTATATATGGGATTGATATTTAATGAATAGAGTGAAATGATCAATTTTTTAAAATCCCAGCCAATGTGTTATATACATACATATTTCTCATCTTTTTGGAAATGTTTTGCATCTTAAGTGGAGGAGATTTTATCTGTGACACCCAAGGCTCTTACCTTAGAACTTTTATTTGACCTCTCATAAGCCTTACTAGTATTTGGTTAATGTTCATTATATTTAGGAACTCAGCAATTTCAAAGTCCATGGCCACATATTTTATTGTTTGTGTGTGTGTGCAAAGCCTAGTGTTATTGCAAATAGCCACATACTTTTAAAACAAGTATATTAATGTCTACATTTGTCATGCTGGGTTTCAAACGCAAAGGACTCATTAAAATTAGTCATTAATCACTTAGTAATATATATTAAATATTAATGTTTGTCATGAAGTATGTAAAACAACCCGTTTGTATTGTATCCTCTATAATATGCTCAGGGGGTAGAAAATACTTGATTTTATTGTCTGTAATGTGTAATCAGAGATTGAACGACCAAGTAATGTAGCATTATCCAAAGATTATTTGTTATATTTCAGTTGTAATGGAGTTAATTGCATGCCTTTCAGATAAAAAAATACTGTATGTACATCCTTAATTCATCTGGTACAACTATGTTTAAAAGTGCTTAATAAAGTATTCAGTACTATTTAGGTAATAAAATTAGTAGTGACTTACTTAATTTTATGTAGCATCACTTTCTTAAGCCTGTTTTTAAAGTGATTTATTACCAGACGGGCAAAAAGGCAATTTTTATGCAAATTGACACATTTAATAATAACTTTTGTAGTATAAAAGTGCTTGTTTGTATGAAGTTATAACTCACTTATGGGGCCTTGTAGTTCTATGTAACATTCTAGTGAAATGTGCACATGTGGATGCTCTTGGAAGCACTTCCAGCCCTGTGAATTTATGTATCTGTTGACTTCAATATTAGGTAGCTTGATTTCTAAAGCCATCACAGTAATTGACATGTTATTGGAAATAAAGTTAAGTTTTTCCTTATTTATAGGGATAACCTCAATTTTGAAGAATGTGAATCAATTCATACTTGGCTGAAAGCCAGTTCCCTCTTCAGTTTAGCTCTAGCACATACATGAAAAGCGCACTCGCGTCCTAAGTGCCTTGTGAATCTGCAGTGATTAATTCTTCTCATTATTTTGCTGCAAATTCTCATGACCCTCTGTGATGATTCGATCAGCCACTTAGAGTTTATGCATATTCATATCTCTGTGCTCCTGCCGCAGACGTTCAGATCTCCTTCACTGACTGGTGTGTGCTTGGTGCAGTAATTGAGCTGCAGTAGATTGATTACTCTGGGGAGCTGTAAGGCCTTTAAAGGTGAAAACATATCAGTCCTGTTAATTAGGAAACAAAAGCTCTGATGGCAAGTTCAGCAGTCAAATGTTTCCAGTGTAGAAAAGATAAAAGGTATGATTTGTTCCTCTCCATGAATGCTGTTTACTTTTTAAACTTTAAATTAGGTCTGTATCAGTGGTAATGGAGTATAGCTTTCTTTTATGAATTTTTATAGAATGCTAATTGAAGAGGACTTTATTGATTGGTACTGTTATCTGTGATCTGTCAAATCTGATAGTTTAGAACCTATTCAGAGTTTGTATATGCCTTCTATAGCATTCGTAATATTTATATATAATTTCTAAATATTTTACATAGAGAATGCTTGTGTATAAATTTTGGTATTTATAGGCTTCATTTGGTCTACAGTATTTCAACAGTAGTTTTTTATTTTGACAATTTAATGGCAAAGAAGTTGAGCCGTCTTTTCTCTCTTTATCGTAAGCGTCCTTTGATTTTGCTTTCTTAAACTATATACTAAATAATACATTATCATGGCAAAAAAGGCCCTGAGTGGAACTGTATTATCCAGAAGTAAGCTAGTTTTTACATGGAGGATTATGCAGTTTACATAATTGAAATGTGTTTTTCTCTGTGTGCTGTTCTCATATTCCAATATTCTTTTTTCCTCTCATGGTCATGATGTTTTCTTTTGAGATATAATTCACATACCATAAAATTGATGCTTTTAAACTATACAATTCGTTAGCTGGGTGTGGCAGCACACACCTGTAGTCCCAGCTACTCAGGAGGCTGAAGTGAGAGGATCACTTGAACTGGGAGGCAGAGGTTGCAGTGAACCGAGATTGCGCCGCTGCACTCCATCCTAGGCGACAGGGTGAGCCCCTGTCTCAAAAATAAATAAATAAACAATTCAGTGGTTTTTAGTCTATTCACAAAGTTACACAACCATCACCACTATCTAATTCCAGAACATTTTAGTTACCCCAAAAAGAAACCTCATACTCATTAGCATTCTCTCCCCTTTTTCTCTTCCATCTAGCTTCTGGCAACCAGTAATCTACTTTCTGTCTCCATGGATTTGCCTATTCTAGACATTTCGTACAAATGGAGTTGTAGTATTGTGGCGTTTTGTGTCTGCCTTCTTTCATTTAGCACAGTGTTTTCAAGGTTCATCCACATTGTAGCATGAATCAGTACTTCATTCCTTTTTATGGCCAAATAATATTCTACTAATTGAATATCTCAAATTTTGTTTTTTATTGACTGAACATTTCTGTAGTTTGCACTTGTTGGCTGTTGTGAATAATGCTGTTTGTAATGCTAATTAGCATGTGCGTACATCCTTTGTTCTTAATCTTAGGGGAAAGGCTTTCAGCCTTCATCTTCGAATATGATGTTAGATGTAGTTTTTCTTAGATGCCATTCTTTAGATCAGGTTGAGGAGTTCCCTTCTATTTCGACTTGAGTGTTTTTATCATGAAATGTTGGATTTTGTCAAATGCTTTTTCTATGTCTATTGATGATCATGAGGGCTTGTTTATTAATATAATGTATTACATCGATTGTTCTTTATTAATATGTTATTAATATCTTTGTTCTTTATTAATATGTATTACGTCGATTGACTTTCATATGTTGAATGTTATGATATTCTATAGAGCATATATAATGTTATTTTACTGCTTTGGTTTTATATAATATGAACCAATTTCTCTATATTTCAGGCATTTATTAATACAGCAAAAGAAATTTATGAAAAAATTCAAGAAGGAGTCTTTGACATTAATAATGAGGTATATACATATAAATATTGTTGGTCAATATTAATTTAGAGTTCACTTTTGATTACTATTTTATATTTTTTATTTTATAATTCATTATTTTATAATTTTTTTAATTCCTAAAATCAATCATGATAATCAGTTAACACCATTAGTTTACAGTCATCCAACTGAAAAATTGGTATATGTGGTATAGTAGTTAAATATTTATGTTCTAGTAGAGCAACACTTTGTCTATGGAAATGGATTAAAGTAAGTGGCCCTATCCATTCATTGCAAGCAATGCAAAATAATATAAATCCCCCAAAGAGAAAAGAAAATCCACTTTTATCCACATGACCATATGGTGTCATCTGCTTTGGGAATAATGTTCTGGTATATAAATGCATGTACTATGTACTAATGCAAGATGCTCTCTCTGTTATCTGGCAGGAAAGAGGGAAATACCAAATTTGGAAATTACTCCCAATATAGCATAGCATGTTTTCAGGAGACTAAATTCATATATATATATATAAAATTGGCATTTGGCATAGGGTTTTTTGTAATGTTATTTTGATCCTGTTTTGGTCAACATGATTAGGATAAAATGTAAAGCTTTGAAGCATCTAATTCAGAGTGTTCACCAAAGATCATCACTTGACCCACATCCCCACTCTGCATTTATCTGTATTTATTTCAAAATGTTTATGTGGATGTAGCCTACTTATTCTTACATAAATATTTTTGCCATTCTGTATTAAGATTTCTGGCTTCTGAAAGAAAAGCCCTGGTTTCTCCCCAGTTGCAGTTAGAAAAGCATTGTGTTAGGAAGCCATTATGTATGTCTCTCTCATCCTATACATAAATGAGGCTCTCTATTACTTCAGTAGTCTCTGCTCAGACAAACAGCAGTTTACCTAAGGTTTCCAAAAAGTACATGATTTTTTCATTGTTTAATTTGGAGTAATATAGTTTCTAAATCCTATCTTCTAGGCTTATATGACGGTACTTCTTGAGTTAGTTTAAAGGTGACACCATTCAGAGACTAATGCCATATAAATTGAACAGTAATTGGGCCTCTATCTAAAAGGGCACATTCATTGTTTCTGTCTGGTTTCATATAGTAGCTGACTGCTTTACTGTGCCTTATGCAGCTTTGATTGTAATGTGCTGTTGGGAGCCAACAGGCCGTGCTATTTATTTGGCCTAATGCCAAGTCTGACTCCTTGACTCCTCAAGAAGTTGCTACCAGCCCAGAGGGGGCAAAATCAATGAGCCATAGGGCATGCTTTTTATTAAAGAGGAGTCAAAAGAGCGAAAAGAAACCACATCAGCTGCTGTCAATACTGAGCTAGTGCCAGAAACCCCAAGGCTACTACTGTTGCAGAACAACTGCCAAGCACTATAAATCTGAGATTTACTGTGACGTAAAGTTTCCTTAAGAGCTTAATTTCTGAAGCTACTGTATTACTTTTCTCAAAGTGTTGTATTTTTAGGTAAAATCCACTTGAGGGAGTGAGGGTTAAGACATAAGTGTGAGTTTGATGAATGAAAGAACTACTCTGTGTGTGGGTTCTTGGCAAGCTGCCATGTCTTTGGGGATCATAGAAATTATTGATGACACAGAACACTCATATGCCCTTAGCCTGTACAGCTGATTCAACATGGAACAGAAACACTGTCTAGAGAAAAGATTTTACGTTGTATTAAAGCAGCATGGGCTTTGGGTATTTTTATGCTTTAAAGATTACTTGCAATAATTATTTTAAATGATTTCTGCATTATGAGAATTTCCTGAAAAGCAGCATTATCCAATAACTGTTTACCCCGTACCTGGTATGATAAAGAATTATTTTCAGAAACATTTCCACAGTGTTTTTAAAAGGAAGGAACATCCCTTAGGAGATATTGTTTTAATTGTTGCTAAAATCTACTTGCTGTATTTTTCTCAGTTGTTTGATAAAATTGTATCATAAAGAATTAAATGAGTTTTTTAAGAATTAGTTAAACTATATTGTCTGGTCATATTTATTGTTCTGTTCTCTTTTATTTCAGGCAAATGGCATTAAAATTGGCCCTCAGCATGCTGCTACCAATGCAACACATGCAGGCAATCAGGGAGGACAGCAGGCTGGGGGCGGCTGCTGTTGAGTCTGTTTTTACTGTCTAGCTGCCCAACGGGGCCTACTCACTTATTCTTTCACCCCCTCTCCTCCTGCTCAGCTGAGACATGAAACTATTTGAAATGGCTTTATGTCACAGAAGACTTTAATCCGTCAAATTCTTGTATAACTTTGAATAAATGGTTAATGTTCACTTAAAAGACAGATTTTGGAGATTGTATTCATATCTATTTGCATTTGATTTCTAGGTCAATTGATGTGATTATTTTTGTTAAATGTTGTCTTGTGCCCTTAACTACGAACTGAATTGTATTAAACACTACAAAGTCATCTTGAGTATTTTAAATCGGTTTGTGTAGTTAGGTTTCCCAACATCTGTGGTTACCTAATGTTTAATATTATAGAACTGTCCTCAGAAACTTTGTCAATTTTCACGGCTATAAGGAAACAGAAGGACTCTTTTAATTCTGTATTTATCATTTACTTTCTGTATATATAGTTTAATAACCTGCTTGGGTGTAATTTGCCAAGCTTGAATTCTTTAATGCATTTGCATAAATTCTATACTGTTTAGAGCTTAAAGCTACAGAAGCATTGTTAGGAATTGCTTGGACACTGAATTTTAAACTTTTTGACATTGTTAACAAGCATGTTCATCTTTTCTTGTCACTAGTCCAAGAAAAATATGCTTAATGTATATTACAAAGGCTTTGTATATGTTAACCTGTTTTAATGCCAAAAGTTTGCTTTGTCCACAATTTCCTTAAGACCTCTTCAGAAAGGGATTTGTTTGCCTTAATGAATACTGTTGGGAAAAAACACAGTATAATGAGTGAAAAGGGCAGAAGCAAGAAATTTCTACATCTTAGCGACTCCAAGAAGAATGAGTATCCACATTTAGATGGCACATTATGAGGACTTTAATCTTTCCTTAAACACAATAATGTTTTCTTTTTTCTTTTATTCACATGATTTCTAAGTATATTTTTCATGCAGGACAGTTTTTCAACCTTGATGTACAGTGACTGTGTAAAATTTTTCTTTCAGTGGCAACCTCTATAATCTTTAAAATATGGTGAGCATCTTGTCTGTTTTGAAGGGGATATGACAATAAATCTATCAGATGGAAAATCCTGTTACAAAGTAGAAAAGCTTTAGTAATTTACTCAGTGTGGTGGTTTTATCCTTTTTTTCTTTTTCTCCCTTGGTCTATAATGAAATTGTTACAGCAGTGCAAAATAAAATCCTATGTATAAAAGTGTTCTTTTTTTTTATTATGACCACCTCTTTTTTAATGTATTTTTAGTCCACTTACAGCTTTTACATGGGTTTAAGCATGTTTTTTAAAAGGGTCAGAATGGTTAACACTCAACCCTTTTTAAAAATTTTGCTAAAATGCGACAAATCTCACCATACTGAAATTATTTTTGTTGATGGTGTAAGCAGTGTAAGCAAGTGTTTTCTCCTGAACTAGCACAAAAGCACTTATGCCTGAAAGAAAGCATAAAGAAGTTCTAACTCTGAAACTAACTACTTTCATTTCGCTCATGGCCTTCAACTTTCTACAGGTCTTCCCTGAAGATTCAGCAGTACTCTCTCAAAGGTTTGACAGTACTCTTGTGGGAAATCACCAAATGCTGTCATAGTTTTGTTTTAACTGTCTCCTTGAGGGCAGAGGGAAGGGTGAGAGAAAATCTGTTTTCATGGGTATTTGTAGTACAGCCTTTTTTTCTTTCAAGTGGCTGTATCAAATTCACTGGTCTTACTAATCACTGTCTTTACCAGTGAGTACAAAAAGTTAAGGCAACTAGGACAGGTACTGCTCTATACCAAGAAGAGAATGATTCTTTGGAAATTGTTATTTTTAAGCTTCTGTTAATTTTTCCAGAAGTTTAGTGCGTTTCTTTTCCATACTTTCTCCCCTAATTCTTTTATTTGAAGAAGAGAACTTAATGGCAAATAAACAACAAACCAGGACATGCATTTTAATACCCTAAGGAAAAATGGAACCCTCAAATATAACTCCTCCCACAACCACCCTAATGTGCCTCAGTCTGGGGCAGCAGGTGGACTTCTCAATAGTTCTTTTCCACATTCTCTACAAATCACATCTACCGTTAAGGAATATGTTATGAATCCTTTCTGTTAATTGAGAAAGCAATGTTATTGTCTGTGATTTCCAGTCTTTGCTCATTTTATTATCCCTGTCAAATAATGTAATATTGGTACCTGCAGTTGAATTTGTAATATTGTAATTGAATTTTTAGTTGATCTTCGATCAGTTTTTATAGCATCTATGGACATAGAAAATCAGTCACTGAAAAAAATAAACACAGCTTTCAATGTCTCACTCAACATGTAACATTCAAAATTGTGATCTTCATAAAGACATTGTTACCATTCGTCTTGCAAATTTAAGACAACTGAATGAAAAGCCAATTTTTTGAAAGAATGTGGCATATAATTAGATATACAACTGAAACAGGATATACAACTGCATACAATTTGTTTTTAATGATATTTTAAAATAGCCTGTTAGCAGGAAAATAGTCCCTATTTATCTGCTAATGGTCAAAAAGAGTTAGGATATAAATCGTACCAAAATGTTTCCAATCACTCAGAAAAACTGATTCATGTCTGGCTTTGCAACACCTTAAACATTTATTCTGTCATAGATAGTAAAGCCCCATCTCAGTTTATTTAGTCCTGAGGTTGGCAGCATGGGGTTTGACTATATGAGCTAAAAGATACACAAAGAGATAACGCTGTTTCATAATAAACAGGAATTGACTATACAAATAGGTAAACCAGCATATCTACCTGTATTTCTCAGAGTTTAGATGTGTGCTTTATGTTTACATTAAAATAAAGCCTAACGCCACAGTAGATCATCTCATACTGCATTCGGATGTACTAGGTATTATTATTTTTTGGTTGAAGTCACGACAGAGAACTTCATTTTATTTATTTTGTTTATTTTGGGAGACAGGTCTCACTCTAATCCCCCAGGCTGGAGTGCAGTGGCGCCGTCTTGGCTCACTGTGACCTCCACCTCCCCAGGTTCAAGTGATTCTCATGCCTCAGCCTCCCAAGTAGCTGGGATTAGAGGTCCCTGCCACCACGCCCGGCTACTTTGTATTTTTAGTAGAGACGGGGTTTTGCCATGTTGGCCAGGCTGGTCTCAGACTCCTGACCTTAGGTCATCTGCCCACCTCAGCCTCCCAAAGTGCTGGGGTTACAGGTGTGAGCCACCATGCCTGGCCAAAAACTAAGTGCCAGTCTATATATTAGTATTAATTAGTTTTACAAAATTATGAGGCCAATTCTTAAACATTGAAGGACAAAGCACCAAACTCCTGATAGAAAAATGGAGGAAAATGAGCAATTTACAAAAAACATACAAAGTGTCCCTAAAATGCATTTTTAATTCAAATGTGAGTGATGGATACATTAATTTGCTTCACTCTAGTAACCTTCTATTTATGTGTATCCCATAACAGGTATACTTTTAAACACAATAAAATTTATTTTTAAAAATTCAAACAAATGCAAATTAAAGCTCAGATGCCATTTCTCACCTATGAGACTGGAAGAAATGTAAAATACAACGCCACATTGTATTGGTGAGGCACCTTTGTGTGGTGTTGGTAGAAGTGCAAACTGGAACTACCTTTCTGGAGGGGAACTTGGCAATACCTAATAAAATTACATGTACACTTGCTGTTGGCCCAGAAATCCCACTTGTAGGAATCCGCCCAAATGATAATTCTCCAATAAAGCAAAAGCTCCATATGCACAAGGTTACTTTCTGCAGCATTGGTTGTAATTAGAAATTATTGGAAATGACTTATATGTCATTTCCACTTATAGTGATTCAATAAACTATAGTGATTCACTAAACTGTGTCCATCCACACAGTGGAGTCCTACACAGCTATAAAGAAGGGTGAGGAAGAAGATCTCCAGAATACACCAGAAACTAGTTACAAACACTGGGTGGGTACAGGATGGAAAGTAAGAAGACTGGGAATAGGATAGTTGGGACAAGAGGAGAATGTTGCTGCTTTCAGTATACATTTTTTGTATAGCTCTGACTCAACTATGGTTATGTTTCACATAACCCAAACATAATTAAAGTCAACCATGAAAGTGTGGGAACTCAGTGAAATACAAACTATTAATGAACTTATTATTACAAATGAGTAACACCACACTGAAGGGGATAGGGAAGAAAACCAACATATATAACTTTGGAAAATAGTATTATCACTGTATACTGTAAGACTGAAGACAAAATGATCACAAAGGCTGTAGCTAGTAAAGGGGATGGGTTAGCAATGCAAAGCTACCTTTCACATACACTAAGACTGAGCAAATAAGTAAATACGTTGTGGATAATGAGAGCAAAAGTTCCTCATCAAAAATGCATTGCAAATAAGTTGAGAAAGGCTAGAGTGAACCTTGTGGTGGTAGGTTGGAATTGAGGAGATTATGAACTCATGGATTTTGTATGTACAGATGCACTGTGAGTAAACATGTTTTTCATCTTTGCTGAGAGGGCCCAGCAGCAATGAGCATACCTACTGCCCATTACTGGTTTCTAAATAGCATTCTCTAATAAAGGGAACTAGGGTTCATTAGAAAAATGATTGATTTCCTGAGTTGGGGCAGGGAAATTAGAAAATGAGCCTGGAATATCCTGTGATACCAGAGGAAAGTAAGGAATTGTTCGTAAAATGATGGGGCAGAGGGGAGTCAGGCCAAAGGACACTAACAAGCATTCTAGTAATGGATCGTAAACCGGGGAGTGAGATAAATATCCATGAGTTTATATTAATATGAATGATTAAGTAGATGGGAAAGATGCAGCTCTTCCTTACATTAGCGACCAGTTAGTAAAGATAAAAGGGATGATGTAAACAGAAAATCTACAACATAGTCATTGTTAAAGGCAGGAATCAATACTAAAATTCATGGGCAAAAGCCTGAGAAAGGCTATGTGTACAATCTGAGTATCTCCTCACGAGATATTGCAAAAGAAGAAATACAACAGTGGAGAGATCTGGCAGACACCATGGCTTATCAAGTGATCAGGAAGATGTGAGGATGCCACATACTTCCCAATAGGATGCACTGAGAAAAACACTATTCCATGGCATTGGGAAAAATGGGTCACCTCAACCCAGTCATGAGGAAACCTCTAACCCAAATTTAGCAACATTCTACAAAGTAGCCAACACTTCACAACTGGACATCATGAAAGTTAAAGAAAGAATGAGGAACTGTCAGAGACTAGAGGAGATAGGGAGCCATGGCAACTAAATGCAGTGTGGGATGCTGGACCCAGGAAAGGGCATTAGTGGGGAAACCGGTGAAATAGGAATAGGGTCTGCCGATTAGTTAGCAGCATTTTGATCAGTGTTAATTTCCTGGTTCTGATCATTGTTCCTATGGTTATGTATGAGGCTAATGTTGGCCAGGTGCAGTGGGTCACACCTGTAATCCCAGCACTTTGGGAGGCTGAGGCTGGCAGATCGCGAGGTCAAGAGATTGAGACCATCCTAGCCAACATGGTTGAAACCCTGTCTCTACTAAAAATACAAAAATTAGCTGGGTGTGGTGGCATGCGCCTGTAGTCCCAGCTATTTGGGAGGCTGAGGCAGGATAATTGCTTGAACCCAGGAGGCAGAAGTTGCAATGAGCCAAGATTGTGCCACTACTGCACTCCAGCCTGGCGACAGAGTGAGACTCCATCTAAAAACAAAAAAGCTAATATTAGGGGGAGGTGGGTGACAAGTATATGGAAACTGCTTTTAAGACTTTTCTGTAGGTCTAAGATTATTTAGAATAAGTTAAAAAATCATGAGGCCTACGAAATTCAGTGTAGACCAACAAGATTGCAGTGGCCTTATTTTTCCTTCTACTAATGCTGATTTCTTGCCTCACACAATTGTCCCTGTCTCCAAATATTGCCGTCAAAATTAGCTAAAAGAATACACTCTCAAAGCAAATATTCTTTTCAAATTATTTGTCAAAAGTACTAGAACCAAAATACCTGCCCTCCTTGAGCTGGTAAGCCAACATTTATTCTCATGGATAAGACATATGAAGTCTCTGAGGAATTGTATTAATGCCCCATTTTAAGAGTACAGTGCAGATTGAAAATATTTCTTAAAAACTGGATGCTTGTGTCTGTACTGAACATGTAAGATATTTTTCTTGTCACTATTCCCTAAACAATACGGTGTAACAGCTGTCTACATACCAAGTGCATTGTGTTAGGTATAAGTAATCTAGAGGTGATTTAAAGTATACAGCAGGATGTGGGTAGGTTGTATGCAAATACCACTTTATATCAGGGACTTGATATCCATGGAGTTTGGTCTCCTCAAGCATCCTGTAACAATCCTCCAGCACATACCAAGGAACAACTGGCTATTAGTAATAAGAATCTCACAGATTTATTTTATCCAGTGTATTCATTTTCTATTGCTGCTGTTATAAATTATAAGTGTGACTTAAAACAACACAAATGTATTCTATTACAGTCCTAGAGGTCAGAATTCTCACTAAAATCAAGGTGGTGGCAGGGCTGTATTACTTTCTGGAGATTCTAGGGTATAATCCATTTTCTTGCCTTTCCCAGCTTTTGAAGGTGGTCCACACTCTGTGGCTTGCAGCTTCTTCCTCCATCTTTAAACTATAGAATGGCCACTTGAGTTCTTTTTACATCACATGAAGTCACTCTGACCAGTCTCTTCACCCTCCCTCCTTCCCCACCCAGATAATCTAGGATAATCTCATCTCAGTGTTGGCTGATAAGCAAGCATAATTCTTTCTACAACCTTATTTATTTATCCAGCTAACAGTCTTACTAGAGTTTCTACAACTTTACTTCTCCCTTGCCAAGTAAAATATTTACAATTTCCTGAACACGGACATCTTTGGGAGCCATTAATGCATGTTTAAAGCTCACAATGAAGCTGGGTGTGGTGGCTCATGCATGTAATCCCAGCACTTTGAGAGGCGGAGGTGGGAGGATTGCTTGAGCCTAGGAGTTTGAGAACAGCCTGGGCAACACAGGGAGACCCCATCTCTGCAAACAAAAAATTAGCCCGTGTGGTGGTGTGCACTTGTGGTCCCAGCTACTCAGGAGGCTGAGATGGGAGGATTGCTTGAGCCTGGGAGGTTGAGGCTGCAGTGAGCCGTGATCACAGCATTGCACTCCAGCCTTGGTGACAGAACAAGACACCATCTCAATAATTTAAAAACATGTTTATATATTTTTTAAATATATATAATTTTTTAAAAGCTCACAGTGAAAGAGTTATAATCCATGGGTTGGCAAAATGTGAAAGTCTGACATCAAATGTTTGGATGTTGGCAAGGTTGTAAAGCAAAAGAAATGCTCATATATACTACTGGAAGGAGAGCAAATGGGTGCAACCACTTTGGAAAACAGCCTGCAATCCCTTCTCTCAGAACATGCCCTAGAGAAATTCATCCACGGGTGCACCAGGATCCTTCTGCCAGAATATTCAGTTTCATATGTAATAGCCCCTGGGAACAACCTTGATGTGCATCAAGAGAAGGGTTGAACCATGGTATATTCATATAGTGGGATAACATACAGCAATGAAGATGAGTTGAACTGCAGCCATTTAGCAACATGGATGATATTTTTAAATTAACCCTTATTTTACTTAAATGAATGAATTTTGCTGGTGAAAAAAATATACAGAAAAGAATACATATAGCATCATTTCATTAACTCTAAAGTTAAGCAAGGAAATTATTATCACAAAAGTCAGGATATTGGTTACCTCTAGCAGGATAGGAGGGGCACAGGGAGATTCTCTGGGACTAGCAATGTTCTGTTTCACGACCTGAATGAGACTTACATAGATATTTGCTTTATATGTCTATAAACTATGCCTCTGTGTTTTATGCACTTCCCTATAAATAAGATTTTGTGTCCATTCAACAAACAAAAATGCTGCCTTATAAGTTGCCCTCAAAACTAAAAAGCATGAAGTTTGCAGTGCCCCTTGTTATGGGTTGCATTGTGTCTACCCTAAAAAGATAGGTTGAAATCCTGACTTGGCTCATGCCTGTAATCCCAGCACTCTGGGAGGCTGAGGCAGGAGGATCTCTTGAGGCCAGGAGTTTGAGACCAGCCCTAATAACATAGCAAGACCCTGTCTCTATAAATGACAACAACAACAAAAAAGAAAAGAAATGAAATCTAACCACCTAGTATTTCAGAATCTGACCGTATTTGGAAATAGGAACATGGCAGATGCAATTAATGAAAATGAAGTCCTACTGGAGTAGGGTGGGCCCCCAATCCAACATAACTGTGTCCTTATGAGAAGATGGCCCTGTGAAAACAAACACACAAGGAGAACGCCATATGAGGCCAACACAGAGAATGCAGTTAATGCAGCTGCAAGCCAAGGAACGCTGAAGATTGCTGGCTGCCAGCCACACGTTAGAATGAGGCAAGGAAGGATTTCCCCAGGTTTCACAGGGAGCATGGCCCTGCAGGTATCTTGACTTCTGGCCTCCAAAATGGTGAAAGAATAAATTTCTGTTGGTTTAAGCCAAAGAGTCTCTTTGTTATGGCAGCCATAGAAACGAATACACCCCTTATACCCTGTGAACAAAGACATTTGTTCTGCTCAGCTGTCTCTGTACCTGCAGTGAAAGGGCACATCACAGCCAGGGGCTATGGGAGGGTAAAGCTGCTGCACTGACTGGCATGTGTAGAACTCAACTTGGCAGAAGCGAAGTGAATATCTAGGAGTATTATTTTTACATCTTCCAACCTTGCAATAATTTAATCTGTATACCAAGAGGCTATTCAGAATATCAAATATCAGTACATAAGAGATTCCAGAAAAAATCATATGTACCACATAGGACTTTATTGCTATAATATTAGAGACACATTTTTTAATGTGACTTATGCCCAGAATTCAGTCTAAAATTGAAGCAAGTGGCAAATGTACACAAGTGTCATCTTATGATGATTATGATGATGACAATGACAATGCAGAAATAACACACATTCCAGAAATGATTCCCTTCCTGTTGTAGAAATAAGTGAGTAAGAACAAATTCTAGAATGGGTGTGAGCTGACCAGGAGGTGTTGCGTTTTGTGTGTGAGATCCTGAAGTCATTTGTGATCATTTGAATATTGCTAACAAGGTAGGGAGCATCGATGACAAGAGTGAAGATGACTTGCTGGAGGGTGAGGTAATCACTCGGGAGAAGGCCGCTGCAGTCTTATATTTGACAATTAATTTTGCATTAAAATGGCCACATTACAGTCCCCAGGAGATGCTGCTGCCGCACAGAATTCACATTTACGGAACGTGGTAAATGACCAGCCAGCCCTGTGCTGCCTCTTTGCCTGTGTGTGTGTGCTGTGTTGGGAGCTGCCCAGGTGTGAGTTATCCATGCTTCATGTCATACCTTTTCCTCATGCAGGTGGTGATTTCTGTTAAAGCATTGATACTCAACATCCTCTTTGCAGTTGGTAGTATAAAAGCAATTATTAACGACTGTAATCATAGATGATTCTGTTAGAGGCTGTAGCCAAAAAATTATTTATCCCTAGGATCTATCCTATAAAAAATTTATTATCTAAAATGGTCATGAGTTTATTTCACAAGATCACCCAATACAAGATGAGCGAGGTATTTGTACAGGTTATATGCATTTGAAGGTTGAAGAGCAGGGATTATTATACAGTGTAGTATTGCTTGGCTAGGGCAGCCATGACAAAGTACAACAGACTGGGGGAGTTAAACAGCAGAAATGTATTGTTTCACAGTTCTGGAGGCTGCAAGTCCAAGATCAAGGTGTTGGAGGATTGGTTCCCTCTAAGGCCTCTCTCCTTATGGAGATGGCCATTTTGTCTCTGTCTTGTTAAATCATCTTCCCTTTGTGTGGGTCTCTATGTCCAAATATCCCCTTCTTATAAGGACACCAGTCATACTGCACTAGGGCCCACCCTGGTCACCTAATTTTAACTTGACTGCACTGTAGAGACCTCATCTCCAAATACTGTCACATTTTCTGGTACTGGGGTTTAGAAGTTTAACATATGAATTGGACTGGAGCACAATTCTGCTCATAAAAAAATGTGATTATAGATTATGAGCTTTAGAGAGTTAAAAAGGGAAGCCCTCAGCTCCTTCCTCAGCCCAGGAAGTCTTTATGATGAAGCTGGGATTTGGGGAACACTGTGTGTGACACAAACAGTCAAGGTATCAAGAGATTCTGAAGAATGCTTCCTTTATGTTCCTTATTTTCATCTGTGTCTGCTGAATCTAAAGAAAAGCTCAGCACGTGGAATAATCAATACCCTTCCTATTGTGGGTGTCTTACCACCTGATCAACACTCATTAGGCATGTGAACACTTTGCCCCTTGAACCTCCATGATTTCACGAGGCTGGCATGCGCATCTCCACTGTGTCGCCTGGTCCGAGGGCCATATGTCATCCTGCGAGGCGGAATCACTGGTCTGCACGGTGACATTCTTGAAAACATGGCAAGTGCAGTAGTGTCCAGCATTCCTAATTCTTCTTGCCTTCCCACTTAGTCGTTTTTCTTTCTTTCTTTTCTTTCTTTCTTTCTTTCTTTCTCTTTCTTTCTTTCTTTCTTTCTTTCTTTCTTTCTTTCTTTCTTTTTCTTTCTTTCTTTCTTTCTTTTTCTTTCTTTCTTTCTTTCCTTTTTTCTTTCTTTCTTTCTCTTTCTCTTTTTCTTTCTTTTCTTTTCTTTTCTTTTCTTTTCTTTTCTTTCTTTCTTTCTTTCTCTTTCTTTCTTTCCTCTTTTTGACAGGTTCTCACTCTGTCATCCAGGCTGGAGTGCAGTGGCACAATCTCAGCTCACTGCAGCCTCAACCTCATGGGCTCAATCAGTCCTCCTCCCTCAGCCTTCTGAGTAGCTGGGACTACAGGCACACCCCATCACGTGCAACTAATTTTCGTATTTTTTGTAAGGATGGGGTTTTGCCATGTTGCCCAGGCTGGTCTCAAATGCTGTGCTCAAGCGATCTTCCCGCCTCAGCCTCCAAAGTGCCGGGATTACAGGCATGAGCTACTGCGCATAGTCCTTTATTAGTCTTGAATGCTTTTTTTTTCTTCTTTCTTTTTAAGCTGAGGTGAAAGTCACATAATGTAAAATTAGCCATTTTAAAGTGGACAATTCAGTGGCATTTAGTACATGTACAATGTGTGCAACCACCACCTCTATCTAGTTTCAAAATTTTTTCATCACCCCAAAGGGGATCCCATTCCAGAAGTGACCCAACAGTACCCCTCCACCCAGCCCCAGGCAACCACTATCTGCATTCTGTCTCTATGGAGCTACCTGTTCCGGATATTTCATATATATAAAATCTTATGATAGGTGACATTTTGTGCCTGGCTTCTTTCATTTTGCATAATATTTTCAAGCTTCATCCACATTGTAGCTATATGAGTACTTCATTCCTTTATAATTCAGTTGTAAAACAACTGAATTTTATACTACAAGTTACTTATGCATTTTTTCACCAATGGGCATTTGGGCAGTTTCCACCTTTTGGCTGTTGTGACCAGTGCTGCCATAGACATTGTGCATGTGTGTCCATCTGAGGATTAAATAGCACTGGTCTGATTTTTCTAAATTGAAATAAAAACATTCCTTCAGTATTTTATTTTAAAATTGATTAACATTATACAAGCACATACTTTTTTTTAGAAGCCAGATAGTATTACAAGGCTTATAATAAGAAAGCAGCCCCCCCTCATTTTGTACCCACCTCGCAATTCCCTCCCCAGAGCTCTCAGCCCTGTTTCTTACCCACTCCTTCCTTGGCGCTGGGCATCCCTTGTCTGAAGCCAATAGCCCCTGAACTCAACCTCTATCTCCCGTGTGAGGAGGGGTGGAGGCTGAATCTCTGGCTGCGTGGTGTTTGGAGGAGACACAGAGGCAGCCCCACACCTTGGCTCACCTTCCCTCATGACTGCAACTCTGTTCACCGACATTTTGCTCTGCTAAGTCAAATATTTGTTGGCATTTCGTGTACACTGGTATCTCTTCTCCTATTCTCTTTGCCCTGTGTATTTGTACATTTTATTGCCTTGATGGCATTTTTTGCAGTCTTGTGAAGGAGATAAATGCATGGTTCAATCCACCTTGTTTAACTAGAAACCCAGTAAATTCCTTTTTAACAATAACTTAGTCTTCCTTTTAACTTGTTAAAATGCAACATGTTTGCTGAAGAAAAAAAAAATGAAGAAAGGAGAACATTTAAAAACTACTCACCAAGTCTGGATTCTCCGCAAAGCCAACGCTGACATGATTTGGTTGCCAATACGTTTGCTGGGAGGTGATCCCAGGAAGCATGGCGAAAGAAAGCAGAAATGAGATGGGAGAGGAAGAGAAAAAGCTCACGAAGGTGTTGGCACTGCTATAAACGTTACTGCTATGGGTCCCTGGTGCTCCTTCTCCTGGGGACCCTCTGAGACAGTGGGAAGGACACAGCCGCAAAGGGTACCTTCTGTCATCTGTGAGGGGTACTCCTGGGACATCAGCTCCTCAGCAGTCTGGTCTGCCCTGTACACTGGCCAGACTTTCACTTTCTGCCCTTGGGCAGAAAGACCAGGAAACTCCTACCCTGTAATAAGGTAACTTGAGGTGGTGACACGAGGGTGGGCCAGGGTACCAACAGCATCTGCTCAAAAGACTGAGAATCCCACCACCCACAGAAAATACTCAGCATCTTTCTGGATTTCTTTCTGGTTTCCTTCTATGATTATGTATACATGCCTTCTTTTACCAAAATGGGGTCACACTGAGGACACTGCCTTCTTCCCCACTTATGTTGCATAAAATCTTCCAATATTGTTACATAGTTGTAATGATTAGGAGTGTTCAAATACGGGCTCTACCACTTACTAGCAAGGAGTTGCACCCTCTCAGTGGCTTCCTCAGCTATAACATGCAAGTAATCATCGCCCTGCCTCATACAGATGTGTTGGGAGGCTGAAACACGTTGCTGCACGTCAAGTTCTTAGAAATCTGCTTGGCACATGCCAAGCACTGGACAGATGTTAGCTCACTGTCATGCCACATAATTTTGATGGCTGCACAGTATTTCATTGTGAGCGTGTTCTATAATTTATTTAATCATACCTTCCTATTGACTATTTAGATTTATAAATAATTTAGGCAAAACCATCAACACTCAGTTATTATCTTCAGAGATAAATCTTTGGACACATCAACAACTCTTTCACTTGAGCCCAGGAGTTCCAGACTGTAGTGAGCTATGATCGTGCCACTGTACTCCAGTTTGGGTGACAGAGTGAGACCCCGTCTCTAAAAATTAAAAATAAAATAAAATACAAAGATTTCTTTAGAAAACATTCTTAGAAACGGAATTACTGGCTCATAAAATATAGACATTGTTGAAGATTTTATATCTGTGTAATTTCCCTCCAGAAATGTGCCGATTTATACTCCAATCAGACCACGAGAATGTTCTGTTTCCTGAACTCTATTACCAATAGTGGAAATTTTTATTTGAAAAATATATTTTTGGCAACTTGATGAGCTCACGTTTTGTTTTAATATCATTTATTAAGCAGTTAATCCTTTCCTCAGTACATTTAAATGCTTTAATTTCAGGCCACTTTTTAATGCATATTTGAACCTGTTTCTCAAGTTTTTATTGTGTCATAGATTCTGTATTTCTATGCTAGTGCCGCCACTTGAGACTCTCATGGTTCTCTTGGGATTTTAGAAAATTGAGGTAAATGTATGGTTTAATTCGGGGAAAATTGATATTGTTATAATAGCAAGTGTTCTCATCCAGGAACACGATATGCTTCCATGCAACAAGGACTTTTAAAAGATATTTAGAGATAATGACATTTATTCCAGAAACATTCCTGTTTTAAGGATCTCTGTTTTCAAAATCTAAAATTTGTTTTGCTTCTACATTTTCAAAATTTAGTTCATTTTAGGAAGGAAATTCCTGCCTGTTTTTATTTTTGTTTGACCAAATCTAAGATGTTCCATAATTTCTACTAACTCTCGTTTTCATCAGTTCTTATCTAATTTTATTTTCAACTACTTGCTTTCTATACATCTCTTAGTTTATTATCTTAAAAAATAGTCTTTCTTGGCCAGGCACAGTGGCTCACGCCTGTAATCCCAGCACTTTGGGAGGCCGAGGTGGGCGGATCACGAGGTCAAGAGATCGAGATCATCCTGGCCAACATGGGGAAACCCCATCTCTACTAAAAATACAAAAATTAGCCAGGCATGGTGGCGGGCACCTGTAGTCCCAGCTACTCGGGAGGCTGAGGCAGGAGAATTGCTTGAACCCAGGAGGTAGAGGTTGCAATGAGCCGAGTTCGCACCACTGCACTCCAGCCTGGGCAACAGAGTGAGCCTCTGTCTCAAAAAACAAACAAAAATTAGCTGGGCATGGTAGTGTGCACCTGTAATTCCAGCTACTTGGGAGGCTGAGGCAGAAGAATCGCTTGAACCCAGGAGGCAGACGTTGCAGTGAGCTGAGATTGCACCACTGCACTCCAGCCTGAGTGACAGAGTGAGACTGTCTCTAAAAAAAGTAAAAATATATAAAAATAAAAATAGTCTTTCTCTTATTTTAGCTATATAATGCCATCCAGGAAGAAACAGCAAATATTCACTCTGTATGCATTTGAATCAATTCAATATAAATGAAAATTCTCAAATGCTAAGTAACTATAGCAAATTTGCCAGGTAAACATATCAAATCATATTAATGTGCTATTTGATAATGTAATATAATATTCTTTCATACATATCATCCAAATCATTGAGAAATAATGACTGTTAGGATCCTTGGTTGTGGCTCAATAAGCAACTTTTCCACATTGAAACCCTGCCCAGCAAGCTGGCCCTTATTGACTTACTTTAACCTTTTCTGTTCTCAAGATAAATTGTCCTTGATTGGCTCCATGGTCTGTTCTTTCTGCTCGTGGATGCTGTGAGAATGTGTTCTTTCTGCAGGCCACCTGCATACCACACTTCAGAAAGAAGGCTTTCAGCCCTTCTTTCTTCTGCCTGTGTTGGTGCTTCTGACCTTCTCAGTCCCCCTGGACCTGACTCCCTGCTCCTCTCCAGGCTGCTTGCTGGGTACCTGGGATATGCACTGCAGCACCATGGGAAACCTCAGGAAACTAGAAAGAGCATGAACTTATCAATAAGGGAATTTTAAAGTAAAATTTCAATCGATTCTGCAGCTAACTAGCATGTGATTTTGAGCAAGTTACTTAAACTTTTCATACCTCAGTTTTCTTAATCAAATGAATACCTGTTCTATGGGATGGTTATAATGATTAAATGGGCTAATACTTATAAAGCACTACAAGAATGCCTTATCCACCAAGCAACATATATGTGTTGGTTAAAAAGAAAGGAAACAAAACGGAGAGAAATCTAATGATGTTCTGTTCAGTTCTGGCTATTATAACAAAAATATATCTTCAACAACAAACATTTATTTCTCACAATTCTGCAAGCCGAGAAGTCCAAAATCAAGGTATTGGCATATCTGGCGTCTGGAGACAGCTTCGTTTTCACTGTACCTTCAGATGGCCAAGAACTCAAGCTGTAGCTTCTTTGTTTTCTTAAAAGGACGTTAATCCCATCATGGGAGCTCCACCCTCATGACTCCATCCAAACCTAATTTCTCAAAGACCCCATCCCCTAATACCATCTCACTTCAGTGTAGGGTTTCAACATATGAATTTGGGGGTGGGGCACAAACATTCAGTCCATGCCACATGGAATACTAAAGGATGGTTTAAAAATCAGGGTTCTCCAAAGCCGGGCGTGGTGGCTCACACCTGTAATCCCAGCACTTTGGGATGCTGAGGTGGCAGATCATCTGAGGTCAGGAATTCGAGGCCAGCCTGGCCAACATGGTGAAACTCCGTCTCTACTAAAAACAAAAATTAGCCAGGTGTGGTCGTGGGCGCCTGTAATCCCAGCTACTCAGGAGGCTGAGGCAAGAGAATCGCTCGAACCCTGGGGGAGGAGGTTGCAGTGAGCCGAGATGGCACCATTGCACTCCAGCCTGGGCAACAGAGCAAGACTCCATCTTAAAAAATAAACAAATAAAATAAAATAAAATAAAATAAAATAAAATAAAATAAAATAAAATAAAATAAAATAAAAAAATCTCGGTCAGGTGCAGTGGCTCATGCCTGTAATCCCAGCACTTTGGGAGGCTGAGGTGAGCAGATCACCTCAGGTCAGCAGTTTGAGACCAGCCTGGCCAACATGGTGAAACCCAATCTTTACTAAAAATACAAAAAAAAAAAAATTAGCTGGTGTGGTGGTGGGTGCCTGTAATCCCAGCTACTCGGGAGGCTGAGGCAGGAGGCTTGAACCCAGGAGGTGGAGGTTGCAGTGAGCAGAGATTGCTTCACTGCACTCCAGCCTGGGTGACACAGCTAGACTCTGTCTCAAAAATCAATCAATAAAAATAAATCAGAGTTCTCTATATATGACATATTGTTAAGTAAAACAATTTATATATAAATCTATTAAGTTCAAAAAGCATGATGCAGGATAATAGATTTTTATGAACATAGTTACACACATACACACGTGTGTATACATGTATGTATGTATCACATATGCAGAAAAAACTTTATAGGGGAATACATCCCAAATTTTGACTAGAGTAGCTGATTTCCGAAGACAGAATTTTTACATTTTAATTCTATACACTTCTGTACTGTTCAAATCTTTTTTTTTAATTTCTTATTTTTTAAGAGACAGTGTCTCCCTCTGTCACCCAGGCTAGAGTGCAGTGGCACGATCATAACTCACTGTAACCTCAACTCCTAGGCTCAGGCAATCCTCGCACCTTCGCCTCCTGAGTAGCTGGGACTATGGGCATGCACCACCACACGCACCTAATTTTTTATTTTTTATTTTTATACAGATGAGGTCTCACAATGTTGCCCAGTCTGGTCTCCAACTCCTGATGTTAAGTGATGCTTCCACCTTAGCCTCCCAGCGCGCTGGGATCACAGACATGATCCACTGCACCTGGCCCTGTTTGAAATTTTATAAGGACATTACATTAATATATTGCTTGTATTATATGAATTATTGTATATTATTTATAAAAATTATTTTAAAAGAAAAATAAGTGAAGAGCATGAACAAATTTCAGAAGAAATTCAAATGGTTTCCAAGCATATGAAAAGATGTTCAAGATCAGTAAACTATAACTTGAAATAATGAGATACCAATTTTTGCCTTTGAAGGTGGCAAAAAATACCATCCAGCATGTAGAGATTTACTTATGTTGCTGGAATTTACAGAGAACCATTTAAGTCTGTGAGGGTGTGTGTGCATGTGTGTGTGTGTATATGAAATGAGCCAATGATCCCAATTCTATACTTCTGCCTCATCTTACAGAAATTTGAGCACAAATGCATAAAGATGTGTGTATAGAATGTTTACTTAAGCATGATTTGGAATAACAAAATTACTTATATTTCTATCATAGGGTAATGGACTGTGGAATATTATGCAATCATTAAAAGACTTAATTTTTTATGCACTCAGCTGGAAAGTTCATACAGACAGTTCCCAACTTACAATAGTTTGACCTAATGATTTTTTTACTGTGCGATGGTGTCAAAAGCAACATGCATTTAGTAGAAACCATACTTCAAGTACCCAGGCCATCATTCTGTTTTTTATTTTCAATATAGAATTCAGTAAATTACATGAGACATTCAACACTTTATTATAAAATAGGCTGTGTTTGATAATTTTGCTCAACTGTAGGCTGATGTAAGTGTTCTGAGCACATTTAAGGTAGGGTAGGCTAAGCTATGATGCTTGGTAGGCTTAGGCGTATTACGTGAATTTTTAACTTATGATATTTTCAACTTATAATGACTTTTTTATTTTATTTTATTTTTTGAGGTCCTAACAATTATTGGGTGGCTTATGATGAGTTTATCAGGACACAATTCCATCATAAATTAAAAAGCATCTGTACTGTATTTAAAGAAAAACAATTTTGCAGAACAATATTTATGGTAGAATCCCATTTTTGTAAAAACAATAACACAAATGAAACTACTGGTGAACTGAGAAAAAAAATAACAAAAAACCCCTTAACTTCGCTTTTGAAGCACAGAAAAGTGATGTCTGCAAGTTTACACATTGTATTGAGTGGTGACCAGGGCAAGAGGGGTGGGGGTGAGGAAGAAGGAGAAATTATATTTTTGTTTGTTTGTTTTTGAGACAAAGTCAGTCTCTGTCGCCCGGGCTGGAGTGCAGTGGAGCAGTCTAGGCTCAGCACAACCTCCACCTCCCGGGCTCAAGTGATTCTCCCACCTCAGCCTCCTGAGTAGATGGGACTGCAGGTGCACGCCACCATGTCTGGCTAATTTTTGTAATTTTTGTAGAGATGGGGTTTTACCACATTGCCCAGGCTGGTCTCAAACTCCTAGCCTCAAAGTGATCTGCCTGCCTCAGCCTCCCAAAGTGCTGGGATTACAGGCGTGAACCACCATGCCCGGCCAGAAGTGATAATATTTACATTAGTCAGGTCTGCATTGCTTGTATTTGTTTCTGTGTGCTTTTATTGCCATTGAAATTTAAAAGTTCTGAAGTTTTGCTTTTTTTAAAGTCAACATTTTCATGAGCAAACCCACATGCAACTATATTTTCATAAATGATAGACTGTAAAAATGTAGGTGCTAGGCCAGATGCTGTGGCTTATGCCTCTAATCCCAGCAGTTTGGGAGGCTGAGGTGGATGGATCACTTGAGGTCAGGAGTTCAAGTCCAGCTTGGCCAACATGGTGAAACCCCGTCTTTACTAAAAATACAAAAGCTAGCCGGGTGTGGTGGCAGGAACCTGTAATCCCATCTAGTAGGGAGGCTGAGGCAGGATAATCACTTGAACCCAGGAGACAGAGGTTGCAGTGAGCTGAGATCGAGCCACTGCACTCCAGCCTAGACAACAGTGACACTCTGTCTCAAAAAAAAAAAAAAAAAAAAAAAAAAAAAGGTGCTAGAGGCATATGGGCAATCTCTGTACTTTATGCTCAATTTTGCTATGAAACTAAAATTTCTCTCAAAAATAAAGTCTATTTTTAAAAAACCAAATGCCCCAAATGTTGTTTTGGACATTAAAGCGTTTAGCTTTGTGGCAAATTCCTAAACTGGCAAACTCATGTCAAAAAAGAAATTGCATGCAACATATTGTTTTAAAATAAAATGTTATGCTACATTTTTCTGCATTAAACACTTTACATAAAAGGGAAGAGTTTGTTTGAAAAATCAAGCATAAAGGTTAAAAATAGTCCTATCAAATGATCCTGCAATAACGTTTCTTGGTATTTACCCATATGAGTTGAAAACTTATGTTCACACAAAAGCCTGCACATGAATGTCTATAGCAGCTTTATTCATAATTACCAAAACTTGGAAGCAATCAAAATGTCCTTCAATAGGTAAATGGATAAAAAACAGTGGTACATCCCTACTATGGAAGGTTATTCAGCAATAAAAAGAAATGAGCTATTGGGCACAAAATGAAACAAAGGGATCTTAAACACATATTGCTAGGTGAAAGACGCCAATCTGAAAGGCTCTCCACTGTATGATTCCAACTATATGACATTCTGGAAAAGGCAAAACTATAAAGACAGTAAAAAAAAGCAATGATTGCTAGGGCTTTTGGGGAGATGAGAAGAGATGAATAGGTAGAACACAGAGGATTTTTAGGGCAGTGAAACTATTCTGTTTGATACTGCAGTGATGGATACATGTCATTTTGCATTTATCAAAACCCATAAAGGGGCATGGCAAGGTAGCTCACACCTGTAATCCCAGCACTTTTGGAGGCCGAGGCAGGTGGATCGCCCGAGCAATGATGCGATCTCCACTAACTGCAACCTCTGCCTCCCAGGTTCAAGCAATTCTCCTGCCTCAGCCTCCTGAGTAGCTGGGACTACAGGCACCCACCACTATGCCTAGCTAATTTTTGTATTTTTAGTAGAGATTTGGTGTTGCCATGTTGCCCAGGCTGGTCTTGAACTCCTGAGCTCAAGAGATCCGCCCGTCTTGGCCTCCCAAAGTGCTGGGAGTATAGGCGTGAGCTTAAAACTACTTATTTCAGTTAGTAATAATGTATCAATACACATTCACCAATTATAACAAATTATCACATGAATGCAAGATGTTAATAATAGGGGAAATGAGGGTGGGAGAGGAGGTACGTGGAAACTTTCCTATAAACCTACAACTGCAAACAAAACAAAATAAAACAAAACAAAAGTAATCTAGGCCAGGCGCAGTGGCTCACGCCTGTAATCTTAACACTTTGGGAGGCTAAGGCGAGTGGATCACTTGAGGTCAGGAGTTCAAAACCAGCCTAGCCAACGTGGTGAAACCCCATCTCTACTAAAAATACAAAAATTAGCTGGCCGTGGTGACACATGTCTGTAATCCTAGCTACTTAGGAGGCTGAGGCAAGAGAGTTGCTTGAACCCAGGAAGTGGAGGTTGCAGTGAACTGAGATGGTGCCACTGCACTCCAGCCTGGGCAACAGAGCAAGACTCCAAATCAAAAAAGAAAAAAAAGTAATCATTCAAAAAATAATCAAAAGAATACTCTATTCGTTTGTTTAAAGGCATAAAGTCTGTGGTTCACCCTACGCAACAGATCTCCAGATGGGAGAGCCATGGGCAGAGCTGTAACTCAGTGCAGTTCAACTGCCGCTTCGAATCAGAGGCAAGGCCAGATGCTCGAAAGATCAACAGAGAAGCAGGCAAAAGGCAGGCAGATTCAGCTGCTTTCTTTGCATAAATAGAAACCCCCTCATCAAAAAAATAAAAATGACTGTCCTTTCAGTGCTTCAATATTCCCTCCTCACCTTGCATTCATACTCAAGCAAAGAGCAAACCTTATTGTCAGACTCTGTTTCCTGAGTCCAGTTCAGACCCACACAAGAAGGCCTTTGACTAGTCCTACTGGCCCTGTCTGACCAGTCTTGGACAAGGCAGGTGGGCAATTTCTTTTTCTTTTTTTTTTTTTTAAATTGAGATGGAGTCTCGCTTGTCGCCCACGCTGGAGTGCAGTGGCGTGATCTCGGCTTACTGCGAGCTCCACCTCCGGGGTTCACGCCATTCTCCTGCCTCAGCCTCCCAAGTAGCTGGGGCCACAGGCGCCCGCCACCATGCCCGGCTAATTTTTTGTATTTTTAGTAGAGCCGGGTTTCACCGTGTTAGCCAGGATGGTCTGGATCTCCTGACCTCGTGATCCGCCCACCTCGGCCTCCTAAAGTGCTAGGATTACAGGCGTGAGCCACTGCGCCCGGCTTTTTTTTTAGACAAAGTCTCCCTCTTGTCCCCCAGGTTGGAGTGCAATGGCGAGATCTTGGCTCACTGCAACCTCCGCCTCCCGGGTTCAAGCGATTCTCCTGCCTCAGCCTCCCGAGTAGCTGGGATTACAGGCGCCCGCCACCAAGCCTGGCTGATTTTTGTATTTTTAGTAGAGACAGGGTTTCACCATGTTGGCCAGGCTGGTCTCGAACCTGACCTCAGGTGATCCGCCTGCCTCAGCCTCTCAAAGTGCTGGGATTACAGGCGTGAGCCACCGCGCCCGGCCATGCAGGTGGTCAATTTCTCAACGTGTGCTCATTTTTGTATCTAAGTGCCTGGAATAAAGCCAGCTCACTCTTGGCCCACATAGATGTTCTCTTTCTTGGCTTCTGGTGGGGTTCCCCATTTGCTCACATGTGCCTCCACGAGGGGTCTCAGTTTCTGATCCAACTCCCACAAGAACGTCAACTCCAAGAAGGCAGGCTATCGGATTTTCACTGCTTTGTTCTCTGGTGTATTTCCTGCACCTGAAATCACACCTCATTCATAGGGGTATAAAAAAATCATTGGTAAATGAATAAGTGAATGAATAAAGAAAGGAAAAATATATAAGCATAGTTTTCCCAACTGTTCTTTTTGTGGAAAAAACTCTTTTTCTCTAAGATTATGTTTTTCCAAGTTGTTTATATTAAAATGGCTTTTTTTTTTTCTAGTATAATAATAGAGGTTGCCTCTGTGCAAGGGACATTTAATTTCCACCATCATCCTTTGTACCTTAGTGAAGCGAAACTATTCTGTATGAAACTGTAGTGGTCGATACATGCCATTTTGCAGGTATCAAAACCCATAGAATGTACACAAAGAATGATACCTTATGCAAATTCCTAACTTTAGTTAGTAATAATGTATCCATAGGCATTCACCAATTATAACAAATTATCACACTAACACAAGATATTAATAATAGGTGGGTAAGGGGGTACATGGAAACTTTTCTATAAACCTAAAGCTGCTAAAAAAAAAACATAGCTTGTTAATTTAAAAAATAAAAAATACTCTATTAATTTGTTTAATAGACTTTTTTTTTTTAAGGCAGAGTTGCAGTCTGTCACCCAGGCTGGAGTGCAGTGGCTCAATCTCAGCTCACTGCAACCTCCATCTCCTGGGTTCAAGTGATTCTCCTGCCTCAGCCTTCTGAATAGCTGGGACTACAGGTGCACGCCTCCATGTCTGGCTGATTTTGTGTCTTTAGTAGAAACGGGGTTTTGCCATGTTGGCCAGGCTGGTCTTGAACTCCTAACCTCAAGTGGTCCACCCACCTTGGCCTCCCAAAGTGCTGTGATAACAGGCGTGAGCCACCACACCCAGCCTGTTTAATAGACTTCTGAATACTAACCTACTTAAAAATAAATTAATACAAATTAAAAATAAAATAACAATAAAAGTCTTTTATGATGGCACTTCAAAAAATTCTCCATAATTGGCATAATAAAAATTTTAAATGTGCAATTCTATATTAATCTCCTAAATTTATGTAATTTGCTTAAAAAAGAACTATGCCAAATTCTCAAACCCCAAAGCACTGAACATAGCACCTTGCATGTATTTGGCACTCAAATATTTGATAAGTGAATGAACCATCCTAGTTCATACGGCTTGGGGTTAGTGTGCGGACTTCACAACAATAAAAGTGTTCGTGACACTGTTGAGGTCCTTTGTCACCTGTCACTGTACTCACAGCAAACTCCTAATTGCTTTCCCTGGGACTGGGCTCCTCCAGCTTGGATCCATTATTCTCACACTTCCCCCAATTGTTCGTCTACGTGCACACTTGGGGTGCACTCCGGGCAGGGCGTGCGTGTGGGCTGCAGAGCGTTGGGGAGACCTCACCAGTATCCTGATGCCATGGGGTGGGTTGCAAGTGAGGCTGTCTCCCTGCATCAGAGTCACTTGGGGCTTGTTACAAACACAGCCTTCAGGACGCAGAGTCCGAAGGGAGTCGCCTAAAGTCTGGTTATAAAGTCGCTCCAAGAGACATTCCCAAGCTTCTGTGTCCCTCTCTGTTCTGTGCCCTCTTCCCCTGTAGCTGCAAGCCAAAGAATGCCAATTGCAGGAAACCTGGAAGCTAGGCTGGGCCAGGAAGGTTTCTACCCAGCAGCTCAGAAGGAGCATAGCCCTGCCTGTAGCTGGATTTCCCACTCTTGTCTAGAACTGTGAGAGAATACAGTTCCGTTGCTTCACGCCACCCAGTCCCTGGTACTTTCACAGCAGCCTTAAGAAACAAACACATTTTAAATGTAATGCTTACACACTGAATGACAATCCTCCACCACTGTTTGTTTTTTTGGTTTTACCTTGGTGATGATATAATTTGAATTTGAACCACAGGATGTTTTTGGGTTTTTTTTTTTTTGGTTTGTTTGTTTTTGTTGTTTTGAGATGGAGTCTCACTCTGTCACCTAGTCTGGAGTGCCGTGGCTCGATCTCGGCTCACAGTAACCTCCGCCTCCTGAGTTCAAGTGATTCTCGTGCCTCAGCCTCCCGAGTAGCTGGGATTACAGGCACGTGATTACAGGCACGTGCCACCATGCCCGGCTTTTTTTTTTTTTTTTTGAGACGGAGTCTCGCTCTGTCGTCCAGGCTGGAGTGCAGTGGCATGATCTCGGCTCACTGCAAGCTCCGCCTCCTGGGTTCACGCCATTCTCCTGCCTCAGCCTCCTGAGTAGCTGGGACCACAGGTGCCCGCCACTACGGCCGGCTAATTTTTTGTATTTTTAGTAGAGACGGGGTTTCACTGTGTTAGCCGGGATGGTCTTGATCTCCTGACCTCGTGATCTGCCCGCCTCAGCCTCCCAAAGTGCTGGGATTACAGGCATGAGCCACCGCGCCCGGCCTTTTTTTTTTTTTTTTTTTTTTTTTGTACTTTTAGTAGAGATGAAGTTTCGCCATGTCTTTCGGGCTAGTCTCGAGCTTCTGGCCTCAAACCATCTGCCCGTCTCAGCCTTTCAAAGTGCTGGGATTACAGGCATGAGCCACTGCACCTGGCCAGAACCGCAGTATTGATGGAGCTCCGTGAGGTGCATACTCCTTCTCATTCTACTGAATCCTTCCACTTTCTGGAAACCTGCAAAATGGCGTACAGAATACACAACGGGGTTCCCACTGTGAGAGCTATGGGGGGTTCTGGTTGGCCTCAGTTTGGGGTGTGCTCTCAGCCCGGCTTCTCCTGTGGTGGGGTGCATGTGAGTCCCCTGAAGATGTCTTTAGACTCTGGGTCAGACGATCCAGGTACAGCCATGAGGATGCTGCTGGCGTTCAAACCACACTTGTGACAAGGCTTTCTGTTCACAACCCATCCAGGTCCAGGGAAAACTGGGCTCATTTAGAAGAGTGCAAGGGACAGATTTAGGGAAAGGACGAAAGTTTCCCAAACATGGTGTGAATCCTGCTGGCTCTGGGATACATGCTGTAACAGCAACACAGAGGACCACATTTCACCAGAATTATTGCTTTTATTGCCAAGGTCTTAGGTCTTTTGGACTCCAAGTTACTGATGAAAAAACAGTTAAAATGCCTTGCATGAAATCAAAGAGATTTTGTTATCAGCTCCCCAGTTACCTGCTTGGCAGTTGCCTCTTATCTCTCTCTGGGATTTTAAAGCTCTTCCTAAGTCCAGATGCCCTGAACACTTAAAGATGCTCTAATAATAATAATAATGTTAAATTAATTAATAATTGTAAAGGAAGTCCAATTATTTTCATTCAAACATCTAATTATTAAAGCAAAGAAATTTATTGTTGGGACACATTAATCACTGTATTAGGGGTGATGGTGGGGTGGGATGAAATATAAGTAGGTGTTGCTTTTTTATGTTAATATTTGACAATGTGAGGAATGATTTCAGCAGATTAAGAGCAGCATTAATGATACATCAGAAGCATCAGCTCTCATTCGTCCTAGGCTACAGCATTACAAGCAACCATAACCATCCACTTAACATCACTAGAGAGAAGCGCTAGACATTGAGATGGCCACACTGTACCAGGAGTGCCTTCAACATGGTCCTGTGACTGCCTCTGGGCTGACAACTCCTCCCGCTGCACGAGTCATCGATAGCATTTCTTCACTGGGCTTTATTACTGTGAAGAAAACCTTTTTATTTCTTTCATGTGATTTGACACTAGGAATTATTAAAAAGAACTTAAAACCAAAGCCATGACAAAAAATAAAAAACACCAATATGCTGTGAATGTATCATTTTTATTCCTGGGACTGGTTTTATTATTTTTGGAACTATTACAAGACTTCTGTTAAACATGTTGAATGTTAAGAGGAAACAGACTCTCAGCAAATGTTGAAAACCAATTACAGAAACGTCCCTGCTAGAACTAGAGAAACACAGGAGGGACCGAGAAGAAGTTTGCCCTCCCCCTTCTCCCACTGCCCAAAACACACAGATGGTGGAATTCCCGTGAAGAAAAATACGATGATTACATTGTGGTCCTTATTCTTCTGTTCACAAGCAAAAAAACACTAAAATGATACTTCTGAGTCAAACCTATTTATAATGAGTTCAACATAGGATTATTTAAGGCAAATCTGATACAGGAAAAACTCATATAACTTACAGAATGATTCTTTACTATACACAAAAAAAGCTTCACCACTAATCAAGAAATCAAATTACATTACATTTAAAAACACCTAAATTTCAAATATTAATTTATGGAACTTTCAGGAGCACATCGCTGTAAACAGTACTGTAAAAGCATGCTATCATGTACACATTGATTAAAGTACATAATTTTATCTACATGAATACTGACAAGATTGAAATTTTTTAAAATTCAATTTTGAAACCCTAGAAAGCTGATTTAGGAAAAGAATCAACAGAAGAAAGAAACTTATTTTCAGTTATTATTCAGCTATTACTTTCCCATGTGCTACCATAAGTGAGGCTTTGTGCTAAGCACCAAAAAGGTACAGATGAGTAAGACACCCTCTTTGACCTCAAGGAACTTCCAGTTTTGGAAACGCAAGGCAGTAGTTAAAATTCAATATGGTAGCCAGGCATTTGCAGTCCCAGCTACTGGGGAGGCTTAAGTGAGAGGATCACTTGAGCCCAAGAGTTTGAGGTTGCCGTGAGCTATGATTGTGCCACTGCACTCCTGCATCAGTGACAAAGCAAGACACCATCTCTTAAAAAATAAAAATTAAAGACATGTAAAAATAATTAAAAAATGCAATGTGGTAACTGCAATAATAGAGGCAGCCCACGTGGAAGGGGCTCTAGGAAGTCTTCGTATTCTTGGCAGAAAGAACAGCATATGCAAGGTTGAGAGTGGTGGGTGGGTTAGGGCAGCAGTCTGATGCGTCAGAAGCAAGGATGTAGAAAACAAAGACAGCAGTGTAGACTGTAGGTAAAGGAGGGGCTGGATCATGATGGGTGTCTGAATCAGGCACCATCTGAGGTGGTCATCAAAGGCATATTCCTTAGGGGTTTTTGTAAAGACTTTTAAGAAGTGTGGGCAGAGTTAAGGGAATCAACAACGGTGAGGCTCCCAGGGCCCAGCAGCAGTGGGAAGCCAGGCCCTCCCCTAGCCTGAGAGGAGAAGATGGCACAGCCAGAGTCGGGCCATGCACTAGAGGCAAGGAAGAGTGGCCACCTGTTGAGCCCTAAGAAACACTAGAAAAAAGATCCGGAAAACTATGTGCTTGTTATCAGATTTAAAATATTTTTAAATATTTGTACTATGTTTTAATATCTGGGTTAGAGAAATATCACATGGTAAACGCTTAATTATGGAACTCTGAAAAAAAAAAGACACATCCATTAGCTAATAAGAGGCCAGGTGGTTCTCTTTAGTAGGGCCTGAAGAGGTGTCTCCACTGCCCCTGGGGCACCTCGGATGTTAAGACACTGGGCACAGCCATGCCTGTTACCCCGATGGCAGAGTGACTCGATAGGTCGGGCTTGCCAGCTGCTGTCCCTTCCTCCATGCTGTTCCCTAGATGTCACTTCACTGTACAGGAGCTAGAGAACCAGTTGTTGGCCAAAGATAAAGAGAACTAAGTGCTAAGTGGGAGGATGTGTGCATACAATCTTTTTCTGCCTCTCAGCCCAAACATCAAATCCTCACACTGATCCTTAATCACAAAAGTTAAACAGACTTAGCCAACTCAATTTTCAGTGATAATGAGCATCGAAAATCACATGGATTAATAAGTCACAAATCATCCCCTTCAGAATAATTTTATTTCTAACTTCTTAACCCTCCTTATATAGGCACTGTAAACAAGCAACAACTGGGATTGATCTGAGACTGACTACACTCTTTTTTCTCCTGTCTTCGGCAGAGCTACAGATGAGCGCTCTAATGGCCACAAACTACAGAACCAGTGCCTAAAGAGAGAGACCACAGGAACTGTAAGGGGTAGTGACCCGTTAGCCTTGATTGCCATTAGCGATGTGCCAGCTCTCAGCCAAAGGTATAGACTGAAGAAGAGAGGCAAAAGAAAATTTTAAAAACACAGTCCTTCATCTCAGCCACGCTAATGAACCTCCAACATTCCTGTCTTGCCCTCTTGGTTCCTCCTCCCTTCTCCATCTTCTGAAGGTTTGGGTGATTTGTAGGCATTCAGCCAACAATTGAGTGACTGAGTATGCTAACACATCTTCGGGGACTAACACATTAGATGCCGTAAACACAGCCAGTAGGTATAGAGTTCTATGGAGCAATAGGTCTGAAGGAAGAAAAAGAGGGGGAAAGGTAACAGAGAGACAGGAAGTGGAAAGACTTACCCATGCACCCACTATCCATGCCAAGGGTCTGTTCAAAAGAGCACAGAAGGCTGGGTGTGGTTGCTCATGCCGGTAATCCCAACACGTTGGGAGGCCAAGGCGGGAGGATCACTTGAGCCCAGGAGTTCCACACTTAGCCTGGGTAATATGGCAAGGCGCTATCTTTAAAAAAAGTAAATAAATTAGGCCGGGTGCGGTGGCTCACGCCTGTAATCTCAGCACTTTGGGAGGCCAAGGTGGGGGGGGGGCATGGAACACAAGGCCAGGAGTTGAAGACCAGCCTGGCCAATATGGTGAAACCCCGTTTCTACTAAAAATACAAAAATTAGCCAGGCGTGGTGATGTGTGCCTGTAATCTCAGCCACTTGGGAGGCTGAGACAGGAGAATCGCTGAACCCAGGAGGCAGAGGTTGTGGTGAGCCAAAATCGTGCCACTGCACTCCAGCCTGGGTGACCGAGTGAGACTCTTTCTCAAAAAAAAAAAAAAAAGTAAATAAATTAGCTGGGTGTAGTGGTGTGTGCCTGTAGTCCCAGCTACAGGAGGCTGATGCAGGAGGATCAACTGAGCCTGGGAGGTCCAGGCTGCAATGAGCTGTGATCACGACACTGCACTCTAGCCTGGGATGACAGAGCAAGACCCTGTCTCAATCCATCAATCAATAAAAGAGGACAGAAGAAGAAAATTTGAAGGGATAATTCCGTTAAAAATTATACGGGTGCTTGACTTAACAGATGGCCATCTTATACTCACATAGCCACCTGAAATATAAATGAATGAAAAGGCTAATGCAAAAATGTCTAAATTAGTAAACTGTCCAAGAGGTCTGATAAAAATGAATTAATAATCTCTAAGTTGAAAAATGAATATTCATATATATAGCTATAAGTCTGTTTAGTGAGTGATTGAAAATACGTAGCCACAGGGCTTTGAGCAATCAGGCTGGAATCCCAGTTCTATACCCACCGACCGTCAGGCCTTGGGCAAGTTACTTAACCTCTAGAGCATGTTTCCAAATCTTTAAAATGGGATAATAACTGTACCTGCCTCCTAAAATCTTTGTGAAGATTAAATAAAATACTTAGAATGGTGTTTGACATATACCAAGTGTTCTATAAATATTATCACTCTATATAAAGTTACATATTTAATGCCAAAGCAAAAATCCTAAGGAAAACACATGCTGGAAAAGTCTCAAACTTATTTTTTGAGGCATTTTATACCTTATAGCCTACATCATATTGCCTAATGTTTGGGTTTATTATAAACAACTTTTTATTTCACTCAGCTTAATCTCTAAATTTTAATCACTCAATAACTTTTAAGTAAAACCAGTTTAATTATAAAAATTAAGAATTTAAGCGCTAGGAGTTTAAATAAAACTAAATCTGCTTCACTCACACAACTATTTATGGTTCACTTCTAGGGACAGCTATCAGAAATCATGCTAGTTATTTCTGCTTTTTTTATTCCTGTATTATGATGGATGAGGGTGAGGCGTCTAGAAAACTGTCATATGAGGAAGCGGCAACGTCTTACAATTTTCCTTATATCTTTTCTCTTTTCCTTACCAAAAAAAAAAAAGACATATTGCATTAGTATAAATTTGAGGAAAGTCTGTAAATTTAATTAACATCAAATCTGGTTTAGTGGAAATCATTCTAATAAGAAATGAGGTCATGTCTCTTGCAATGAATCATGTCATTAAATTTATCTTCTTTCTGAAGTCTTTCCTTCATTTGTTTGTCATTTCCAAGTCCTTAATTGTTGTTGATTACTCAAATAAAATCAGGTTTTTTAGTTTTGAAAAGATATGAAACTGATGCTAAAAAAATCTCTATCTCTACACGTCTGCTTTTAACTTTACAATATTTTTTCTACCCAGTTTTTTTAAAGCAAATACCAAGTTTATTTTATTCAAAATCTTCATTTATCATGTGTATCTCTTATTTCACGGGTGTCTTCACATATTCCTCTATTGTTTTAATTTTCTTTTTCTTTTTTTTTTTTTTTTAAAGAGACAGGGGTTTAACTATGTTGCCCAGGCTGGACTCAAACTCCAGGGCTCAAGTGAACCTCCCAAGTAGTTGGGACTACAGCATTGCGCCCAGCCTAATTTTCATTTACTCCACAATTACACTCTACGAGATTACAACCTCACTTAAATAACACCCACGTATTTTCAAAGATAATCTTGGGAGAATTATCATCTTCTCAAGGGCTCTTTCAAAGGTCTCATCTACTCCAAGGCCTTGAGATACGATTCAATCCATAGGACACATCAAGATTTCAACTCTAGTCAGAATCAGTATTTTAACAATGGAAGCAAACTGGGAAAGCTAAGCAGTCTCGCGTCTTTACACACATGGAAACTATGACCATATATATTATACTTTTCCTTAACATTTTACAAAGGACATTCAGATGACTTATCACAGGTCCTAATTAAAAGAATCCTGAAGACAAAGCCAAGTCATTTTCATAACACTTGACCCTTTTCAACTACCTTAATATTTTTCATCTTAAAGGAAAGCTTTATGTCAAATCCAAGTATTTTATCTCCTTGTTAAAGCTGAGCTTGTATTTTAAATCAGCACCTTTATGCCAGTCTCAGAATCTCAAAACAGTTACATTTTCCCCTACGGTGTTCCCACCACTGAAAGGCCCCCAGGCGGGGCTGTCCAGGACCCTCGCTCCGCACCCATTTTGATCCCAGGAAGGGCGGTCGGGCAGGGACGGAGACGGCCGCGACCAGACAATGTCCTGCATTCACCGCGGCCTCGGCCAATCACAGGCCGGCGCCTCCCGGCCCCGTGCGGCGCCACCGGCCACTGCTCCGGCCGGAGGAAAACCTGGCTCTAGTCGGCCATCTGCGGCTAATCCAGTCAGAGCGCGCGGCGCTCCCACGGCGCCCGGCCCGGGGAAGGGGTCTGGGCAGCAGGCGCCGCGGCGTACCCCGGGGGCAGGGTCGCGAACTGAGGGCAGGACGCGCCGCCCCCTCCGCCCGAACGCGGCGCTGTCCCTTTAAGATGATCCTCCTCCCGGGGCCAAGCAGCGCGTTGGCGGCCCCGCCGCAGGGGGCAGCGACATCCGGGCTACCGGACTGGCGACGGCGGCGGCCCCTCGGGCAGCTACCAGTCCCCGCGGGATGCCCGGCTCACCGCCGCCGGAGAAGAGGAGCCCTCCAGGCCAAAAAAATCCCCCCAAGCCCAGGGTCGCACCGCGGCGGCCGCGGCATGTGCCGCCACCCGCCTCCGCCTCGCAGACTCCGGGGCCGGGACGCCGGGGCCAGCACGCGGGTCACGAACGCTCAGCCTGCGGGGCCGCGCGGCGCGCGCCCGCCTCAGGACCGCCCCACCTCCTGCGCGTGCCCAGGGGGCGGGGCGCTGCTGATCAGCCAATCAGCGCCAGACTCCAGGGACCGCCCCTGAAGTCTTCTTAGGGGGCGGCTCTGGAGGGGGAACTTCGTCGGGGGGGAGCGGCGGCTGGCTGTGGGTGTGGAAAAGCGGGCGCGCCAGAGGGGCTGGGAAGGTGGGAGCAGAGGGGCTGGGAAGGTGGGAGCGGAGGCGCTGGCCCCGACTCCTAAGCTGTGCGGAAGTGAAAGGGGCGGGAGCGGCGGGGAAGGGCGCTGGCCGCGCGTGAGAACCGGCGCGGGCGAGCCGGGGGCGGGGAGGCGCCGGGAGCAGGTGGTGCAGCCCGAGGTGTGCGGGAGGGGCTGGCATGTCCTGGAGATGGGAAAAGCGGGGATGGATGTGCTGAGCTAATAAGCGTACTGCCAGAGCTGTCAAGGTTTATTTATGCAGGACAGAGAACTTAGAGAAGTTATTCACTGACTGGTGGACACACGTTCTAAGATTTTCCTCCGTTCGGTTTAAGAGAAAAGTGCTTACATGTTTCTGATGCCTGGTGATATTTATTAAAATTGAAAGTTGGTCACTTGATATTTTATCATAGGGTTGGGAGAAAGAGGAACAAAAGGCATTTATAAAGCAAAAGCCATTTCTGCAATGCACTCTATTAAAAATTTGAGAACGAATGTGTTTCAACAATCGGATGCATTGAATTAATTTGTAGGAGGGTAGAGTGAGGCTTGTATTGGCTGGGAGATTCACTGCCAGGTGGTCATGCATAAGCCCCTACCCCAAGCTCTCATTTTCCCTACCTGCAGAATTAGACCAATGAATACCCCACCTGTCTCACCGCATGTTTTGAGATTCCGCGTGTGTGAGGGAGGGAGGGCTGGAGCGCAGGCCGGTGCCGTCTGGGCCGCCCTCTCTCCCGGGCGTGCTCTGGACCGTCTCGTCCCCTCCGGGCGCGTCATCCTGCTTTCGGAACCCCCGTGTCCTGAAGTCCAGGCATATTTAACTTGGGTGCCACAGAAATCTCAAAATCTAGGTGTTCTCAGCGGAGCTGGGCACCTTCCCTACAAGCCTCGCGTGTTTCCTGTCTCAGCAAAGACAACACTACAATCTGGTCATTATCCCCCTACCCCAATTCACCTAGCCCCGGGATCCGTTTTGCGTCTGCACTTCAGGCCGCCTGGTTGTCGCTGCTGCAGCTCTCATACCTCGGTGCGGGGCGCGGCGTCTCCCACCTGGACCTCCGGCGACCGCTCACCGCTCTCTCCGCCTCCGCCCTTGCCCCTCCCCTGTCTCGACAGCACAGCCAGTCAGATGCTTTATTTTAATGTAAATCTGTTCGTGTCACTCCTGTTTACGATCTTTTATGGGCTCTCTGTTGCTCTCGGGATAAAGTCCTATCTCCTTAAATTCGCTTAATAGGGCCCTCCTAATCCAGTTACCGCTTTCGTCTGCGGCTGGATCTTTTACCTTGGGCCGCTCCTCCAGCCCTTCTTCGCGTTCCGCCTAACCTGGACTGCTTTCACTTCTCTCAACTTGCCGACTCAAGCTGCTGCAGCACTTCTCCGTCTCCTCCCTGCTTCTTTCGTTTCCTGCACCTCCTTCCCCAGCGTGAGCGTTAAGGGCGCCCGTGGAACCCCTTCCTTTGCCGCGCACCGGTAGCCTTGCACTGCCGTGGGCTGCGGTCCGACCTGGGGCGCGTCCCACGCCAGCCCTTTGGAGCATGGGCTGCATTGTTCCGGTTTCCTAGGACGGTCCTGACAATACTGGCAGAGCCCAATAACCCTTTTAGGATACACAGTGATGGGCGCAGAAAACCAAACAAGTAGCCTGAGATCTTTGCTGATTGATTCATTTTATATTGCTGTATTTTTCAGTTTTAAAATTTTCCACTTTATAAGAATAGCATTTTTTTAAATTATATAAATTTAAAACTGATAATGACGTTTTACACCACAAACAATTACAAATCTCTTTTAGCAGAAAGTGTGTGTGGTTTGTGAAATGAAATCAGGAACAGTGGCTCGATGTTCAATGCACATGGGCAGAAATGTTCACTTTAAACTCAGATGCTGAAACTTTAAAACAGCTGAAACTCATGCCCCAATAATCATTAAAGGAAGGACCAGAAGAAAAGAGCAGTAAGCTGGGCTTATTATTAATTTGTAGGCTAGTAATTATCGATAGGTTAAGAAATTGCTTTGTTACTGGCTTTTTTAAAAAAATCCTGGTACTGTTAATATTTCTATTGTTTATATGAGACGTCAGTGTAACAAATTGGAATTCTCATTTTCCCAGTGCTCCCTCCTAGCTAGCAATGATAACATATGTGCCTTTGGATCTGTAGTATTTCTAAACATGGTTCTGCTACACACTTTCCAATAAAGTTAAACAAGAATTCTTTGTTGAGCTATGTAATATTTAGAGGGGAGGATAGGGGAATAAATCTTAACTACTGCGAATTGTTTCCCTTCAGCCTAACTCTGAAGGAGATCCTTGTTGGTTTTTTCATTACTGTACTACTAGGCTGTTTACTTTGTTACACTTTTGTGGAAGGGAGCAGAACTTAGTAAATAATAAAAAATAAAAAATAAGTGGGGAGAGTTTAATAAAATAAGCAAAAAATAAATGAAATATAGAAGTAAAGTAATAATGCACTTTTAGTTAGAAAAATTTGTTTCTATGCTCTGTGCTATAATTAACATAAGCTCTTATGCCGCTCAATTTATCTAATGAAAACAATATTTCAAGCAGAAGAAATAGGCATTATAGTTATTTACTGTTTCTACAGAAAAATATTATTCAAACATGAATCTTATCTGTTTATAGGACCTGTCAAATAGCTATTATAAACAAATGATAAGAGAATAATAAATGCTGGAGAAATGGCTTTTCTTTTGGAGGTAGGCTTGAATAATTTTGAGTTTAGAAAACATTTTAGACACTCTAATTTGGTAAAAGTCCTAAAATTACACTTCACTTACATTCTAGCTAACTGCATTTTTCACTTTTTAAACCTGTTGAAAAATCTTATTTCCAAACTTGATGGAATGGTAAAGGATTTTTTTAAAGTGTTTATAATGAAACATTTTTAATAGCTAGTTTTAAGAGTATATCTATAATGGAAATACAGTACATTTCAGGCTTATTTATAAGCATGCCAAACCTGATTAGGTGACTACTTGAAATAAACATATTTAAAATGAGATCTAAGAGTGCTGTTTGCTGCATTTGTTGGTTTAGCAGAAATTTCCAGTTAATTGGGCATTGAAAAGACACTGCCAGCCTAGTAGAGATAAGCAGATATGATGACTAGAGAAAGGGAGAGTGGAAAGAGGGTGAGATGTGGGACTAAAAGACTGAGGACTAAGTCAGCGAGCTTTATACCTTCTTCGAGTTATGTCTGAGACTTAGTTTCTACATTTACAAATTGGGCAACTATTTGCCATCTTGACCACCTCGCAGTACTGATACAAGTATCAAATGAGAATAATGTGTGCCGTAAACCTTAAGACACTGGTCAAATAGTAGTTACGGATACTGTTGTACACATTCTACTGTGGACTTGGAGACATTTGGTTTTCATGGAAATCACCATAATAACCATATATATCTCTCATATATAATACAAGAAGTATAAAGAAATCTAAAAAGGAAATAAATTACCTTTTCACAACTCTGATTCTCTAAGGGGGATTCATATGTACTTGCATTTGCTCATGGGTAATAGATGATTACTAGAGACAAAACAGAGCTGATTATTAGAGACAAAAAATAATTGTAATAAGTTTGCAGAGGAATCTGGTACAGTCTAGATTTTGTTATGCTTTAAGTATTATAAAAGCGAGGTAACATTTGTATATAAGGAAGAAACTAAAAAAATAGATAAAAATAGGGCAAGTATTTAATGAAGGATATCATGTTCAATACTGTCAAAGATTGAGAAAGAAGAAAAATAGTCTTCATTGGTGATATTTATGTGTTATTATTGACCCATGATAAATCTGAGGAATCAAATAGCAATGAAAGCAATTCTTCTATATTATCCTGACATCTTCATCCAAGTTTGATATATTTGGCCAGCAGTTAGTCATCCTAATAGGTTTGACTGATAACTTACAATGTGCAGAGTGCTTTAGTGCACACTGCATGAATGGTAAAATAAATATAAGATGCATTTTTTTCCTCAAGGGGGCTAAAATTGGCTTCTGAAAAGTCAAACAAAACCAAGCCCTAGCCCATTTTTGAGTGAGCCTCCATTCTTTGCAAGGGAAGGAGAGCTGGGTGGGTAGTTTCATCTTTGCACCCTTCTAACATGCTCTTCCAACAAGCAGTGGAGGAGGACTCAGGCCTGAATCCATCACCCTCATGCTCCTCCATTGTACCATTATAGGCTGATTCTTTTGGATCCTGAAGTTTTTGATTTTCTAAAGTTTCCCCTTAAAATATGAATCTCTCTAGGAGGGGTATAGATGGTACTTTGATACCTAGATAATCTTTTACCTGCTCAGCAGAGATTGTTCTTATCCTGCAGAGAGCAAGAAAAGGAACAAGATGGAAATGTCAGAAAAGGGAAAGTAAGCGGCAAAGGCAGAGATGCAGAAAGGATCAATGACCACGTGAAGCGAGCTCAAAGAAGCTTTGATGGCTTTGCCTTGGAATAATGTCTCTCTAGCTCTGTTTCTGAGCTGCTCTGGCATCATGACCTGGGGTTCCAGCCTCTGCTCTTAGGGTTCTGGGGTCTGCTTCTCTGGCTCTACCCATAATCCTTGCCTGTCATGGAGTTCCGCTGAGTTCCAACCAGTTTGATGGTAAACTAGAAGGAAAAGCAGTCCTAAGGTTGGAAGACGAGTTCTCTGTGACTTTGAGTCATTCAGGCTTTTACCAACTTCCATTTCCACATTTGTACAAAGAGACGGTGGATGACTTCCCTCTTTTGCTCTGGATTTCTCCCTTTCTCTGTGAAATTTCCTTTTCCCCTCAGTCCTTTCACTGCAATTAAGCCTGTACCACAGGTGGTCAAAATCCTAGCTGCCCCCAGGCCAGGCGCGGTGACTCACGCTTGTAATCCCAGCACTTTGGGAGGCCGAGGCGGGCAGATCACGAGGTCAGGAGATCAAGACCATCCTGGCTAACACGGTGAAACCCCGTCTCTACTAAAAATACAAAAAATTAGCCGGGTGTGGTGGCGGGCACTTGTAGGCCCAACTACTCGGGAGGCTGAGGCAGAATGGCATGAACCCGGGAGGCGGAGCTTGCAGTGATCAGAGATCGCACCACTGCCACTGCACTCCAGCCTGGGCGACATAGCGAGACTCAAAAATAAATAAATAAATAAATAAATAAATCCTAGCTGCCCCCAAAATGTGGAAACAACCTGAACGTCCATTGATGGATGAATGAATAAACAAAATGTGGTATAGACATACAGTAAAATATTATTCAGCCTTAAAAGGAAGGAAATTCTGACACATGCTACACGATAGATGAACTTTGAGGATATTATGCTAAGTGAAATAAGCCAGATGCAAAAGTCATACAAATATTTTATGACTTCACTCATATGAGGTACTCAGAATAGGCAAAATTCATAGAAACAGAAAGTAGAATAAAGGTTACCAGGGGTGCCAGGCGCGGTGGCTCACGCCTGTAATCCCAGCACTTTGGGAGGCCGAGGCGGGCGGATCACAAGGTCAGGAGATCAAGACCATCCTGGCTAACGCGGTGAAACTCTGTCTCTACTAAAAATAGAGACAAAAAAAAAAAAATAGCCGGGCGTGATGGCGGGTACCTATAGTCCCAGCTACTTGGGAGGCTGAGGTAGGAGAATGGCGTGAACCCGGGAGGCGGAGCTTGCAGTGAGCCTAGATTGTGCCACTGCACTGCAGCCTGGGCGACAGAGCGAGACTCCATCTCAAAATAAATAAATAAATAAATAAATAAATAAATAAATAAATAAATAAATAAAAGGTTACCGGGGGTGGGGGAGAGGCGAGAGTGGGGAGTTAGTGTGTAATGGGTACAAAGTTTCAGTTTGGAATGATGGATAAGTTCTGGAAAAGGATAGTGGTGATAGTTGCACAACAGTGGGAATATAATTAATGCCACTGAACTATACAATTTAAAAGGATAAATGTTATGTATATTTTACCACAGTAAAAAGATATATTAAACCAAACAAACCTGGAAGCCCATGGTGGGAACCCTGGCTGAAGACATATTTTGAGTGATTTGCCTAATGCTTTGCACCTGACTTTTCTGTGTAGCTGTTTGAGTTGTGACCCAGCCTCAGTCTCTCCCTGAAAGACAGGACCCCCTCTGTACTCTTCTCCAGGCAAGTGGAGGACTCCTCTCCAGGCAATGCTCCCCATTCTCCCTCAAATACACACTCCTGGACCTGGCCTAGTATCCATAGTCCCCTAGCTCTCACCTAGCAAAACTCTGCTATGGCTTCCTCCCACCACCCTCAAGCTGCCATCCCATCCCCAAATCTCAGTCTCCCATGTTCATTGAGGACATCACCTGGAACTGCTCCATTTCTGAAGTACATCCATGTGCTGCCTATAACCATAGCTTCCCATCCTTCCTGCCTGACTGATTTTATTTCACCTGCTTGAACCTCATGGAGGCCCCCATTCTTTCAGCTTCTCCCCAAGTACCTGCCCCATCCTGATGCCTCACTGTGTACTCCTCCCCTCTTCATCTATCCTGTCTTCTGCATGAGCTCCTGAATGCTGCTGGGGGGTTACCCAGTTGTGTGTACTGGGACCCCTGCCTATTGCTTTATTGTCTGCAACCCAAAGTGAGGTTTAGCAGTCCTTTTCTACAAGTCCATTGGTGACTTCTTCTAACCTTTAAAACTTCACTCTCTAAGCTTCATTCCACAACACTTTAATTGGCTACTAATGCTGTGTAGGAGAGCACTGTTTTGTCATGCTTTGTTCTGCATGAACAAAAGTGCTATGCTCCCTCTGTCCCAAGTGTCTGCTCCAACAGATCCCACTGCCTAGAATACTGCTTCTCTTAATTATTGAGATTCTTAAATATCAAGTCATTACCTTTTGCATTATCTTTTTCTTCCCATTGACTAGTTTATTTTAATACTTAGTATGTCAATTAGAATTAGGTTTGAAAGTACAGAAAATTGCCAAATAACATTAGCATAAACAAAATAGAAATTTTAGGTTGGGTGCGGTGGCTCATGCCTGTAATCCCAGTACTCTGGGAGACTGAGGTGGGAGGATAACTTGAGGCAGGAGTTTCAGACCAGCTTGGGTAACATAGTGAAACCCCACCTCTACATAAACATTTAAAAATGAGCAGGAGTGGTGGTGTGCATCTGTAATCCTAGATAATCAGGAGGCTGAAGCAGGAGGATTGCTTGAGCCCAGGAGTTTGAGGCTGCAGTGAGCTATCATCATACCACTGAACTCCAGCCTGACAACAGAGTGAGACCCTGTCTCTATAAAAAAAGAAAAAAAAAATGGAAGTTTTATCCTAATCCTGTACAACTTCAAGGGCAGACAGTGAAGGTCTGATATGTGTTTACTGCAAGTCTTAAGGATCAATTCTCTTTCAGCTTTGCTTCCTCATCCTGAGGCTGTGCCACTGTCTTTGTGGTCCAAGATGGGGACTAGACTCAAATTCCAGGCAGCAGGGTAGAGGAAGGAATAAAAAAAGGGTAGAAGGCTCACACTGACTGTCTTTCTAGGAAGCTCCCCAGGAGCTTACTACCAATATTTTGTTTATATCCTGTCAGGTCAACTTCATCACACCTAGCTGCAAGGGAAGCTGAGATACACAGTCTTTCTTAAGGGAAGCTGAGATACACAGTCTTTCTTTTGGGAAACTGTGTTTCCAGCTAAAAATTCTATTAGTGTGAGAGAAGAGGAGCAGTGAATATTGGAGGACAAGAAGAGGGTTAGGCCATATGTATCTACATTTAAAAAGATACCTAAATATGACATCATAATCCAGATGAATCTAGATTTCAAAGGTATTCCTACCCAATCTTAATCTCCTTTGTTGGAAAGTCTGACATTTAGACTCAGTAGTTCTTACTCCAAGCAAGTCACTACATTTCCAGGGGTTTTTCTCTTATTAGGTAGTACAAGAATCCAGCGCTGTGACCTTCTTGGGATGAGGCATAGATGTAAGCTGAAAGGGAGTGGAGATAAAGGTATAAGTAGAGTGAAAGGCTCAGTAATTATATACAAATAAAGGATTTTACATGTTGACACTTTTGATCATGACCCCTGAGCCTCACTGGCTGGATTTGCTTTCTACTGTGTTTTTCCCTGGACTTTCTGGGGAGGGTGCTCTGCTCTCTACCAGGCACCTGCAGTTCCACCCCGGGCAGCTGGAGGGCTCTGTTCCACCACGGGCCACTGTGAACGCACATTTATTACCCGGTGTCAGTTGACGCCCTTCTCCAATCGCCCAAGAGAAGATGGCTTCAAAGGCCACAAACAATCTCCACGGCAGGACAGAGTGCTGGCTGCCGCTGCTTGGGAGCCAGGCCTGCACCCCATAGAGTCAGCTCTGGTTTAGAGCCAGCCCTTCCACCCTTGCCACCTTCAGCCGCTAGCCCAAATCTCAACGCTCTTCTCGCCCATTCCCAAACATCTCTGCGCTTCTCCCTTCCCCATCCGATCATTTCTGTTTCCATTATTTTTCTTTCTTCGCAGTTCCTTCCACGGTGTCTTTGGAAATGCTGATTCCTCTCTTGGCTTTGTGCTGTTTTTATTCGCCAAACCTATTCCGTTGTAAACCGACTTCTCTGAATCTCCAACCTCACCACAGGACCAGCCCTCCTTCCCTCTTCCTTGGCTGAGGGTGCACCGCTCCTGCCTCAGCATCTCCTTGGGCTCTGTAAGTTGCTTTCTTTCTTCCTGCAGACTTGCAAGAGCTCCCCTACTTTGAAAGGAGTCTTTGATGCTCTGTTCCTTTCTCTGCTTTCATCACCAAATAAGGAAATTCATAGTACCCTCTGCTCCCATGGCTTCCCACCACTCCTAGCTTAATTTTTTGTCATCTAGTTGTACTCGACACATCTCTATGAAATGAACACCATGATATCATCAGTGAACTTTGAATTATCTAATTCTCTATTTTACCTAATCTGGTAAAGGCATCAGACTCCTTGATTGTAACATGGCACCATTGCCATTGCCCATTCATCAAAATTTTATCTTGTGGCTGTCCCACTGGCTCACGCCTGTAATCCCAGCACTTTGGGAGGCTGAGGCAGGCAGATCACTTGAGCCCAGGAGTTCGAGACCAGCCTGGGCAACATGGGGAGACCCTATCACTACAAAAATACAAAAATTAGCCAGGTGTGGTGGCGCACGCCTGTAGTCCCAGTTACTCATGAGACTGAGGTGGGAGGATTGCTTGAACCCAGGAGGTTGAGGCTGCAGTGAGCCATCATTGCACCACTGCACTCCAGCCTGGGTGACAGAGCATGACCCTGTCTCAAAACATTTTTTTAAATTTTGCTTTCTGTCAAACTACATATTATGGTGTTTCCTTACCTTTTATGATATTGTATTCAGTAATAAAATAATAATATAGCAAACATTTAATGAGCACTTATTTTGTGACAGGCAGACTATAAGGTGCTGTATACACATGTTTCATTTAACCTTCAAAATAACTCTATGAGGTAGAGGAAATTATTATCCCTACTTTTACAGATAAGAAAACTGAGACTTGGTGGCTTACAGAAGTTAAGTGATGTGCGTAAGATGACAGATCTAGTAAGAGTGAGAGGTGGAATCAAACCCAGGCTTACTGAATTCCAAAGCACTGATTTTTTGCCAGCAGAGTGCATTGTTACTATTCTGGAAATCTGTAGTTCCTCTTTTCCTAATTACACTTTCAATATGAAACTTTCCCAGGACTCAGTTTGGGATACCTGCTCACCTGTCTATAGACATTCACTTTCACAGGGAAGTGTTGACTTTCGTGGGGTGAACTCTCTCCTTTACTTACTTTAAAAACCTGTCACTATGGAAAAAATTTAAACATACACAAAAATAGGAAGAACTGTATAACCACAACCCCCTCCCCAGGTACTATCACCCAAGTCCAACAATCATCAATTTCTGGCCACTCTTGTTTCCTCTGTACCCAACTGTCCCCATTTCCCACCCTCATTGGGTTTTTTATTTATTTACTTTTGAGACAGGGTCTTGCTCTGTTTCACAGGCTAGAGTGCAGTGGTGCGATCACAGCTTACCGCAGCCCTGACCTGGAGGTTGAGGGGCTCAAGTCATTCTCCTACCTCAGGCTCCCAAGTAGCTGGGACTACAGTTGCATGCCACCACACCTGATTAATTTTTGTATTTTTCGTAGAGACAGGGTTTTGCCATGTTGCCCAGACCGGTCTCAAACTGCTGGGCTCAAGGGATCCACCTGCCTTGGCCTCCTAAAGTGCTGGGATTACAGGCATGAGCAAACGCGCCTGGCCTATCCCACTGGATTATTTAAGGCAAATGCCAGAAATCATATCAGTTCATCTGTAAAGATTTCAGTGTATATCTCACACATATAAGGACTCATTAAAAAACCCCAACCACAATAACAAAAATATATCTAAAAATTAAAAAGAATTTCTTAATGTCAGTGAATATTCAGTGACATCAAATTTCCTCAATTGTGTAGTACTTTTTTTTTTTCTAAGAGCTGTTTTATTAGATCAGGACTCAAATAAGGCCAATAAGTCACACTTGGTCGATGTGGCTCTTTAAGTGCCTTTTAATCTTTAGATTCTCCTTCCCTCTTTTTTACTTTTTTCTTGAGATTTATTTGTTGAAAACGTTGGTTCAGTAGTCCTGTGTAATATCCCACATTCTGGGTTTTGTTGATTGAATCCCCATTTTGTTAACACGTTTGTCTCACCCAAATTTCCAGTGAATTGGTAATCAGATTTAGAGGCTTGATCTGATTCAAGTTCATTTTTTGGCAAGATTTCATGGGTTATACTAGGTACTGCCATTAGAAATCCTGTTTACCAGCCAGGAGCAGTGGCTCATGCCTGTAATCCCAGCACTTTGGGAGGCCGAGACAGGTAAATCACCTGAGGTCTGGAGTTCAAAACTAGCCTGGCCAACAAGGTGAAACCGCGTCTATTAAAAATACAAAAATTGGCCAGGCGTGGTGGCTCATGTCTGTAATCCCAGCACTTTGGGAGGCAGAGGTGGGCGGATCACCTGAAGTCAGTAGTTTGAGACCAGCCTGGCCAACATAGTGAAACCCCATCTCTACAAAAATACAAAAATTAGCTGGGCATGGTGGCGCTTGCCTGTAATCCCAGCTACTTGGGAGGCTGAGGCAGGAGAATCACTTGAACTTGGGAGGCAGAGGTTGCAGTGAGCCGAGATCATGCCATTGCACTCCAGCCTGGGTGACAGAACAAGACTCTGTCTAGAAAAAAAAATCCCATTTACCAAGTCAGACACAGAAAGATAAATATTGCATGTTCTCACTCATAAGTGGGAGCTAAATAATGTGTACATATGGGCATAGAGTGTGGAAGTATAGACACTGGAGACTCGGTATAGACACTGGAGACTCGGAAGGGAGAGGTGGGTGGATGATGAGAAATCACTTAATAGGTACAATGTATGCTATTCAGGTGATGGATACACCCTGATTTCACCACTAGGGAATCTATGCATGTTACAAAATTGCACTTGTACCCCATAAATTTATACAAAAAAATAAGAAATCACATTTGCTTAGTTGGTATTCAGGTTGATCCTTTTACCTTCAGCTAACTGCTACATCATTTCACTTGGATATTCTGCCATCTCTCAAAATTAACATGTGTAAAAGCAAATTTATCTTCCCTCCATACAAGCTTTCCCTCCTGACACCTTCTCTGTTTCTGCTATCATTTCTATTGTTCTTTTAAATCACTTGCGGTCCAGATCTCAGTCATCTTGCCCTTTTCCTCAGCTCCCACATTCAGTCATAAAGACCTGCCAGTTCTCCTTCTAGAGTATTCAAACCCTCTCCCTTTGATTCTACCACCCACTACCCTAATACAGGCTCTAAATGTATTACAACTGGCTGTGGCTTATGCCTGCAATCTCAGCACTTTGGGAGGCTGAGGTGGAAGAATCACTTGAGCTCAGGAGTTCAAGACCAGCGTGGGCAACAAAGCAAGACCCTGTCTCTACAAAATTAAATTAAATTAAAAAGTATTACATTTACCTCCCACTGGTCTCTTTTTCCTCAGTTCCATCCCATATACTGCCACTTGACAAATCACCCATCGCATCAGCGGCATCTTTTTCTGTGCTTCCTTATTCACAAACCTTCAATAGTGACCCATTACCCGTTAAATAAAGTGTAAACTACTGAGAGTAGTTCAACATAGCCTAGTCCTAATCTACATTTCCAGCCTACCACACAATTCATATTGCTTAACATTAGATACTTATTCCACAGCCGCGGAAATCGGCAGACTTGAACATGCTTAGGTCAATGTCATATCTGACATTCTCTCTTAGCGTTGAATACTGGAGACTCAACAGTGACACAAGTGCTGGAATAAGACAAAGCTCTCTGAGGATAATGCTGGATGTGTCTTGGGAGACACCAGGGGAAGGGAAAGTTGTCTGTCACCCTGGCAAAACGCTGGTTGCTGCTTTCTTTTCTTATTATTCTTTCATAATAAGATGTGTACACTTCTACCTGTTTGTTTGATTCTTAAAACATGGGACTTGCCGTGGACCCGCAATGCAGAATGCCAGCCACCTAGGCTCTGCCCTCGTATCACCTGCTGTCTGTCTCTCATTACAAACCCAACACACAAACACGCAACAACACAAAGAATTCTCAGCTACTCTTCCAAGAACTCTGTTAAAGTAGACCAGTGGACACCTGCATCCCGAAAGGCCTTCAGCCAAGACACTCCTGAGCATTCTCCTGGATCACATTGATCCCGCCTAGTGCCACAACGTACTGTCCCGTATGTGAATTTCCATGAGACATTTATAAAATTTGGTGACAGAAAGAACTAGTATTGAAAGAGCTGGTACACCATCTTTCTGTCCATAGTAAAAGTTATCTTATAAGCTTTTTTTTTTTCCTGTTTTTAGGGTCTCACTCTTGCCCAGGTTGGAGTGCAGTGGTGTGATGATGGCTTACTGTAGTCTTGAACTCCTGAGCTCAGGTGATACTCCTGCCTCAGCCTCCCAAGTAGCTATGACTACAGCACCCACCACCACACACAGCTAATGTTTTAAGATTCTTTTTGTAGAGATAAGGTCTCACTATGTTAGCAAGCTAGTCTCAAATTCCTGGCCTCAAATGATCCTCCCGCATCTGTCTCCCAAAGATGTTGGATTACAGGCATGAGCCACCTCGCCAGCCACTTTATAAGCTTCTTAATATGTATTTGGGAATGAGCTGGTGTATACATTAAATGAATAAAATACCACCACTTTCCTTTGCCTCAGGCAAAGGTCAATTTTTCACCTAAGACTAAGTTTGCATATTTTGTGTCTTCTAATTGGACTGGTGTCTCACCCTGCTCTCCTACAACTCTTCCCTGTCCCTAAATTCTAGCCATCCTGTAGAGCTCATTTGAAGACCCCCTCCTCCTCCATGAACTGCCTGCCTGCCCTAGCCAATAGCAAGCCTTCCTTCCTCTGAGAGCCTCTCATGTTGTCTTATGCTATTCATTTGCCACTTACCACACAGTCTTTTATCGTTAGTTTTATAAACTTTGTTTAAATTTGAAAGTAATATGTGCACACAGAAAATTTAAACTATACAAAAGAGGAGCCCAGGAAAAAAGTCTTTTTGCATCCACAATTCTTCACCCTAGAGGCAACCACTATTGCTAGTTCTCTGTGTATAATTTTAGATACAGCCTATGCATTTGCAAACATATACACACAAATACACATATATGTACATATGTACAAATATATGTGTATATGTATGTACATTTGTAAATCCTTTCTTTTTTCCCCATGGTTATGATCAAACCATATACACTCTTCTGAGCCTAGAATTTTTGTCGTTTTTTGTGCAATAGCATAGCTTGAAGATTACAGCACATCGGCACATAAATATCTACCTCATCCTTTCTAATGCCTGCATAGTTCCTATCATAAAGATAAACCATAGTTTATTTGATTAGGTATGTCATCATGGTTTGTATCTCTGATTCAGTGTACTTTTTCTGAGGGCAGTGGAGAAAATATGTGTATGTTTCGTGTATTCGTCCATGAATCCAGTACAGTACCTTCCACATAGGAAAAACTCAATAAATAAATACTTGTCAATTTTCATTAGTGAATAGTCAAGTAACAAGTCATTATAACTTATAATAATATTTAGAAATAACTTGAGAGGCTGGGTGCAGTGGCTCACGCCTGTAATCCCAGCATTTTGGAAGGCCAAGGGTGGAGGATTGCTGGAGCCCAGAAGTTGAGACCAGCCTGGGCAACATAGTGAGACTCCATTTCTACAAAAAATTTTAAAAATTAGCTGTACATGGTGGCATGCACCTGTAGTTCCAGCTACTCAGGAGGCTGAGGTGGGAGGAATGCTTGAGCCTGGGAGGAAAAGGCTGCAGTGGGCCAAGACTGTGCCACTGTACTCTAGCCTGGGAGATAGAGCAGGACTCTGTCTCAAAAAAATAAATAACTTGAGAAAGTCTTATAGCATTATTCAATCACCACATGTGTCCTTCATTGATATTTTCTATGGGCCTTTGTTATTATCTACAGCACTGTTTGGAAAGGCTTGACCCTGAGGTATACTAAGTTTCAGCACCTCAGCTCATGAAGAGCAAGGGCTAGGCTGAGGGGATCTGACGCCACTGCAGTGGCTCCAGCCTTAGATCCCATGCCCAAAGACAAGAGCAGGGAATCTGCAGGTCCAAGAGGGCCACTCCAAGGACATAGCACAGTAGCTTACTAGAAAGCCAGCCTCAGTTCCCCTCCCAAGAGGAAAGACCTTCACCAGGGAGTGGGCAAAGAGATGAGGGGATCTGGCATGAACTGGTCTGGGGAAAGGAGGAGTTACAAAATAGCAGGATCTTGGCCGGGCATGGTGGCTTACGCCTGTAATCCCAGCACTTTGGGAGGCCAAGGTGGGCAGATCACCTGAGTCTGGGAGTTTGAGACCTGACGTGGAGAAACCCCATCTCTACTAAAAATACAAAATTAGCTGGGTGTGGTGGCACACGCCTGTAATCCCAGCTACTTGGGAGGCTGAGGCAGGAGAATTGCTTGAACCTGGGAGGCGGAGGTTGTGGTGAGCTGGAGATGGTGCCATTGCACTCCATCCTGGGCGACAAGAATGAAACTCTGTCTCAAACAAACAAACAAACAAACAAACAAAAACCCAAAGTAGTAGGATCTCACTTGGACAGGTCCCAGTCTTAAAAAGGCACGAGGCTACACCTGTGTTCATAGCAGCATTCCTCACAATAGCTAAAAGGTGGAGGCAGGCCAGTGTCTGCGGACATATGAATGGATAAACAAAATGTACCATATATACCCAACAGACTATTACTCATCCTTAATAAGCAAGGACATTCTGACACATGCCACAACATGGATGAACATTCAAAACATTATGATAAGTGAATAAGCTAAGGACAAAAGGTCACATACTGTGTGATTCCATTGATATGAGGTACCTAAAGCAGGCAAATTCATAGAGACAAGAAGTAGAATGGTGGCTGCCAATGGCTGGGAAGTGGGGAAATTGAGTTATTTTTCATGGGTACACAGTGTCTGTTGGGGAAGATGAAAAGGTTCTGGAGATGGGCGGTAACGATGGTAGCACAATGATATGAATGTACTTAACGCCACTGATGTGCACACTTAAAAATGGTTGAAACGTAATATACTTTATGTTATGTATATTTTACCACAAAAAAAAGGCATGAGGGAGGAAACATACAATTAGAATATGGTATTATTTATCAAAATTCAGTCATTTTTATTCTACTGCCTTGATTTTTGCCATCTCTGAATCCACTGTTTTACCCTCTGTGAGTAGGGCCTCACAATATTACATTTTCTTTTCCTGAGAGAGGTAATAAACGAATAGGCTGTCAGGGAAACATGTGAAGCAGTACTTAATCGACTTTAGGCCCAGGTGACTTATAAGTGGCCCAAGGGCAATGGCTTTTGAGGGCCCCACAACAGCAGCTGTGGGAAAAGGAACGGGCTAAAAAGGGTGGAGGGTTTGCAGTTCTGCAGCCAGGTCAGCTTCTGTCTTTTTGACCTCATGGGGCTCTAGCATATGAACTGAGGGCAGCAGCATGCATGGCATACCTGGAGAGTCTCCAGAGGGGAGCTTAGAAAATGGCCTAGTAAGAATTCTTGCTAGGTTTCTAGATGAAAAGCCTCAGTATAGCAGCTCAATCATGTAAACACATTATAAACATGTTAAAAAGTAATTACTCTGGAGGAAGTTAACTATGTTAAAATACAAATTAAGATAAAATTAAGAATGTTTCTGCTTTCAGAGTCAAGTACACAGAATATTTTTTAAAATGATGTTTGCCTTTCTGTATCCAGTCATCCCAAGGCCTTCATGCCACATTTACTGGTATTTGTGCAGTGTCACCTGTGTGTCAGACTCTGTGCTAGGTGTTGGCTGAACTAACTTCTTACAAATCTGAGAAATGTGTTGAGCATGTGGGTACCCATGACTGCTGTATTTCAGTGTGGAGCAGTTAGCCAGAGAAAAGTCAGTGTTTCTACCCAAGAGAAGGAATTAATCACAGTTGGATGCATAATTCTCAAGTCAGTCTTATCTAGAGTTGCAGTGTATGGTAACATCTTGTGGGAATCACAGTGCAGACTTGCCCATCACATGTGACTTTTCCCCTTTCACAACAGAGGAAAGTATAAACAATTGGAAGTAAAGGAGCTCAGCTCAAAGTGGATCACCAGAAAGGCAAGCCATCTTCTGGCAGTTATTAGATTTCCATTTGGGGAAAAGCATTGATCAGGGGGTTAGAAGATCTGGGTTTGGATCCCATCCTTGTCTTTCACAGCAGGGTGACCTTGGGCAACCTCTCTGAGCCTCACATTCCTCTCCTGTAAAATGACAGTTGTATGTACATGATCTGCAAAGACCAAGTTCAATATTCTATCTACCATGCATATTTTGACCAAGGGGGAAGAAGAGAAAGAGGACTGGAGTACCATGTGTGAGGAAAAGTTATTGGAAAATATTTAACCAGTTAAATGAGGAGTATTCTGAGGTCTGACACACAAGACAGGATATTAGGCAACTTTAAATTATGACCTATTCTCACTTTACGTATTAAAGTACAACTTTAAGTTTGGCATAGGTTGGTCTACAATTATCCAAAAACTTGCAGTGATAATATTAATGTCCCACTATATGATATTGGCACTACCGAGATCATCAGAGCAAAAACAGTTGTTGGCCTGATTAACACCAGCCATCCGGGGACTTAATGGAATAGAAGAAAGAGGAGACATGCTTAGTTATTTGTTGTTGCTAACACATTTATTTCCAAAAAAAGGATTTGAGATGACCAGGAATCCCTACCTATCTTATGTATATTCATATACAACTCATGTTCTATATTTTAACAAAGGACCATGATAATGGCAGCTTCATAGCTCCAAGTAACAATTCAAGCTGATCTTGCCTGGTCCCTGGAGACTCTACCCTGGCATTGGCTATGTGGCCAACCATCCCTCTGGGTCTCTCTCTGAAGAAGGGAATGACTCCCTGGGTGAATCTGGTAATTCACTGTGTATACTCCTCCCCCCAAGGGGTGAACCACACCTAAGAAAGTTGCATAACAACTTGTTGCCATTACAGTCTCAGCTCAGGACTCAAGAAGAGTCTTTTTACTTTCTTCCTATAGCTTCTTTCTTCCCTGTAGTGGCTACTGCAAGACTTGAACACTCTCCTAGGGTCTCTTGACCACCTGTGAACATGACAATCTCAGCAGGTGATTAACCACTGAATTGGTAAGAAAAATAGAAGATATTATAAATGAATTTGCTAAGCATTCTTCCACCTCTCTGCACTCCAACCTACAAACTTACTGCCATTTTAACCAATCTTTCTTTGATTTCAGAAAAACAGGTATAACTGCTCCCATCAACCCTGAACTTGATCTCCTCTCCCTGCCCCCAAAACCTTACTCTCCTATGTAGTTGTTTCCTTCCTACCCCTGGCTCCTGTATTTTAGTCTAGAAGAATGTCTATCACTTTGATATTAAAACAGCAACAAAACAAAAACAAAAAACTACTAGCCTCTCTTTAATGTAAGTTCTTTCTAGATACTACCCCAGGTCTCTTCATTTTATAACCAAGCTTCTAATAAAAGAGCTGTCTATATGTCCTCAACTCCCACTAACTTCTCACCCCTTTGCAATCTACCTTCTACTCTCAACACTTGAAACTGAAAAGGTTAACAATAACCAAATCCAATGGAGGCTTTTCATTCGTTTCCTACTTGATCTCTCTGTGACCTTTGACACAATTGCTCCTTCCCTTCTAGAAACACTTTTACCTCGAGGTCTCATTTTTCCTTTCAGACTGATCTCTGTTAATTTTTCTTCATTGGCTTATCTTTTAATATCTTCTTTTACTGGGTTTTCTGCCCATCTCTCAGCATATGTTTTACATGAATAAGCAGTGTTCCCCAGTGAATCTCACCTCTAGGGGTTTCCTATTCCACTCCACATTGATTCTGGGCTTGACCATGGGATTGCTTTGGCCAGTAGAACATCAGCAAACCCGAAGCAGGCAGAGGACTGGTAAGTGCTTGTGTATTGGGGCTTGCCTTATTGGAAGAGAGACTGCCATGTCATCAGGATGACCAAGATGAAAAAGCAAGTGGAGAGAGACAGAGATAGAGATAGGTAGAGAGAGAGAGAGGCTCAACTACCCCAGCTTTTTCAATTGAGTTCAACCCCCAGGTAACCCACCAGATGGATCATAATTTGTTTTAAGCCGCTAAATTTTGGAGTGGTTCTATATACAGTAATAGATAAATAAAAACGATCCCTGTCATCAGCCTGATTTCCTCACCTGTCACATGTGTTCCCATGCAATCCCATCCATTTCAGTGGACTTAAGTACTGTTCATACCTCATAATTCTTACCCCTATATCTCTAGGCCAGATAAACCTTCTAAGTTCCCGTTTCTTACTTAACAGACATCCCCATTTCAATATTCACAAACCACCTCTAAAGGAATTCCCACACCAAAGCCCTGTGTTTTTCCACAAGCTGCTCTCGCCTCCATTTCTTATCTTGGTTAGTGATGCAAGGCAGGTGGAAACCTAAAAGGGAATCTTCACCCTTCCCTTTCATTCACTTCCCAACATCAGTCATTCATCAAATCTTACCAAACATGTCACCTAAGCATCTCTCACATCTATTCCTTGATCTCTCCCACCTCAAATGCTGCCCTGGTCCAGGACCCCATCACATGCTGGGCCTGTCACTGATGTTTACTCACCCTCAGCCTACCCTGTGGTTTGGTTCTCTGTCCCCATCGTTTTCCTGCTCACTATCTTTTTGTGCCTCCTTATGACCTAGAGGATAAGGTAAACATTTCTTCATATGCTACAAAACCCTTTCTCACTTGGCCCTTCCATCCTCACTTTTTCCCCCTGTGTGTGCTGTGCTCTAACTGAGCCAAATTACTTGCAGTGCTGACACTAGCCTGGTGCTGTCCCATCTGTCCCATGCATGTCTCTGCCGGCTTTCCTGCCTGGTGGGCCTCCCCACACTCTGCCATCTGCAGAGTCCAGCCAGGCTCGGCTCAGTTTAAATGTCATCTCCTCTGTTGAAGCCTCTCCTGCTCAGACTTAGTCATCCCATCTTCTGAGCTATCACTGTACCCAACAATACCACAATTACACACATTTTAGTTGTAAAGACATGCTTAAATGCCTGCCCTCCCCCCAATAGATGCACAGAGCCCCCTCCAGGGTGGGGTTTGCTTCATTATTGTGTTTACAGCACCCAGCACAGTGTACAATGCACAGCAAGTGCCAATAACCATTGGTGAATCATATGCTATACTTTTTCAGTTTAAATGCTTTGTAAAATTATTTTATAATTAGTTAAGTTAGCACTACAAACGTCCACTTATTAGACTAGAAATGGAGACAATGAGTGGCCCAATATTACTTAGATTAAGGTGGGTAACAGCAAGTCATGGAACATTGGAGCTGGTAACTGAAGAGAGAAGAGCCAAAGGGGCACAGTCCAGGTGGGAGGCAGCGCCACTTTAGAACTGTTGCCCCCAGAGCTCCCTATCACTGCTCCTTCTAGACAGAGCACTGCCGTCCTCTACCACAGGGCGGAGTGGGCCTTTGCTTCTGTTTTCTCTTCCCCCATCAGAAGTCAGCCCACATGACAAGCACTTAGTAACAATCTTGAGTCTAGACAGTGCAAAGAAATAGGTGGTAGCTTTTATGTCTTCCCTTTTCTTGTCTTAGGAGGTCTTCCTCACTTTTCTCCCTGCTTCCAGTCTAGTTTTCCACATTCTTCACCCTACCAAAGAGATATTTCGAAGTACAGATCTGACTTGTTACTCTCTCACATGAAGACTCTCCAATGGCTGTCCATAACCTTTGGGGAGAAATCTAGAGCTCTCCTTGGACCTTTCTACTTATCTAGTCTAATCTACTACCTCCTTACCCCTGCCACTTAAACAAATGTGTAAACATTTATTGAGTTCTTTCTACATGGAAGGCTCTATGGGACCTGGGGGTACTAAAAGACAAGGCACAGTCATTGTTCCCCAGAAGCTTACAGACCAATGATAAGACAGAACAAGAATTAATTATAGTTCAACATAAGTGTGTATTGATGGAGACGGGCATCCTTGGGAGAACAAAGGAAGAACAGCCAACCCATCCTGGGAGGATCAGAGAACACTGTGGAGGAAGACTGGCTCAACCTCCATGTTCCACTCCTAATAGATCCACTTGCAGTGGCCTGGACTCACTGGGCTATGAAACCACTGTTGTCTTCTTGGGAATCCCTCCTCCCCTGCTTGTTCTGATGAATCTCCCTATTCTGATGAATTACTGTGCCTACTCAAGACACAGTGCAAGGCTCTCATCTTCTAGGAAGGCTTCCCTGATATCCCAGGTAGCAAAAATCACTCCCTGCTTTTTTTTTTTTTTTCTGATGCAGGAGATGAACCTGGAATCTCGTAAAAATGAGTATTATTATTATTTTTTAGAGACTCACAGGCTGGCCTCAAACTCCTGCACTCAGGAGTGCAGGTCCTCCCACCTCAGCCTTCCAGTAGCTGGGACTACAGGCACATGCCACCACCATGCCCAGCCTCACTTATTACTTTATGCTGCCACACAGCATGAGCTCCTTGAGGACAGGACCTTACCATGTCTCCAGTGCTATTTTAGAGTCTGGCACACTGTAAGCATTCAACAAATGTTTGCTGAAACAATGGCTCAAACTCAGCTGAACATGTTGTCTTTAGGAGCCAACAATGGCCTAATTCTAGCCCATAGTGGTTTTCTTTTCATCTGATATGTTGACCTTACCAACCTTGACCATTGCCAGCAAAAGCTCCTAGCAGTGTTCTGGGCTAATAGAGATAAAATGGGAATTGGAGCTAATGGTTTTTCAACCAATATACTATCTGCTTAATTAAAAGATACTATACTATGGGCTGATTACTACAAAGTTTTACAACATATATACCCAATAAATGAAATAGTCCGGAAGGTACTACAAGTATAGTATATGAAAATATTTTGAAAAATAATGGAATCAATTCATACTCATATACTCTCTATGTGGAAAACGCGGGAGCATAAATCTAACAAATAATTTTTTTTTTCTTTTTTTGCAGAGGAACCAAAGCCAGGTACTCTTCAATTAGCATAAGAGGAAATAAATAGTAACTTTAAAGCAGTACAACTAATAAGGAAAAAGGCAACATCACACAGGCAACTATAATTTTAGACTATATGAAATGATAGATTTTTTTTTTTTTTTTAAGATGGGGTCTTGCTCTGTCACCCAGGCTGGAGTGCAGTAGTGTGATCTTGACTCACTGCAGTCTCAACCTCCTGGGCTCAAGTGATCCTCCTGCCTTAGCCTCCCAGGTAGCTGGGACTACACCTGGAATGGGCCACCACACCTGGCTAATTTTTATTTTTACTTTTTATAGAGGCAAGGTCTCACTATGTTGCCCAGGCTGGTCTCAAACTCCTGAGCTCAAGCGACTCTTCTGCCTCGGCCTCCCAAAGTGCTGGGATTACAGGTGCGAGCCACTGTGTCTGGCCTCATAATAGAACTTTTTAATGAAAAGGCAAGTGACCAATTTTCTAACAAATACAGCAGCACTTACATAGCCAACTGGTTTCTTATTTATTTTTATTTATTATTACTACTTTTTGAGACAGAGTTTCACTTTTGTTGCCCAGGCTGGAGTGCAATGGTGTGATCTTGGCTCATTGCAACCTCTACCTCCCGGTTCAAGTGACTCTCCTGCCTCAGTCTCCCGAGTAGCTCGGATTACAGGCAACTGCCATCACACTCGGTTAATTTCTTTGTGTTTTTAGTGAGATGGGTTTTCACCATGTTGGCCAGGCTGGTCTCAAACTCCTGACCTCAGGTGATCCACCCAGTTCAGCTCCCAAAGTGCTGGGATTACAGGCATGAGCCACCGTGCCTGGCCGGCTTTCTTTTATGAAAAAATTACAGGCCGGGCGCGGTGCTCACGCCTGTAATCCCAGCACTTTGGGAGGCCGAGATGGGCGGATCATGAGGTCAGGAGATCGAGACCATCCTGTCTAATGCGGTGAAACCCTGTCTCTATTAAAAATACAAAAAAAAAAAAAAAAAAAAAAATTAGCCGGGCGTGGTGGCAGGTGCCTGTAGTCCCAGCTACTCGGGAGGCTGAGGCAGAAGAATGGTGTGAACCAGGGAGGTGGAACTTGCAGTGAGCTGAGACTTCGCCGCTGCCCCCTCCAGCCTGGGTGACAGAGTGAGACTCCGTCTCAAAAAAAAAAAAAAAAAAAAAAGAAAAAATTACAGAGGAGGATTATGCCATTATCCCAGTGAAGCAGAAAAAGTTTTTTAGACTTTTCTTTTTGCTGCTTTCTTCAGCATTTATACCCCTCTATATATTTATATTTTAATTATTTATGTATCTTCAATGGCAGTAAACCTTCATCATTTAGAGGCAAAATATATTGTTTGGAGCTAGCCAAAGTCATTTGGATGTAAATTTGGTGAATGAAGAAAAATAACAGTTTTTAGTGGGGGAAAAATATGTGGCGCTAAAGAGAGTTATTTTCCAGTACTTGCAAATTGGTTCTGAACACAATTTCAAAAGATGAGTTCCAAAAATATACTGAAGGATGCCCTCAACACTGGAATTAGTGTAATTTACATAATATTTTAAAGTTGGAAACATTTAATATAGATAGGACTTGATTTTTAAGTGTTTGAGAGTTAGAGTGTTTTTTCAGTTATTTTAGATGTGCACATTACCCCCTCACCACAGGTATTATAGGTTGATACATTCTGGGCTATTTTTCCAGAGATATTTATTTGTCTGTGGAATTCAGCATTAAGTCTGAGCTCTTCAAATAGACTGTATCTATTCATGACCTAGGGCCTAGACAACCTTTTTGTAGTGGGTCATATTTTCTTTGGTGTTTTTCTCAACTGCTTTCTGCTTGGCCCGCTCCATTCTTCAATGCCCTCCTTCCCAGGTCCTTAGTACCTTTCCACTGTCCTCTGGCTACACGGAACTCAGGTCTGTCCTATTCCTCCAGGGCTCAGACTCCAAAATTAACATTCTCCCTTATCACCAGATCAAAACTACCAATCCACTAGATTGTAAACTCCATGAGGGCAGGACGTTTTGTCTGTTTTGTTCACTACTATATCTCCAGTACCTAGAACCAATCCTGGAAACTCTTAGGCACTCGAAGTTGAATGAATGGCTAAGTCTCTAAATTTGTTACTCTGGCTAGCTGTTGGGAGGAAAGCAACCCATTGAACCAATTTACACTCATCTGTGAAAGACCAGTAGCCCCTTATCTCACCCTAAGGTATTTGCATACTTAAAGAGAAAGCTTGTGAATTCAAATTACTCTCATTGGGAAAACTTCAATAGTGAAGCAAATGGAGAAAAAACATTTCAGGCTAAAGGGGAGTGTTGGGGGATGGTGGTGGTGTGGTGAGAGCTATGACTCAGGTAGGCCAGATCTGCCTAGGAGTTTGCCCCTGAGGGCCTCTACTTTTTAAGGCCCCTTACGTTCCACACCACCACAACATCTAAAAGCTTAGAGACTTCTTCATGATGGCTCAGGGCAGTGATCAGGATAAGGAGACTATAAGTCAGAGGACTTATATTCTGTAGGACTGTTTTTACATTGGGTACTGGTATATATCAAAAGGAAGTTTCCTAGCTTTCGAGTTAAATGTACAAGAGCACAGGGAATCTCCTCATAGTCATATTTGTTGATAACAAGTTAATTGCAATATTGTAATTTCACTATATGTAGATGTCATTTTTTTTCTCCTGTGAATTGCCTTGAAATAGATGCACATCTGATATCGAGCTGTGGCACACTGTAAAAGATAAGACATAATTTTTTATGGCACATTATTTTAAAAATGTGTTCTAATATAGTCAGGTACTAGCGATTTTTTTTCTAGACATTGTGTCCTGTTTTTGACCCCCCCGCCCCACACACCCCTAAAGCACCTTTCATATACTTTCATTGGGAAATATAAACTTAATGGAAACAGTAGCCTAACCTCAGAGTTGTGATTCTTGGTTTGTGATACCGGGTTTAAAACAGATGGAAGTTGATTTTAGTGGTTTCAACTTTTTAAATGCCAGAATTCTTTCTGTACTGTCTTCTATGTTCTTTTTGATGATCTGTAAGCTCCTTAAACATTAAAACATTTATTTCTTTTAGAACAAAACTCAAATACATGATGAAAGCAAGCTAAAAGCAGTGCATTTAACAAACCACAATATAATGTGATATATTTATAGAATTATTACTAAAATCAGAAAATCAATGTCTTAGTGATTAAGTCTAGGATAATCAAACTTATTGAATAGTTGCAGTAGTTACTTAATGAGATAGTTTTGATTAATCTTTTGTCCAAATAACAATATTGTGATTACAGGCTTAGCACTACAGGTAGTGTAACCATCAGTGAGTGAGATTAGTACATTTTACATAGTTTTGCTATTTTCTCAGTTTATTTTGGAGTCCAGTAATAACCAGTCAGTCTGTACCTGCCATAGGGCAATCTTTGGTTGATATGAGTTCCTTTCCTGATTTTAAAATAAGTGCAATCTTTAACCTAATAAAATTATCTTAAAGTTTACAATTGATGGTTTAAACACATTATAATTGCTCCGTATTTTGCAGATAGAAGAGGCTTAATCCATGTTTGTAGATCTATTTCCTAAAATAAAAATTAGTAAAAAAAAGTTTTTTTTCTTCAGGTTTAACATTCATTTTGTACCGGGAAGAGAAATGGAATAAGAGGCTCGGATTTTTAAGACTATGCAATCAGATACAAGTGCCATTTTGGCCAAAGAATGAGTAAAACATTCTAGTCCCGACACGTTTAATAATGGGCATACATCCTATTTCTTTGTTTCATAATCATTGAGCTCTCTGCCTTCTCTCTCTTTTTTGGTATGGTAACAAATTCGACAAAATCAATGCCATCTAGTTAAACTTTTTGATTAAGTAGTGGATCCGGTGTCCTATCCACGAAGAGGTGGGAAAAGCGATGTGGAGAAGCAGGCACGAACCCATCTGGAATGGAACATGTCCCTTCCGAATAATTTCATGTGGGAAAATAATTTCAAGTTGAAGGATAATTACTGCAGAGACTGCCAGTCACCCCCGGCCGCCGCCGGCCGCGCAGCGTCGGAAACCCTTCGCGGCAGCCAGGAGGGTCGCAGCCCTCCCGGAGCCCCGCTTCCTGCCCCGGGGCGGCGCACCCGGCTCCGGGAAGGTGCCGCGCGGGAGACGTGGCAGCAGCCCCTCCAGTCCGCGCCCGGGCGCAGCGGCCGAGCGCTCCGTGCAGCCGGGCAAGGAAGACTCCGCGGCAGCAGCGCACCGGCCGGCGGGGAGACCCGCCTGAAGCGCCGGCGCCCGCCAGGGGACGGGAAGTGGCGCCCGGCCCGCCCTTGCGGCCCGCGGCCCGCGGCCCAGCAGCTCCGCGCCGCCCCTTTTCTCTCGGCCTCTCCCTCGGCCTCCGCCACCCCGGCCGAATTCTTGCATAAATTATGCCAGGCGCGCCTGACGTCAGGTGGCGGCGCGCGGGCGCGGGCGCGGGCGCGGCGCGGCCCGGAGGGAGCTGGCGGCGGGCGCGCGCGGCCCCGCGGCTTCGGGTGCGCGCGGCGTGCCGGACGCGCGCAGGCGCTGGCGTGCTGGGGCCGCGGCGGCGGCGGCGGCGGCGGCGGCAGCGGCGGCGGCGGCGGCGGCGCGGGGGTTGAGTCGTGGTGGTGCGGACGCGCTCGTGCTCGGGAACTATCGGATTAAACTTGAATCGAGTGAAATTACACAAAGGAGCGCCGCGGAGGAGGCGGCCCGGGGACCCGGACACCCTGAAACTCACCAGAGACCCGTTCGCCCCCGGCCAACTCCGTGCCCGTGGATTCAGCCCCCTGGCCGCAGCTGCCGAGCCAACTCCGGAGCCCGCTCTGCGTTTTGTTTTCCCCTCGGCACTAGGCAGCGGAGGAGCCCGACCGACCCGGTGAGCGCGAGAGTTCGCCCGGCGCCCCCGGGAGGGGCGGCGGCGGCGGCGGCGGCAGGAAATCGCTCCGGGCCGGGGCCGGGGCCGCGCTAGGAGTTGGGAGCGAGGAGTTGGGCGTGTGCGGGGCGAGGGGCGAGGGGCGAGGGCGGGAGGGGGCCGGGGCCAGCGCAGGAGCGCAGCGCCGCCCGCGTAGTGTCGCCGGCGTCGCCGCCCGCGGGGCCCGAACCCGCGCCCCGAGCGCCGCCCGGCGCCCCAACTTTTGCCTGCGTCCGCCGGGCCGGCGGCGGCGGGGGCGCGCGGTGCGGCCGAGGGTCACTTCCTCGCATGTAAATGGCTTTTTGTTGTGCTGCCGGCGTGGGGGGGGGGTACGGGGGACAGGAGGGAGCGTGTCTGCGCGCGGGGGAGCGCGAGCGCGTTTCCTCCCGCCGGCGCCGAGCACGAGTTGCCGGCTCCATTCGAGAGAAAAAGGAAGGAGGAAAAGTTGGGCTCCAACTCAAGTGCGAGCGGGCGATGGGCGCGCGGGCGCGGGGCGGCTGAGCAGCGGCGGCGGCGGCTCGGGGACGGCGGCGACCCCCGCCTCCCGCCCCCGCCCCCCGCTCCGGACCGACCACGCCGCGCTCGCCGGGAGCTGCGGCCGCACCGGCGCGAACAAAGTGCGTTCCTCCCGGCGCGGCGGCGCCAGCCCGCGCGGGGACCGCCACCGAGCGAGGTGGGTCGGCGGCGGGGAAAGTGCGCGGGGCGCCGCGTGGGGCGGGGGCAGCGCGAACACGCGGCGCGGGAGGCGTCCCGAGCTCAGCCAGTGCCGGTCGCGGGCGCGGAGTTGCGAGCCCGGAGTTGGGGGCTCCTGGGGCTCCCCGGCGGCTCCCAAGTGCGCTAGGAGGAGAAGAAAGGGAGCGGGGCCGGGGCGAGCGCCGGGAGGCGCGGCGAGGAGGGGACCCCACCTTGTCGAGCTGGCCGGGCCGCCGGCGGCGGCAGCTGCATAATAGCGACTTTAACCTTCCAACGCAACTCGGCTCCCCCGCCCCCCAACCCGCCGGGGGTCAGCGCCGGTGGGGGGTGGTCACCAGGTGGCCCCCGAGGTGACCCGGGTGCGCTCTGCCCTCGCAGAGAGCCGCGGCTTGGAGCGTGAACGGCCGAGGTGGCTGGAGGCCAAGCGGTCAGCGGGGAGAGGAAAGGAGGGCGGTGGGGGACGCGTTGTTTGTTTGGTTCGCACCGGGGATTGGGCTCGCTGGGGGCGCGGGGCTCGGGCGGGGGCGCGGGCACCGGCTGGGCTGCGGTGCGGGGCGGGCGCGGCGGCGCGGGGCTGTCGAGGTCGCGGGGGGGGGGGGCGGGGGCGGCGGCGGCGGCGGCTCCCGGGCGGGGGTGGGGGCGCTGGTCGGGAGGCTCTGGGGAAGGAGCCGCCGGCCCCGAGCAGCCATCATTACCGAGCCGCCTTTCTCCGGATGGCTCTGCCTCGAGGAGCCCGGAGCCGTGGGAGCGCACCCCAAACTCCCGGCCGGCCGCCCGCTTTGTGAGCGCCCCCGTGAAGCGAGCGGCGCGGAGAGTGCTCCTGCTATGGGTCGGACTCTTTTCCTGGAGGTCACTTTTAGAGACTGCTCACGCCTTGGTTTAAACTAGTTTTTTTCCCCCTCTTCTGAACAGACAATGGACAAAAGAAAAGTAGCAACCCACATGGAGAGAGTTTCCTTTTGAATTGCTAGAATTAGATACACTATCCAGCGCTCCACTTGCTAAGTATACTTTTTAGTTTCCCATTGTATATTATCTAGCAATCGATTTAAATAACTTATCTTAAAAAGTGTCCCTTTTGGGGGCTTAATTTCTGGAATACATTACATGTCTTAATTTATTTTTAAAGGATTTTGTGAGGCCCTGATTTTTTATTTTCTAAAAATTTTAATTTAAGCCGTCTTTGCAGTGGGCGATACCTTTCTAAGGGGTTAAGTGTTATTTCACCCCAGTTCTCTCTCGGTAAGGGAGGGAGTACTCAGTATACGTAGTAATCGAAGAGGAAACAAAATACGTGTCTTTATTTCTTCACTGATCTTGTCTGACGATGACAAAAAATATCTTAGTGACTGTGACCTTAGCAGCATGGCTACCTGATTTATCCCAGTTATAATTATATTTAGATTGCAGTAATGTCTAAGTACAAGGTAATTCCTATTTCAGAAATAACTTGAGCAGTGATTTTACGAAGTTGAATCCTTCTCCCAGCCCCCAGAGTACATCTGTCGCGCAGTGTTTTTGTCTTGCTGTTGCACAACAGAAGCCCTCCAGTCTTTACCCTAAAATGGCAGCTTTCATTTGACTGAGGCCCATTCATTGACAATGATAATAAAGAGGCTGAAAGCTAGATGCTTGGGGCATGGAGTAGGACTTGGTTTGCCTTTCTAGGTGATAAGTAGGAGACATTTTATGTCTTCCAGTTTGCTCAGGAAAAGTTTATTTTCCCTGAAAAATCTGTCTTGTAGAAAAAAGTTATAGTAAAATAATTTGGAAATGGGTAAAGGCTTGAGCAGCAAATTTTAGAAGCTAAATTTTCTTATTTTGCCCAATAGTGGAAATATGGCATTCTCTTTTTTGGTAATCTGCTGATAAAAGGACATAATGGATTTTTGTCAGGCTTGTAACAGGTGAATTTCCTCATGCTGGTACTCAAGAATTGGGATTGTTTTCTAGCACTGTGGGTTTTTTTCTCTTTATATTTTCTAATTTTTTCTCCTGTTCGAGTCACTAAATTGAACCATGATGAATTGTATCCTGGGTCTATGCTTTCGCGATTGAAATGAGTTTTCAGATAAGAAATGAATTATAATTTTAAAAGACTGGTATATGAATTTTAAATTATTATATTCATTTAATCAATGGCCTTATTTTTAAATTAGTTTTTTTAAAAAGTTACTTTCTTTTATATGTCTTAACATGGAAGGCACAATACAGGAATGGTAGAGTGGTTGTACCGGTGATGTTTAAAAACCCAAATATTATTTTCCTCTTTCAAGGAAAGAAATAACTTTTTTTCCCAAGTTGAAAATATGGAAGTCAAATTTATAACAACGTATTCAGTAACTTAGTTTTAAAATAGTACTTTTATAGATTCACCAGTATTTGGTCTAGTTTTTAATCAGTTCAACTTACAGGAACATTTCCTAAACTTTTTTCATAATGAGCCTTCTTTCTAGGTTAGCCTTACTTTTATTGAGTTAAAATGAATACCATGAAGAGTACCTTTATAATACAGTAACATCAAGGAAATGTTACAACCGTTTTTCATACAGATGCGAAGTCAATAATATGTTATAGTTTTTAAGCAGTTAGGTCAAAATAACAGAAATATTTTGTTATGAGAAAATACACTGTAAATGCTTCTGTGTGCCTGCTGTGTAACCCATAAAAGCCATGTAAGTGCCAAGTTAGTGTAGTTCTTTCAAACCTAAGATTACAGCATTGTATTCCATATGCTTGAAAAAGTTTGCTTGCCACACAGTCACCATGCCTTTAGTTAACTTTGATTCAGCAAACCTTGGCAAGCCTTCCATGGTTAAAACAATAAAAGGCAGTACTTTCCTTTAGGGAGTGTACCATCTAATAGAGAGCAGTTCTATAGGTAAGCAAATATTCACATTTGACTTTTAAGATAAACTTATAAGTAATAGTTATCTTTCATCTTTCATTAACTAAATACAACCTTTTGGGTTTGATAGCAGACACCATGGCCATCTTAGAAACATCGAATATAAATGTGGCATTGCAAGAATAAAAATGTTTAGTCAGGTCTGAGCAAATGGCTCTTAAAACTTCAACTTTGTAAGACAGTGATTCTTTTTCAGTAAATGATTTCTACATGTAAAAAGTAAGCACATAGTCACATAGCTAAAATCACCAAAAAGGATGGAGAAGGAACATCTTAGGTGATATTAAGATGATGTCAGCAATATATTGGCTCTGTGGGACCCTTTCAATTGTCTTGTTCACTCATGTGGGCATATTTGTGTATCTTAAAAAAATCTGTTCTTTTCATGCGATTGGAAATTCAGAATTTAGCATTTTTCTAGACAGGTTTCCAAAACCATTATGGTTTCATTAGTTCAGGAGATACTATTTTCCCCTTTCTCTATAAAACTTTATTATTTAGTCTTTAAAAAAATTGTTGACATTCAAAGGTGACTAATGTTAAAATATAAAAGAAATTGAGATCAATAATCGCTTGGTTTTTCTACAAAAAATACAAAGATGGAATGATTTATTTCAATTTGGGTATCACTCAGGTTGCAGTGATGGCAGAGGTCCATAGCTGATTATGGTGGTTGTTAAGAGCTAGGAAGGTAATTTAAAACATCATGACTATGTGTCCATATTTTACTTTTGTCAATAGATTAAAAATTGTAAATGAAATCACATCTGCATGATAAAAAGAAGAAATAGAAACAGGAAGTTGTAATGATGTTGTCAAATAAAAATTCATTTTATCCTTATTAGAGAATGATTGGATATTTAGAGTGTGAGGACCTTAGAGAGCTAGTTGAACTTTCTCATTTTACAGATTAAGAAACTAAAGTCCAGAGAGATTAATTAAATGAACTGCCTCTGACTGGCCACCCACTGTTGCAGAGCTTATCTCAGTTACAGTTGTGTTCCTGGTGCCTAGCATCGTGCCAGTGCAGGAGGGGTGCTGGTCTTGTCTTTGTTGGCTCTGGAAGAGTACAGCTCTTGCTCATGTTCTGACTCAAAGGTACCTTTAGGCTTTAGAATCCTACAGCATAGGACAACATAACTCTTAAAGATGTTCCTAAACCAACAATAATTTGCTTCTGTTTTTGGAGGTTTTTTTTTTTTAACTATGATTATCCATTTAGGAAAAATGCAGAGATAATTATTTCAAGATTTGACAACTGTTTTCACTTTAGATGCATGTATTGATCACCATAGCTAGATTCCTGTTGCATTTTAACTAATGTTAGGTGACTGACTGCAAACATGATTGTTTTTTCAGAGAAGGATTTTTTTGGGGTTTCTGTTCTGCTTTTACTTTGAAAATTAGAAATGTCTTTTTAAAAGTAAAAAATAACGTAGGTATTTATGAAGAAACTTAACTTGTCAGTAAAGGCTGGTTCACTCTCAGGCTTGTTTACCTATGCTAATGTGGAATCTAAGGCACTTTTTAAAGTGACCCTTTGAGCCTTGCTTCCTCTGTGCATGTCAGGATTGGCTTTCACGGCCACAGAATCTGGACTGTGATTAGTCTTCCTGTTTCATCTGTGGTTTTGCTCATTGATTCGGCTGTTTGTTGGGTACCTGCTACCTGAAAGATGCAATGCTATGAATTGTCAATATAGTGATGACATGAGAAGACATGGTAAACTCACACAAAAACTAGAGCTACTGTAAGGTCATAGGTGTGATGCAGTCGGTGCCAGGAGGAGTGAGAGCTTAGGACTTGGGGATTCCGTCAGTTGGGTGGGGTATTACCCCTTAGGAAGTGGCTTTAGCATTACCATCTGAATGATGGTAGAAGAAGGGGTGAGGGCACTTCAGGCAGTGCCCCTCACCTGCAGGGAGGCTGTGTGTTTGAGGCATTCAACTGCAAGATGAGACTCGAGGCAGGCAGTATCCAACTTGGTCAGGGCTTTCAGGATATCAAATTTGGGATTTTTGAAAAAAGCAGTAGGAACCACTGATGAGTGTTAAGCAGCCTTTGACACGAGCAGAGTAGTGTTTTGAAGAAGATTGAATTGGTGGGTGCAGAGAGGACAATAGGTTGTAGACAATATCCTGCCTGCTTTTGTTGTGGTCTGTGGGATGGGGAAATCACAATGATTTGGACTAGATTGGTGGTGGCCATGGGGATGGAGAGAAATGGACAGATTTGAGAGATATTTAACAGTTTCAACGAATAGGACTTGGGGATAGATGCGCTCTCAAGAGGGAGATCTCAGGGCATATAGGTTTCTAGCATGTTCCCTGCTTGGCTGGTTGGCTACTGATCCTATTCACAGAGGCAAGAATCAGATCTGCTGAAGATTTGAGAAGGAAGCTCATGAGTTCTTGTAGCATATGACTGAGGTAGCTGATAATGGACCATGATGACATTGTTTTATCCTTTGCATTGCTAGTGGCATTCCAGAACTTTAAAAAAAGTAATCTGCTAGCTTTAACCAAAAGATATTGGACGTGGGGAGTTCATCAAGGAATGTGAATGGGTTCAGTGAAATGGGAGAGGGGAGGGAAGCCTTACTTGCTGAATACATAGCACTTTGCTTGTTACTTGCCTGATACATAGCACTTTGTAGGAGTTTGCTCATTCCAGGTTGAGCGTAGAATCCTGTGGTAACCAGACCTTGGCACATTTTGTTCTTCTGTATGTCCCCTTACGGAGGCTGCTTTCTGTTGCTAGTCACATATTAGGGCAAGGTCTTTGGGTTCCCGGCACGTGGGTGGCAGGTCCCCCATGTTCTCGGGGCTGCAGTCTCCCTCGGAGAGAGTTGTATTTTAGAAGTTGGTTGTAGTCATACAGAAGCAAGGAAGGAGTGAATACATTATTTAAATAAATGTGGAGAAGAATACCAATGTTTATCAGAATACTTACCTGGTTTTTAGTGGAGTATGTATAAACCAGTTTAATAAGTAAATTACCTTCAAAGTTACTTTGTTCAGTTATTATGAAAAGTAGATTGTAAAGCATGGTTGCCGGTGGCAGATGAGCGATGCTGTTACACCCAGAAAAGCTTCTGAATTGCTGACTTTAATATTATATAAGAAAAATTATGAAAATACAGGACAGTAATTTTGGAGCTTTTTTAGGGAAGTGTTTGTATTTTTGTGTTTGCCAGCTAATATGGGTGATTGCCAGCCAATATGGGTGATAGAACTTTTTGTTATAGATCAAATTTTGTTCTTGTGTGCATAAAGATAACCTTCCTGGGACTCAGTGTCTTTAATTAGGGGTCTGTTTCAAAGATACTTTTATTGTCATTGTGTGTTCCTCATGGGCCTTTCTGGTGGCCATTGTGACTCAGTCAAGTCTTCTGGGTTCCTTCCTGTCTTGTGTTGTTTGTAGGGACATGCTTCATGTGAAAGTTTACCTTCACCTGCAATAGTTTTGAGTGATTATTTGAATAAGCTTAAATTCAGGAGAAGTAATGTTTCCACGTGTGGAATGGCAGGAAAACTTGGTGCACTAACTTCAGCTTCAGATGGGCTTGTGCCAACTACTCTGTGGCAATTTATATCTAATACTATTTCTTCAACTTGCCAGTTTTTCTTAAAAAAAAAAAAAAAAAACTCTTTAAAATACATTCTGTCATTAGGTCCAGCCAGCAGTGTATTCTTAGGGTGTAAGAGATCATTTCTAAGAGGTGTAGACATCGAATGGAAAGGCGCATGCAGGCCCCTGTGGATGTGGCTTTAATGGAAGAATAGAGGGGATGCTTCTTTGGGGCCTGCCTTCTCTCCTGGCATCTGCAGTGGCTGAGGAGGCAGCAGAGGTCATGTGGTGGATTTGAGTTTTCCACCATGTATTTCATCAGGATGAGGTTGGGCAAATAGCCATCTGCTGCTGAGCAGGGACCGCGTGCGACCTGGGTTTCCACACCCACCCTTTGTGTAGGGAAAGGTGTGCAATTAGACACATGTGTTAGGTTGGACACATCACCTCCTTTCCCTAGTATCCTCAGTGTAAAACAGTCAGATTTCTATACCATATTTGCAGTATGTCTAAAAAAGGGTACATGGCACCTTACTAGTTAATTTTCTTTCTAGTTCTGCAGCAAGTTTGGGGAACTACTTTAACTTTTTAGAGGCCACTGTGTCCTCTTTTCATCATTTTGAAAGAAACCACAAACATTTTATTTGTTATCCATTTTTGTTTTGTTTCGTTTTCGAGATGGGGTCTCACAATACTGTCCAGGCTGGATTCTAATTCCTGAGCTCAAAGGCTTTTCCTGCCTCAGCCTCCCAAGTAGCTGGGATTACTGGCATGCACCACTGTGCCCTGTTATATCAACATTTTAGAAATCTGTCTGTTGATATTTAAAACATAATTAGCAAATGTGCATATTATTTCAACACACCTAAAAACTATTAAACATCTTTAACATAATACTAAGCAGTCATAGTGAGAAGTCCCTCGAAGAATTATAAGCATGCCTTTAGTTTCCAAGGCAGTGCTTGCTAGCATACTAAGTGAATAATAAAATCAGTTTGAGCACAGGAATATGATAAAAAAAAAATACCCCAGTTGGTGAAGTATTTTGAAGTGTATGAGCCTAGCAATTATTTATGGTTAGAACTGGCACTATATTGAAATTGTTGAGCCCATATCCTTAAATAATTTTTTAAAAGTCTCTGTTAAAGTGTTTTATGTTCTTGTATACTTGGCCTTGTTTGTGCTTGAAATTTTGCTTTCATTAATCTCAAGTGTACCGATCTTGCAAGAAAAATCATACATATTCATCTTGAGAATTTCAAAATCTTGATTAACAGTGTACCCCACCCTGAAGTATATGTTGGGCCAATCAAGTAAAATAGTGCAGAAATAATAAAACAATATTAAAAATAACAGTAATAACCATAATGACCGGCTGTTATTTCCAGTTGGGTAGTTACTCAGCTGAGTGTTGTCATGGATCATTTCATTTCCTCATCAGAGCAACTCTAGGTAATAGGTAGAACTATTATCCCCATTTTACAGATGAGGAGACTAAAAGGGATGAGAAGTTAAATTACCCAGGGCCATACATTTCTAGCACGTGGTGGAGGAGGAATTTGAATCCAGATGAGCTAGACTCCACAATCTGTGTACATAAGCATGGTGCTGCTGTTGCCACGTAGACCAGCTCTGGAGCTTGCATTGTTGCCGTCTTAATAGACAAAGGTGTGTTAAAAATACCCATGCCATGCTGTGATGCTACCTATTGCTGTGTCTTACCAGCCCAGGCTATTTTTTTCTGTACTTCCTCTGTTGGTGCCTGCTGTAGTTGTGGGGCCATATGTCATGGGATGTCTTCGTACCTAAAACGACCAGGTCCTTGCCTTTCACACTTAAGGCCCTTCTGCTCACATGGAGATGAGGAGAAGAGTTGTTCTTGTGGAGGTTGCCTTCTGAGGCGGCTGAGAATTTGAGTTTTGATGTCGGACAGATACGGGTGTGAATCATAAAAATGGACATAATACATTCTCCTAACTGCCCAGGGTTATGGTGAAGGTTAAGTGAGGCACTCCAGCTAACATACTTGGTATAGCATATGGCATATTCATTGAGTGGTTACTATTTTTATTAGTTCAGTTTAATCATGGAACTTATCAAATCATATGTATTGCTTTTACTTTTGTTTTAAAAAGTCCCTCAAACCATAATCCTACAGATGACTGGACAAGAATGAGTGGCCTAAAATGGTGACTGGCTACACAATTTTCATTTTTCTTCAGGAGAAGACATTTGAAAATAACATCTTTATGTCCTTTGTCCATCAGTGCAACCAGATGTTATTTGCCTAATTCTCTTGTTGATTATATAGAGTTGATTCAGATATCCCAGGTACTAAAAGTGACAGGTTTGAGGGAGTGCTTATCTCTTGTCCTGAAGATGTTCATCTCCTACCAGAGTTATGGCTGTCCTTCTAGTGAAACAGTCATTTCTTCTTTGTCCCAAATCTGCAATTCTCCAAACATGGTGGGTGATGTTATCCTAGATGATCAGTGGTGTAGGCATGTTTGATCAGCTCTGGGATATTACGGTTTTCTGATTTAGACCAGAGGTCACAGGGTGTTCTCAAAATCTATAGGAGCTCCAGATCCTCAAATCTCAGAAGCTTTGATTCCTCAGTCCCTTCCTCCCAAGTTCTCTTTACCATGTAAAGAGGAGACAAGATGGTATCTGAAATGGGAGTAGGCTTGGGTTGGGGTCAGGGATGTGAGTAGCAACTAGAACATAAGAAGGTTCTTAGGAGAGGGAAGGCTCTGGGGTAGCCTACTTAGAATCTCACTGCTACCCAGATTGGCAGGGAAATGGAAGAGATGGAGTATAGACAATTTTCATTTTATTCTATTCTATTTCTTTACTTGAAAATGACTTGGAATAACAAAATAAGTGAGTCAAAAAGTAAATAACTGGTAACGTGTGGATTTATGGGAGATCCTTGTACTATTCTAACTTTACTGCAAGTTTGCAAATGTATCAATATCAAAAGTTTTAAAAGAACAGTAGCTCCAAGGGGTTGATGTCAGTAGCTAACATTTATGGAGCATAAAGTTTGTGTCAGTTAGCATTTTGCTAAGCTATTTACATGAACTATTTCTGCTGAATCCTAAAGTAGGATTAGTCAAAATGCTGAGGTAGGAATAATAATTGCTATTTTACAGGTGAAGAGGTTGTTTAATAAATTTGTCTAAGATCATAGTTTTTAATGAGTAGTGTTGGGACTCAAAGCAGGACAGGCTCATTTAACAGCCTGTAGCATTAACTGCTCTGCAGAAATTGCTTTGGATAGTCCCATCAAAATAACCTAGGTCTTAGAAGGATAGGAACAACAAACATCATGATCTTACACACCTGCACTTTCTAGCACCAGCTCCTGGAGAAAAATCGAGAGGCTGAATGGTGTCTGTTAACAGATTATAGTCAGTGAGGCCTCTTTCCTCAGATGTTGTATCTTATCAATGGCAGACATTTTCAACCTGAAAGACACATGCTCATTACAAGACTTAGTAGTGCTCTAACCCTGTTTTCACTTATCAGTCCAAGACGTAGCCGACATCAAAGTATTCAGCTTATTACAGAATTGACTTCCTCAAAGTTTCTCTCAGTGTTTATCCAAGATGTAATTCACTTAGCATCTTTATCTCGCTGCACAGGACTAGAGTTGCCTTCGAAAAAACTCAGGATACCACTTGGCTATAGATCACAGTACTTGTTCCTCGTATTTGCGTTAACTTGTGTGAATATGCAGCCTCCGTGAGATATTTGCATACTGCTTCTGTGAACACACAGGACAACAGACTGTCTTCCGCAGTCATACACTCAGTCATATTCTCAAATAGGTATACAGTTCAAATGTATAAATCAGTAGTCTTACATGTTACAGAGTGGGTGGATGTTCCTTTGCCAGGGGATTAAAAAAAAAAAAATCCCAAGTCTTAATACTGCTTTCTCCCACACGAATAGTCTATGATGGTGTATTTTTGGATTTTGTACATGTTTATAGTTTTTTTCTTTTCACAATTTTGAATAAACTGTTGACTAGCTTGAGTATGGTAAGCCTCTACTTAAAATGTAAATTTTGCTATTTTTGGTGCATTTAATATTTTAATATTTGTCTTGATTGTGTTAATTTTCAGAGCTGTGTTTATCACCAGATTTAGTATGTTAACTTTTCAATGTTCCCACTTATTAAAAAAAATAAAAAAAATAAACATCTGGGCTGGTGTATGAAGCAAACCTCCAGTTTTATAGGGAACTTTGTGGCTACTCTGGGGTGCTGAGAGCCTTCCATTTAGCTGCTAAAGGCCAGCAGGATAAGGAAAACTGTCTTATATGCTGTCAAATACATTAATAAGGACACAATTCAAGGACATAAGTAATTTCCCCACACTGTGGAGCACACAGGTGGTGATACTGCTGTAGCTGAATTGCTGGCTGGCAGTCAGTGCCACTGCCATAGCACCACAATTTTCATTTTTGTTGTTGTTTTACTGTTGTCTCGGTATGGTGAATGGTTGGGCTATGGGAGTGGCACAGAAACCCAGGCCGTACCTAGCAGAATGGTTGACAGTCGCCGACTCCCTGTCATTTTCTGCAGCTCAGTATTTTCAGGTCAGGGAGCTGCCCATGTCATTTGCATCTTTCTTTCTTTCTTTCTTTTTGACGGAGTCCTGCTCTGTCTCACAGGCTGGAGTGCAGTGGCGTGATCTCGGCTCACTGCCCACCTCCACCTCCTGGGTTCAAGCAATTCTTGTGCCTCAGCCTCCTGAGTAGCTGGGATTACAGGTGTGTGCCACCACTCCTGGCTAATTTTTATATTTTTAGTAGAGATGGGGTTTCGCCATGTTGGCCAGGCTGGTCTCGAACTCCTCACCTCAGCTGATCCACCTCGGCCTCCCACAGTGCTGGGATTACAGGTGTCTGTGCCCAGCTGACATTATTCTTTATGGATCACTACCATAATAATATCAACAATAATAGTGTCTTTATTTGGCAAACCTGTAACATGACTCTTTACTTCTTTATAACACTGCTTCAGCCTGCTATTGATCTAGTGAGTGATTTGACTTGTTTCACCTAATACTAGGCGAGAGGTAAGAAAAACGAGTCTTTTTATTCAAGGCATTAAAGCATTAATTCATATATTTATACAGTTTACTTGTGCATCTTTTACTCTCCTGATACACTACTTCGTGTAAGGAACCCCCATCCTCCTTTTCTCACTGTTTTGAGACAGGTGCTTAGAAGGTGCTTGTCCATTATCCTCCAGGCAGAAAAAGTAAAGTCGTAGTTGGTACTTGAGTTGCATGGGGAGGAGGAAATGATTGTCTCTGAGCCTGGGCTTCTGCCTCAGTCCTGCAGCTAATGTTCTTACCCACTCCTCCCTTCCACCTCACCAGGATTAAGAAGGTACAGAGTTGTTTTGCGGAAATAATGCATCCATTGGTCTTTAAGGAAGATTAGAATAGTGAGCTGGACCGAGGTAACTTTCTTACCTGTTTTCTCCAAGAAACTCGTAAAGTGTGTTTGTTTTAGATTATTTTAAAGACCCTGTGGAATTTGTAAAAAGTTTATCTGGTAAGCTTAGAATGCCTGAAAAAATAGATATTTATTGGGAGTTAGAATTAGACAGTCGCTTAGGGTGCTTGTTAAAAATGCAGATTCCTCAACTCCACACGAGATTTATTGAATTAAATCTCCCTGGGTCATCTAGAATCTGAATTTTTATCAAGGTGCTTCTGATGTACTCTGAAACTTACGAAGCAATGTGGTTAGACCAATATGTTATGCAATGAATGTACTTTGGAAATACGAAAAATTTAGAAAATGGCAAGGAATATGCTTGTCCATCATTCATATTATAAGAATTGCAAAAATTCTTACAGTGTATTTTGGAATATTGCAAGTTATGTTATTCTCTTGCATGTAACTGAATGAATGTGGCTGCTGTTTGACACACTAATTACTATAAAGGTGAAGATGGATGACTGATTAAGCGTTTGAAACCATAGTCTTTAAAGGTGGTGCTAAAAGGGTAGAAGATAGATTGCTTTGTATTTATTTGTTAAATTTTATTTTCATTTCTACCACTGAGTAATTAAAAGCTTGTTTTGTATATAGTTCTGGTTTAAATGGTACATGTCTGCCAAACTAATACATTTGTTAAGCTACAGTAACTATTTTGGGGCAACCATTTCAAGCCAGTGTTATTTCCACGGGCATATAATACATTTAAAATGAGAATCATCTTAAAAGGTAATTTAGTGAGTGGGTTAGTGCTTTCTTGGAGGACTTGTTAGCATAATTTCGTGTAAGACAGGATGCTTATATGAAAGGCATAAAGGAAGCACATAAGGCAGCTTTTTTCCTGGCCCTTCCCCCATTCCCCTCCCTTTTGGATAGAGGCCATACTGACCACCCCTCTTCCTGACACTTCAGGTTATCCTGGACCTTGGCCGAAGGCGTCATTAGGGTCCTGAGCTTTCCCTTCCATGCTGCCTCAGTTGCTTATTCTTTTTCTTCCTACCCCCTCAATATAGCCTGTTCTCAGGGGTTTGATCCTGGCATCCTCTGGGTCTAGTTCAGGCCCACAGCAACCTTATTTGCTACTAACTCCTACGTCTGTATTCTTATTTCTCGTATCTCCCCCAAACTCCTATCCTTAATGTTCCCAATCTGTTTAAACCGAAGTCATCATAACAACTCCTTCTTCCTGCAAAAGCATGAAACAAAAGTGTGAAACTTCAAGCCCAGCCCTTTCTCTTGAACTTAGGCTCTGCACTGCAAGTCTGCGCTGGTGGTGTCAGGTCCTGGCAACCCAGCTGATGGGCTGCTCCAGACTCCACTTCCTGTGTCCTGGCCTGTTGGCATCTTTGTTCCCTCCACTATGTTGTGCCCTCCGCGACACCCCCTTGGCGGTCAGAGCGCAGTCCCAGGCCTGCTAGGTCATTATGGTCACTGTCAACTTGCACGGTTGGGGAGAGTACAGCAAAGACCCATGTTAGGGGGACCCTTTCCTTGCTTCCTTCCTGCTCCCCTGTGGAACAAGTCCCTGTCTGTCTGCTGCACCCTTTAGACCTTGCCACCCCATTGCTCCTGCCGCTCAGCCTTCCTTGGGGCACCTGCAGAGAGAGGGTCCCCCCTCCAGCTCTGCTCCTCTGGCAGGGCTTGTGGGGTGCCTTCCACAGGCAAGACCTCTGTTGCTGCTGAGCCCCAACAGTTTAGTGTCCAGGCTCCCTGTCTTGGGCAGGGCAAGGTTGCCCTGTGCCTGTGGCCTGTCCTTCCCTGGCCTCCTCAGCTATCGAGCCCCTGCTCAGCCCTCTCCCAGCTGGATTAGAATGTGGGTGGGAAGAGGAGGTGAGTTATTCTGGCCTCCCCAAACCCATTACCACATTCCTGACATCTGATTGGAACACATTTTCCCATGGTAGCTTTATTATGGTTAGGCACTGGCGGGACACCGTGGGTTAGCCTAGTGCTTTTGTAGGTTAACACAACAATGTCAATAGTATAATGTTATATCCGAGGGAAAGTGATCCAACTAGCAGCTGAAGGCCTTTTGGGGAGGAGCTGCTTTCTCCTGTGAGCCCCCATGGGGAACTGTCCTGTAGAGTGTCATGCCAGCACCATGGAACCATTTGGTGGCACAAGCATCAGAGCAGTCACCTGCCTTGCCAGTGGGCCCTCAGGTGGGTTTCAGAAAGCTGGGTCTATCCAGACTCATAAGCGTGAACTTTTACATAAAGAACCATGACTGTGGCAATTCTAAGAAGGACTTTAATGAATGCAAAGGCATGGCCACTAAAGACAAGGAAGGAATTCAATAATGTTTTCAGATTGACATCTCTAAAGAGCGAATGGCAATTTCGGTGTGAGGCTTATAACAGAATCTTTTTGGCTTTTGGAAATGTAGATGTGCCTGGTGAAAAATGTTATTAACTTTTTTCAAAGATAAATAAGAACCATGAGCAGGCAGATCTTTAGTCTGTTGCTACTAACTTGTCGGTATAACTTTAATGTTTGTGAAGGTGTGCAGATGTGAGATTATGGCTTTGCTAAGCTCTGTGGGAGATACTAAAAATGTTACTTCTAGCTAGGTAGAGCAGGTTAACACACTTATGACCCTGTGGAACAGGATAGCACAGTCTGTAATTAAGTGCTAAGAAGGCGTGATGTGTTGTAGTCATTGTATAGTGGAGAAAGAAATCAGAAAGCGTGACTTGCCCTCTCCTTTGATAAGTTAGAGGAACTGAGTGATAATGTGAAAAAAATCACGGAGAGGCTGTCAGCCAAGGGTCCTGGCAGGGAGCAGGTGGCCAGCCCAGAACATCCTGCAAGGACCAGGGCAAGAGCCCTTTGTCTCTGGTGTCCTCCTGGGAGGGCAGCTTTGCAGGAGCTATGGCCCCCAGGGAGAGCAACACAGCCACTGCCACCCCCTGTTGCCCTCCCCACCTCAACCTTCAATTCAAGGACCAGTCTTCTGGGACTCAGGGAAGATCAGTTAGCCTGCCCTGAGGGAGAGGGGCAGCAGGTTGGATAGATAGGGAGAGGTTGAGCAGTGGTGAAATTGGAAGCTTAGACTGAGTGAGATTCTGACTTATATTACGTGATGGAAATGGAGTTGAAAGGTTAGTTTGGCAGCATGTGATGGATTGCGGTTGAAGAGAGACTAGAGGCAAAAAGTCAGAGGCTGTTGAAATAGCCCAACCAGGAGGTGGTAGAGCTTTGGCTAGGCGGGGAAAATGGACTGAGAGAGGAAAAGACACAGCCATGGACATTCAGGGTGGGGGGAAGAGGGACTAGGAGCCTGGCATGGAGCGGAGAATAGCTTAGAAAGCCTCCTTTCGAGAGAAGTAAGGTTGACATTTGGAACTTAGATTTGATCCAAAATAGAAAACATTTGAGCAGGGAGAGGTGTAAAAAGATCACCTTAGAAAGGTTTAGAAATAAAGCTACTCCATTGATAAAGGTCTGCAACTTACAGTTCAAGAAAATAGGTATCTAACATTTAAAAACAAGTTTTAAAATAAACTTCTTATAAAAATGATTTTGGAACATATAATTTGACATTGTTTTTATAAATATCCTTATAACATTGGGTACAGTCAGAATAATAGGACAGAATTTGATATTAGTATTATACTTTCAGAATCAAAATAGCACAGTGATAATAGCACAAGAGGGCTACAGAAATGCAGGTACTAGAAATTGAAGTTTATCATCTTAGCATACTTGACCTTTCTTTTGGAGGTGTGTGTTGTAGCGTTGGGAAGCATTGTCTCATGTTTGATGCTTTAGCAACTCTAATACTTGTGTATGGGTCTACTAAAAAGGCGCATCAGCATGTTCTGTGAGAGAATACAACAGAGAAGCAATTGCAGTCTGAAAGAAAAGCAGTCAAGGATATAAGCAGGTAATGTGTGGAAAGCAAACTTAATTGTCAATAAACACAAAAATTTCCAAATTATGGAATAATTTAAAAATGCAAATTAAATTAAAATGATATACTTCTCCTCATTAAATTAGCCAAGACTTAAAAATATTCTTTATGCTGCTAGAATATGGTGAGACCTGCACACTCACTGTTGCCTGAAGTTTCATAAGTATAAACTTCTTTTTTTGTGAAGAAAGTAGAGACTGTGTGTATAAAGATCTTTACAAATGGCCATTCCTGTGGTATCAGTCATCTATCCCAAGGAAAAATCTAAAATCCAGTCAACTGTTATAAGCCACAGCATTTCTTTTTGACATTGAAAAATTGAGAATGGTGAAATTTATGCTGTAGTCATGTTAGAATATCATGCAGGCACTGAAAATCATGTTTTTGAAAAATGTGAAGCTTGAAAGAGTACAAAAGAACATACTAACTGTATCATGATTAGTTTTATACAAATTAAATTTTTACTTTTTAATTTTTTAAATATTTCTATGACCAGGTGTCTACAACAATACAAATTAAATTATAAACATAAGAAAAGACTAGGGGAAATACATCAATTTAAAAAATTATTAGTTTCAGGGATTGGCAGTTTCACTTAATTAAAAGCTACAATTCCACAGTTAAACAGATGTGGTTTGAATCTGCCTGACCGCTTAACTGTGTGACCTTGGATAGTGACTTACTAGTTCTATGTGACTTACTAACTCCATGACCACAGGCCAATTACTTAATTGATCTAAGACGCAGTTTCTTCAGCTGTGACATGGGAGCAGTAACAGTACTTACTAGTTCACAGGCTTATGTGGATTAATGCAACAGTGCATCTAAAATGCTCCAGCAGTGCTTGTTGCATCATTAGCACACAACTAATGTTAATTATTTGGATTGCAGGTAGTTTTTTTTTTTTTAATTCAGTCTTTCTACTTTTTAAATATTCTAAATTTTATACTGCAAGGATTGTAAAACTCAAGAAACTCTCTGATACTGTATATGGAAGGAAGGACTCTGACAGTTTTTCAGTAATTTTGTGGTATAGACAGGAAAATCTTTTTTTAGGTACCATAATTTTCCATAATTTTAACCAGCGATATATCTGAAACAATACTTTCAAATTTTGCATGTTTTTTTTTTTTCTTTTCTAGATTGCTTGGCAGTTTTGGCTTTTTTTAATCTCAAAGAAATTTTGTTTTACAGTAAGTTACGTTTAATTGGAACCTCCCCCACTTTTTTTTTAAAGTTTCCTGAAATCAAGGAACATAAGAATAATTTTTAAAAATTTTCTGTAGGTGAGATCTGAATTTGATTAATATTAACTGCACATTTAGCTCTCAGATTTCAGACCGATTTAGTGTTAGCTTCTGTGCATCTCACCTAATTGTTAAAATATGTGAGCATGATTTTGATATTTGGGAGGTGGAAGAGAAGCCTCTTGAGACTTTTGAACTAAAGTTAAACAGTTTATTCTGTCTTGGAGTTAGTTGGTGTAGGTTAGTAGGAAGACTTTAACATCTGGAGCTCTTTCACCTTGGAATTGTATCTTTCTCATGGAAGAAACACATTTGAGCTGCAGACAGCCTGGAAAAGCTTTCAGGCTATATTTTCTTCACAGGAGGGCAATAGCTTTGCACTTATAATAAAATAGCTTCAAAGTTTTTGTCTCCTTGACATTATGTTACCTTTAATTTACCCTCAAACATTATTATATCTTCTATAGCAAACAGAGGAGGATAAGAAAAGGAAAAACAGAGACAAATTGTTAACATTATCCCCAAAATAATAAATGGGTTGTTGGTAACATAAGACTTGAAAACCATAGAATCCAGAATATATGCAACTTCATTTTATTACTGTATTGCATTAAATTTAAGATGGTGTCAGTTGTAAGATGTATTCTATTTCTGATACATTGAAATGCCAAAAAAAAGTCGTGGAATTGATGAAATCTAGTAGTTAAATAAAAAACCACAAAAACCTCAGTTTGCAGTCACCTGTATTTTTCAATTTGGTGTATGGAACAAAAAGGACACTCACCTGAATGCATCTGAAATTGGAACTTAAATCTCTAATCTTTAGCAAAAATATGTCCCAGCTATGTATATCACTTTAATCACACGTGGTGCCACCTCTGATCTTGCTCCTTATGTTGTGCACAGCACGTAGAGTACAGCATAGGTGGACTCATGAGTTAGGTGTTTGAACATGACCCTCCTCAGCTACTGGACCAAATGTAAACAGTGGTCAACTTTTTATAGTGTTAATCTGTCAGACTGCTGTCAACACACTGGGTACCATAAAACAGTGTCACCAAGACTGTTCCACAGGAGTGATGCCAAAAATCTATTAAAACTCACAGTAAAACAAGAAATGTACTGCTAACCACTTACAGCCTGACTTGACAATTATCAAGTATTTGAGTATACATTCTAAGCTTCACTAGGCCAGTGCTTACCTTGTACATAAGCAAAAGTAGGAAAATGAATGGTTCCTGTTTGTCAGAAGTTTAAAATCAAATTACTCAGCAATACAAAGCAGGGAAGGACCCCCTTTACCTTTCTGTATCGAGGATAATTTGAGAGGATTTTTGCGTCAGTTAGGGTGAGGCCAATACAGGAAGAATATAGGGTAGGTGGACCAATTATAATGATGTCAGAGAATCCTCCTCCACCAGCCATAGGAAAGAATAATTTCATATAAAATGATAGCAATTTAAAGATTTCTCAAATATATAATTAGAGGTTGGAGGAGGTAATATGGCATAAAGGTTAGAGGCAAGGGCTCTAGAGTTAGACTGCCTGGGTTCAAAGCTTAGTTGCAGTACTCTCTGCCTTTGGGATCTTGGGCAGATAACCTGTTCCTGTTTTCTTGCTTATAAATAAGGTAGCTGATAGTCCCTTCCTCAATGCCTGGCATATTTTATACCAAACATTCATTGAATTGAACTATAGTTAATATTGTTAAGGCTTGCTTTGTTTCTTAGTAAAGAGAACATGGAAATGAGCAGTGTAAAGATTTGCAGAGCCTTGATGTCTAGTGGTATGACTTGACTTTTCTTCTCTTCTCTTTCTCTTTTTCTTTTCTTTTTGAGGTAGGGTCTTGGTCTGTCACCCAGGCTGGAGTGCAGTGGCACAGTCACAGTTCACTGCAACCTCTGCCTCCTGGGCTCAAGTCATCCTCCCACCTCAGCCTCCAGAGTAGCTGGGACTACAGGCACATACCACCATGCCTGGCTAGTTTGTATATTTGGAGAGATGGGGTTTCACCATGTGGCTCAGGTGATCCTCCCAAAGAGGTGGGACTACAGGTGTGGGCCACTGCCCTGGCTGACTCTGGAGCTTTCAAATAAACATGGTACATAACACATTTCTTGGTGTTATAGTGAACAGTATGCAACTTGAGAGCAATTAGATATTAGCATATTTAAATAAAAGATTGTGAAAGTATGATTGTGGCAACTACCTATAGAACATTTTGCTGGTGGTATCTTGGTCAGAGTTTTCTAGATTTTCCCATGTGTCATGTGGTTAAATATGTAGTGGTTTTAACATGGCAGTGTGGATTTAAGATGAAGTGTAGGAGCTGTGCTTTGTATGAGATGACAAGGGCATATCTATTTTGTTCCATAGATTTATTTGTCTGAGGTGATATAACCCAATATCTTAATGTCACCAACAAATTATGTGATCATCCAGAAGAACTGAAATGATTTCAAACATTGATGATTTAACTGTTTTGTTTCTAATCACCTAGAGGGAGCCAGCGTAATGTGATAGGTCTTATTTTATTACATTTCACTTAAAAAAAAATTTTTTTTTTTTTAAAGCCTGGGGTAGCCTGTTCTGGAGCCAGCTCTGTCTGTCCCATTGCTATGGAATATACTGTAGCTCCTCTATTTCCTTCCCTAGAGCCTCTCAGTACTCTTGGATGAGGTGGGAGAAGCTGTAGAAAATTATAATAAATAGGGCAAGACCTTAAGGAGTTTCTAGTCCATCTCCATTTCTACCCCATGCTCCCAGACTTCACGTGTCATCCGTCACATTCTGCTCTCACCTGCATAACAGGTTAGATGGCATTGTTTTTTCTTGTTTATTGTTTGATAACTTGATATTATTTCTTTTTTTTTTTTCTTTTTCGAGATAGAGTTTTGCTTTTGTTGCCCAGGCTGGTGTGCAATGGCGTGATTTCAGCTCACCACAACCCTCCCTGGTTCAAGCAATTCTCCTGCCTCAGCCTCCCGAGTAGCTGGGATTACAGGCATGCACCACCATGCCTGGCTAATTTTGTATTTTTAGTAGGGAGGGGGTTTCTCCATGTTGGTTTGGCTGCTAGGCTGCTCTCGAACTCCCGACCTCAGGTGATCTGCCCTCCTCGGCCTCCCAAAGTGCTGGGATTATAGGTGTGAGCCACCGTGCCTGGCAACTTGAGATTCTTTCTATGGAAATATTTTAAATTCCAAACAACCAAATTTTAGAAGATCATTATGAATGAAACTAGATACTAAATTAGTACTTGGTGATTGCTTGCCTTAGGCTCTTTCTAACCATATTGGCTGCTTTTCACCTTCACAAAATGTTAGAAGCTTACCATCTTAGAGTAATTATAACTGCTGATGATTGTTCTGGAGTAGGTGTATGTTACTTAACAGGTTGTGGAGCTTGCCAGTTGATGCTATGTTGAGAGTGTGCTGACCTCACAAGAACTAAGATTTCATATATATCTCAGTCCAAACTAGAAGATAAAGACAATATTAAGCCCCAAGGCATCAGCACCACGGAAGATTACTACATTTGGCCTAACACAATGAGACGATGCCATGATGTTAGGTGACTGAATAGTTGGTAGCAACTATTACGTTGCTCATTTTAGGCAGCAACCTAAAAGTCCTGCCTGGTTGGGTGCCGGCTGGTGCCCATTTAGCCAGTCACATGGTCTGTCAACATGCAGCTTTCTAATGCCAGGTCTGCTGTTGGCAGCCATTGGAGGCAGTATAACCTAACAGTTAAGAGTGGGTCCTGCAGTTAGAACCTGGTTCTAATTTAGACTCCTCACTGTACCATAGTATTTTGGGAAAGCGACTTAAGTTCTGAAGAGGGCCCAGTGCCGGACACACACACTGTAAGTGCAATGAGGACGATGATGGCAGTGAGACGTCAGGGGTACAGCTTTGGCAGGTTGTCACTGCCTCAGAGCACGGTGCTTCTCACAAGTGGCACGCTGCTCACAGAGCACAGGCTGCTCATTTGAATTCTGTCTCAGGTTTTGAGCTGAGTGAGGTTGTGATAACGTTATGTTTGAGTTGGAAAGTGAATACAAGATACATGCTGACTTATACTTGATGCAATTCAGAATCTGTTATGTGAAAGTAACAGGTAGCAACAATCTGACCAACTCAGCAGACTGTAGGTACAATTTTTAAAAAAAGATTCACAACTGATACATCTTCGTGAGCAGCAGCAACAGTTTAGTCACTGTTTCCAAGAGAGAGCTGTGTGTAAAATGTTCACAGGTTATGTAGTACTGAGTGTGCAGTAAATGGTCATCATGGTAGAAGAGATCCCGGCTCAGATCACCAGTCTTTTCAGTCACATGGATTCATTCATTTGTGGAAAGTCTTATAATCAGTATCTTTATTTGCGGACTGTCCCTTTTGTTTCCCAAAATAAGTGTAAGTCCTTAAGGTTAGGTGGATTATTTTTGCCTCTGTTTTTCTAGCTAGTTATACTTGGATGGTTGGTTAGGACAGATGGGATCTGCTAGTTTTAATGGAAAGGGGATTCCTTACCTGAAGATTAATTGTGGCCTCTCCACTTACACAGTCATTAGAGTGTGGATTACTTTATTGTATCATAGTTCTTTCTTTTATGTAACTGTCTACCTTATATAATGGGAATATTTCCTGATATTCTTTTCTTGGACACCTTTTTATCAGACAATTACAATTTTTAAAGAGTGAATTTTATTTGGAAAGGTAGGTTTGGGTAAGGAAAAAACACTGTTGGTTTGAAAGGTATCTGGTTTAGTAACAGTTCCATGTGAACTTATGAAATATTTTTAACCTTCCTGGAGATCTTGAAAAGTTTATCCTGCACTTTTTTTGGGGAGAGGCAGCCATCATCATTTTGGCTTGTTTAATTTTTCTGTAGGGCACATGTGTCTTGATGTAGGGTTGTTTTCTGCACCCAGTGCCAATCCTTAAGTTCTGGTGTTGTGCTCTGCAGAGTCATGAGGAGTGGAGGCTGTGCCTCCCTGCAGTGGTGTTTTCTGGAGGTATTATAGAACAAAATAGAGAAAAAACATGGACTTTAAAAGTAGTGGGACCTATAATCAAATACCAGCTCCTCCACTCACTAGCTTTGTGATTTGGGAAGACTCACTTAATTGCTTTCAGTTTCCTCATTTACAAAATATAGGCAGATAATATTCAGGCATAGTTGTGAGGATTATATGGGGGCAGGTGGTGTGTGGGTGGGTGAGAGGGTGTATGATGCAAAGCCCCTAGCGCAGTGCTCTTTCCACAGGGAGCACTTACTAAATGTTAATTACTTTTTCTTCTACTTTAATACTAATTTTCTAAATGTGGTGGGTATATAATCTGGAAAATATAGGATATTCTTATTTTAGATGTTCTTTCTTGTTAGACTAGGTATCCCCCCTACTTTTTACTTTGGTGTAAATATAGTTATTGTATTCATATCACATGTTGTGTCTTATAGCTCTTGTTTTGGTTTTCTCTGACTGTCCTTTCCGACTTTACAGAACAACTGGAATCTATGTAGTCCCTTAAGTAAATAAAGCTTTTAATGCTAAGACTGTCAAGCAATAAGCCTGTGAGAAGGTGGAGACTGTGATCTTGGTTGTAAACTTAAAAACGAAATCTCTTACACCAGTCTTTTCCCTGTTACAGCTTTCTAGTTGCTGGTGAATAAAATGCAAAAGTGACAAAGAATTTGCATATATTCTTAGGGACCAATAGCTTCGTTTTCATAGTGAATCTTATTATCTTTTGCTGTGTAACAAACTACACTGAAACTTGGTGGCTTAAAAGAGAAGCCATCTATTTAGCACATACTTTTGTGGGTTGGCAGTTTGGATTGGTTTCAGCTGGACTCACCCCTGCATCTCTGGTCAGCTGGTGGCTGATAGTTAGCTGGGGCCATATGTTTGCATGTGAGAGAGAGTGAGCGAGAGAGCGCCACATATTCCAGCAGATTGGCCCAGGCTTGTTGACATGGTGGCAGAAAAGAAGGCCGCTCTGGTGCTCAAGCACTTTTCATATCTGTTTGCCTGAAGTTTGCTATTGTCTCTCTGGCCAAAGCAAGTTACATGGCCAGGCAGTGTAGAAGGGAATACTTCAGGGAGGCCCAACATATTTGGCCACCACTGCGACCATCTTCTACAGAGAATGTACGTCACTCTCTCTTTCTCCTCCTCCTTCCTTTTTCTTATTGTGGTAAAATACACATCTTAACTATTTTTAAGTGTACAGTTCAGTGATACTAAATGCATATTCATAATGTTACGCATCCATCACCAGCATCCATCTCCATAACTCTTGTAAAACTGAAATTTTATACACATTTCACTTCCCCACATGTGCATATCTCTTAATTCTTCTGTAGAATGCCTTTGACCAGTGATTGGTCATATAGCACCAGAATGAAAGGCCTGGGGAAGAACATGTTAAAATTCATCGCTTTCTCTTCCTCTTATTGGTCAAGGTAGGGTTATGGATAGGAAATGAGAGAAGAAAACAAAACAAAAACAGAAGACTACTTGTGCTTTCATTTTCCACTCTCCCCCCACCACCCAACTGAAAAACCAAATTCGTGATACTTCAGTAACTGGAACCATGAAACGCTCCCATTTTGTTTAGCCACATTATAAAATTAATGTTACATTTCTGTCTGTGAGTACAAGCTGATCCATGATCTTGTCCCACCCCTTTATGGAAGGACTGTCCCGCCAACAAACAGCCCTCCCATCCTGGGATCATGTTGGCAGCTGCTTTGGATTTTAATTGACTAAACTGGCCACCTTCCCTCTATTGAGCCAGCTACCAAGCCTGGTCTGTTATTCTGCTGCATCTCTGAAACAGCTCATAAACTCCTACCTCTCCCTGAGCGAAGTCAGATATAACTTCACTCTGCCAAGTGAATCTTGATTTAACCATGCCTCAGTTCCTGGATCCACAATGTAAAACTTTCTCTTAATCTTTCAAGGCCCTCTGCTTGCACCCCCTCTTTCATCCAGTTCTTTTGTTCCTCTCCAGTGTTGCCCAGCTCCACTTGTGCCATTCTCTGACTTATGCCATCTTAGGGCTTTTTTCCCCTGATGCTTCCCCTGCCCCTTTAAAAAAACACTCCTGTTGTTAAACCTACTCATAGAAAAATTTCTCCCTTGTTTGAGTTTCCTCAGTACTCATGTCATATATTTTGTCTTACTCTTCCCAAGTTATTGGCTATAGAATTTATCGTTTTGTGTTTATTAATCCAAAAAAGTATTCATGTATATCTGTGGGCTGGGCACCATGATGAGTGTTGGGGATGCAGGGGCGAACACAGTTATACCATGTGCCCAAGGCTGGTGGACAGTGGGCCAAATGACCACACAAACCTGTGTAAGTACAACTGTAATAATTGCTTGAAAAAAAGGAGCAGTGATGTCATGGAGTGGGTAACAGAGGCATTTAACTTAGTTCAGAAGATGTAGAAAGACTCACCTGAGGAAGGCAAGCTTGGGCTGGGGTCTTCTTGCCCAAAGGTTCTGCGGCTACACTGGGAGAGCTTGGTCTGTACCCCAAGAGCAATGGGAAGGAGTTACTCTGGTTGCACCATGTGCATAGATTGGAAGGCCTGGAAGGGGAAGACCATTGCATAGTCCAGGTGAGAGGTGGTAGTGATTTGATCTAGTGTGGTGTGGTCCGGCTGTAAGCAGAAGTGGGTGGGTCTGAGAAAGATTTAGCAGGTAAAATAAAAAAGATTTGATGATGAGTTGGGTGTGGGAAACCACAGGGGCAGAATGTGTCCTAGGTGACACATGGATTACTGCTTTGCCTAAATGGCTGATATTCATGGGGCCACCCCTAACCCATATGGTGCCTTTGCAACTTAACAAGAGGTACCCTTTCTCTTGAGCACATGGCTTGGCTGGTGGAATACTGGCTGGAATTTTACACTCACTTGCTTCCTCTAGTCCCTTGTGTAGTGAAGGGACTGTTCAATCACATGCCTTACTCCGGCAGCCCCTGGCCAGTCACCAACATGTAGGCTTTCTAGCTTTCTTTCTCACCTGGTTAGGATAGGAATCTCATCTGCATAGGAGCTCTGAATGTGATATAAAATCTGATCCAATTGAGAGGTGAGCTATAAAGGAATATATAGGAAGGAGAGAGTAAAGGGTAGTTGATGGTATAAGAGTCCTGAAAGGTAGATAAGTGTGGAGTCTAAAAGTGAGGGAATAGGTCTCGGCCTGGAAGAGCATAGTTGTCCTGGAAACAAGGAGGCAGGAGGAATGGATGGGTACAGATGTTAGTGAACTTGCGCGTTTGGCTTTAGGAACTCCCACAGTTAGCTATCAGAGGGGCTCCTATTTTCTCTGCAAAGTAGGAAATGAAATTACTTGTTTATGTCTTGCTTCTTTAACCAAAGTATAAATTCACTGAGGACAAAAAGGTATGAATGCATAAACATGCTTATTTGTTCTTTCACAGTACTCGTTTGATACTTAATGTTGGATTTCATTGAAAATTGGACTCATTGAAAAATCAGACTTGTTACTTAGGGTTAAATAAGACATTGCATCTAAAAAATGACTCACCCAGTTTGTAAAAATATTAAACACTGTAAATAGGTGCCATATTAAATTATTGCTAACTACTTCCTGAATGTTACCAGTTTAATTTATGATTAGATATCCATAAATAAATCTTATTGAGTAAAAATGGCAGAATTTGTGCTAACAGTTTGGTGCCTGGGCTTTAGAGAAATGCACACCACCTGTACTTTGAGATTTAAAAATAAAGTATAAAGATAATGGTGATGCATGTAGAAGAGAAACAGGGAGAAAAGTGAACTACTTGGAATAATAGATTTTTATATCAACTCCTATGAATTGATTAACATTATATAATAGAATAAGTCACATTTATACTGTGTTTTATTGCTTACCAGGCATTTTAATACATGCTGGCACAAATAATCCATATAGAAAAGGTGGCATTTTATAAAAGAAGAAACTTTGGATTTCCCCAAGCACATGCATATAGTAGATGGATGAAACATCCTTGATTCTAGGTCTTAGGACCTCAAAGGAAAGTCAAGAGCCTTTCACCCTGGGCATTCTAAAAGGATACATTTTTTTTTTTTAATGGTCCTGAGCTATGCAGTTCCAAAGGACATGGAGAATCTAATGGAAACACACAGACCCTTTTACACCATGGTGATTACATTCATTGGATCTGATTGCTGTTGAGTGATGTAGCAAGCTTGCTGATTCATATTTTTTTTGTGTGAAATTATTTAAAGTTTGAATTTGGGTTAGGTAGTTGAACGATTATGAATTGCTTAAGTTGATAATGTTCAGGAAGTAGTTAGGAATAATTTCATATGGCACATCTTGGTAGTATTTAGCATTTTTACACAGTTGATAAAATAGCGAGTTTTATGATACCATGAAATATTTTTGTGCTTGACTAGAATTTTGCATATAGTTTAATAAAAATAATTTAAACAATATCCTGGAACAATGTCTGAACAGTGTAGGTGATGAAAGAACAAGGGGTAATACTAGACTACTTGTTATATAATTACGTATTATGAAACTTCTTTTTAATAGAGGATTTTGCTCTAATTATTGAATACTCAGAAGTAGGAATTAGAGCTGTAGCATATAAAAAGACAAATTTGAGATTATCACATTTATCTTCAAATTATAAGGACAAAACTATAGTAATTTATGATTTGGTGATTTAAGAAGTTTGAAACCCCTCAGTGGAAATATTTTGCTATTTAAAAAAGTTGACATGCTGGAAGTTAGTTTTCATATATGAAAAAAGGAAGTTATTTTAACATTGCTTAGTAATCTACAAAGATCTTTTTAAAATATATATATATTTATTATACTTTAAGTTCTAGGATACATGTGCACAACATGCAGGTTTGTTACATATGTATACATGTGCCATGTTGGTGTGCCGCACCCATTAACTCGTCATTTACATTAGGTATATCTCCTAATGCTATTCCTCCCTGCTCCCCCCACCCCACGACAGGCCCCGGTGTGTGATGTTCCCCTTCCTGTGTCCAAGTGTTCCCATTGTTCATTTCCCACCTATGAGTGAGAACATGCAGTAATCTACAAAGATCTTTTAAAATAACATATTAAGTTAACATAAAATGACACTATTAAGATTCTGTGTAGAAGCTCTGAATATGATATAAAATCTGATAAATATTAGTAAGAAACACCTTTTGATGCTGTCTGGTATGGTCTTGGAACTTGCTTATTCATGCATCCACAGAGGCTGAAATATGCAAATATTGACAAAACTAGATTTATTGATAGTGATTTCAATTACAGTAGTGTGATCCTCTACATCCAGCAGTCTCCCTTGACTGGCAGCTCTTCTGTGGAAAGGAATTTGCTTGCTTTCCCTGAGTGCTCTTCTGTGGTCCTGCTAGATTTGGAGATTGTCATTTACTGTCTGACCTAGTTCACACACGTGTTCCCTGTGAACCAACTTAGATGTCTGTCTTAATGTAACTGATAGCTCATTTACTTACTAATGGATTGGATAAATAAAAAGTTTACAAGTTACCCTTGTATAAGAACCTACTTTGAGGGATTTTAATAGTAACTGGGAAGAATTGATGACCAGAATTGGGTAACTATTAATAGATGACCAGCACTTGTTTACTTTTAATTTATAGCATCAAGTCCAATCTGACACATCCTATGTACATTTAAGTTTTTAAATAGAAATTTAAACTGTATTTGAGGGTAAAAGAAATCTTTAGTTATAATTTATTCATATCTCAAAAAAAGGGAAACTATTTGAGATGACTGAGATTTTAATTTGCTGGACTATATGGTAGCCATTTCACTATAAGTATATGGAAGCATCACGTTGTACCTTAAATACAATTTTCAAAACCCAGTTTTATGGCAAAGCAGGATGCCAGGTACATGCAAGTTTGAATAAAATGCCGTGTATGTCTGTCAAAGCATTAAGACCTCAAGTGTTTATTGTATGTGGCCAGTTAAAGTGTGGGTGAGGGTTCCTGGAGGAATTAGCTTTTGTGCAGGATTTAAAGAATCTACTATAACCAGAGAGAGCGGTGATAAAGGTCGAAGGGTGGTGCGTAAAGCAGCCAAGTTTTGTATTTAGGAACCAGGAAGAATTTGGTCTAGGAGAAATAGAGAAGACATGAAGATGCCCAAGGAGGGCTTTTTGAATGAATCTGGGATTATTTTTACACTGGGAATGGTGACAGCTGAGCTGTGCTTTAAGTATGAGGTATTCGAAATCACACCTGGCTTTCTCCCCAACCATTCTGCAAGTCACCCAGGAATACAATCGCCATTTCATCTCTGACTTTCTCTCCTGTTGCAATCCTCTGTATCCAGAATGTTGGCAAAGTCTGTAGATTTTATCTCCCCTCATTGCCTCTCACATCCTGCCTGCATTTCAGTGTCTACTGCCTTCTCTTCTGGACTCCTGCAGAGACTTCTCAGTCTCTCTGGTGCCTGCATCTTATCGGCTCACACTTCTGGACAACCAGCTTTGCATTTAACCCTTGAAAACAGATTGCTTCCCTTCACCTGGGATGCAGGCCTCCCCTACTGCCTGCCTACATTTCTAACTGTAGGATCTGCTCTTCTTTAAATATAGTCCACAACAGGCCTACCTGGATTATTCGTGATCCCTAAACACTCAGTCGTTTCCCTCTTCCATGCCTCTTGCTTTTGCTTCGCCCTATTTCAAGTACGATTTTGTCCACTCAAACTCAGCTTTGCCTGTCGAAATTCTGCTTGTTTTCAGGTTCTGTTTCAAATACTACCTCTTCTGTAAAGCCATTTCTGACTCTTTTCAACCGAATGCAACTTCCTTACCTTATATTGTCCTTTCATTCTAGTTATATGGGGGCACATGTCCCTATGTACATAGGCTGTGCAGCCAGTAAACACACAAGTGAGGTGCAGAGGTAAATAAGGCAGCATCTTACGATGCCCTAGTGGCTCGCCTGTCTCTGTGGAGACGTTGCTGGCCCTTCCTTTCCTGGGGTGACTCATTGCTCTGTTTCTCCTCTCTCTGACTGAGGCTCTTTCCTTTTGCGGAATTCCTAAGATTTTATTGCACTTCATTATCTACGTTCCTGTTTTCTTCTTTTACATTATAAGCTCTTTGAAGGCAGCCTAGGGCTATTTTAGTATTTTCCTATTAAAGGGTTAAGGTCTGATTTCTAAAATAGGTAGCTTCATTGTAATGTTACCTAAGCAATAACCCAGGTGCATTTGTGTAGCTTGTAATATTTTGATAACTTGATAAAATGGTGGATTCCCTTAAAAAGGGAATCTTGTGTATGCTTGACTGGAACTCAGCTAAGTTAGAGGAAGGTGGAGATGATAAACAGTGTAAAAATCACCAACGTTTATTCACTTTATTTTTGTATTCCTGTAGCAGCCAGCAAACAGCTTAGAATAGTAGGTTTACAGGTTTTGGTTGAATTGAAAATTAATAAAAACTCTTAGGTAAAAGTTACTTGCAACTAAAGTATGCTGAATGAGTGTCATTGTTGCTTTCTTTTTTGCTTTTCTGACTAGATTGAGTTCATGAAGAATTTCTTGTTTACTTTTAATTTATAGCATCAAGTCCAATCTGACACATCCTATGTACATTTAAGTTTTTAAATAGAAATTTAAACTGTATTTGAGGGTAAAATAAATCTTTAGTTATAATTTATTCATATCTCAAAAAAGGGAAACTATTTGAGATGATTGATATTTTAATTTGCTGGACTATATAGTAGCCATTTCACTATAACTATATGGAAGCATCATGTTGTACTTTAAATACAATTTTCAAAACCCAATTTAATCTTCAATAGCAATGGTAATAGAAAATGCCATTTAAAGATAGCTATTCTCCTACAGAGTTTAAAATGTGTCTTATAGTAATAATTTGTATAAATTTATGTATACCTGATTTGTTAGTAATGGAGTATTTAAGATTAGAGATCATAAATATGGGTTGCTGGGAATACTTTTATTTTTTTAAATTTCAGATTTTTATTCCCTTAGTATTGCTTATAATACAAAAATCCACTCCATTTTGGGGGAGAGAATTCTCCCAATGTCACTTTTTTTTTTTTACACCTTGTTTAGATGAAATGTTCTCTTCTGTTCACAACAGTGGGAGGAGGCAGTGGGGAAGAGGGTATTCAAGAAAGACATTTTAGATTTCAAAATACACGCTCTTAGTTGATCATAATTCTTGTGCAAACTTTGAAATGAAAACTTTTTTTTTTTTTTTTGGTCATACTCATGGTGATAGTCCAAGTAGCTGTATTCGGTTTGGCAACACAGAAGGCACTCATCCTGGAAGCACTAGCCAGCCCATAGAGGGCAGATGCCATGCCTGCAATGCACACAGTTATGTACGGTGTCGATTCACTCAAGACACCCCATTTAGCTTTGTCTCTGACTGTGGAAGATGGACATCTTTCCTTCTTCACTGTACCATCTGTATCAAAGTTGGTAAATTGCCTTTCTAACGTGCAATTGATTTCAGGATTCAAAAACTCAGTGTCTTTTCTGTTGTTAAGAACCCAGATTCATTTTTATCTGCTTTCCACTGCCCCTTGACATTGTTTTCCATACCCAAATCCTTAATCTTGAGGTATTTTAAATGCAAATATTTGTCATGGATGACTAGCCTGAAACCTGTTGGATTTAAAAATGGTGCATTTTAAAAGAAGAGAATACAATGTGTACCTCAGAGAGCAGTGTGATTGTTTAAGAGGGCAACACCAAGACTTCACTTAGGAGCAGCTCCAGCTGCAATGGCGATGCATGGCTGTGATGGCCAGCTCCTAGTGTCCTGCGTAAAAAAGAGCTGGAAAATGCATACTATGTGCAGACACCTATCTGCACAAGATCACCTAGGCAGGAAGGGATGCACAGGAAACTATTGAGTTTGTTAGCTTTGGAAAGTTACACTAGGCGATGAAAGAGGGTAATAAAACATATTTTTTTAAATTCCTAGTCTTCTTTACTGTTTGTTTTTGTCCTTTTTTATATCATAAGTTACTTTTACACTAAGTAAAATAGACCAGTTGACATTTGGTGAGCGTGAGGCTGTGATAACCTGTGTTCCCTACATTTCTGCTCCATGTACAAGTACCTCTAAGATCTTGTGGACAAGGAGGGCTATTAAAAGGCTGTGACTGTCCAGCTTTAAAGTGTAAACATTGAATAACTTTATTTTGTACTTAAGGACTTTTAGTAGTAGGCTTAATTATAGTCCCACATCACAATTTTAAAGGAAAAAGTGATAACTCCTGGGGAAAGCATCTCTATGGCCTGCAGAATTCCATTTCTTGTGGAGGAGATGAGGTTATAATGGAGTCCAGAGTTTCAAACCAAACTGTAGCAGCCTCATCAGATACAGCTTGGCGGCCTACTGACTTATAATGAGGGTGGCATGTAATTAGAAATTGTCCCTGTCTTTTCTGAGTACTGATGAAAACCATGGCTCAGAGGTTAATTCAAATAATAATTAATATTGGTCTCTGTCAGTACAGGGTGGTAATGAAATCTTTCGTTATTTGATGACTTTGACTTTAGATGTTGAGCGAGGAATAGAAATGGTGTTATTCCTCTTGCTAATTGTGGGGCAGCTCCAACAACTGAACACTGTGGTAAAGCATACGATTTGGAAGATGTCAAGTACAAAATTTCTTTGTAGCCTATAATTGTCTACCATAGAAGTTATAACATGACACAGACATATTAGTGTTATTTTATTTTCTAGAGTGATAATTATTTAGAGTGAGGTATTAGGAAGGCAATTGATCCTGCCATTGTAGATTGAGACGCTTTTGTTGGTCTCCCATTTTTCCTACTGTATGTGATACATAGTAGCCAGAACAAAATTACCCATTCAACCTTAACAGATTGCATGTGCACATTAATCTGAAAACAAAACCACCAAATGGCTGGTTGATTATAGAGAGCCTTGACTATCCTTTTCAACCTTGAAAGTCATTGATTCTGTAAGTTGGTGCACCACATTTGATGAACATCTTCCATATGCAGAGGTGGGTGTTCCAAATGATGTAGAAGATACATAGTTGGTTTAAGAAGGTTATTTGGAAATACATAGGTATCTGTTAACACAGATTAACTGTAGCTTTTAAAGCTGCAAATGGCAACTACAGTTGTTTCATTAAAATAATTTTGGTGGAAGGGAGATGTTTAGGCAGGACAGTTTTTAAAAAATAATTACAGATGCTTCATTACATAACTTGCTTTAAAATTATTATTATTATTTTTTGAAATGTTTGTTGACTGAACTTCTACAGCTTAATCACGGAGGGTGGTGTTTGGTATCATTCTAAGCAACATCATATTTTATAGGGAAAAATAATAGGAAAAAAGAAGAATTTTTACAATGTTTGAGGACTCTGAGATGCTTCAGATACCCAAACAGCAGAACCTTTCTAACATGTAAAAGTAGACACGAGCAGAATCGGCCCTCCTGCATCGGATGCCTCATCAGGTCCATTAACTCAGGCCTGCCTTGTTTATTCACATTCTCACTGGTGTTTCCCATGTCCTGTATTATTTAGCAGCAAATCCCAGGTAGTATAGTATTTTATTTTAAAATACTTCAAGTAGTATCACTAAAAGGGAAGCTGGCCGGGTGCAGTGGCTCATGCCTGTAATGCCAGCACTTTGGGAGGCTGAGGCGGGCAGATCACTTGAGGTCAGGAGTTCGAGACCAGCCTGGCCAACATGGTGAAACCCCATCTCTACTAAAAATATAAAAATGGCTGGGTGCAGTGGCTCACCCCTGTATCCCAGCACTTTGGGAGGCTGAGTGGGGAGGATCACCCGAGGTCAGGAGTTCGAGACCAGCCTGGCTAATATGGTGAAACTCCTTCTCCACTAAAAATACAAAAAAGTAGCTGGGTGTGGTGGTGTGTGGCTGTAATCCCAGCTACCTGGGGGGCTGAGACAGGAGAATCGCTTGAACCCTGGAGGGGGAGTTACGCTGAGCCGAGATTGCGCCACTGCACTCCAGCCTGGGCAACAGAGTGAAACTCTGTCTCAAAAAAAAAAAAAAAAAAGAATTCTTTCCAGATTAAATTGCTATAGAGATTTTTGTGGACATTTTGTTTTTTGTTGTTGTTGGGACAGAGTCTCACTCTGTCGCCCAGGCTGGACTCAGTGGCGCCATCTCCACTCACTGCAACCTCTGCCTCCTGGGTTCAAGCGATTCTCCTGCTTCAGCCTCACTAGTAGCTGGGATTACAGGCGTGCGCCACCACGCTTGGCTAATTTTTGTATTTTTTAGTAGAGACGGGGTTTCGCCATATTGGCCAGGCTGTTCTCGACTCCTTACCTCGTGACCCGCCTGCGTTGGCCTCCCAAAGTGCTGGGATTACAGGCGTGAGCCACTGCGCCCGGCCAGAAATTTTTTTTTTTAATTGAAAGGCAGTACTATATTTGAGAAGGGATTCGTAAGCATGCTTTCTTAGCTAGAATATAGAGGGTGATAGGCAATTGTTGGACAGTTAGGATCAGTATTTGATTTCAATACTGATTTTAATTTGATTTTAGCAGCAATCCTAGAATTCTGAAATGAGAATGACAGGGTCAAAACATTATTTTATTCACAAAAGCAACGTTCTCTCTAGGGTGTCAGTGTTAAGATTGTTTGGAGGCCAGAGGTTTGGAGGAGGTGGTGGGCGTTCACGAGGAGCTCTTCTAGAGCTGTTGCTGCCTGGGGTAAACCAGCACAGATTCCAGGAGAAGCCAGGGAAAACGCATCCCACTGGGATCTAAGTGACCTTTCCCACAAGACCAGGTCTTGTCACTTCTCAGCTTAACATCTTAGATCGGCTTCTCATTGCCTGCCTGAATATGAGCCAGGAATTTCGATGTGATTTTTTTCCTTCTTTTTCTTATTTTGCTTCTCCTCCCGCTCCCACTCCCAATCCCCGTTTTCTTTCTTTGTAGAAAGATAGCAGACATAAATAATCTTCAATAAAAAGGCAGTTAAGAAAAAAGGCATGCCTTCATTCCAAAACCCCAGATTCAGACTCCCAGGGCTGCTTAGGGGGAGCGCTGGGGCAGAGCCAGGCCTCGGCGGGCGGGGTGGGCCGGGCTGGGCCGCGCTTCCGGGATGGGTCAGCGCCCGGAGCCCGCGCGAGGACATGAGGACGGCGAGCGGGCCCCCCGGGGGGCGGGGCATCCCCTGGGCCAGACGCAGGGCGGAGCGGGGTCATCGCTGGCACGCGGAAGGCCCTCATAAGGCCCTCGCTGCCGGCACCGTGGCCTCCCACCCACTCGGGGCGCTCGCTTCACCTCATGCCCGCCTCAGTGGCTCGGGGCCGGAGCTGCGGCCACTTCCTGACCGGAAGGCCGAGCCCCACCTGGCCTGACAACATGGCGGCCGGGAGAAGGCCCCCCCCCCCCCCCCCCCCCGCCCCGCACACCGCCAGGCCTCTGGACGCTGAGACTGGGAGCGAAGTGGGCAGGAGTCAGCGAGGCCATCTCGCGCCCGTGCGCACCGCTGTAGGGTCATCTCCAGCGCTGGCACCTGGCTCAGCCCTCAGCCCTCCTGGCCCCTGGGCTTCTCGAAATGGCCACACTGCCCCCCACTTCGCGGCCTGGTTCCGCCCTTTCTTGGCCTCAGGTGCTGCACAGGCCACGCCCTCTGTTCCGAGCCCTTCTTGCCACCTGCCCTCCCTCATGGCTCCCGCTCCTCCTCACTCTGGTCGTCTCGGGAGGCCTTCTCTGGATGGAGACCTGGCTAGGTCCCCGTAACTTGACCTCAGCAGCCTGTTTTGCCTTCGTAGCCCACAGCCCACTTGTAATTCTGTGTTCCAGGTCTGCCCAGGGGAAAAGGGGATGGTAATGCCTGTTGCTGACATAGCTCTATCAGAAAGGTGCTCAGCGGCTGAATGAATGAATGAATGCGGTGGAGCATGAGGGCGCAGGCGCCATAGTGGGGAGGGGCAGGAGGGAATATTCTGCCGGCAGCCACAAGAATAGGAAAGAGAAATACTCTGTCCGAATGGTTTGTTTTTTTGTGTTGGTGGGATTGCTCAATGCATGGCTCTTCTTGATCAGTGAGAAATGTGATTGGAGAAAGACATTAGAGTTTTATAGCTGATGTTAAAAAATGAGAGCCGCCACATTGACACTATTTGCTTCCGGAGACCGATGAGAGTGAAGAACTAACAGCTTTGGGCTAAACTTTGGAGTGCATTTTTATTAATAAGGCTAGATGAACCATCGCTGGCTTTCCAGTTGTATGTATCCCTCATAGAATCAGACACCAACTCAGGGAGGGGCCTTTCCAGCACACAGAGGGCTCTGCCTTTTTTTTTTTTTTTTTTTGGGAGTCTTGCTTTGTCGCCCAGGCTGGAGTGCAGTGGCCGATCTCACCTCACTGCAAACTCCGCCTGCTGGGTTCAAGGAATTCTGCATCAGCCTCCGGAGTAGCTGGGATTACAGGCACCTGCCACCACGCCCAGCTAATTTTTGTGTTTTAGTAGAGACAGATTTTCACCATGTTGGCCAGGCTGGTCTCAAACTCCTGATCTCAGGGGATCCGCCTGCCTTGGCCTCCTAAAATGCTGGGATTACAGGCGTGAGCCACCGCGCCCAGCCCCTTCCTCTTTTTGGCTTCCACTTGGCCAAAGGAGCTTCCCTTTGGGGCCGCGTCTGAGTCATGTTAGCCGCTGGTTCAAGGGAGCCATCTGAAACTCCTTGGAGCAGGGTTTCTCCTGTATATGGCAATACTCTACCTTAGAAAAACAAAACAAAACAAAACAAAACGTCAAGTTACATGGTATAATGGAAAAAAACCCTAAACTTGGGCTAGAAAATATAGGCCACTATTTTGTTTCTAATACCACTATGTATATGGACAGAACAGTTAACTGTCCACGCCCTGTGTCTTCCTTCGTGAAAGGTGGTGACACTGTACCTTCACAGCCTACTTCATAGGACTTTGGTGTAAAATGAGACAGCAGATGTTAAAGTACCTTCCGAGACCATTGTTTCCAGAACCTTCATCACATTGTGGTATTAGAAACCTTGGAGTCCTCCTTGACTCTTTCACAAGCTACATTGAATTTGTTCTCAAAGCCTCTGGCTCTGCCTTTAAAGTATATGCAGAGTCTGATACCTTTTCTCTCCACTTCTACCACCCGGGTCCAAGTGGCCTTTTTTCCTTGCCGGTGTTACTGCAGTAGCTCCCCTACTGCTCTCCCTGCTGTTGCCTGTGTTGCCTGCAGTCTTTCCAATGTTAGCAGTCAAAGTCATCTCTCAGAGCCAGAGCTGGATCATGTCCCTCCTCTGCTGAAAGCAGTTCGTGATTCATCCTCTTGAGGCAAAACCTCAGCCCTCACAGAAGTACCCTCTGCTCCAGCCTCCCCCATCCAGAATCTCATGGGACACCACACTTTGTCCTTGCTGTCCTTTAGATGCTCAGGTGCCAGTTCCCCTCTCAGTCTTCCACAGTTGCTCTGATCTCCTCAGACACTGTCAGGGCCTCGTAGGGCCTGCTGGGCTGACTCCTCAGTTCCTTCCCGATCATACATAACTATCTTCCCTGTGAGGCAGTCCCTTACCACCCAATTTAAAATTGCACCTCCTTCCTCCAACCGGTCCCTCTGCTGTGATTTGGTTTTTCTCTCTTACTTTCCTTTTAGTTATTTACTTATTTATTTTGTTTGACTCTCTCCACAAACAAAGCTTAATTAAGCTGCATGAAGGAATCGTTGTCCATAATGTTTACTGATGCATCTCCAGTGCCTAGGACAGTGTTTGACAGATGATAGGTGCACAATACATATTTGTTGCTTAAAATTATATGGGAGCTAATCATTGGAGGGAAAAATGTCTTCGGTTCTCTGTAGCACACTTTTTGGCATAGTATAGCCGATGAAACTTTGTAAGCAAGATAGCAAATATTGTTACACTATAGTGGCTTTCAGAAATTGAAGACAGTGTTTCTCTTTGAGACAGTCCTGATTAGCAAATTACACATTTTTCCCCTCTTGTTACATCTACCTTAAGCCTTTTTTTTTTTTTTTTTCCTGGAGTAATGCATGAATGGTGGTATGTCTTCCCTCAGGTCATTGCATCTGGGTACGTAATGTTCATTTGTCCCGTTTACTGGTGATACGTACTTTGATCACTTGGTAAAGGTGAGTTATTCCATTTGAAAAGAAAATTATTAGAATAACATTAGTTTACTGTCAAGTTGGAATTATAGTGATTTGCTTCCTTGTAAATGAAAGATAGTGTATCATTGTGGTGTTTTCCATTTAGTTATACTTGTTGGCTGCAGAGTAAACACTTTGGTTATTAGACTTAGCAATAACTTTGTGTAGAACTTTTCTGAGGGCACAAAGTTATTTCACATTTTTCATTTCAGAGTATTTCTAGCACTATGTATTTTGTTTATCTAGAGAGAAAGTAACTGTGTTCTTGATATAGGTCAGGCCTTGCAGTGGCACAGTATGTGACCCTAGTTTCTTTACTGTTACTTTCCTTTTGGTCATGCTACAACTCAGGTGGTTATGTAGTTAAACCTTATGGGTGTAGGGGAAGGGCAGGTGGCATGAGCTGAAAAGTGTAAGGTAACTACCCCTGAAAGTTGATTGATTGAAGGTTCATTATACAGTCATGTGCCATATAATGATGTTTTGGTCAGCGATGGGCCACATATACAACAGTGGTCTCATGAGATTATAATGGAGCTGAAAAATTCCATTGTCCACTGACAATTGTAGTCATCATAATGTAGAGCAACACATTACCCATGGGTTTGTGGTGATGGTGGTATAAACAAACCTACTGTATTGCTGGTCTTATAAAAGTACACCATGTAAAATTATGCACAATACATAATATTTGATAATGACAGTAAACTGTGTTACTGGTTCTTGTATTTGCTATACTATACTTTTTATTGTTATTTTGGAGTATACCCCTTCTACCATTTTTTTTTAAATTTAACTGTAAAACATCTTCAGGCAGGTCCTTCAGGGGATATTCCAGAAGGCATTGTTATCATAGGAGATGACAGTTCCATGCCTGTGATGGCCTCCGAAGACCTTCCAGTCTTCAGAGTGGCACAGAATGTGGAGATGGAAGACAGTGATATTGATGATCCCAACCTGTGTAGGTCTAGGCTAATGTGTATGTCTGTCTTAGTTTTTAACAAGAAAGTTTGAAGTTGGTCGCGGTAGCTCACACCTGTAATCCCAGCACTTTGGGAGGCTAAGGTGGGTGGATCACCTGAGGTCAGGAGTTGGAGACCAGCCTGGCCAACATGGCAAAACCCCATCTCTACTAAAAAATACAAAAATTAGCTGGGTGTGGTGGCAGGCGCTAATCTCAGATACTCGGGAGGCTGAGGCAGGAGAATCTCTTGAACCCGGTAGGTGGAGGTTGCAGTGAGCCAAGATTGTGCCATTGCACTCCAGCATGGGAGACAGAGTGAGACTCCATCTCAAAAGAAAAAAAAAAAGAAAGTTTGAAAAGTAAAAAACTAAACTAAATTAAACATTTAAAAATATGAAAAAGCTTTTGGAATAAAGATATAAAGAAAGAAAATACTTTTGTATGGCTGTACAATGTGTTCGTCTTTTAAGTTGTAAAAGTCAAAAGGTTAAAGTCTATAAAATAAAAAAGTTACAGTAAACAGATAAATTTATTGAAGAAAGAAAAATTAATTTTCATAAATTCATTATAGCCTAGGTGTACAATGTTTATAAAGTCTACAGCAGTGTGCAGTAACATCCTAGGCCTTCATATTCATTCACCACTCACTCACTCACTCACTCACCCAGAGCAACTTCTAGTTTACAAGCTCCATTCATGGTAAGTGCCCTATGCAAGTGTATCATTTTTAATCTTTTATATTGTATTTTTGCTGTACCTTTTCTATGCTTAGATACCATTGTGTTGCAGTTGCCTACAGTATTCTGTAACATGCTGCACAGGTTTGCAGCCTAGGAGCAATAGGCTGTATCATGTTGCCTAGGTGTGTAGGAGGCTGTACCATCTTGGTTTGTGTAAGTGCACTCTGTGATGTTTGCACAAAGATAAAATCACTTAGCGACACATTTCTCAGACTGTGTCCTCATCATTAGGTGACACATGACTATGTTTACAGGTAGCCTCTTGCCTTCTAAACTGACACTTGAGTGATGCATGACACTATTTGGATATGGGAAAGGATTTGTCACCCACAGGGTAGGAAACTTTGGAGATTGGCAGACTTCCTTTTTTGATTCAAGTAAGTCTAAATTATGATTTCAGATGAGTAGGCTGAAAATATTTTGTAAAGTTCCAGAGCAGGAATATGAAAAATTTGGACACTTTTCATTTTGAAGTTCCACAATTGTTAGATTTAGATAGATAGATTGATTTTATGTCTTTAAAATATTTGAAACGTGTGGGGGCTCAAAGGTTTATAAACTTTTTTTTCAGAATTTTCTTGAAATGGATATCAGTCTCAGACTGACACATTCTTACATTATTATTATTGATTAAATATGTTAGGGGCTAGTTTGTCTTGCCATGAATTATTAATTGGTCAAACCTTTGTACTGGGCACTCTGGGAGCCCTGGGGTAATAAATAAAGCCCTGGGGTAATAAAAGTGTACAAAGCACATTCTGCACCTGCCCTCAGGGAGCTCCAGCACTGGGGGACCCTCCTCATTCGGCAGGCAGTGAAGCTCAGCTCCAGTGAGCGCTGTGAAGGAGCAGAGAGTCCATTGTGAGATGAGAAAATCCGGCAACCAACTTCTCATCCCCACAGGTCTTCCTGCTTACCTGAAAGGAAACTGAGGCCTTGTGAGGGTTATCAGCTAGCAGAACTTGGATGGACACCAGATCTGTTTGACAAAGGCAAAAAAATCATAATAAATTATTTTTCTAACATCTGGCTGATTGTAAGTATGCTTATTCCAAAATATTCAAGCCATAAAACATGCATGAAGTAGGAAGTGAAAGCCCCCACCCCTGATAAATTCAGGTACATTAATTAATCTTCTAGGTTTTTAATGGGAGAAAGGTTGCAGAGTGTGAGCATATTATAGATACACAACTCCTTTTTTCCTGAAATACTGTGGCTCATCTTTTCATACCAACACACAGAGCTCTGATTTTTTTCAGCGAGGTCAAATGACTGTGTCCTGTTCCATATAACTTCACTTATCTGTCCTCTTTCAATGGCCGGTTGGGTCATTTCAGTGTTTCACTATTGAAAATGGCACGGCTGTAAAGATCATCAGCCTTTTATGTACCTCTCTTTGCACATTGGGATAAATTCCTAGACAGGGGTATTACAGGGTCACAGACTATGTTCATTTTAAATATGGTAAATGTTCCTGGATTGGCCCCAGAAAGGCTGTATCAGTTCACATTCCTTTCAGTGGTGTATGAGTTACTTTTTTTTGTGCACTCACCAACTGTGGACCTTACTGTCTTTTGCCAATTTGATAGGTGCCTTTCTTTTATTACCAGTGAAGTCAAGTATCATTCCATGTGTGTTTTTGGCCTTCTTCGTTTCCTTAAAGCCTGTCCTCTGCACCATTGTGCTGTTGAGCCTCCAGCTTCTGTGATCGCCTTCTGTGACTGAATATCATCTCCGTGAGCCTGTGCACCCTTCTCCGTTCTGGTAGAGAGAGAGTAAAGGCTAAGACGGCTGTCTCTGAAAGCAGTCTCAGGGATTATTCCCATTGCTGCCGCTTACCAGCAGTGGCTCCTTGGCAGGCTACTTAACCTTTGAGCCTTCAGTTTCCTTTCCTCTAATGGGGGTAACAAGGATTAAATGAACGAGTGCATCTGAAGCCTTAGCACAGGGCCTGGCATGTGAGTAAATGTCCAGGAAATGCTTGCCACCATCAGCAGCAGCACCTGTGTGGGAAATTACTTTCCCTTCTCCCTTTTCTATGGGAGTCCCTTAGAGCCCTGCTCAGCAGCCTGGATCCTCATCAGTTCTGGGATTCCGTTGGCGGCTGCTGCTTTTCCAAGTGGACACTTTTCTCTTTGTCATTCCATGTCAAGGGCTGTGAAGTGAGGTCCCGGACCAGCAACATCAACTTAGGCATGGAGCCTGGGCATTTTCCTTCTGGTTGGTCTTATGGATTGAATTGTGTCACTCTCTCCCACCCAAACTCATATGTTGAAGCCCCTAATCCCCAAGGCAATTGTATTTGGAGATAGGGCCTTTAGGGAGGTAATTAAGATTACATGAGGTTATAAAGTGGTCATAAGGTAGGATCCTGATCTGACAGGACTAGTGGTCTTAATACGAAGAGGAAAAGAGAGAGCTGGCTCTCCCAGTTGACAAAAAAGAGGCCATGTGTGCACACAGTGAGATGGTGGCTGCCTATAAGCCAAGAGAAGAGGCCTCAGAATGAATCCTGCCTTGCCAGCACCTTCGTCTTGGACTTCCAGTCTCCAGAACTGTGAAAAATAAGTTTCCGTTTAAGCCACCCAGGCTGTAGAGTTTGTTATGGAACTCTGGCAGACTGAGATTGTTGGAGAACCACAGTCCTGGTGGTTGAGTGCCTGCCTCAGGCATTATTGTTTTTAGGCCAGTGGTTTGTGCATCAAAATGCTTGGTAAAGCAGACTGCCAGGGCTTACTCCAAGAATTTCAGATTTAGGATTGACATGAGAAGTCACATTTCTAACCAGTTCCCCAGCGGTGCTGATGCTGCCGATGCTGCCAATGCTGCCAATGCTGGTCCATGTTCGGAGAACCACTGGTTTAGATGGTGTGTCGGAGAGGCTTCAGGCAAGCGCTGGGAGACTTGAGGTAGGGATAGTGGCTCTCCCGCCCAACTAGGAAGTTGTTTAAACTCAGAGCCTCAGTTGCATTATCTGTATAAGGGTGATAATATTTATTCTGCTTATTTCATGGGATTATTGAAGTCAGATGCATGAATGAAACTTTTTAGGTCCTCCTGCTCTTCATACAAAGTAGTTGGGTTGGGGTCGGGGATGTTGCATTCTTTTTGCAAAAAGAGAAGGACAAATGAAATGCTGAAGTATTCTAATAGTAAATTATAAAGCAAAAGTAAGGTATTTCCTTCCTTTTCTTCACCAGATACGGCCTGGTCATCTGATTTGCTGGCTGCTTGGACATTGGTCTTTACCCACTTCTTTTCTCTGCAATCCCCACAGCAACTTCTCTTAAAAGCCAGGCAGTTTAGCTAAGAAGCCTTTATTACAGTATCTGTGGCTCCTTTTTCTGGCCCTGCCCTGTCAAGGATGCCTGTGGCTTTTTTGGTGATTGAGACAGTGGAAATTACTGAGTTTCTAGTTCTACTCCATGGGTACGATTGTGGTCATGCTTTTCATATCCAGGGTATTGTAGTTGAAAGGTCTTTTTTTGGATTTCTTTTGCCATGCTTAAAATGTTTTGTGTTGTACAAGTTTTAAATATATAATTACTGGCATATTGTATTTTCAACAATGTTATCAACCAGTAATAAGGTTGCAAATCATTTAGAGCTATGGTTTTCACATGAGAACCCCAAAGAGCTTTGGTTTATGTTGGTTAGATCTATGGATAATTACTACATTTGAAATTAAATCTAAGAAGTATAAAAATACTTAGTTTATTTAATATCAACATAAATCCAGTACAAGTTAATATAAATAGCGTAACTTTTGTTTTTTAAAACAAAAGTTGTTGACAATGAGTGAGATTCCTTCCTATTTTTATAAATCTCTTTAATGCCTGGTTTGAGAAAACAGCTAGATTCTCATAGCTACTTCTGCATTCAGTCTGTTACAATATGTTATTTCAGTTGAAGAACATGAAGAAAATCTGGTCTCATGTGGACATGTATTAAAAAGAGAGGAATTTTTGCATAGCCTTCTCAGATAATTTGATATTACATCAAAACTCTACAAGGGGTAGCTTCTTAAAGGTTAGTTTCAATGTGGAATCTGAAATTGTATGATTGAAATTTTTGTGCTTGAGTTCATTAAACTCTATTGGTCTATCTTGCACTTTGAATGGATCTTTTCACCATTCATGGTTTTATAACATTGTTCATTGGTAGTTTGGAAAATATTGGTTTAATGAGTTACATAAATCTTTCAAATGCTGGCATATTTTATTTTTTTTAAATTTGTATTTGTTAATATTACCACCTATCTAATCAGAAAGCCTTTAAGTATCAGAAAACTGTCAAATTCTTGGTGGTAGTTACAGGTTTTCCAAAATTCCTATTTTATTCGAATACTTATTTTATTTTATCATTGGCAACAAAACTGTCAATTGTTTTCTTGGAAGTAACAGGCTTATTTTGTTCATTTTTGAAATGTTTGCCAAATACTCAAGTCTGTATAACCGTAGTTTTTCAGTTGTTTTTTTCTCCCCTAGGTAAAACTGGTGGTCTTTGAAAAAAGCCTGCACCTCAGTTATACCTCAGTTATGCAATCTGCTTCTCCTCTACCTCGAATGGAATGGTTACTGACATTTAACCACTATCTAGAAGGAATGTAGGAATGATGGCATAGAGAACACATCTCTGTATAGACGGGCTACTCAGAGCCATTTGGGGGAAGCAAGTACTCTGCTGGTTAAATGCAAAAAACCTAATATAGTTGACAATATGCCAGAAATTATGTAAATGAATGTTGTTTCCTTCAACATAGTGACCTTGGAGACAGGACACCACATTCAGTGATAACGCGAATGGTTAGAACGTTTTTAGAATGCCACCTTATTTGGAGTTGCTTCAAGTTATGACTTTAAGTTTACTCCATAGATTGTGTTTGGATGTACTGTTTTAAAGTTGTAAGGCCTCAAATGCTTGTTAAGTTTTCCCAATTATATCTAAATATAGTTGACTAGTCTGCGAAGACCCTGTTGCATAGTGGAGAAATTGTGGACACATTTTTTAGCAATTTAGGATATTTATCACACAGGACCCAGCACCATGCAGAGCAAGCATAATTCTCAGAGTCAGACCTGGGTCCTCACCTCCGCTCTGCCACTGACTGGCTGGGTGGCCTTGAACAAAGCATTTGCCTTTTCACTATTTCTCTGTGAGGTTAAGTAGTTGGCTTAGGTCTCAAGTCTTTTAGCCCTCATGTTCAATGATTCAGAGATTCTAGAGGCATGACAGCAGGATTCCCTTCATTATCTGGGGAGGTAGTTCGTCGGGGGTTTGCTCCACAGCCTTCCTGTCCCTTTCAGCCAGCCTGTTTCTGGCCTAGGAAGACAGCAGACTTCGTGTGGTTGTGATTTTTTAAAGGCAGTGTTTAATTCTTATTACAGCACAAGAGTTCAGAACTTGGGTAACAGCATTTGAGTATTGTAGATCATCAGCTCCTACAGAGATACCCTGTATGTTTGAGGTTAAACTGGGAGCAAGGAAAGTTGGGTGACTAGATTAAGGTTGGTGCAGGATAGCAGGGAGAACAACTGACATTTGCTGACTGCTGCATGCAAGGCATTTTGTTAAAAGCCACTTGTGACAGTTGAATGAATCGCTTCCAAGTAGCCTTGTGAGGGAGGTGGTGGAGGTGATGGAATGCAAATTTTCATAGATGAGGAAGCTGAAGTTTAGAGAACTGCTTTAATTTGCCTGATGTAAAGAGAGTGTTTGAGCCAGATCTAGTTGGCTTTTTACAACTGGTTTCCCCCAAATTTCTCCTTTTTTCTGCATGCCTTCCCAGCCATTATATTCCATTTTTCATTTTTCTCTATGACTTAAGCTGTTCTAAAGTGTTGGAGAGATGTCACAATTGGACATCAATAATCTTTGAGAAGTGCTGATTTTATAAACTTTAACATTTATAAACTTAATTTTTAATAAAGGCCAATAAAAACTTAAAGAAGAGAAAATGCTGATGTTAAGTCATAGGCCTGTGTTGAAATAGATGGCCCAGGGCTATTAGATATATGAAATTGAGGGCAGATAAGCTTTGGGACAAGCAAGGACAGAATGTGCAAATCTGGCATTGAGGTGTTTACAATTTGCCTTTCCATATTGAGAACAGAAATTCAAATTTTGGTGGATTATTTGTTTAAAAGAACTGTTATCTTTTACTCCTTCAACAAGTGCATTCATGTACCTCCTTTATCCTAGTCACAGCGATAAGCCCTGGGGATAAAGAGGGGCGGGAACACCTAGCCCAGGGCCTCTCAGAGCCACAGGGCTCCCAGCTAGCAGCTTGAGTTCCTAAACTCTGGATTTCAGATGTGTGGAAATGCACTGATGGCAGGTTGTTAGGGATGGAGATGTCTTAAAGGAATGTTCGGTTATCTCTCCTGAAGGGTTTTAAAAATTGTGGAAGTCAAGATCAAGGATGAAGATGAAATTTCTTGTGGTTTCTTCATGAGAGATCTCTTCTATCTGTATAGTCCGGAATTCTGAGTAGTATCCCAAAGTGTACCATCAAGACAGATGATAGCAGAGAGTTGAATTTTTATATATATTTTATATTGCTAAGCATATTTTTTGTTAGGGATTTGAAGTAGTTAAGTCATCCTCACAGCATCCCTGGGAATGACAGTTGACATTAAGCTATTTTATTGTTGGAAAAGGAAATTATGGAGGTTACTTCTCACTCATATTTTTTCAGCAAGGAATTGGGAAATGGAAAGAATATATTAAGCATCTGCATTATAGGATGCCCTTGCAGTTACATTCTGAACCCTTGAATTGTTATTTTGATGGAAGGGTTACAGTTGTGTGGCAGAGAGCTTATATTGTTGGTGATTAGGGAGAGATTGTGTGCTGCCAGACCTGTTTAGGAGTAAAGGGTAGTGAGAGATTTCACTCTTCTGAGAAATTTGCTTCAGCTGACTCGCTTGTTTTAGGACCAACACACTCCAGGCTTATGGGACTGGATCTGGGAGGTACCTGAGCCGTTTTCCTGGAGGTGGTGCTGGCAGGCATCCCAGTGCCAACTTCACTTCCTTTAGGTGGGGAGCAGGGGGATTTCCTCCAATGAGAACAAGCAAATGTGTTCTGAGAAGTGATGGTTTACAACAGTTGGCATCAGAAGTACACAAGTTTACTACCAAAACCAGGGAGGAGCAGTTACTTTCCGATTACTAATAGTTTCCTGGTAAATATCCCATAAAATGTAATTTTGCATTTAAAACTGAAACTTCACTGAATCATTTACATAACATATATGTATTCGATTTATTTATATAATTATGTTTTATCACTTATCTGTGCTTCTTGAAATTTGGAATATTTTTCTTTCACCAGAAGTGTGGATTTCAGAAGAAGACAGCTATACTTAGCATATTTCCAATTGTGAAGCTAGTAAAGTTAGCCTCTTAGAGTGAAGGGACTTTTGCCATTCTCTTCAGCTCCCTTTCCACTTCCCCATTCTGGAGATAAACCAAGAATCAGAGAGGTTAAGTAACTGGATCAAGGCCACGTAGCCTAGTTTAATATTTTGTGTATTTAAAATTTTCATAAAATATGAAAAAATGAAAAAGAATGCTTTCGAAATTAAGATAACAAAGTTTATTTTAACTTTTAGGTTTGGGGGTACAGGTTAAAACAGGAAATGTGTGATCGTCTGCACTGAGTGCTAATTATCTACAAAGTACTGCGTTAAGTGCATTATATCACACAATCTAATTTGGCCTGATGAATTAAAGGTAGGTGGTATCGTATGTATTTGACAAATGAGAAAAGAAATTTCTTTGTAGTGCAGGTTCAGTTATAGTTCAGAATCAGTCTCAGACCTTCAGTGGGCCCAGAGTGTTTTGTTGGTTCTTTTTTTAACACAAGCACCTCATGACCACCACCCCCTGCATAACTCGTTGAGCCAGTTGTAGCCATCAGAGTGGAAGCACATCCACTGCTGATTTCCTTCAGCCATCTGCACCCACCTTCCTGTGTGTCCCAGGGGGTTCTGCCTCTCCTATCTCATCTCTTCAGAGAGATTTCCTTAATTTCCCTCTTTGTATCTTTGCCCCTTCTTACTTGTCTCTGTCCCTCTGTGCCTACTTCTATTAGTGTTTAATTGTATATTTTATGTAGCAAATGCTTACATAGTGCTTTCTAAGTGGCAGACGTTGTAAATGCTTTACAAATACTAATGTACTTATGCTCCTAATAGCTCTCTGAAATAAATACTATTATTATCCCCATTTTATTTTATTATTTATTTATTTATTTTGAGACAGGGTCTTTCTCTGTTGCCCAGGCTGTGGTGCAGTGGTATGATCATGGCTCATTGCAGCCTCGACCTCCAAGGCTCAAGGGATCCTCCCACCTCAGCCTCCCCAGTAGCTGGGACTACAGGCATTTGCCACCCCTGCCCGGCTAATTTTTGTATTTTTAGTAGAGACGGGGTTTCCCCATGTTGACCAGGCTGGTCTTGAACTCCTGATCTCAAGTGATCCCCCCCACCTTGGCCTCCCAAAGTGTTGAGATTACAGGCATGAGCCACTGCACCTGGCCCATAGTAACTACTCTTAACAGAGTTAATAACAGAGTTAGTCTTAAGAGAGTTAATATCCAACTTGTTGAATCTGATGGGCACTTGTCTTACCTTCCCTCTTTCTCTGTAGCATTTGAACTGGTTGGTTGGTCACTTCCTTCTTCTCTTGGTGTTTGCCCCTACCTTGTTGGCTGACTCCTCTGCCTGCCCTCTGAGTGTTGATATTCTTCAGGATTCTGTCCTTGCTCTTTTCTCTTGTCATTCTAAATATGCTTTTGGGTTGACCTCATCTGCTGCAACTTTGTCTTCCTTCTGTTTGTCAATGACTTAAACGGCCATATCTCAGCTCAGCATTCTCTCTTGAGCTCTCTGCTTTCATATTGTACTGTCTCCTGGAGAGCTCTGTGTGAATTTTTTTCTACACCTCTCTTCCATACCAAATAAATAAATCCTGCTTCTCTTCTGTTCCCCACATTTCAGTGAGTGGTTTTTACCATCTGCTCAGTTACCCAAGCCACAGGCCTCGTTGTCATCCCAGACTCTCCATCCAGAAACAAGTCTCTCTCTTGAGTATGTCTGTCTCCTTCTTTGTAGCACCATTGTCTCTTACCTGAACTCCTGTGTGAGCTCTTGAACTGGTCTTCCAGGCTCCAGTCTTGTACCTTTCTCTTCCAGTCTGTGCTCCACAGTTTAGTAAAATGCACAACTCTCTTAAAAAGCGTAGCTTAAAAACTGTGGATTATTTGACTCTGTTGATGGGAAATTTGCCAGGCCATGTTACCTTGGAGGGTCTACTCTGAAAGCTGGAACAGATCATTACACAAACAAGGAATTGTAAAGCTGAAAAGGTGTCATCAGTGTGCAGTTCTTTTGAATGGTATAGTATTAGCGGAGAGATGGAAGATGCTTTAATTCCCTACCCCAACCCAAAACCCACCCCTCACTTATGTGAATAAAGTCTTAAGGAGCCTATACAATCATTGACTCTTCCATGTTTTTGTGGCAGGAGGAAGGAGTGTTAGTGATATACTGAGATGTTAGGTAATGGCTAATTCCACACCTATTTTAAGGCACCGTGTCTGGCATTGGGGGTACAAGTGAGAGACATAAAAGGCAAGGTCTTTCTTTCTTTTTTTTGAGACAGTCTCGCTCTGTCGCCCAGGCTGGAGAGCAATGGCGCGATCTCGGCTCACTGCAACGAGCAAGGTCTTTCTTGATGTGCCCGCCTAGCTGGGGACACTGTGCACATTTATAGAGTTATAATGGGGACATTGAAATGGTTTATGATGAAAGAAATATTGAAATATAGTCTATATTTACAGGTTGACCTTTAAACAGGATATCATTTTTTCAAAGAAAAATATGAAGAAATGAAAAAGAATTCTTTCAAAATTAAGATAACAAAGTTTATTTATTTTAACTTGTAGGTTTGGGGGTACATGTGAAGGTTTGTTACATAGGTAAACTTATGTTATAGGGGTTTGTTGTACAGATTATTTCATCACCCAGGAATTAAGCCCAGTACCCAATAGTTATCTTTTCTGTTCCTCTCCCTCCTCCCACCCTCCACCCTCAAGTAGACCCCAGTGTCAATAACAGAAAAATTAGATTTATTCTACAAGTGTTATACATGATTCTGAAAGGTTAAAAGCTACTAAATAACCAGTTTGTATGTAGCCAATAAAAGTTATTTGGATATGGTGATCTAAGCAATTTTGAGTACAAAGTGGTATTTAAGAACTTTTGCCATAAGTTATTTCACTGTCTTAGGATGGCAGGATTTTGGGGCTGAGGAAATTTGGCATTTGAATGTGTAGAGCTCCAGACAGGTGCCCAGCCAAAGCACAGAGTGCTTGTGACTGTGCTTTTGAAGTAGAAGAGTGAGATATGTGGTCTGTCAGAACATTTTTTGCCAAACCTTTATTTATATTCTTTAGGTTTGTTTAATAGGATAGTGATTTTTTCAAATGATTTCTGAGTAATTGGCATAAAGTAGGGAATTTGCTATGTTTAGAGATGCAGCAGATATGGGGGAGGAAACTTGAAAATGTGGGTAGGTATAGTATGATGCAAGTATTATCCCTGATGAAACCTAATTATTTAGATTTCCTTATCTGGATCATAATTTTATTATCAGCTGATTTATAGTAGTTAAACTCATTAAGACCATATAGATGGGTGGGTGCAGCAGTCTTAGGCCTTAGTAAACACTGTATTTTGAAACTGAGTAGGTGCCTGGTTCTGTTTGTAATCTTTGATTAAACCAAGCACAAAATTCGAAGCTTCATAGGTAAACTTAAATTATTTTCATCATTCTCATTATGCAAAACAAATGTCATGTCTGGTAGTAGCTTGTCTTCTCACTGCACTTACTTTTTCTTATATTACAGTCTCTTTGCTAACTTGACATGTACTTATTGATCTGTGATCAAAATGGACACAATGTAGAAATTTATGACTACTTAAAGTGTGATCTTTTTTCAAACTGAAATATGAAGTTTACTTACAAGTTAGATTGCTGTCCTAATATCAAGAGTCTTGTACACTCATATGTATGAAGTACTTAAAATTAGAATTGGTTAGTCAAATGATTTTTAGGGAAAATATGTGAGCCAGAAGCATGTCATTACAGTCAATGCTCAATGATGTAGAATAGCATGGTGGTGCAAAAAAAGTAATAAAAGAATTTGTTACAAAATGCTTTGTATTGTAGTTTTAAAAAAAGCAAATGTAACTTGTAAGTTAATTACTGATAGTATTATAAAAGATGTTTCTTGAAGTTAGTTTTCCCCCAGTACATGACTCTCTGGAGGAAGGAAACCCAGATGACTGCTGGGGAATAAGGAGAGAGGCCAGTTTGGGGTTGAACCTTTGTTGAAGATGTAGGAAGATGTTAAGTTAAATATACAGAGTTTGTGGATAAAACTTTGTCTTTTATCATATGCTAATATGAATGAAGACATTTAATTTGGCTAAAAGATGGCATGTTTCGCTGTGTGATATTTATAGTTTTGATTATGGTGGCATTGTAGAACCTACTTGCATTAATGATAAATGTAGGTACAGTAGACCCCCTGCCCCACCCCAGTCCAAGTTTTTGCTTTCCAAGGTTTCAGTTTCAGTGGTTTCAGTTACCTGCGGTCAACTTTGGTATAGAAATATTAAATGGAGGCCGGGCGTGGTGGCTCACGCCTGTAATCCCAGTACTTTGGGAGGCCGAGGCGGGTGGATCACGAGGTCAGGAGATCAAGACCATCCTGGCTAACATGGTGAAACCCTGTCTCTACTAAAAATACAAAAAATTAGCCGGTCATAGTGGCGGGCGCCTGTAATCCCAGCTACTTGGGAGGCTGAGGCAGGAGAATGGCGTGAACCCGGGAGGTGGAGCTTTCAGTTAGCTGAGATCGCGCCACTGCACTCCAGCCTGGGCGACAGAGCGAGACTCTGTCTCAAAAAAAAAAAAGGAAATATTAAATGGAAAATTCCAGAAATAACTCCTAAGTTTTTAATTGTGTACCCTTCTGAGTAGCATGATGAAGTATTGCATTGACCTGCACTGTCCCATCCAGGACATAAATTATTCCTCTGTCCAGCATACCCACACTGTAGATGCTACCTGCCCATTCAGTCACTTTGTAGCCATCTTGTGGTTATCAGGTCAACTGTGGCAGTGTCAACGTGCTTGTGTTCCAGTCACCCTTATTTTACTTCAGAATGGCCCCAGAGTGCAAGAGTAGTGATGCTGGTGATTTGGATATGCCAAAGATAAGCAGGAAAATGCTTCCTTTAAATGAAAAGGTAAAAGCTCATAAAGAAAAAAGTTTGTGTATTGAGATATACATCTTATAAATAAATCATAAGTATTATTTATGGTAAGAATGAATCTTCTATCAGTTAAATTGTGGGGAAGGAAAAACAAATTTGTGCTAATTTTGCTGTTGTATCTCAAACTGCAAAAGTTACAGTCACAGTGCCTGATAAATGCTTAGTTAAGATGGAAAATACATTAAATTTGTGGGTGGAAGACATGGATAGAAATGTGTTCCAACTGACGGCAATGGGGTTTGGTACTGTGCATGGTTTTGAGTGTCCACTAGAGGTCTTGGTACGTATCCCCAGGATGAAGGGGGACTACTGCATAGAAAAAATGTTTCCCAAATTTGTTATAAGTTGAAATGACTGTGAAATATTGGATATGCAACTGTTAACTCTGTATTTCAGCCTTAATTCCATCTCCTTTGTCAAATATAACTTGATTTGAAACCAAAATTTAGTGTCATAGTCACTGAATAAGTTACATTTGTTTTCTTCATTTTTTTTCTTCCTGTAGGTTTACCTTTTTGAGATTGGGTGCAGTTTTCCAAAATACTTTTTCTAATACTCTTCCAAAGATCTCAACCTTCCTTTACAGTTTGAACTCCTGTTTGTATTGCTTGCTTCCCTAATGGAAATCTGAATTTTTATAATTCCTGTGTATTTCTTTTTTGCATTGCCTTAACAGGCATGGGTCTTCGAAAGCCCTGGAGCTCCCTGTGTGGCCCCTGCCATTGGTATGCTGTGATGCTTTGCCTGTCCTGTGCTCAGGTTTATTCATGATGGATAAGACTCCCTTCCTATCACATGTGCACTGTTCTAGCAAAGAGAATAGACAAATTCTTTTCAGTTGTGATGTTGCCCAGGGTTTTGTTTTGTTTTTTTCCCTTTAAGGAAAAGAATGTCAGTGGTGTATATCAGAAAAGACTGTTTACACCCTTTCTATCCCTTGCCTTTCAAACCAGGCAGGATTCAGTACACTTTTAAACTCCCCCAGAATATGAAAAAAGATCCCTTTTCAGCTTTCCAGAAATTTTTTAAAATGTAGAAGAATGTAGGAAATTGCCAAATCAGTTAGTTAATCAGTGACAACTGCAGTCAGTACACGAAGAGCACGCTTCTTACAAGAGCAGCTAGCTGTTTGCTGCTTTCTCAGCCCCTCTGCATGCTTGCCCTTGCCTCACCTCTGCATCCTCCTCCAGAGGTTCAGTGTCAGCCTTATAGGAGCTGGTGATTGCCACGGGGTCCCCAGACAGAGCATGGCCACAGGGCAGCTCCTTCCTTCCCTTCCTTCTGTTCCACCCTCACTTTTTGTAGGCTTGACATCACCTGGAGCTTCTGTGTGTCAAGTCAGTAGCTTGAAATAAGTCTAGAATAAGTGGGAAAATCTTTCCTAATGGTGATTTTTTTAAAATCAGGCTAATAAACATGGTGTTACTAGCCTTTATACACCACCCTGGGCTTTACAAAACCCAGGATATTTTATAATATTAAGCAAGATACATACTAGCAATCAGCAAATTTTGTAAAATATACATTACTCTTCCATAAGTCTGCACTGTAAGCATTCTTGCCAGGTGGGTTGAAATACATTTCTGAAATTTAATTTTTTTCCTATCCAAAATAAATTACTTAAAAAGTTTTCATTTACTTATTTCTAGACCTGTCTCTTCATTTGATTTTCTTCTCTACCATATTACAATTAATTAGGATAACATTCAAAAGATATGAGACCTGGTGCAGTGGCTCATACCTGTAACCCCAGCACTTTAAGAGGCTGAGGCAGGAGGATTCCCTGAGCCTAGGAGTTCAAGACCAGTTTGGGCAACATAGTGAGACTTTGTTTCCCAGGAAAAAAAAAAAATTAGCTGGGTGTGGTGGTACACAACTATAGTCCCAACTACTTGGGAGCCCGCACTGGGAGGATTACTTGAGCCCAGGAGTTGGGAGACTGCAGTGAGCTATGATTGTGCCACTGCACTCCAGCTTGGGTGACAGAGCGAGACCCTGTCTCTTAAAAAAAAAAAAAAGATATGGGATAGATACACATATTTTATGTAGCTACATATGTGATCTACACCTAGGTATGGTATATATAGATACATGTTTGTCTTCATTTCTCTTTTGCCATACAATGTTGAGTACTTCAGGTGCTATTAGAATGTGTGCCCATCTGTTCCTAGGACATGTTGTGTACATGGAATGAAGACCCTGCTGGACATATTTTCTTAGTGTCTGCACTGCGGCAGCAGGTCAGCTGTCTCCACGTTAGGGTCAAGGTGCTGGCCACCTTCTCAGTGGGCTTAGCCTTTAGGAGTTAGCTTCAGAGAGGTATTTGAATTTTGAATTGCAGGGTGTAAAGGACACAAATTTTCATGATCCTTGTGCTTTTGTGGCATAATTTATGTATGGGGTAATATACTCCTTTTGACCACTTTGGAAAAAGCTAGTGCTGTGGGCATGCACTTAGTATAAGCTGTTAGCCAAGTGCTATTTCATTAGTTGCCTTGAAAGGAAACGTTAGCCTCAATACTGCATGAAGGAACAAAAGAACAGCTTTTTTTTTTTATCATAAAGGCTACTCAGAATATCCAGAGTCTTCAAAGTTATGTAGAAATAACTGAAAGATTTCTGCAAGAAACCTGTGAAATAGTATGTTATGTAACATAGCATTAGATATTAATGTTAACTGCATTTTTTTGACTTGCACAAATGATTGGCAAACAGATGGGCATATCTTTAAAATTAAACCATCTTTAGATACCCACTCCTTGTAAACTGTTACAGATTAAATTTGTCACTAAGGGCTGTTCATAATTCTTTGAATGAAGTCAGTATTGTTTATTTGTCAGACACAAATGTCAAGACTACTTTCTTTAAGTGACATATCTTTGTATTGCTTTATAATATTCTTTGTAACATGTGCCATTTGTTGTTGATCCATTATATTAACTGAGTGGTCAGTGTGCTATCCTGTAGGAGGAGCTCAGAGTCTGAGGGCAGGACTTCCCAAACTTTCACATGCACAGGAATCACTTGGGGCCTTTGTTAATAAAGGCAGATTCTGGTGCAGGAGGTCTGAGGTGAGCCTGAGAGTCTGCGTCTCTTACCAGCTCCCGGGGGTGCCAGGGGTCCTGTCTCTCAGGATTCCACTTCACATGGCAAGGCTCCAGTCGCCAGAAAGAGAGGGAGGTGAACACATAAGAATAGTAGCGTGCTTGGCACTTTTGTAGCTTCTGCCCATGTTGATGTGGTGGTACTGCTAGCAAGGGCTTTGAAATCAGCCTGAAGAGGGAGGGTTGAGGGTCAGGAAGCTTCCGAAGATGGGTGATAACAAAGGAACTGAGATGAAAAAGAGGCCAGCCTCTACAGTGAGGGGATAAGGAGGCCAGGGAAGAGACCATGGGTGTGAAGGCGAGGAAGGTATGAGATAGCTGATGGATGGTTGGTAAACTTTGAGTAGTTTGATATACCTAATGGGGGTGTTTGTGAGTGCTTCAGGGGATAGAGGGAAGGGAGTTAAGGGAGTTGAGAATGGACAGGTCAATAAGGATTTGATTATTAGTGCCTTCAAGCATGCTGGAGCATTTGGACTGGAACCTGAAAGCTATGGGAGGTCCTTTAAGGATTTTAATCAGGGAGAGGTATGATGTAATCTGTGTTTTATAAGATCATTCAATCAGTAGTGTGAAAGCGTTGAGACCAGAATTAGGAGAACTGATTAGATTTCTAATTTTTTGTGGTTCACTAAACCATGAAGGTCTGATTACTTCAGAGCTAGTGTAAACAGGGAGGAGGAGTTAGACCCATAAATATCTGGGAGAGAGCATTAGCAGGTTGGGAAATGCACTGAATATGTGGGATGTACTGGGGCGTTTATTCAAACTGCAAGCTGCACGAGGACAGGGCCACATCTGCTTCGTTCAACACTGTATACACAGTGTCTGTTAACCTTGAATATTTTTTAAATGAATGATGACAGGAAGGATCTAGGCTTATTTCCCATTGTTTGGCTAGGTTGAAGAGGTGGATGGAGATGGTGTTACTGTCATAGCGAATGCTAACATAAGGCGTAGCGTTGCCCTATACGATGTCAGTGGTTTTCCTTATTAAAAATGTGTCTCTTCTGTTAATATCAGCAAAATGGGAGGTAACCTAGTAATATGAATGGAGGTTACCAGTACAATCCTTATTACTATTTATGGTTTTATTTTTAATATGATGCTTGGGGACAAACAGACCTTAGAAGGACTTCACATACTTCTTTTTTTTCTAAATCTTTTTCTGAATTGTGTATAGTTGAGAATTATTCCTAACATACTGAAAATTATTTATGAAGAAATAAGAATATATGTTGGGAGATAATACAGAAAGGAGACATAGGTTGTAAGTATAGTTAACATAAAATATGATATATGGAAAAAATAACATATATTTCATCCCAAAGGGTAGATATGGACCTTTAAAAGAATACTAATCTCTGAAAGAGGAGAAAATATTTTTTATGAAAGAGGATTGCTGCTATTTAATATGGTCTTTGTTTAAACATGTTACCTCTAAGAAGAAATACATAGGAGTGCTTTCCATGTAATTTTCTGCAGTGATGGAAATGTTCATTATAGGCACTGTCGAGTAGGTAGCCACCAACCACATGTGGCTTTTGAGCACTTGAATGTGGCTTGTGCGACTAAGGAACTGAATTTTAAGTTTTATTTAGTTTAAGTAGTTTAAATAACAACATGTGGCTGGTGGCTTCTGGATTACACAGCACCGTCATAGAGTATTGGCAATGCCCTAGCATACTAATGAGGAAGAAAATGTGGTCTTGGCCAGGAAGAAAATGTGGTCTTGGCCCCCTTGGCCAACCCAGGGGGTTCAGGAAGGGCATCATTTGACCCATGAAGCAAATACGGAAAATACTTTGTGGTGAACTGATAAGCTGGTGTTGGTGACTTGGGGGGCACTTCCTGATTCTTTATCCAGGTTCTTGTCAGTTGGATAGATGTCTCCTTCATCAGCAAGCATTGGTCCTGCTAGATGTTCCCAAGTGGCTGTTGGGGGCTGGGTTGTGGGTGGGGCAGTGGGAGGAGATTCCTGTTAACCGGATTCAGGATCTAGCTGAAAGGACTTTCACTTTGAGTGGAAGCTCAGCAGTGTGAGCCCTTTGTCTTCGGTCTGTCCACCTACCAGTGTGTGGATTCTTTGCCTCTCTTGATATGTTTTGCAGCCTTGATGATTGAGAGGTGTCTCCATGGGTTATGATGAGGGTGGTGATGTGCTGTTTTTTTAGCTGCAAAATGCTTCCTTGGAAATTCTGATTCATGCTCCACCCTCATCCCCAGAATCATTATCACAGTGATGTTCTATACCTCACGCTCTTTGGAGGTGGAAGAGAGAAATTTAAATAGAACAACTCAAAATCAAACCATAAGCAGCAAAATAGTCTTCAGTATCCAATAGGCAAATGTCCTATGATTTCACTCTTGCCCACGTGTTGGCTGTTTATCAAAAAAGTTTCCCTTGGATGACATTTTACTTACACAATAGGACAAATAGTGTTTGAGCTATAGGAGATACTTTGCATGTGAAAGGTGTTACGTATTCACCTATCTCCTTGCTAGGTTTCTAGTCCACACCTGTGACGCTAAAAGGTTCTGCGTCACTACAAAATTAAAACTCAGCTATACAAATGCCATTCTACTTTGAGAAGAGTGTAGTAAATAATTGTTTATATTGTTTTGGAAGGTCAGAAAATCACTATATATAAAATAAATTTAATAAGTAAAAATTTAACATGTGTTATAATTAAGAAATTTTATATATACATATATTTTTCAAAATATTAATATTTTCAGTGACATTTCTTTCATCTTGGTTTCTTGCGCACCCGTTGCTTTTATCATTGATTCTGTCTGTGCTTGGATCTGCCCGTTTTTCATTTGACTATTTCCCAATAAAATTTACCAATAGCTCCAATTTGGTGTTGATATATGCTTGTTTCCTAAAAGTTATATATAGTATGATTTAAAAACATTTTTGGAAAGGAAATTCACTTCTATTTGCTGATGGCAGCAGCAGTTTTAGTGATTCTCTGAATAAAACAGACTTGATGCAGGCCTTTAATATTTTGTCCTCACTAGTAAGCTGCTGTTTCATTCATTCATTCATTTCTTTCATCTTTGGGAACTGTCACTAAAATGTTTTGTAGAAGAAGTTTACTCCTCTCAGTCTATAAAAGGATTTTTTTCATCTGTTAAATGAGGAGGGGTTTGGATTAGAAGGTCTTCAGAGTGCTTCCTAACTCTGAAATGTTTGTAATTGGTTTCACAGTGTGCCTCTAATGTTGATGATTCTGTTAGTTGAGTGGTCTCGTTGTGACCCCTCCTCACCCCCAAACACATGCATCTTCTGAACTGTCCTTTAGTTCACATCTCAGAAAATGCTGGCCAATAGGGCACTGAGTAGAAACTTGAATTACTATGTCTCCATTATATGCATAGGTACCGTTTGCTACATATTCTCACATTTAGTTAGACTATTCCTCATCAGAAGTTACCGAGGAGTATTTTGTAAAATGGCAACCTATATTTTTAATAACATAAGCCCTGAATCTTAGTTCTTATTTAAGAGATGCATCATTTACAGATATATAAGCTCCATGAGGACAAGAGGGAATTTTGTTTTATTCACAGATCTCTCTCCAGCTCTTAGACTAGTGCCTGGATCATAGTAGGTGCTCAGTAAATACATTTTGAATAAATAATTGTGATTTGAGAGTTAATTTTTATGTAACACCAAATAAAACATAAATGCAACTTGAATGTTTATTACCCAGGTGATAATTATGAGACTTTAAAAAATTTCATTGCTAATTTGTTATTTCTGTTTCTTCTTTTTAAATACTTTATGCTGTCCAGTATGGAAGCCACAGCCCCATATGTCCATTTTTTCACTTGAAATGTAGCTAATAGGAATTGAGATGTACTGTAAGTGTAAATTACATACTGGGTTTCAAAGACTCAATACCAAAATACGTAAACTAGCTTATTCATTTTTTTATATTGATTACCTGTTGAAATGACAGTATTATGCATTTATTGGTTTAAATAGAAATTGGTAAAATGGATTTCACTCTTTTGGTCTACTATTAAAATGTAGCTACTAGAAAACTAAAAATTACATGTAATAGCTCGCATTTGTGGCCCATTGAACAGTGTTCATCTAGACACAGAAAATCTAGATATTGAGTGTAGACGAGAGGGAAGCTTTCAAAATAGGGCTTTGAATGAATATCTTTTATAGAAACACAAAATTATACAATGCAGCTGCGACTTGGGAAAGTGGGCATTCAGATGGTCTTGATCAAATTTAAAAAAAGGACCAAAACAAATTAATTAGATTATCTCAAATCAGAAATATGAAATGCAGCTACCAGATGGATTCCTGGCATAGTTGCCAGCTGGGTCTTGAGGTCAGAAAAGGGGCAGGAAGGCGTTGGTGGCTGTCCCAGTGAGCGGTCACTAATGGCAGACTGCAAAGCCAGTTTTTGAACTTCTCTGCCTGGACCTTACCTGAGCATGGTTGTAGTTGTGCCGAGCGACATGCTTAGTTGATACCATATAATGCTGGCGTTTTTCAAGCGTCTGGGAGATGGACACTTAGTAGAAGGGCGTAGGGAACAGGAAGAGGAGCACAGCCAAGGATCAGTATGGGTACTCTCAGGCAGGGCTGTTTTTCCCTACTCATGCGCATAGGCAACTTGTCCCTCTTCTGAATCTTAAGCTGATAAAAAGTTAGCACCAACTTCATCGCCACTTCTCCAAGCTTGATCTGACTCTGCCTCTGCCTCTGAGCTCAGTGGGCTTGCAAGAGAAGGTCACCAGTGGGCTAAGCCATCCACTCCCTCTGGGCTCACTTTTACCTGGAGCTGGCCTGGAGCCCCATCGAGTCAGTAGCATTTCTTCCCATAACAGTTGGCGGACCCTGGAGGATGAAGCTGCTCCCCAGGACACATATGTAGACGTTACTTTCCTTAAGCTAATTTGAAAGGTTATTTTGGTAAGTGGTTGGGCTGCATGGCTGGTTTAAGCTATTATCAAGTCCATTCCAGTATTTATTTCTTTGAAAGTTAGAATGAGCCTTGAATAAATGATGACTGACTGCTTAGCCTTCTTAGGAGTGTATTTAAGAATATTTGTTGCAACTGGCACTGGAGATGTCTACTTCTCTTTATTTTGGATTTTAAAATAGTTGTATAGTAAAGCAGCGTGTTTTCAGTAAAATAGCTTTCATGCTCACCTTATTTTCACCCATCTGACCTCTGTATTTGGAGAAAGTAGATCAGAAAATTCATGGCAGTTAGCGGCAGAGTGAAGAGACCTTTGACTTTAGTTGACAGCTGTCACCTGAAAACTACAGGCCTGGAGACCCTCTCAGGTGTTATGTCTGTAGTTCTGACAGTGAACAGGAATGTTGTTTACATTTTCTGTAAGCAAAATTCTCCCCTTGTTAGGAATGTGTTAGAATACGGCAGGCAGAAACAGAATTTTTATGTGTCTTACTGGTAAGTTCTCAGGAGTGTTGGTTAGCCCATTGTTCATTCCCATGCTCTTATGGAAGGGTGTCAGTAGAATTTATGACTGAGCCTGTTTTTATCATCACTTTGGAAATTCTTCAACAAGATATTGTTTTTTTCAAGTGAGCTAGTATCACACAATGCTTAATGTCCTTATAAAAGAGAAAAAAATGAGTTAAATTCCAAAGATGTTTAAGATTTCAGTCATTTTCTCTATATGAATTAGGTCTTTATTAGGCCGTTGATTTAATTAGTGTTCAACAAAAACACTTTCCTGTTTAGATTGTCAACGCATTCTTTAAATTAGTTATTTTAATCTGACACAGGATCTGTTAGGAAGAGTTTGAATAAGATGCAGCATGTTACATAGTGTACACAGTGCGCTGGAAGCACGTAGGGTGCGAACACAAGTGCCTGCCAACTTGTCTCCCTTCCTGCTTAGGTCCTGCCTTGTCCCAAAAGGACTTAAGGCAATGGTGAGGAGAGCATATTTTGAACTTTATTCTGTAAAAATAATTTTCAGTTTTGGAGAAAGTTGTATTTCTAGTTATGAGAATAGTTGGTGTCCACAAAGTATCCACTCAACTAGTTTTCTCTGAGTGGTCACGTGGGATTCTGGTCCACCAGAGCCCAGCATGCCTGCGGGTGAATAATGAGCCTGGTGATTGGGCTGCTCTGTGTCAGTGCAGACTGGGACCATGGTAGGCTCAGAGCCATGAGTGAAATTGGTCGTCTTGGACAATGAAAGCTTTTCTTTTAGTTTCTTTCTGAATCTTGTATATTTCTGCCATTAAACATAATGAAATTATGAATTTATTGTACTGTTCTCAAGGTTGCTTTTCAACATCATTATGAACACTTTCTTGTTAGATGCCTCTGTTGCAGTTACATAGTTGTATGTGGGCTGTAAATATCTAATTTGTATGAAATGACCGATTTTGGTATTTGTATAATCCTCTAGTCAATTTAACTAACTTGAGCTTTTCACAGCCCTTGGTGCTGCTGTTGCTCATCTGATTACACCGCTCAGGGGAATAAGGTTAAGGGCGGGCTGTTGGTAACCAGAGCATTTCCAGGGCTTTAGTTCAGCAGATGAGCTGCTTGGCTATATTCATACATCTGCTTGCCTGCTGTGGCAGCTGCTGCTGCTTCACGTTGTGTTCTTTTGTTCTGTTTCATCCAAGAATGGAACGCTAGGAAGTGTAGTGAATGGATTAATTTAAGGTTAAGGTTAGTGTTTTGCTTGCTTTCTAAGTAACCGATCATAATGATGCTTCTGGTAGAAGCTAATGAGTTTCTCTTAAAGTGAACTAAATTTATAAAATACAGCTCAGCGAGGGAGCTAGATTCGTATTGTTGATGGGGACCAAATTCAGATGTACAAAATACTGGCAGTTTTTATCATTGGATCCTAATTCTTTGTTTTCTTCCTTCTTCTCCCCCACCCCAAACTCCCTTCCAGGACCTATATCCAGACTTTGCCTGACACTGCAGGGTCCAAGAGAATTAAAGAAATATGGAATGACATGAAGAAGATTAGTTAAGGATTATAGGCTTTGAGGGCAAACACCTCAGTGAAGTGAAGCACAGGCAAGCTCCTGAGCTGTGGTTTGGAGGAGCCGTGTGTTGGAAGAAGATGGCAGATCCAGGAATGATGAGTCTTTTTGGCGAGGATGGGAATATTTTCAGTGAAGGTCTTGAAGGCCTCGGAGAATGTGGTTACCCGGAAAATCCAGTAAATCCTATGGGTCAGCAAATGCCAATAGACCAAGGCTTTGCCTCTTTACAGCCATCCCTTCATCATCCTTCAACTAATCAAAATCAAACAAAGCTGACACATTTTGATCACTATAATCAGTATGAACAACAAAAGATGCATCTGATGGATCAGCCGAACAGAATGATGAGCAACACCCCTGGGAACGGACTCGCGTCTCCGCACTCGCAGTATCACACCCCTCCCGTTCCTCAGGTGCCCCATGGTGGCAGTGGTGGCGGTCAGATGGGTGTCTACCCTGGCATGCAGAATGAGAGGCATGGGCAATCCTTTGTGGACAGCAGCTCCATGTGGGGCCCCAGGGCTGTTCAGGTACCAGACCAGATACGAGCCCCCTACCAGCAGCAGCAGCCACAGCCGCAGCCACCGCAGCCGGCTCCGTCGGGGCCCCCTGCACAGGGCCACCCTCAGCACATGCAGCAGATGGGCAGCTATATGGCACGTGGGGATTTTTCCATGCAGCAGCATGGTCAGCCACAGCAGAGGATGAGCCAGTTTTCCCAAGGCCAAGAGGGCCTCAATCAGGGAAATCCTTTTATTGCCACCTCAGGACCTGGCCACTTGTCCCACGTGCCCCAGCAGAGTCCCAGCATGGCACCTTCCTTGCGTCACTCGGTGCAGCAGTTCCATCACCACCCCTCTACTGCTCTCCATGGAGAATCCGTTGCCCACAGTCCCAGATTCTCCCCGAATCCTCCCCAACAAGGGGCTGTTAGGCCGCAAACCCTTAACTTTAGTTCTCGGAGCCAGACAGTCCCCTCTCCTACTATAAACAACTCAGGGCAGTATTCTCGATATCCTTACAGTAACCTAAATCAGGGATTAGTTAACAATACAGGGATGAATCAAAATTTAGGCCTTACAAATAATACTCCAATGAATCAGTCCGTACCAAGATACCCCAATGCTGTAGGATTCCCATCAAACAGTGGTCAAGGACTAATGCACCAGCAGCCCATCCACCCCAGTGGCTCACTTAACCAAATGAACACACAAACTATGCATCCTTCACAGCCTCAGGGAACTTATGCCTCTCCACCTCCCATGTCACCCATGAAAGCAATGAGTAATCCAGCAGGCACTCCTCCTCCACAAGTCAGGCCGGGAAGTGCTGGGATACCAATGGAAGTTGGCAGTTATCCAAATATGCCCCATCCTCAGCCATCTCACCAGCCCCCTGGTGCCATGGGAATCGGACAGAGGAATATGGGCCCCAGAAACATGCAGCAGTCTCGTCCATTTATAGGCATGTCCTCGGCACCAAGGGAATTGACTGGGCACATGAGGCCAAATGGTTGTCCTGGTGTTGGCCTTGGAGACCCACAAGCAATCCAGGAACGACTGATACCTGGCCAACAACATCCTGGTCAACAGCCATCTTTTCAGCAGTTGCCAACCTGTCCTCCACTGCAGCCTCACCCGGGCTTGCACCACCAGTCTTCACCTCCACACCCTCATCACCAGCCTTGGGCACAGCTCCACCCATCACCCCAGAACACCCCGCAGAAAGTGCCTGTGCATCAGGTAAGGGGACACAGAGCCTACCTCTGCATTGCAGTGTGAAATTCAACATGGCTAACTTGTCTGATCGAATTTTTCTTTAAACTCTATGAAAAGCTTTTTCATTATGAGTGCCTTAATTTTTATTTGTTATTGGCTTATGCATTTATTTTATTCAGGCATCAATCTCCCTGTCCCAGGGATTGTGCTAGATGTTAAGGATATGTAGATAACTAAGACTGGGTCCCTGCTGACAAGGAGCTGGGTCACCGCTAGCAGGGAGATGGACAGAGGACTCAGAATGCTCACAAGACAAACGCTTTTGTTTCCTTCTCTCAATTCTTCTTTATTCTTTCTCTTTCTTTGTGTGTGTGTGTTTTAAAAATACACTGACACTTGGTTTCTAGCAAAGATTTATGCGTGTGTGGTAGTCTCCTCCATCTCTCCTTTTATATTGTGATATTTTTCTTGGGAAGCTGCAAATCGTATACTTCTGTGATACTTATTTTACTAACTGTTGACTTTGTTAGTGTGAGTTTTAATTGCAAACTGTAGAAAATCACAGTAAATGATAATTCACAGAAGATGTTTGGTCTCTAAAAGATTTGGATACCCAGCACTGAAGTAGGGAATCTTCCTTTTTTGTAAGCTGACGTTTTTGTTATCATTCAGAATTTATAAAAGAACAGATTTAAGTTTATCATATTCACAAAGACATCTTTCCATTATAAATTTTGTTGTTTATGCCCTAGGTCTGTGAAAGATAAATTAATGCCTGTGTATACAGATTATTCTTAGTGCTATTCAAAAATATATACTGATTATCTACCAGAATTGCAGCTCTGTTTTTGGGGTGCACAGTAGCTGATTTTAGAGCTATAAAGCATAGTGCTTGTTTTGATGGACTTATTATCAATTTTGGGGAAATAAGACTTGCATGTGAAAATACAGAGGAGTGAGAGACCAGGCATGATTATGTGACAAATGTCCAGAGAGAGGAAATAACCTGTAGTTGAGAGTGCTTGGAATTTGGCTAGGCCTTACCCCGGGGAGGTGAACCCAGGTCAGCAGTTGAGACTGGGGGATGGTTTGCTAAACAAGGGCACGGGAAGTCAAGCTTGCTGCAGGGAATAGGTTGGAAAGTATCAGTCAGGGCCAGATTGTTGTGATCTTGGATTCCTTTTTAAGGAATTTGGACTTAAACGGGGAGGGAGCCAGTGATATTGATTAGACAGTCCACAGGACAGATGGAGAAGGAGAAGATGAAGTGTGAACCTGTTTTCTAGGCCTTTGAGGACAGTTTGGACCAGAAGGATCAAAGTGGGAGCAGAAGGCATTGAAGCAGTGTTGAAAGTAAAAGGGTTTAGTCAGTAAACAAAGCCACTCAGGGCATCTCAGAGCAGCATTTTTTTTTTTTTTTTTTTTTTTTTTAGTGGTGATAATTGTCTTCTATGCTTTTTGTCAGTTCATTAAAAAAAAGAAAAAAAAAGTATTTTAGGCCAGGCACAATGGCTCATGCCTGCAATCCCAGCACTCTGGGAGGCCGAGGCAGGCAGATCATCTGAGATCAGGAGTTCAATGCCAAACTGGCCAACATGGTGAAACCCCGTCTCTATTAAAAAATACAAAAAATTAGTTGGGCATGGTGGTGCATGCCTGTAGTCCCAGCTGCTTGGGAGGCTGAGGCAAGAGAGTCGCTTGAACCTGGGAGGTGGATGTTGCAGTGAGCTGAGATTGTGCCACTTCACTCCAGCCTGGGCAACAGAGCGAGACTCCATCTAAAAAAAAAAAAATTTTTTTTTTTTTAATTTTAGATTCACGCAGGCATTTAATACAGAGGCTCTGAAGCTTCGTCCTAAGCTGGGCTGAGGGAGTGGAGGTCAGGAAGACTCCTGGGACCACAGGACAAGTAGTGGCTTCAGGGAAGCTGCCCTCAGCCGGTGGGCAGGGCAGCTTCCCTGAAGACCTTGGTGATCCTCATATAACCACCCTTGGTGATTCTTATATAACCTCAGGGCAGAACGCCTCTCCTCAAAGCGGACCAAAAGTACTGTCTCTGAGGCCAGCAGACCTGGGTGGCTTTTAGGACAGAAATGAATGTGACTTAGTTTTTAGGAATTATTATTTTCTTATTCCCTGGAAAGTTTCTTACTAAGCAAGGGATATTTTAGAGCAGTGGTTTCTCAGACTTCTCATTCCGACATCCTCTGTCTTCACCGGAGGGTGAGCACAGTTTGGAAGACACCCTGTGATTATAATCTGATCCCTGGATGAGAATTGTTGCTCTCCTCCAGCTTTCCTGGGTTTTAAGAGTACAGATGCCTCAGTGGGCATTTCAGAGGACATGTGTGAGTCTGTGGCGTTTGAATCCTTGACCAGTGGAGGCTCCATGCCTGCTGTGTCCGGTGCTAGACTTCAGGAGAGCCCACATGCATTCCCTCCTTCTTTGAATGTGTCATTATAGGCAAACTCAGGACCTTTACAGGGATGTAAACTAGGACATTTGAGGTATTTTCATTCTAAGTACAATTATGTTTTCCATTTTGCTCATTGATTATTTGCTTTCTTATTTCTGCTTAACTTTGCATCCTCTTCAGATTTTGAAACACTCAGTTTTGAACATAAGGCTAGGGAGGTGTGAAGTCTCAGGCACAGAACATAGACTTTAAAGTTAGAAAGATATGTGGACCCCAGCTCTATTGCTTATTAACCTGGTGATCTTAGGCAAAGGATTTAACTTCTCTTTACCTCAGATTTTTCATTAGTTAAGCAGGAAAAATAGCACCCAGCACAAAGGGTGTTAGATTAAGTGGGCTTAACATATACCGAGTGCCTAGTATAATGTCCACTCCATGGTATATATGTTAATTCTCCTCTAATTTTAGCTTCTGATCTCCTGAAGTGCAAACCTTGCTACATAATTATGTCATTTCCCATGTAGATACAATGTAAAATTAACTTTATTTATTTATTATTTTTTGAGATGAAGTCTCACTCTGTTGCCAGGCTGGAGTCAGTGGCGCAATCTTGGCTCACTGCAACCTCTGCCTCCCAGGTTCAAGCGATTCTCCTGCCTCAGCCTCCTGAGTGGCTGGGACTACAGGCGCGCACCACCGTGCCTGGCTAATTTTTGTATTTTTAGTGGAAACGAGGTTTCACCAAAATTAACTTTATTTTTAAGGATAGGTTAAATATTATGTAATACAGCCTTAGTTATGAAATAACTAAATTTGATTTGTGCAAATATTATCCCCCTTTTAGACTGTGTTGCCACATGTGAGGAGGATAATAATATGGGTAATTCAAAATACTATCCTATACCTTTAAAATCTCTCTCTCTGAATGATTGACATTCTACCCTAGGAAATATTTTTATTTAATTATGTTTTGCTTTAGAGCTACTAAAATTATTTTGCATTTTATATATGATGGAGTAGTGGCTCAATACTATACCAGGTATCAGGGAAGATACCAGATTAGGTTGAAATGTCCATTTAACTTGATAATGAAAATATCACTTTCAGGTAGACTTAACTCTTCTTGAGTTTTTCGCTTTTTAAAAATAGAAATTATGTTCTTTATGTGTTTCCTGGCTTCTGAATGGATATTTTCTAGATTATGGAACACATTTAAGTATCTTTAAAGATAAGTTTAACTTTATATTGAAAAGTCAACAAAGAAAAATGTTAGAACAAAAAGGCCACAGTTCATCAGATCACAATGTGAAAAATTACACATTTTGGTATATGGACATTTCTTTAATGGAAGTGCTAGACTTTTCGATTATTTGATAAGATTTACAGGGAAGGGAAAAACCCTAGCTTATATTTCTTTTTCAATAGCTAATTAGAACAGTTTTTCTCAAACTTTTCATCTCAGACCTCTACACATTCTTAAAAATTACTGGGGACTCCAAAGAGTGTGTGTTAGCTATGTGAGTTATATGTATTGATATTTACTGTCTCAGAAAGTTTTAAGTTTTTTATTGTTTACCTATGTATTTATGTCTTTCTTTATTTTTGAGACGGAGTCTTACTCTTTCGCCCAGGCTAGAGGGCAGTGGCGCGTTCTTGGCTCACTGCAACCTCCTTCTCCCAGGTTCAAGCAATTCTCCTGCTCATACTCCCTAGTAGTTGGGATTACAGGCACCCGCCACCACGCCCAGCTTTTTTTTTTGTATTTTTAGTAGAGATGGGGTTTCACCATGTTGGCCAGGCTGGTCTCAAACTCCTGACCTCAGATGATCCACCCGCTGTGGCCTCCCAAAGTGCTGGGATTACAGGCATGAGCCACCCTGCCTGGCTAAAATATTGATGAAAGTTTAAAATATTGATTTGTTAATTATTTAAAAATAATAAACCATTATGTGTTAACATACATAATACTTTTTAAATGAAAGATAACTTTTTAAAAAATGAAAGATAAGTTTTCGCAAGACAAAATTAGTGGCATTGTTTTATATTTATCAAATATTGATTTTCACATCTGCTTCTGAATGTAGTCTATGTGCTAGTCATAAGCCTCTGGACAAGTTTACAGCTTATTTGGAAAAAATGAGGATGAAAAAGCAAATAACATCTCAGGATCATGTAGAAATAGTTCTGGTCTCACAGACCCTACAGAAACCCTGGCCCACAATTTTAGAACCACTGGTATGAAGGAAAGAGTACAGGCTTTGGAGTCTGAGTTTTTGAATAGGAGCACCACCGCTTAACGTCACCACCTGACGTTAGTAAGGGTGTCAGGACTTCATTTCATTATCTCTGAAGTGAGGGATCATATGCCTTCCTGGTTAGAGGCTCAGTGAGATTAGTAGTAATGTCTTTTAAGTGCTTAACAGTGGGGACTCAAAAACAATACATCTAGCAAGTGTTCAGAATTGCCTGTTGCAGAGCTTTAAGAAGAATCTTACATATTTCAATGTCAAACATTTTCATAGTTGTTTGACTTTACATCCTTGGTTTTAGTGAACACTTATCAAATATTGAGGCTTCGTATGTGCTTTTCTTTGAGGGAGGGAGAACAATCTTGCTGTGTGAGCAGGAAGATGCAGGCAAGAATATGCCATGAAAAGCACACTGTAGAGATCAGCACTGATCTTTAAAGTCATTCTTAAAGTGGGCGAGGTGGGGGTCTGGGAGGGCTTTCTGGGGGCAGTGATGTCTTTGCTGAGATGTGAAGGATCAGTCTAAGTTGAGAGAAGGATGGATAAAGGAGGGAAAAGAGTTTAAGATTTAGGAAACAATGAGTGCAAAGATCAGAAAGCCCTTTGGGCCTTGAGTGTCCCTAGTATTGCTGGAATGTAGGTCTGGGGCTTAGTGGACAGAAAGCTGCATGGTCCTGGGCCCATGGCACTGGAGGGCACTAGGAGGTGTTTTCAGCATGGACACAGCACCATGGGGCTCTTTGCAGCACCCAGGAGTACGAAGAGGGTGGAGAGGGGGTGGAACCAAAAATGAAAGGTTTATCAGTACACTGTGAACATGGATGAGAACAATCTGCAAGGAAGGCACAGAGCAACATTTTGTTCATTTGAAGAGCTTATCTAAAGAAAGACTAATTAAGTGGATTGTTCTTAAGGTTACAGGCAAGTCCCTGAGTTTCTGGATAGAATTTACACTGCACAGTCCATAGACGTGTCCCAGATCATGGATTATGCTCTTAAATGGAAAGTTCTAGTTGAATTTTTAGGATCTGCAACAAGGTGTCCTTAAAATAAGTTTATTTTGGATACATTTGTACCTTTTTCATTAATTTGGTCCTGAAATAACAGTCATCATGAAACGGAAGTAGAAAAAAAATTTAAAAGCTACTAAGATTGAGGTGATAGGTAATAATTTCCCATCTCCTCATTTTCCCTTGAGATTAAAAAAAACCTGGAAGAATCAGTGGTACAATTTTTTTTTTTTTTTTTAAAAAAATAGCCTTTCAGGGAAAACCTTTTATTGGTAAATCTCAAGTAGCATCAATCTTATACTGAGATTCTTTAAGTTTACCCAGTAAATAAAGAATTACAAGGCCGGGCGTGGTGGCTCACGCCTGTAATCCCAGCACTTTGGGAGGTCGAGGTGGGTGGATCACAAGATCAGGAGTTCGAGACTAGTCTGGCCAACATAGTGAAACCCTGTCTCTACTAAAGATACAAAAATTAGCCAGGCGTGGTGGTGCATGCCTGAAATCCCAGCTACTTGGGAGGCTGAAGCAGGAGAATCGCTTGAACCCGTGAGGCGGAGGTTGTGGTGAGCCAAGATCATGCCACTGCACTCCAGCCTGGTCAACAGAGCAAGACTCTGTATCAAAAAAAAAAAAAAAAAAAAAAAAGGAATTACAAATTACAGACATGGGCAGAGTAATTGGCAACTAAGTAAATTTATGGAAAAAGGTGGCTGTGTTTCTTAAGGATTACGTATGCAGGTTGTAATCAGAAATAGACAAAAATACCTTTTTAATGGAGAGCAGATGTATCTTGTCAATACTACCTTTCTCACTTCTAAAGACATCTGGGAAAGATGGGAAAACAAAATGTCTCTAAAAAAAAATCAGCTTTTACCTAAGTGGTATTCAGGGGCTTTTGCAGGTATATGCACCTTCAGAAAACAGGCACCCAGGCTGGACCTCATTGGAGCAGGTTGCCCCATCTGGTGCTCACAGAAGGAAGGCAAAAGAAATCACTGCTTTCTCACTTGCTGTGGCCCACTGCTAGTTCTTCATGACATCTTTAGTTAAAGCAAACCATCCAGCCTTTACTGGTCTCTCTTTCCTGGGCCATAGGTTGCTCTCAACAGCCTGTGGTTTCTCACGAAGACTCTTAAAGTATTTCTTTTGACTACTTCAATTTATATATACTACAGCTTATTGAGTAACCTGTCTGCGTTTTTCCTCAACATCCAACAAGCTGGTTTATCCCAGAGGTCAGAATTATACCAGGTGTCAAGTTAAAGCACAGGGAAAAATCTACTCCATCTGTCCTTTCACCCCATAGTCTGAAAGCATGAATGGCTGATAGCCTCGCTCCTTAGATGGCTTTTATTTTGTAAAAGAGTATTGTTTTATGTGACATCAAAAATTTTGTAGGTGATAAGAATTTAGTTTGTTAGTTTACCTTTGAAGCCTGGATATTAGGCCTCTGCTAGGTGTCCCAATTGATATTCTTAAAAGAAGCCACTTTTGGTGCTGCATTTTCATCTTGGTGTCTTAGGTACCTTCATGAAAGGCAGTACCACATGAAAGAAATACTTATTTAGTGCCTGTTATGTGCCAAGGACTGTGTTAAGGAGAGATTGCTGGTATGGTGGAAGGCAGGGAGGAGACAGCAACCTCCACCGAGGTGGAAAGGGAATTTTGTTATTTAAGTATAACATTTCTGGCTGTCCTATCTTTGTGTACTTACTATGTTCTAGACCAGAACTGTCCAGTTATATGATGGGAGCTACAAATACAACGCATTTATGTTGATACAGATTTTCTGGTAACCACATTTTACCATTAAAGAAACTGGTAAAACTAATTTTAGTAATACATTTAATTAAACCAACATATCCAAGACATTTCAACATGTAGTCAGTATAAAAAATTGCTTGTGAGATATTTTACGCAAGAATTTAAAACCTGATATGTATTTTACACAGATTGCGTGAGCTGCATCTCAGTTGCTCAGTGACCACACATGGCTGGTGGCTGCATATTAAACAGCACATGCTAGACTCTTTCCCTATCAGTTGCTGCAAATTCTTTTTAAAAACAAGTCAGAGTATAAATAATTTTATTCACATGTAAATAAATGTAAAATTGTTAGTGTAATTATGACAGTCATCCTCCAAGACAGGTGTTACCCACCTTTGCTGTAAGGTTAAGGAAGTAGTAGCGGTGTTTTTAGGTATAATGAATAAATGCAGTACTAGGGGGTGTGCCTGTGTTAGGGATATTAGTATCAGTTCTTGACAAGATACGTTATTGAAGTTTGATTTCATTTGTTTGAGTTTCAAAGAAGGCTACATAAATGGTGTTTGTCCTGTGGGAAAAAATAGCGTGTTTGTCTGAAAGGTGGATTACAGACATTTTCAAGATTTTAGTTTTGAGTGGCGTTTGGATACTTTTGGTAGTTAATTCCTCACCTCTATCCCCTAGCTTTTTGCCTGTCTCTAATACAATTGCTTGTTTCTTCATGAAATTGACTCTCCAGGATAAGGGAAAAAGCCTTCATTTTTATTAATATGCATGATCCCCCCTCCCCATTTCTTTCACTTTTTTCTTCTGTGCTGCCTTTTTCTTCCCTGTTATAATAATCTTTCAGAACGGCAGTCTCTGGTACAGCAGAGCAATAGTTGGCTGAGGAAGAAGAATTGGGAAGTGGGTTAGGGGGACAATTAAGGGAACAGCATTGTGAGAACTAATCTGGAGAATTTACCCTAGCCTTGACATCTTAATGTTATTTTCTATTCTCTGTAGTTACAGCTGTAAATCTATAGATAATCCTTAAGTAGCCATGCAGAGATGGCCCTGGTATTTCCTTTGTTGCTGAATGCAGCTCTTGTATCAGTGAAGAAAGTCAGTAGCAAACTTGTACTTGTCCTTTTGCCTTGTAAAACTTTAGTAGTTTATGGTGTGTCACCAGGAGTGAGGTTTTATTTTGTTTTTCCTTCACTTAGTGTAAAAAATGGAGGAGAACCTTCGAGGGCTAGGACATGACTGCAGGAGTGGTGGAGGGCTAGGACATGATTACAGGTGATGGAGAACTTGAAGTTGGCAAAATGCCAAGAAATTGACAGCGTTGCATTTAAAAAAGTCAACGTAGATACAGGACTACCTGCATCATCTTGCTTGTTTTTTATCCTGGACAATTTCCAGGACGATGGGAGTGATGGCCAGGGAAGGCTGCAAGGCACTTCCTTACCTCTTATTTTAAAGATTGGATCAAAAACATGCCTTTTTGATGCTGTTTAATATTAATGAAGACTATAATATTTGTGATATTCTTTAAAGTGTATTTGTCCTGTTTTCCTCTACTGCTTTCTGTGTTTAGTTCTAAATCATTCTGTACCATAGGTTTCGGGAGTCCTAGACGTTAACCTTAACTATGTTAACTGTGTAACTTGGCTCACTGTGTGAAAGCAAAAAAACAATTGTTTTAGGGTGTAAGCAAGTGTTATTAATCTTAAAGAGTCTTTTTGTTTGTTTTGGCCATGGGTAGAAAGCATTGGAGAATATTGAGGAGGTGCAAGCAGTGGTGCTGGGAGACTGTGTGGAGGGTTTTTCGAATGGCAAGTGTTCTAGCTTAACTTATGCCTTTCCTGTCTAATCTATTCATAGACTGGCTGAAACAGGTTTGCAATATTAGCATAGGAATTCCACTCTCACCCATTTGGTGGGCTGTGAAGTGTTCTGGCCTCTTGCCAGCGGCTGCTCAGTTTAGGCAGTTGGGAGGTTGCAGGGTGCATATCCTTTCTTGTGAACAGGCAAAGAACTTTAGATCATTCTTTTTCTGAAAACTTTTTGTTTTTTGAAGGTATGTATCTAAATGTGCTCTTTAATGAAAGGGGAGGGTATAGACTTAAAATTCTTATTGAATATAGAAATACTTGACATTAAAGTTTGATTTTTAGATCATGTTTCTTGATGGACTCTTGTAACTTGAAGATTTTCTTCCATTAAAAAACAATAATAGAAAATTGTGGGATTTTTGCAATTTGTGATGTGTTTGTTTTCACTGTTATTTTTAAAAACAAGTCTAGCATGAAGAGATACCAAGTTTAACCACTTTGGAGTGTGCTAGAAATAAACTGTGGGGAACTAACTTGGAGAATTTACCTTGATCTTGACATCTTAATGTTACTCTCCATTCTCTGGAGTTACAGCTGTAAATCTATAGATAATATCTAAGTAACCACAGGGAGAAATGGAACTGGGACAATAAATAAGTAGAATATGCTGACTTTGCTTTAAATTGGCCCATTACTAAGCTAACTCCATTTTTGGCTGCTCAAATATGTCAGAGACATTTCCCTGAATGAGAGCTATTGAAATGCATGAAGACATCCCTTGGATTAAAGGAGATAAGTCAGAGTTTTTTAGGGAAAGTGTTTTATTTAAGTAAGATGCTAAGTAGTATTTCATTTTTGTCATCGATTTCTCTGAATGTTTTTTTCTGTTCACTTTAAATATATTTATCCAGACAGTGGAACATGTCAAGGGAGTAGTCATCTTCATACTGGAATAAGGCGCTGTGGGAACCCCTGTGCTCAGTGTCCTGCCTAACCTGACCTCTGATGCAACAACGTGTCTTTCTTACTTGAAAATCATGGTAGAAGACTTAGATCAAAGAAGGAAATAATTCAGTCTAATTTTGGAAAACATCTTTCCTTAGATGTGAGCTTAAGGCTTGCAGTTTTACTTTTTGCAAGAAAGTTCAAAACCAATATTCACACATAAATAAGGTCTCTAAGCTAGGATATCATTGATGAAGAAAACAAACAACAACAGTAAGAGACTAGCCATTCATAGAATAAAAATGAGCCCAATAATAAGATCAGTTTTTTGTTTTGTTTTCTTTTGTTTTGTTTTCTTTTGAGATGGAGTCTTGCTCTGTCGCCCAGGAGATGGAGTTTGCAGTGGTGCGATCTTGGCTCACTGCAGACTCCATCTCCTGGGCTCAAGTGATCCTCCCACCTCATCCTCCAGAGTACCTGGGGCTACAGTCGCCCACCACCGCACCTGGCTGATTTTTGTATTTTTAGTAGAGACGGGGTTTCACCATGTTGGCCAGGCTGGTCTCGAACTCCTTTCCTCGGGTGATCCACCTGCCTCAGCCTCCCAAAGTGCTGGGTTTACAGGTGTGAGCCACCGCGCCCTGCTGCAAATCATTAAATCAGTTTTAATAAGCTCCCCACGTCAAAGAGCCATGTTAGATGCTAGAGTGGTATTTCATACTGAATATAAATTTAATTCCAAAGTAAGTAAATGCAAAGAGACAAGTGTCAGTTTATTTCTTTCATTTAATGTTTTCTCTGTCATTTTTTAAGCCTCTCACCCCTCCACTATTCTGTGTAGTGGTCACACACTAGGTGGAGCTGCCAGGACTCTGCCCCTCACTGCTAGCACAGGTTGCTGGGCAGGCAAGAGCACAGAGTTGTGAAGACCACAGGCTTCATATACACTGAGAACTCCATTTAAATGTGGCTCTTCCATTTTTTTCTTAAGTCATCTTAAATGATACATACTTAACTTCCCTAAACCTCAGTTTCTTGATACAGTGATTGTACCGATTATACAGAATTATGAGAATTAAATGAGATAATGACTGTAAAATTTTTAGCACAGCATGTGGTATATGCCCAATAAATGTTAAATATTTTTTATTTTAACTACTGTTGTAGTGATTATCAAAATGAGCTTTTGGAATTCTTTCTTTTTTTACCTTCTACTCTTTCACTTTGAAGTAGACTGACTTTCCCTTATTTTGGAAAACAGGACATCATCTATCAGTGCCTTAAAAATCAACTTACTAGATTCTCCATAAGGCAGACAAAAATTCATAATGTTTTGTAGGGGGGAGCAAAAATTACCATCACACTACTGTATTTCTTTTCAGTTGAATCTCTAGGAAATATTACTGTATATAAAATACTAGCTGCTTTCTAAGTGTTTCTTTCTAACTTCAACCAAGGTGAAAACCATCACTTAGTTTTCAGAAACTTCAAATGGCAGGTTAAGTTGACGTCCTGTTTCATATTGCTAGGGATGGTCGCTGGTATTCCCTCTAGCATGCAAGAAGTTCATCCACTGACCTATAATATATGTAGTTCTACATAGAGAAAGTTCAGTAGTACTAAGTCTTTGTTAAGTATAATTTTAAACTTACAAGTACCTTAAATCCAGTGATCCACTTCATGCCCTTGTTGTTACTAGCATCTTACCATGTTTTCATGGTGTGCTCTCCAAAACCCTGAGATGAACTTATACTTTAGTGGATGGGTTCCTGTTGACTGGCACTGAAGGCCCTGTTGTGAACTCAGTTGATTTATGAAGGCTATCCCACTTAAGATTTTTATAATGCTTCTTTATCCTAATCTGTTTTTTTTTCTTAAAAAGTAACTTCATAGGTTTTAAAGTGTGGAAGACACAAAAGAATTGAAAGGTTGGCTGCAGTGTAATTTAGTAGCTAAATTTTAAAAAATAAGAAGGCAGTTCACATTTTTTCAAATAAGTAAGGAAGGTTTACATTTTTGGAGACAGTTTTTATCCATAAAAAACATTTATGGGCAGCACTGTAACACCATTGCCATTTTTTTTAAGAATTTACTATTTAGAGCGAGAAGAGACTTGTGTAAGAATTGAGCTTGGAGCCAGGTTTTCTCTGCAAGAAAGAGTGGTTCTGTCTTTGCTCAAATTTAAATATAGGGAGAAGACCCTTTTGTTTATTATCTTCCAACTTTATACACTATAGTTTTTAAATATTTTTAACAATATTTTAATGTATTTTTAAATAAAAATATTGGTAAAAATGAGATTGAAAAAAGTAAACAGAAAACCTATTTATCTAATGTCCATCAGTTGTAATATGTTTACTAAATATTGTGTATATTTTTATATGTATTTTATTGAATTGTAATCTATATACAATCTGTGTATTAAATGAAATGTTTCCTGAATTTTATACTATAGAGTGGTTGCAATCCAGGCTGTCATGTATGTTCAGTCAACTCAAGGTTTAAGGAAAGAAAACCCTTTTAAATATAACCGTGTACTGAAATGTATCAGAAAGTATCTAGGATTTTCCAAGTTATTTTTTAAAGAAGGTTTGCCGTGTTCTTTGATATCATGCTAATAATGAGTGTTTGTAGAAAATATATAACCTAGTACTGTCCGTGATCTTTCTGTCATGATGAAAATGTTCTATATTTGCTCAGTCCAATATGGTAGCCACTAGCCACAAATGGCTACTGTACCCTTGAAATGGGGCTAGTGAGGCTGAAGAACTGAAATTTTAATTTTATTTGATTTTAATTTAAATAGCCATGAGGCTAGTGACTTTCATATAGGACCACTGAAGTATAACCACACAAGCCAAATTATTTCAAGTATCAGAAAATAAGATGTAGAGCACAATTAAAAATAGAAAGGAGAGTTTTTTGTTGCATATGTAGCCAGTGTAAGCTTTGTGTTTCCACTTTTATTCTCTCTCACCTCTTAATAGGTGGCCCTGAAACCATGGGTATCTCGTGTCTTTGGCCTTGTGATGTAGTGATAGGATATAGTCATCTATACATGGTAATGCTGACATAAGTCACTTCATGATTTTTTGGAATAAATTTTTGCTGGGTATCAGCCAATTGTTAAACACAGCATATTGTTTTAACTAATGCAAGTATAGCATCTTGTTTTATGGTATAAGTGATATTTTAGAAAGTTGTTAATCCCAAAAAAGTCCCTGTCACAAATGCTTCATATAAAATATTTAAGGCCAGGCACGGTGGTGTGCACCTGTAGCCCAGCTATCTGGGGGGCTGAGGCAGGAGGATTGCTTGAGCCCAGGAGTTTGAGGAGGTTACAGTGTGCCATAATTGCACCTGTGAATAGCCACTGCACTCCAGCCTGGGCAGCATAGTGAGACTGTCTCTTTTAAATGCACACACACATACGCGCATACACACACACACATTTAAAATGGATGGGGTGGGTGCATTGCATATCTTAGTTAATATCCACTAGATTTTTGGTTTATTAATTAGGTCATGGGTAGGACCTTGATAGAAAATAATTTGCCAAATCCTTTAAGTCATCAAGTCTAAGCAAATATATTAAATGCCATTGAAGTGCTCACTTTAAAATGCTTAATTTTATGTTACATGAATCTCAACTTGATTTTTAAAAAGGGTCTAAAGTACTAATTTTACATCTTATTGCTGGAGAGAAGAGCTCCATTCTTTGAAAACCAGAAAAGAGGATCGTAGGATGAATATTCTATATTGAGTCTCTAACATTTGTCCTCACCTGGATGGAAATTTCCCACATTCTGCTGGGATTGGGGCCTTAAAAAATGACTGTAGGAAATCCAGCCCTTTATTAAATGAAGATTCCAGAGAGCTCTGTCCAGTGGAATTTTCTGGGATGATAGAAGTCTTCTTTTTGGTGTCCAGTATGGTAGCCTGTAGGCCCTTGTGGTTAGGAAGCACTTGAAATGGGGCTAGTATGACAGAGGAACTGAATTTTAAATTTTAATTTTAACCAACTTAAACAGCCATATTTGGCTACTGACTACTATTGGACAGTGCAATTCTAGAATCATAATTGGTAGAGAAGTAGTCTTCAAACTTTTTTGTCTCCTAAGAGAATTTTAAAAAAAATTCTCTTTTTCAGTTTGAATACATGCATTAAAATGTGTTTGTCTTCATGACAATTATCTCACTAAACAGGCATTTGTCACCTGGATGAAATGAAGGACTGCCCTCTTGATATTTATTAACTCTCTGCTTTGCTGCCAAGTGACTCTTCCTAAAGAGGTTGGTGTCCCAGAGGTTTTTATACTCCAGGGCAACACACTGTAATAATATTTGGGATGAGTGAAAGCCATTTTGGTAAAGAGAAGTGATTGTAAAAAGGAAGGTGGAAAGGGGGACTTTTAGAAAATAGATACCAAAGATGACAGTGTTAGTTCTGATAGAATGTATTTTGAGCCACTCTGATTTGATACTTAGATACCAGAACTATTCTAGTTAATAAAATGAGGCATGATTAGTATAAGAAAGAACACTTAACCTTCCTGCTACTAAGGCAGGTGGGGGCATTCATCCAGATTATTTAATATGTGAGACAAATATGTTCAGGTAACTGCTTGTCTGTTTATAATTGTTTTATTTAAAGTAATAGTTCTCAAATGTTTTAGTTTTGAAATCCTGATGCTCTTAAATATTGAGAACCCCAAAGAGCTTTTGTTTATTCTGGTTTTATCTGTTGTTATTTACCATATCAGAAATGAAAACTAGGAAATTTAAAAAATACATTTATTCATTTAAAAATAATAATAACCCCCTTATTGGTTCATTGAATTATGCCAATCTTCTGATTTTTGTATACATTTTTTTTTGAGGTGGTCTTACTCTGTCACCCAGGCTGGAGTGCAGTGGCATGATCATGGCTCACTGCGTCCTCTACCTCCCAGGCTCAAGCAATCCTCCTACCTCAGCCTCCTTAGTAGATGAGACTACCCACCTGGCTAATTTTTTTGTATCTTTTGTGGAGATGGGGTTTCACCGTGTTGCCCAGGCTGGTCTCAAACTCCTGAGCTCAACTGATCCGCACCCCTTGGCCTTCCTGAGTGCTGGGATTACAGGGATGAGCCACTGCACCCAGTCTACAATATTTTTTAAAAATCACATTTGTTGGTATTACCACTGACTTCTCAGAAAAGTCTTTAAAGATTGAGAAGTTGTTGAGCTCATGGGTGTTTTCAAAATTCTCACTTTTGTTTGAGAGCTCATATTTTATTATTGTAAATAAACACCATGAGTTACTTTCGTTGAAGTGATTGGCTCACTTTATTTCAAGAGAATTACTGCCAAATACTTGAGTCTGAATATCTGTGGCTTGTCTTTCAGTTGGACTTTCAAGTAAAAACAATATTCCTTAAAAAAACAAAAAGGGTGGCCCATTCAACTCACAACTCTAGGCAGTTGCGCGAGCGCTCTTCTTGGTGATAGCCTTCCTTGGTGCTTTGGTGAGCAGCAGATATCCTTCATGTGCACTTCCAGTTTCCTCACAGAAAAGATTAAAAAGGGGCAGGAATAACAAATATCAAGTTTTACTGTTTTGTCAAGGACATCTTTAAATGAGTTGGCTTACTTTTTTTCCTAATGTGAGTTGGTGGCCATTGCAAGAATAACAATTACCAGCGTATTTTTCTGTCACTGCCTTGATTGTGCTTGCACCACTGATGTAAATGTCAACACAGTGAAAAGGGCAGCGATGTCTTAGTATATTATGAAAAAGTGCTGATTTTGTGAATGTCCTGAAAGAGTCTCAGGGACCCCTGAGGGTCCACAGAACACACTTTGAACACTGCTGGTTTAAAGGGAAGTTACAAACAGTAACTTTTTCTTACAAAATTGAAAACCCATTTTTATCTAGAAAAAAAATCTAACTGTGTTTGGGAGTGGGAAGGTAAAGTGCAGCTGGGGTGCTGGCCACCACTGCCAGGTCATGTCTTGAGCAGGAATGAGTCAGATAGCCTGTGAGAGAAGGCAGCGAATGGATTGGTTTTTGCTCTTAAGCAAACCTATTGTTTCTGATGCTGTTTGCTTCTCTCCCTCTCCATCTCCCTCTCCCTCTCTCTCTCTCCGCCTCCCTTTCTCCCTCTCCCTCTCTCCCGCTCTCTGTCTCCCTCTCTCTCTCCCTCCCTCTCTCCCTCTCTCCCTCTCTCCCTCTCCCTCTCCCTCTCCCTCCCTCTCTCCCTCTTTCTCTCAGTCTCTCTCACTCTCACCTTCTGGTGAGAGAGCATTTATGGTAAACAACTCACTTTAAATTGAGGCCTGGTACTCCGTAATTGAGAGGTATTCCTGTTGCTCTGCAGAGGTAAGCCCCCGTCAGTCATGCCTAGACTCTGCTGTCCCAGGGAAGTAGAACCCACCATGTAAGCCTCTTCTTACTCATGTCTCTAGTATGGGATTTAAAAATTCTCTTAGTGAAAATCATGTGTTAAATAATGAGTTTAAGCTGGAGTGTGAAAAATAAGGTTGTTGAGAACGGAGGACAGCTATGTAGGGTGAGTCTTGGAGGACGGCTGGGTCTTATTGAGGTCATTCATTCATTCATTCATCCATCTATTCATCGGATGTTTAGTGACTGCCTAGTATGTGATACGTGCTGAGAATATAATGTTAAATGCTATATTTTTCTTGCTGCCAGGAAGCTCAGCTGTGGCTCCCACTGAGTGGTAAGCATGCATTTGGATTGCTGTGTAGTAATGTTGGTGAGAATGAGCACAAGTTTAGTTCAGGGAAGAGGTAGACTGTTCAGTTTGGGGTCAGACAAGGCTTCACAGAGGTTTTCAGCTTTGGAAATCTGAAATATACATATACTCAGAGTTGATGAGGCTTTGGGATTGACTTCATAAGATGGTCCTAGGAGTTGGTATCTGAAGACGGTGGAGGCCAGTTAGTACTTTATAGACCTTAAAAATATTCCCTATTTAATAAATGGTGCTGGGAAAACTGGCTAGCCATATGTAGAAAGCTGAAACTGGATCCCTTCCTTACACCTTATACAAAAATCAATTCAAGATGGATTAAAGACTTAAACGTTAGACCTAAAACCATAAAAACCCTAGAAGAAAACCTAGGCATTACCATTCAGGACATAGGCATGGGCAAGGACTTCATGTCTAAAACACCAAAAGCAATGGCAACAAAAGCCAAAATTGACAAATGGGATCTAATTAAACTAAAGAGCTTCTGCACAGCAAAAGAAACTACCATCAGAGTGAACAGGCAACCTACAAAATGGGAGAAAATTTTCACAACCTACTCATCTGACAAAGGGCTAATATCCAGAATCTACAATGAACTCAAACAAATTTACAAGAAAAAAACAAACAACCCCATCAAAAAGTGGACAAAGGACATGAACAGACACTTCTCAAAAGAAGACATTTATGCAGCCAAAAAACACATGAAAAAATGCTCACCATCACTGGCCATCAGAGAAATGCAAATCAAAACCACAATGAGATACCATCTCACACCAGTTAGAATGGCAATCATTAAAAAGTCAGGAAACAGGTGCTGGAGAGGATGTGGAGAAATAGGAACACTTTTACACTGTTGGTGGGGCTGTCAACTAGTTCAACCATTGTGGAAGGTCAGTGTGGCGATTCCTCAGGGATCTAGAACTAGAAATACCATTTGACCCAGCCATCCCATTACTGGATATATACCCAAAGGACTATAAATCATGCTGCTATAAAGACACATGCACACGTATGTTTACTGCGGCATTATTCACAATAGCAAAGACTTGGAACCAACCCAAATGTCCGACAATGATAGATTGGATTAAGAAAATGTGGCACATATACACCATGGAATACTATGCAGCCATAAAAAATGATGAGTTCATGTCCTTTGTAGGGACATGGATGAAATTGGAAATCATCATTCTCAGTAAACTATCGCAAGAACAAAAAACCAAACACCGCATATTCTCACTCATAGGTGGGAATTGAACAATGAGAACGCATGGACACAGGAAGGGGAACATCACACTCTGGGGACTGTTGTGGGGTGGGGGGAGGGGGGAGGGATAGCACTGGGAGATATACCTAATGCTAAATGACAAGTTAATGGGTGCAGCGCACCAGCATGGCACATGTATACATATGTAACTAACCTGCACATTGTGCACATGTACCCTAAAACTTAAAGTATAATAATAATTAAAAAAAATATATTCCCAGTTCCACCGTTGCCTTTTTCTGCTCTCAGGGTACATGGGAACTCAAATTCATAATCAGACCATGTTTGGTGCGAATAGAGTGGGGGCAAAGGGGGTTTATGTTTCTGAGGTTTATCTAGGATGTTCATCCAGGCTTCCCTATATCTCTGCCAGACAGCAGAGGTCTTTTTGGTAGAAGGATTTCCATAATCCATGTATTTTCTAGAACTTGTTGGCTAAATGGCTAAGTGAATGTTTTTTGGAGTGCTACCAGACCCTGCCCTTCCTGTTAATAAATAGATTAATTAATTAATCAGAAATTTTCTTAAAATTTAGATGTACATCTAAGTTGGATAAAGTAAGATCTTCAGGAGCCCTTGGCCAGTGTCAGTATAGAACATCTACCTGATAATTTCTTCTAGAGAACTGGGCCCACTTGGGCTTCCCCTTGGTAAGAGATGCTGAGGTTCTGGTTGGGCTGGTCAGGATCTGATATGAGTACTGTTGTATTCTCTTTACTTCCTTTCCAATTGCCATGAGAGGGGAGTCTCTGCCCCACATTTTTAACCAGTCCTTCACCAGACTCTTGGGTCTTAGTCTGTGTCATCTCTTCATGGGCCCTTAGCATGTTCTGTCTGTGTAGGTCCTCTCAGTAAAGTCCTTCTTAAAGCACAAATAAACAAAAGCCCCATCTTCCTCTAACTACTGCTCCAGGCACAGTGAACTGATTTTAGTTCTTCACAACCTTTTCACCCCTGAGCTTCTGGCACATAACACTCACCCCTAGTTTAGAAATCCTTATGTCTGCAAAGCCTCTGCTGACACTGCTGAATGTGGGGTCTGGGCTTCTCCTCCACACCAGTCTTGCTGTCTCTGTTACGATTATTGCTCCTCTGCACACTTTGGAAGGCAGCACAGCACAATGTTGAAGAGCATGGCCCTGGAGTCCCGACTCTGTCACTTAGTGAGCTGTGTGGCCTGGGGTGAATTACATAGCTTCTCTGTGCCTCAGTTTTCTCACCTCTAACATGGGAATCATACTTGGACCTATTTAACCGTGTTATTAGAAAGACTGAGATAATACATGTACTGTGCTTAGAATTGTGCTTGGTACATAGTAAGTTGTCTGTAAATTATTACTGCTATCGATGCCACATTATTACTATTTTTGCTGCTACTAGGACTCTGTTTTTGCTAGTATACTCTGTTGCCCCCACTGTACTCTGAGTTGAGTGAGGTCAGGGTTCCTGTCCCTCATTTTCTCTGTCGTAGCTTCAGTGTGTGGGCACATACATTCTATAGGTGCTTGTTGAATGTGTGATATGCTAGGACAGAGGAGTGGGAGCGAAGAGGGATCTTGCAGGGTGGGGAGACAATGGCATTCAGAGGCCTCCTGCTGGAGGACGTGTCTTCAGGGCTGAGCTATACCTGATGGCTGGAAGCTAGCCAGGACCAAGGATCACATGACAGTAGCACAGAGGCCCCGAGGGTTGGTGGGGGGGCGGCAGGGGGAGGTGGGAGAAGATGGGACTGCAGAGGTGAGGCCAGCAAAGAAATGGGAGTCATGCTGGGCAGGTCGGTCCAGTGAGGGGAGCAGGGTGTGGCCATATGTGCCGTGTAAAATTATCTAGTCACCATGTTAAAGAGCAAAAAGAAACAAGCAAAATTAACTGTGATATATTTCATTTAATGCAAGATATATCCAAAAGATTGTGTCAACATGTAATATTTAACCATTTCAACAAATCATATTTAATAGAGAAATACTGATGAGATATTTTACATTGTTTTTGTACTAAGTCTTTGAGATCTGGTGCTTTTGTACTTGTAGCACATCTCAGTTTGGATTGGCCACATTCCAGGTACTCAGTAGCCACACATGGCTGGTGGCTGCCACGTCAGACAGCATGGCTTGGTAGAAGACAGTTGAGAGGTAATGGGTTTTGAATTAAGACAGTGTGGGTGGGGAGCGGTCAGGGGAGTAGAACTTTACAGGATGACTGCCATGTCTCTTGCTTACTAGATGAGTGGTGACCTCCCAGTTGATGGAAGAATTTAGGAAAACAATGCAAGGTTTATTTCTTTAATATTTTTCAGGAATAAAGGGGCAGGAAGTAAGATGAGTTAAGTTTTAGAGTTTGAGATTTCGTTGAGACATTGGACCTTGTGGATAGGGAGCTTAGTAGAGAGTTTATGATCTTGAGGCCTGGGAAGAGGAGCAGAAGCTCTTTAAGCCCAGCATAAGACTCCCTGGCCTATCCCTTCCCCTCCTGAGCTGAGCCCACCACTCACTTGGACATCCTGTCACTACTCCCATCCTTTCTCTGGCTTGAGGGCTGTCTTCTTGGGCTTCAGTGGAAGATAGATAATCACCTCCCACCCCGACCAGTCAGTGGGCTGTGGTCAGAGAGGAAAAGAGGAGCATAGATGGGTCTGACTTCACAAACATGCCTTAACCTTCATCTGCAGTGACTGAAATAGTTCTTTCTTTTGTTCTTTCTTTTTTTTTGAGACAGAGTCTCATTCTGTCACCCAGGCTGGAGTGCAGTGGCACAATCTTGGCTCACTGCAAGCTCCGCCTCCCGGGTTCAAGCCATTCTCCCGCCTAAGCCTCCCGAGTAGCTGGTACTACAGGTGCCCGCCACCACGCCCAGATAATTTTTTTTGTATTTTTAGTAGAGACGGGGTTTCACCATGTTAGCCAGGGTGGTCTCAATCTCCTGACCTCGTGATCCGCCCGCCTCGGCCTCCCAAAGTGCTGGGATTACAGGTGTGAGCCACCGTGCCTGGCCTGACAGAAATATTTCACAGTTCATGAGCCATTCAGATTTTAAAGTTTATTTAAAAATTATGTACAATGAAATCACAAGCCATTTTGAATTAAAAAGAAGTAAGATTGAGATAGTTCAACTGCTACTGGAAAATGTCTGTACCTTTTTATTTTTGATATCAAATTCTGAGATCTTTTTCTGGGTCTCTTTCTAGCAGTACTTTTGTTTGGCAGTGTCTCTGGGAATGAGATGAGGGATTGCAATTAGTTCATGGCAGAAAGGGAATATTTGTTGCTTGTTGACTCTTATTTAGAATATTCAAAGATGAGGTAAGAAGCTCATCCATCTATTCAGCCATTCATTCATTCATTCATTCACCAGTCAACATTGTTGTGCATTTACAATGTGCTGGATGCTATGTGAGGTCCTGAAGGTATTCTCCCCTTTAAAAATCCCAGTTACCATGTAGTGATGTAACTGTAACAAAGAGATAAATGCAGACTTGTATGGGAGAAGAAATGCAGGGCCAGGAAGGAAGGTGAAGCTTGAGCCAGGTGAAAGGGGTGATGAAGGAGAAACTTACGCAGACATAGTACAGAACATGTAGCTTTCATAGAACAGCAAATGTTGCAATATTGCCTTGAAACAGTCTTCAAAATGTGCTTTCATTTATGTGTGCATTTGTTAGTTCTACAAAAGGTTCAAGGCACTGTGTTGAGCGCTCTGGAGGTGCAGCTGCTTTAAGGTGTAAATGCACGAGGCAGCATGAGTGCCCTTTTCAAGAGCAGAGAGCACATGAGCAGCTGCAGTACCCAGACTGAGGAGATGTGACATCCACATTAACATTTGAAGGTGTCGTGGGACTTTGATATTCCACCCGCAGACAATAGGCCTCTGGTATGTGTCAGTCCCTGCATTAGATGTTGGGGATATGCATACACACACACACACACACACACACACGCACACGCATGCATGCACACACACATGTATTTATATATGTGCATACACACACACCCCACACACATATGCATGCATGCACGCACGTGTATTTATATACATGCATACACACACACACACGTATGTATATATAAATGACAAGAGTATAACATGCTGCTGTCCTTCAGCCCCTCACAGTCCAGAGGACCTAATAATAGTCAGACAACATGATGTATGTTACTTGGCCTTGTGGGAGCACTTGACTCCACCTGGAGAGATTGGGGAAGGCCTTGGGAAGAGGTTATATTTAAACTGAGTTTTGAAGGTTGAGTAGGAATTAACTTGGAGAAGAGAGTGGGAAAGGACATTCTAGGCAGGAGGAATGATAAATCCACAAGCACTAAATTGGGAAAGAGCAAAGTGCCTTTGTGCGGCTGCTGCTGCTGAGCTTGGTAGGGTGCAGCGTGTGTGGTGGAGAGGAGGACATGGGCCAGGAGGGCCGGGGGCAGCCCCGCACCAGTGGTGCTGAGGGTTTCAGCTTTCAGTGTGGTTCACAGGGAATCACCAGTCAGTTGTACAGAAGCATGGGCGCTTTACATTTTAGAATGATCTTGCTAAAACCAGAAGATTTGCTGACGAAGATGAGACTAGCAGGAGACTGTGCCATGCAGACATGGAATCCTGATGACCACCCAGACTTAAGGGAGAACATAGAGGAACCAAGTCAGGAAAGGACAGACGAGGGAAGAATGGTCAGTGACAAGATATAACAGAGAGTAGTGGTGTAGTAGCAAAGGGTTTCCCCAACTTTGGTTTTTGAAAAACTTCTAATCCACAGAAAAGTTAAATGAATAATACAGTGCACACCTGCTTATCATTCACCTAGAACTAACAGTTGCTAACACTTTGTCACTTTTGCTTTAATCTGTTGCTGTCATTGCCCTCCTAAAGGAAGCAAGGGTGGCCATGGAGATATTTTGGCAAGAACTCTGAGGGCAGAGACAGCCTGTGCAAAGTCCCTGAGGTAGAAGGATGTGTAGCTTGTTGTCTGCTGGTAAGGAATTGATGTGGCTGAAGTGAGAGAAAGGGGGGGAATTATAGAAGTGTTAGGGAGGTAGCAGAGGTCCATATGATTGAGGGCCTTGCAGGCCATGGTGAGGTGAGGACTTTAGATTTTTCTGTGAGGGAGATGGGAAGGTACTGGAGATCTTTAAGAGAAACGTGATGCGATCTGATTTGCATTTTGAAAGAATTGCTCAGACTGTGTAGCAGATTAACCAGGGTAGACGGTAGGGCTAGCAACAGGAGGTCAGGTAGAGAGGTGACTGCTGTAGTCCAGGCAGGGTCTGATGTCACCTGAATAAGGATAGCAGTGGGGACAGGCCACTAGGAGTGTGTCCTTTGTCTACATTGAAGGTGGAGGCAGCGTGATTTACAGAATGGATTAGAGGTGATTCAAATGTAAGACTAAGTGAAGGGTCAAGGGTGACTCAAGTTTTTGGCTTCTGCTACTGGTGCAGTAACAGTTTGTGGAGAAATCAAGAACCTGTTTTGGAATGCCTTAAATTTGAGGTGCCTGCTGGGATATCTGCATGGGTATATGGACTATACAGCTGAATAGAGAAGTCTAGAGTTGAAGGAAGTGGTGTGGACTGGAGAAAGGACTTTAAGAATCATTGACATATAGGTAGTATTTAAAGCAATAGGTAGATTCTCTCGCTGGGAGAGAAAAAAGCACAGATAGAGTTGAGATCCAAACTCGGAGGCCTGGAGCGCCCCAGAAATTATAGGTCGAGAAGTTGACGAGAACCAGGAAGAGCCTGGAAGATAGGAGGAGAGAGGGCTGTCCTGCATGTCATGCGAAGAAGCGAGGAGTGAGCAGCTGTGACAGGTGCTGCTGATAGGTCAGGTGGGATGAGAAAGGAGAGCCTTGGAGGGCACCTTGGTGAGAGCAACTTTTGTGGAATATTAGTGTGCAGTCAGAGCAAGTTCAAGAATGAATGAGAGGAGAGGAAGTGAAAACAGCAAATATTGTTGCTCTTTCAAGGATTCTGCTCTAAAGGGGAGCAGTGCTGGAGGAAGATGTGTTGAGAGGCTCAGTAGATGCTTGAAGAAGTGAAGAAGGTGAGGTAGAAGGATGTGCAGCAGGAAGGAAGGTCAGGTAGGAGACAAATTCAAAAGTAGGTTGGTAGGTCACTTTGGAGGAGATAGCTATTTAAATTAGTCCTTGAGGCAGACTTGTTTTAAATGACTGAAAGAATGTTGCTACAAGGGTGTTCTGTGTTAGAGTGACTGAAAGCCAGTGCAGAGCTTGCCTTGGCTGGTGCTCAGTGGCTGCCGAAGCTCATGGCACTCTGGTGGTGGATATCTGTGCTGTTGCAGCCACATGCTCAGCTGTGCTGGGAAGAATTTGGGTCCCCAGAGGCTTCCTGTCCTTAACTCCCTGAAGTCAATGCTGTCTCCCTGCCCAGCAGCTCTGTGCGGGACTCCTCACGGTGCTGGGACTCACTCTGAGTGACTGCTGGTTCTTGTCCTTTCTGCTTTCTCTTTCTTCTCCCCTCTCTCTTCGTGGTTTGTTTGCTGTGGATCTAGGACTTCAGAGGTTCACAAACATGAATGAAGTTTTTATACTTAAGCATAATTATTCTGTGCACGGTGAACTGTCTAATAATTATTATTTTATGACATATATTCAGCATAGACTAAAGTTACTGCGAGAAAACCTCACAGATGTTAGTTAGGTATCTGAAATGAGATGGTATATTATAGGTATGTTGTTCTGAAAGTTTTTTTATGGGAAAAGTAAATTGTATTTGAAGGTTTAGTTTAGATTTGTATTCTAGTATATTTTATTTTATTCTGGCATTTCATAGTTTTTCAAATCAATTTTATTTTTCTGTGTGTATCTGAGAAACTTCCTTAATACTCCCCTCTGAAATCATTTTTACTTCCCCCACCCCGTCTTACAAATACTTCATTCCTTACTCCATTTTCATTTTCGAAGTGTGGAGATAGTTATTATTGAAGCAGGACCAGAGCAGAGACCCCCAGATGGTCTGAGAGTTAGAAGAGACTTTATAGAGATCAGTTCATCCAATTCCATTCTAGATGAGGAAGTTGAGGCATCTTGAGTTGTTTTCCCATTTGATTATTATGATCAGAAACCAAACCTAATATTAAATCCTTCAAGGTTTACTATCCTTCCTTCTAACAACTTCTCTAAAAGGAGCCACTCACAGGCAGTGACTGGTGTACTTGGATGGGGTGGCTGCAGCCCTGCAATACCATGGGCTGCCCAGTGTTAGGGCCATCTGGGCCAGCACCGCTCAGACCCTGCCCTCCAACTTGTATTAGTTTGGTCCTTCCTCATTGAGATAAATTCGTTCTGCATGTTGTTTCCTGTTTGCCAGCTGTCCCTGGGGATTGTGGGGGTGGTGACAGATTCAAAAACCTGTGAGATTGCTCCTCAAGTAATTGCTATTTACATTTCTGAATTTGCTGTAGTAGAAACTGAAGAGAAAATCTTTAGGCTCTTGGTCAGTACTGGACTAGATATCAGACGACTATTACATTTTGGTACTACAGAGTTCATTCAAATAATTTTGAATAATAACGTTAAGCTACCATGAAAAAAAAAACCTGCACTCCTTTGTTTGCAATAATTCATACATAAATACTGCTAAAACACCCCATCTTATGTGACTAAGTACATTCTTATTCATCACCCCAAATTGTATTTTAAATGAGAATATCAGAACATTAAGTATTTGTATTTTAGGCTGAAATGAAGATATTCTGTCATAAGTCATCTAAAGTAATATGTTTTCAAAGTAGGGATGAATCTTTGATATAAAGAAGTTGAAATAGAAAAAAACCTCAAGTATAAATCCTTTTGTAATAGCATCTCTGTAGCATTTTTCAAAGCGTTCAGGTATTTCCAAATAAACTCATGTTTAAGAACTCTAACTAAGGCTGCTGAATAGATGCTAAGGCCAGGCTAAATCACACAGCCGTTTAAACTGAAACAGCTCAGTTCAGAGGGTACTGCTGTTTTATAACCATATTTAAAAATGTGTTCCTCTTTTACTCCCTCAAACTGGGTTCAGGGATATAATGGATCCCATTATAGGTAAAAGGTCTGTGACTCAGCCATCGAGCTACTCAAACTCTTGGCTGTTTTAATTGCCACCATTAAAGCTTTAGTACTTTTATCTCATAAAAATAGATATCATTGATGTAAAATGTGTGCCTATTGAAGATACGTGTGTACCTCTGCCCTTATAGTTAGCTAATCAACCATTTGAGTTTAAAGTTAGTTAGGTTTTATGCAGATGGGAACATGACATAGATCACAGATTTGTTCAGGTTTAGTCATTTAATTAAGAAAAAAATTCCATGTAGTAGTAAGGGCAATATCTAACTAGAATGTCTTCCAAGATGAAACTTATTTTGTTTTGGTTTGCCTTTTAACTACATTTAATTGACGGAACGATGGTGAATTTTTACTAGTCTCTTTCTTGAAAGAGAATAGTGTTTTTTTTGTGATTCTAATACTGTGACTTCAGTGATTCAAGGAAATACTTGAACCACTCTTCTGTCCCTATTTGACACATCTGTTTAAGTGTGGTAATTGGAGATGTTTCTCTGGTTGTATTTTGGTGTATACTTGTAGACAAAAATAAAGCCCTGCAAAGGGGAAAATACCAAAGTGTGAAGGAAACTTCAAGAACACACTGGAAACTAAATGTTAAGATGTGAAAAGCTAGTTCTTTCTGGGCTTTTTCTTCCAGTATTTGAGCATGTCACAGCCATTCATTATTCATATTGTGCTATGCAAACAAGGTGCAGTGACTCTAGAAGAGTTCTAAAATGAGTACATCTCAGGAAAGCTTAACTGCCTAACCACTGCGTACATACACATTGCTTTCTCTGTTGTGAAAATAAATTAGCAAATAATTGGTGGGACAGTTTATTAAGTTATTCTGTTCTGCAGTTGTTATTGAGGGATTGTATTCAGATAAGAGAGAAAATCTGACTGTAAAAGGGACTCAAATCTGAACAGTTCTAAAACTAAAACCTACTCACACAAAACATTTATGAGCTGATATACATAACCAGGCTTCTATTCTTGCCCAGCTGTGTAGATTCAATTATAATAATTTTCTCACTTGCACAACACTGCTGTTTGTTTATTATTGCGTTATTAGTTAGTGAATGAACCTCCCTCTTTTTGACCCCTCAGCAGTGTTTATAAAACACTTAATTGCTTTGGTGTCTTCTGTTTCATGTGTAGTTCCAGCTGGAAGGAGTCATGGGGACACAGTCCCCTCTAAGTGTTAAACTGACTGTTTGTAATATGCAGCAAACTTTCTTTCCAAGTAAGTATCAGGAACCTTTAATATTGCTTATAACACAGCTGCTTAGATATTTTTGCTTGAAAATGCAGAGGTTTTTAATTTTTTTTTCTTTTTTAATCTCCCTGTGATGATTTACATGGTAGTTAACTATCTAACTTGTTAGACTCTAGCTTTTTAAAATGCTCTTTTGCTTATCGTAGGCACTCCCTTTATCTCACCTGGACTCTTCCTGTCTGAACGGGTCCTACCTCTGCCCAGCTGTTACCTTACACCAAGTTCTCTTTGCCATTACATCTTCCACTTCTTTGGAGAAACTTAAGCAGAATTGTGTGAGCAACAACGATTAGGTAGTAGGCATAATGTTTGAGAATGTGGGCTTTGCCAGAGGTTGCCTGGTTTGAATCTTGATTCTTCTTATAACCAGCTTTTTGTGATGTGCAGCAAATTTCTTAACCTCTTTGAATGCCTTCATTTCCCCATCTGTAAAATGGTGATAACTTCACTGGTTGTCTGGAACAGTGCTGGGCACAGAGGTGCTCAGTGATATCACAGCAGTGGCCTCTTTACAAAGGCTTAATGAAGGAAGTCCTGCTGTGCTGTCTTTATGTGAAAGGATAAATATCTCACTAGGAAAGGGGAATCCTAGGTAGAAAAACAATTTCAGATGAGAGTTGCAGAAGATTTTAAAGTATACATTAGTTATTTATTGTTATGTGACACTTTACAGGTTGACTATCTCTCATTCAAAATGCTTGGATTGAGAAGTGCTTTGGATTTCAGATTTGTTTCAGATTTTGGAATATTTGCATTATGCTTATTTGTTGATCATCCCTAATTTGAATATCTGAAATTGAAAATGCTCCATTGAGCATATCCTTTGAGTGGTATTTCAGTACTCATTAAGTTTCAGATTTCGGAGCATTTAGATTTCAGATTTTTAGATTAGGGATACTCACTCTGTACCACAAACTTTATGGCTTAAAACAATATCTATTTCCTCTCTCAGTTTCCGTAGATCAGAGTTTGGGCATGGTTTAGCTGGGTCCTCTACTCGAGCCTCACAAGGCTGTAGTCAGACGTCATTAGGACTGTGTTCTCATCTTGACTGGGGAGTCTTGACTGGGGAGGAATCCATGTTCAGATTCATTCAGGTTGTCCACAGAATTCATTTCCTATGCTATATGACTTGGGTGGGGGGCTTCAGTAATTGCTGGCTGTTGCCTGGGGCCACCTTCAGCTCCTGAAGTCTGCCTGAAGTTCTGCACCATGTTGGGTTCCCTGGCAACGTAGAGTTCCCACCCTCAAGAAGGGTCCCCACCCTCTTTAAAAGTGTCCCCCAGTCAGACCTAGCCAGAATAATTGCCCTTTAAGTAACTCCAAACCAATTGATTTGGAAATCTTGATTACACGTGAAATCCTTTTACCTTCGCTGTATTCTGTTGGCTTGAGGGTCGCAGGTCCCTCCATAGTCAGAAGATAGAGATAATGGGGCCATCTTGGAATTCTGCCTCCCCACAAGATGTACGTGAGTTTTTATAGGACAAGAGTAGTCTGTCATTAAGCAATTATTGAAAACTAAATTTGCCAGACTCTCAATCTTTGAATCCTGGAGAACTTGCCTAGAGTGTGTAAATTAACTTTATCACTATGCTCCTTATAAATTGATTTTTTTTCCCTTCAAAAATTGTTTTGTTCCCAATTCTGCACAAACCCCTGGGATTGTTCAGTGTTGCAGACACACCTTTGACAGTCTTTGAAGTTTGACTTTTAAAATTCTTAGGAACAGCATAGTAAGTTACTTTTAATATTGATCCTTTTAAGGTAGTAGAAACTTAAATGCAAATTTGGTAAAAATTGCTTTTCCAGAACCAAATTCTGCATTTCTTCTTTCCAGTTTAAAGATTAAACATGCAAAGCGTTTTGACCAGCCAGGAAGCACTGCTGTTGTCTTTTGTTTTGCCAAGTTTGATCCTTAGTAAGCTGGGTAGCTTCAGGTGTGGGTGTCCACTGCCAAATTCAAACTTCCAGACACCTCTTTGAGAACACTATGGACCTTAGGGCCAACTTGAAACAAGACAGATGCCTTGAGACTGAAATAGGTTCTATAGATTCTCATTCCTGTATAGTTACTAAGGTGAGCCCACTAAGGGAAGGGCAATATGCAAGGTGATGAAGAAAAGAGAGAAGGGAGAGAATGAAATTTACTTTGTTAAGGCCCATGAACATACTGTCTTTGTCATTTTTACTTCTAGAAAATAATGTCCAGTAGAAGAACATTTGCTGATTTACTGCCATAAGGAGCTCAGGAATTTAGAACAAGAGGGTGAAAGTATGACTGTGTCTCAGATTCCTCTAATGGGCTCATATTTTGGTTTGCTTATGGTTAGTCAGAGGCACCATGATGTTCACATTGGAGACCCTGCGTTTTGTTGGGTTATTGCTCTTGTTCTGTCATTTCCATTCAGTCATTTATAAAGCAGCAACAATATCACCCACCTCACCAACCTCATAGGGTTATTATAGGAATCCAAGAGAAGAGGTATGTAAAATGTTCAACAGAGAAAATAGGTGGGCAGGCCTGCTGCCTCAGGGGGGTACCCCTCTGCTTGTGGCCTGGGAGATCTAGGAAGTTACTCACTCTTACTGCAATAAACTTTGTATTGTGTTGCATTTGTGGTGGTTTTTGTTTCTTCCCTGCCCAGAGAAATGATGGTTTCTGTTGGCCCTCTTTTTTCTCACAAAATTACTTCAGGGATAGGAGATGTAAGATCAGGAACACAGTCTAAATACTGGCATACCCTTTTTAGAAGGCTGGCACATGTAAAAACATCATTCAAGTCTTGTATAAACAAGCTAATTTTTGCAAGCATTTATGAAGCAACAGAGACACATCAAAAGCATGTTCAATTTAGCATTAGCTCAACTCTGTGCCCTAGGGGTGTGTGTGTAGATAAACAGGCTGTTTCAACTATATGGCCCCTAAGTGCAAGCCTGTGACTTCATCTGGTACTTTTCCTAAGAAGTAGCAATGAATCTGTGACAAAGATGGCGAAAACTGGCTTAGTTACAGTCTTTGAAATATAGTAGATGGTGATTTGGGGTGGGGAGAGTTTTCAAGGCAGGGCAAGGAGCGGGCTAATTTTTTTGTGGTTCCTGAGGAATTGGTTCAGTCCCTGGGACAAATTAGGCCTCGATATTGATTGCATTGAATTATGCTAGTGGAGTGATTTTTGAGAATCATAGTGGATAATGTTTGTTGGCTGCAAAACACAATAAGAATGCCAGTTCTTACCTACATTTTTATCTTTGGGTAAAAGGTTAGTGATTCTCTACAGCTTTAGTTCGGAACTAAACTAGAGTTCTTCCCTGACCCTTTGAAGGCAAAAATCTCAAATTTGTATTAAATTTTTTAGCCATCTTAACCTGCAGATTAGGGTTAGGATCTTAAATAGAAGTAAGGCCTTTATGGTTTTGGAGAAGGACAGCAGTCTACTCCCTAGGCTTGTGCTGTGGCTACAACTAGGGTTGGAGAACTCCACAGCCACTCCCTCTGGCTGAGGATACCACTGTTGGGGGTCCTGGTCACATTCCAGACCTTCTCACAAGAGGCTTGGTAAAGTATGTGGATTTTGTAGCAGAGCTCCTATGTTAGGATTCCAGTTTTGCCATTTTCTAGCTGTGTAACTTTGGGTAAATTAATCTTAAGGTTTCGGTTCCATCATTTATGAAGCAGCAATAATATAACTCACCTCACCAGCCTCATAGGGCATTACAGGAACTGAAGATGAGGTATGTAAAATGCTTAGCAGAGCACATGCCACATGTAACTATACAACAGATGATTAAAGGAAACATTCAGTACAGTGTTGCAGGATGGCTTTAGGACTGGTACTTTGGTGCTGTCTCTCTGCTCAGCACCCTCTTCCCATTGCCCTAGAAGGGCCAGGCTGGGGCAGCTTTGCTGGCCCAGCAGCGTGGCTCTGTGCTTGCAGAGCTGACCCTCGCCCATTGGTACCCCTGGGCCTGCAGGGCAGCACCCAACCAAGGGTGGACAACTGGTCAGAGTCATGTTGGTTGAAAACAGAGAGACAGGAAAGGGGAGAAGGCTGGAAGGGCAGTGGTGGGTATGGCGGAGGGTGAAGGAGCTGGGAGCAAACACCTTGCTCTCCTCCACTTGCGGGGAGCTTTGTTTCATTTAGAATTTCTCAGACATTTAGAAAAGGGTTTAGCATTGGCAGAGTTTCACTGCTTATGTTATCCCAGTCAATCTGACTATAGAAACACCACAGCATAGTGTTTTACACATTGTGAATGCTGTTGGACAGTTCCTGTGGTATCACTCCACTCCTAAATATGGAGAACATGCTTAGTATGCTGTTTCTGATGTGAAACTTTTCAACAGTAAATCTAACATGACTGCTTGGTTCATTATTTCCATTGTTTCAGATGCTACTAATTCAGAATGTGTTTATAATTTAGATGCCATAAAGGTGGCTCATGTTAATTTGTAGCCATTTAAGATTTTGTTTATATGGTGAATCTGTTCTAAGGACAGCTTTAAAACACAAGCAGAAAGGCAAAGGTTCAAAAACGCCTTCAGATAATTTTTCAGCTAGATGTTTCAACAGTAATTTAAACTTTTTATTTTTAAAATTTAATGATTCTGAGGTACATGCTAAGATAAATTATTTCATTATGCTATTTCAAAATTCATTTTATTTTACTTTGTAATTATCTTGACATATAGGAATATGTAACAAAAATTATACAAGTCATTCTTATATGCTTATACTACTTTATTCCTACCAGTAACTTAAATTGAGAATAAAATAAACTCAGCCAATTCAGTGAGCTGTTTCAGTGCATTTTATATAAAGTTATATTTGTGCATAGTGTAATATACTATCTTTTGAAACATTTGATAATCAATGTTTTGAGAAAGACAGATGGACAGATACACATGCTTACGTACCCCTGTGCTAGAGAAGGTGATGAATTTGCCATGCTATCACTATATCAGTATAATCAAAAGTATATTTTGAAGGACATTTTAATTCAAGATCTTCATGGAAAGAAGGGAAGCCATGGCTAAACACCCTTAGGACACTCTCTGTACTGTCTCCAGTGCCCCCTTTCCTCAGTCTATTAAGGGCTTGGAAAGTCCTGCAGTGAAGAAAACTGAATTTTGGTTAGCACAGAATTCTTTATTTTTGAAACGGAGTCTTGCTCTGTTGCCTAGGCTGGAGTACAGTGGCGTGATCTCGGCTCACCGCAACCTCCAACTCCCGGGTTCAAGCAATTCTCCTGCCTCAGCCTCCCAAGTAGCTGGGATTACAGGTGCATACCACCACGCCCGGCTAATTTTTTGTATTTTTTAGTACAGACGGGGTGTCACTATGTTGGCCAGGCTGGTCTCCAACTCCTGACCTCAGGTGATCTGCCTGCCTTGGCCTCCCAAAGTGCTGGGATTACAGGCGTGAGCCACTGCATTTAGCCTATCACAGAATTCTTTAAACTCATGTTACCTGAGACCTGTTTTTATGTGACACATTTGAATATCCTTAACTTGTTCTATACTTTTTGCCTTCTCAATTAATTCATATAGTCATTCAGTATAAATATGTTTTCCTGGAAATTGTTAAGAATGAGCTGAATAAAACTAACTGGCATATCAAAAGACTTGAACTCAGGGCCCTGAATTCATTAATACTGATTTTAATCAAGCAGAAAATACTTCAGTCCTTGATTCTCTTAAGAATATTTTTGTGCTTTTTATTTTATATCAAATAATTAAAGTTTATTACCCCAGTTGACCATTCAAACTACTATCCGCTCATCTTGATCTCCTCCCTTACAAAGCAGATTTTAAAAGCTTGCTTGTGAAGCATTTGCATGCCTGCAGCCACCCAGTCTCAGGCAGGATTTGTTGTTCAAGCTGGTTCCTCTGCCTCCCCCTCTCTCTCAGCCTGGGACAGTTTTTAGAAAGCCTCCCTGGTCTCAGCCTGGGTTAGGTGCTCTGCACTCTTTCCCAGCAGGTACTATGGCTGCCTTGTTTACTGTTAGAGCCTCAAATATTTGTTGAATAAATATATGAATTGGGTACTAGATACCAAATGCATCTTCTTTTTTATCAGTGTCATTGTTATAATCTCAATAGGACTTGCCGAAACGTTGCTAAATGCTCTTTTGAATCATTGCACACTCTTCTGGCTGAAGATCGAGCTTCACTTTTCATACCAGAATTCCTTTTTTGAAGAGTGTAGAGGGGTCAAGAACCTGGGGAATACTGGAAAAAATAAAAGTTAAGAATGTCTGTAATAAAAATGTGTCTCCAAAGCCATTTTTAAGATACCAAATAGTATGTTTCAGTCTTAAATGACTACTTGCTATTTGTATTTTCATGAGCCATTTAAGCAATAGTTTAGTGTTCTAAAAGCTTGTATTTATGTTACTTGGGACTTAATTGGCCTGCCTCTTCTTCACCAGAATCTTATTTTCTCTGAGAGCACAAGTGCCTCCTCCTCATTGCCTCCCTTTAGCTTAATTTGTGGGGAGGCTTTTGTTTTCATAAGTACCATGTTATTCTGGTCCGCTTGGTACCATCTTTTCTTTTCCTATAAAGCATTGTTTTGATTTTAGACTTGTTTGTATGTAAATAAACATGTAAATAAATACATTTGTCTGTAAATAAAATGTTTATCCTTGGGTGCCCTGTATGACAAAATGTTGGTTTGCAGAGATCATACATGTGGAAGCATTGCACACACTGTTAACATTGCATCACTTGCTCATGCTATACTCAAAATTGCTAACAGGCTGAGGCTTCAGCAGTGTAATTAAGGCAAAACATGATGAAATTAGATAGCTTTTTAAGCCAGAAAATGCTGATGAATTGTGGAAGAAAAGCACATTGAGATAAATAAAAAGTTGCTTTTTTACATATCTTTTCATTTTCTTTGATGATTCTTCTATGCATTTTGGGTTGGATTTGCTTAAAAGAAGCAGAGGGATTGCTCTCACTTCCCCCATCGGGTCTCCTTTGGTTAAATTTGCATCTTGTCCATTCTGCTGTTTTATATACGATAATTTAGTTGTATGTCTTTTCTGATTTATATGTTGTGAACAATGGAGTTAAGGAAAAGAACAATTGTCTGTAGCTTATGGTAATGTTTTCAACAAAACACACTCACCTTAGATCATTTTTATTTATAGTTTAAGTATCAGTTATGCTGTTTAAGTTCCAAAAGTTCATGGCAGTCTTTATATATTCCATAATGTTCCAAATGGGATATGGAATTATAGTAGAATATATGTCAAGCAGAAAGTTTGACAGGATGTTATTTAAAAATACCTTTGGTATCTAACATTCTCCATGTTTGCTCTAATAAATGAGAGGTTTTAGGAATGCCCTACATGGTAATATCAGATGTTAATGGCATTGATTACCTGTCAGGCAGTGGGAATTGATGGGAAAATGTCTGCTGTAAAATTAAATAGTATTAGAGAAGACTGTACCATGCATCTGGTGGGGTGGGGGGTGGAGGGGGGGACATGGCTGGGCCTGGGAGACTTTGTCAGGGTATTACTGGGAGCTCCAGGTTTTTTTCCCCACATGATTAAGGCAGGCCATCTGTTCTTTGTTAAATGTTTACAAAAACAGCTTTTCTCTAAAAGATTTAAGGAGATGTGGGTCTGGTAAACACTGTAATATTTCTGAGCACCTTTTTCACCCTATTTCAGATAGTACCAAAACATAATTCTGCTGCATATCAAACAGAATTAATACTTTTTTGTATTTGATCTTCACTTTTTTCCTCCTTATGCAAGATTAAATTTTTTACTGAGTTACTAATTTATTGCTTCATTTATTACTAAAAGGAGCATCTAACATGATTTGCATGCTAAAGTGTGTAAACTTTAAATCTTTTTGTGTTATATGTTTTATGCTTTTTCTAATTCATTACTGTGTGCTGGGGAATCTCTCATTAGAAGCTGGTGTTCTGTTACTGGAGCAAATGCCATGCAGATTAAAGAAAGGTAAACATACCTGGTATTAATTCTCCATTCTAAGTTTTAATCATTGTTTAGACTTTCCTCTTTTCCTCTCTTTCCAGAAACAGCTTTTTCTTTCATTTCCTGAAAAATAGCTTGTCCCAAATAAGTTTGATCTCCGTGTCCTGTGCAAAAAAGATAGGGCTTTTTCCTTTTTAATTACATTAAGGAATAATATGTACAAACTAACTCAACTTATGCAAACTAAATATAAAACAGTTAAATCAGGTCCATTGATACTTAGGTAGTGATAATTTGGACAGTGCCTCTGTTGATGTGTAAGAGTGTTTGTGAGGAAAGGATAGAGGGGCAGAGGGTAACTTTGGCAGTGTTTAGTTAGTTGTGTTATCCCTGCATGGAAATCTGCTCATGTAGATCTACATCTGTGTATTCTTCTTCAAACTTTGACCTTGCCTCTGTGTTTCCTATATATCGTTACTCTTTTTTCAGCCTCATTCTCCCTTAGCTATGACCAGCAAAGGGCAATAAGTATTTTAAGATTTTTTAATGCCACAGGATTTTGGAAGAAACTTTGGAAATCACCTATCAATCACCTAACCCAAAACCTTCATTTTGCAGAAAAAGAAACTAACCCCAGATGGGTGAAGTGATTTTTTCCCAGATGATATAGCTGACGGTAGGGCCTGGACTTGAATTTTAATCTCTTAACTCAGAGTTCTGGGCTCTTTCTCTTACACCAGTGCAATTGAGTGAAACCTGTGAGCCTTTCCCAGAAAGATGCTGTGTAGAAGATGTTAGGAAGAGGTGGACAGAATCAGAAAGTACTAGAGTTAGGAAACTAGATTCAAATCTTAGCTCCGTCACTAACTGTGTGACCTGGGGTGGCCACATCACCTTCTTGGACTTTTCCTTTCTGAAAGTTGGGGGTAAATTATCACTTTTTTGTTATGAGATTCAGGGGAATTAACACATCTAGCAAACATAACCTAGCTTGGTGCATGGCATCAAATAGCCGCTCAGTCAATATTAGGTGTATTGGAATCGAATTTACAGTACCTGTATTTTAATGTTTGATTCTAACCTTCCTCCTTTTCTCGTAGTAAGCCTTGGCGTGTACAGTAGTCACGAGGCTCTGGAGATGTGGGCCTGGGCTCGTCTGCCTGCTCCTCTTCTGTAGGTCATGTGCTGAGGAGTGAGGACTCTGGAGCTATTGGCTCTGATGGCAGTCTCAGTTCTGTCACTTAACATCTGTACCTCCTCGGACAAGTTACTTCATCTTAGAGTGGCGGTGTCTTCAACTATAAAATTTGAAGAATCACCTAACGCTTAGGGCTGGTGTGAGGATTGAATGGTACCACGGTGTAAAGCATATATGCCTGGCACATAGTAGATCGTTTACATTACAGTTAGTGTTACATGCCAGAAGAAGCATATGAGAAAGGCAGGAAATGAGAGACATATGTAGATTTAATATTTTCAAGTATTTTGTTGAAATATAAATGTTCGTTAGATGTCATAATTTATGGTATAGATGATAATCCAGGCAGCCCTGCTCTGGTTTGGATGGTGAGCTATGAGGGAGGCTGTTGTATGCAGGAGTCACTTCCTCTGATCTTGGCTGACCACTCAGAATCCCATTCTAAATGTGGTTATTTTTCTACTCTATTTAAGATAGTCTCTGGGTGTATCCCTAGTGAAAGTCAAGAACCTCCCAAAGGCATGTCACATTAATTTATTTGGGTTATCTCTCCCTTGGTGAAATTTTGAAATATAAAGCCTTAAAGAGGTTAAGAAAAACATGTTCCACCTTTCATGTCAATGCAAGAAATTTCACCAATCCAAAATCATCAAGTTTGGGTATGTGCTTTTAATTTGATATTTTAATGTTGTTTAAACCAGAAATGACTTGTATTGTATTAGATTTATGTGTTATGTTTACACTTTTATTTCAGACTTTCACAGTACTAGAATCTTGCAATGTTCAGTATACTTGCTCATTTTAAAAATGGCTAAATTATATACCTTTTATTTGAGCTCCCATTCCCACATGGGGCTAGAACTCAACTTAGATGTATTCTTTGTGGCTTAGTCTTGGTGCTGTTTTGCCATTCACCATTTTCATGTAGGCTGTTTAAAAAACAGACAGTGTCTTCAGTTGAGTGAGTTTTTACTTCCTGAACTGATTTTTTTTTACTGTATTAACTAAAGTGCTATTTTAAAACTTTCTTTCTTAAAAGATTCTCTCTTAAACATACATTTTTTTTGGATGAGAGAAGCTGATAGATTCTACAACTGTATAGTTGGAAAAATATTTGCTACCTGAGTATAGAATAAGTTTCAGAAACATCAGCCACTAACTTTCAGTTCTTTTCTTTACTGTGAAGAATGATAAACTAATTTCAATTCCTATTTGTGTCTCTCAGCATTCCCCGTCGGAGCCCTTTCTAGAGAAACCAGTGCCGGATATGACTCAGGTTAGTGGACCGAATGCTCAGCTAGTGAAGAGTGATGATTACCTGCCATCAATAGAACAGCAGCCACAACAAAAGAAGAAGAAAAAGAAAAACAACCACATTGTAGCAGAGGATCCCAGTAAAGGTTTTGGTAAAGATGACTTCCCTGGTGGGGTAGATAACCAAGAACTAAATAGGAACTCACTGGATGGGTCCCAAGAAGAAAAAAAGAAAAAGAAAAGGTCAAAGGCAAAAAAAGACCCGAAGGAACCGAAAGAACCCAAGGAGAAAAAAGAGCCCAAGGAACCCAAGACCCCGAAAGCCCCTAAGATTCCCAAAGAGCCAAAGGAAAAGAAAGCAAAAACTGCCACGCCAAAACCCAAATCCAGCAAAAAGTCAAGGTAGGCTGTGGGCAGAAAAAACAACTGCAAAACATTGAGAGTACAGAAATTAGCGCCAAATAGTTACAGCCTATGAAATGAGGGGTGGGAGGGGACACAATGATTTTTGTCATCATTGAGTTTCTTTCCCTAATATCCAAACTAAAAAGCTAAGGCTTTTACGCATTCTGAAAGTTAGGACTTATTGTTGTGAACTGTTGATTTACAGACCTTACTGGATACAAATTAAAAATCAATTTTTTATATTTTTATGAAAACTTATCATTTAGCAAATGGAATGAAGTTAGCAGTATAATTATTTATAAGAATAGACCAGCAACCTCATTTTCAGTGATGATATAAAACTGGATAAGAAGGATTATAGAAGAAAGGTCACTATATTTCACTAAGCATTCCAGCCCTTCTTCCCAGAGGTTGAACCAGGATTGTTAATTCTCTCCACTTGGCGGAGTAAGCCTTCCAGGAGCAGGGTTGAAATCCTAGTGAGCAGCGCAAGAGAAATCAAATAGTACTTGTCCATTGGATATGCATTCAAGAGTAGCATGAATTTTAGGTTCTAGGGAAGACCCTCTTTCACTCCATATTCCCCCCATCAATTCTCTGACCGCTCCCCCAATTTCTTACCCCATTTATTCGGTAAGAAAAACTGAGAGGAGAAGACATTGAAGACTAATTTTTTTCATTTGTAGTGAATGTTTCTTACAACTGTTCTGAACCAGTTCCAGACATCTGAATCTGTTTTTCAGAATGTGGCTCATGTTAGAAAATATAGTTTCCAGATGGAACTATGGTCAGCCTTGGTTAATCCGAATCTGTTTGCAAACTCCATTAGAAAACACGCCCACCCCATACCCTCATGTGCACGTGTAAACACACACCTGTGCATGTACACAGTCAGTTCTGCATTTGCTGTGAACTTTTTGAGATTGCTGCCCTGTGTGTGCATGCCCAAGTACACAAACAGAGGAGATTAATTTTGTGGCTAGAAAGATGTTGCCTTGAAGTGAAAGGACAAACTTGGACTTGCAACTTCCTGCTAAAAATAATCTAAACAACTCCAAATACATTATTATGTGATGTTTTAAAAGTTTGGATCATAGCCATTTAGGAAATTTTGCCCTCAACACCTTTTATGGTGCCAAAGTAACTGAATTACATTCAGTAGCTCAGTCTTACAGATAACTTAATATTTGCATTTACTTGTGAATTTTCTTTGATGCCTCAGTGTGTGGTCTCCTAATTGAAAACCATCACTTTTCTCCCCCTCTTTGTGAACATGTTTTTAAACTTAACACTTTATAAAATCTGTTTTTATTTAAGAAATATTAAGTGCTTATTATTTGCAGGTACTGTTTTAAGAGTTAGGGATGTAAGGATGAGGAAGAAAGACATGGGTAGAATTTTAGTGTGACTTTATGAGGTAGTTTAAAAAATAAGTAATTACCTAAATCTAAGTATATGCTTTTGGTAGGAGAAAGCATAAGCTTATTTCTCCCAAGGAGAAAGAAATCAAAGCAAAAATCTTAAAAAGAATATAATCTTTTTTCTTTAACTTAAAACATAGGAGTCTGTGTTCTAAAGAAGCTTTTTGGAGCTCAGGAAATACATCATTAATATTAATCTTAGCATCAAGATATATATCTGATTCCAGCTTTCATCTTAATTTTTAAATTTATCACCTAATGGTAAAAATGGATTAAAAAAAGAAAATAACACTTTATATTAGATATTGTTATGAATTTCCAAGTATGTCTTTTTAAGTTCTGAATCTACATCAGACTGGCTCTATGTTTAAAAACTTACTTAGCATACCCTTACCTCTTGTAGAGTCCTTTGGGGCAGATATTAAAATGCTGTATTTAACAATGAAATTTGTTAAAATTTTCCCAACAACTGTAAGAAACTGTTTGAAAGTTGGAGCACCAAATCTAGTTAGTCCCAGGCATGCCATGTCTTCTTGGTGCAAATATAGACCCTGTGTTTATCCACTAGAGAAACATTCAGTGCAAGCCTCATAGGCTTGCTGTCCACCCTGAAGTATGAATCAGAGTCTGTGCAGAGTAAGTGTTTGGCATTGCTGAATCTGAGTGTTGGCTTTGCACCAGAGTCACAAGCTTTTGGTAGGAAGAAAAGGGTGTATTTTCTCTGAAAAAGTGTCTAGTACCTTCCCCCCTCCTGCGGCTTTTGATTAATAGTCTCAGTCAATGCCTGCTATAGGCAACAGTTATTTTTACCCTAAGTGGTGTGAAAATAATTGGATGGAACACGTCTGATGAGCCTGCGGATTTACAGGTTAAACGGGAGCTGCTGCAGTGTGGCCCAAAGACTTAGGATGCCACACTGGGGGGGGCGGGGCACAAAGAGTGTTGGTGGCACCTCTGTTGGCCCTGGTCACTTGACCACTTATAGGGCCACTCTGATTTACAATGAAGGGTGGTAAGGACATTCCTGAACTTCCCTGTTGTTGACAGTCAAACAGGGATGGCTGTCCAAGCATACGGTAGTTGAATTGAGGTTTTAAGTAAATTAACAAACCAGACCATTATTTTGTTGAACCTCATTGTTTCTCTTGATCTGATAAATTGAGTATGTCGCATTGTGGTCTCGTTGTTCTACTAAGTGTAGAAAGGAAACAGCATCCCTGGAGCAAGGATAACTAGAGTGCATACAACTACATGTAAATTCTGAATAGCATAGTAGAATAATTATGTAAATTGAATATGCAGTGATGAAGGTAATAGGGGGTTTGGGTTATGTTAGTACTGGGTTTGAATTGCCGTAGCAGTTTGCTTTTAAGCACTGGAATACAACAGTGGCAATTTTGTTTTGCAAAATGTTATGTGATACCAGTTATTTCCATCCTTGAATAAGTTAACTTGATGAATTTGTTTATACAGAAAATAATTTTCCTACAGAGAGCTAAAATAGAGGGAATAAACAGAACCGAAATGAAAAATTTAGCACAGAACTGCTGACATCTTTACTCTGCAGCCCTGTATGCCATATCATTGCTGTGTTGTACAAACAAGTGTGCTGTTCTTTGAGCTGGAGGTAAAGGAATCGGCCCGAGGGTGCTCTAGCTTTCTCTGTGCTGTGTCACTGTCAGGGAGAGAGCTTGGTCTGCATCACTTACACTCACCATGGTAAAGGACATGTGAAGGCTGGCCGTTGTCAGGGGCTGATTTTCCTTGTGTGTCTCCTCACTGTCTGGCACCCCATCTTGTTCTGTAAAATGGCAGAAGCTTGAATTTGTGACCATTCCCAGAGAACTGGCCTTTTTGACAACTAAAATATGATCATACATGTCTTTCCTCTGCAGGAGGACCTAAAAGAATCTGCCCAGAAACTGTTACATAGAGTGATGGTGAAGCAGGAAAAGATGTTCAGCATCACAGAAAAAGACATGTAAAACCTTGATGAGAAAAACGGGCCACATTCCTATTCTCTAATCAGGCTGTATCTTTTTTCCCTTTCCCGTTTTATGTTAAATATATATTTTTTGTATCGATTTTTCTAGTGTTCTCCCCAGTTGTCCTTACAGCTTTCAAATATTCGTTGCTAATATTGAAAATAACAGCGAAAACATTTGTGGGTTGGAGAGGATACCGTTTTGCATGTGGAAGGATTCATGGAGCTGGAATATGAGGATTTGCATCCTTTTCAATGCATTTTCTGTTGTGCATGCATGTGCCTTGTGAGATGAGAAAGAATTTGGAGGAAGTGCTTCCTTTGAATGACTCTTGAAGGATTTAATGGTCCATTTAGCTATATAAAGATTCTTTGAATGTACAGAAAGAAGGGAACTTGGCCAAAGATTGTGACTTGACTACTGAAGCTTAAGTTAAGTAGAACAACACAGACTTGCTGCTAATGCAGTTTCTAGGAATGCCTTTCATTCCTTGCTCTATGCTCTGTCCCTAGTATTAAACTTAGTAGAAAACTAAAATGTTATTTTTCAATTAAGAGTGAAGTTTTATTTTTACATGCTACTCTTATTTTAAAAAAACATATATAGTACGAGAAACATGTGAGGGTGCTTTTTGCAAATCATACTATCATTATCATTAATAGTAGTAGTATTTGTATAGCAGCTTTCTCTGAGGAACTCAGCTTTTCAAACATTGTTTTCTCAGTTACGAGCTTACAGAGTAGCAACGTTTACCTGAGAAATACTTTTACTCAGCCACCAAGTCCAATGGTGGTGTATTTTTATAAACTAATACATATTTTATGGTGTACTCTTGTATATGTAAAATTTCTTAATAGAGATTAGGCACAAAAGTAACCCATTATGCTAGTTTTGGTAGTAAGTACAAAAACCTAAATAGTCAGATATCTTCCTGTCAGGTACATGGGTAATAAAATAAATTAAACCCTCAGCCTTCCTTTGATTTTTTTTTTTTGTAGCTGTCCTGATGATTTTCTTATTCTTTATTTTACTCACATGCTATGATTTACTCTTGGTGGAAGACATTGGACATTTGAAAAGACAGAACTAAATGTTTTGCACCCTGTGCCTGTGGAAGAGGGTAGAGATTTCTTATGTGTGTGATGATAAATGAATCTTTGAGCCCTTTCAGTGTTGGTGCCCATGGACATAGTGTGGCTTTGTCTCCCGACCTGTCCTACCCAGTCTCTGGTTCATTAAATCCAAGCTTGTGCTCCCTTTCCTGCTGCCTCAAAGGCTGTCTTTTCTTCAACAAAAGGACCATAGCATCTTTTAAATCCCGAATCCTTCTTTCCTTTAGGGTAACCACCTCAAGGCCTTCCTTTTGCTAGCCAGCATCAGTGGCCCCATTGTGGCCCTTCCTCTATTTAATTTCATCTTAAACTGGCTGAGTAAGCAGGGTGAGAGAGTCATCAGCTGCTTTTAGTACAGACCCCGGTGTCTTTGACGTGTGTGGTTCAGTTCATATCCATCAAGGGAAGAGATTGCCTAATAATACTGACCTTGAAAGCAAGTTTGCCAACTCATGGTCTGTGCCAGATGCAGGGTGGGCTACACTGGGCCTGCTGGAAATTTGTTTCTGCCCATCCAGTGAACTGCAGTGGACTCCAAAGCAGTGGCCTTGTTCCCACTTTGGTTTATATGGGAGAAGGTGGTGTAGATCCCACTTTCAACTTCCACTGCACCTATCAAATGGAAGTTCAGGTGTAAGGAGGCCGTGAGCCGCAGTGGGATGTTAAAGGGAGATTTTTCTGGAGACACATTCCTTGAAAGTCCTAAGTGGAATTTTCAGATGGAGCGTATGTTGCCATACAGTAGATGTGGTTATGATGTTAGGGCTGGCAGGTAAAGAGCAGAAGGAATCATAGGCTGATTTTATCTTTTATTTAAATAAGTCTATATTTGTGAAAATGAAGTGCTGTTGAAAAATGAAATTCTGTACAAATGCAGTTTGCACCTGATATGTAAAGATCTTTATGTTAGTTGTCTTCTGCGTGGACGAAGGCAGTCTTCGGGTGCTTGTGCAAAGCCACTGTGCAGAGCATCAGTCATCTGAAATGCCAGCCCTCACTTCAGCCACCTTTATGTAGAAGTCTATGTGACTTAGCATTCAGACGTTAAATAGGAAATGGAGAGTGCAAATCAAGAAAAAAGACACTTCTTTTTTTTTCTTTAAGTTAGACAACACCCTTAAACTTCCATAGAATACTAATTTTATGTGTAGCCCTGACTTCTGTAGGAATAATATAATTTTGTGGGAGTTTGGTTTCTCCTGTTGGGGTGGATGGTGATATTTTCTTCTTTGTTGTTTTTACCATTTATTTAATCTGCCAAAGTCTCATCTCACCTGAGGCACCTGATTGAAATGTGGGTGGGCAGCATGGCTCATTTGTTGTGTTAGCCACCCTGGCAGATTAGAGACCGTAATGATGAATCTAGGGAGGGGGTTCTGACTGCCAGAGTCCCCCTTCCTACTTCATAGGATTGCTGTGCGTGAATAAGAGCGGCATCTTAAAATGTGGCACAGGGAGTCAAATGTGTGCCCTATAGTTTGGCACTTGGAAAGATACACTATGATAAAAGGCCATTGAAAGGCCTATTTTTTATATAGTTTTGTAGTGTCTAATTGGTTTAATTCTTTATGTTATATCTAGGAAGTGGAGAGTGTGAATCAAGAAAAAAGGCACTTTTTTTAAGTAAGACAACACCCTTAAACTTCCATTAGAATACTAATTTTTATTTGTAGCCCTGACTTCTATAGGAACAATATAATTTTGTGGGAGTTAGGCTTCCATTATAATGCCAGGTGATGCCACATAGCCAAAGTGTTAATGTCTGTGTTAAGCTTCTGTGATCAGATAACACATTAGCTAACTAGACTTCTTTTCCATGTTACTTCTGGCAGATCTGAATTTAATCCATAAAACTCGGTAACTTGTAGATTTTCTTTCTTTTTTTTTTTTTTTTTTTGAAACAGACTCGCTCTGTTGCCCAGGGTGGAGGGCAGTGGCACGATCTCGGCTCACTGCAACCTCAGGTTCAAGCGATTCTACTGCCTCAGCCTCCCTAGTAGCTTGGGTCTACAGGCATGCACCACCACGCCCTGCTAATTTTTGTGTTTTTAGTAGAGTTGGGGTTTCACCATGTTGGCCAGGTTGGTCTCAAACGCCTATCCTCAAGTGATCCGCCTACCTTGGTCTCGCAAAGTGCTGGGATTACAGGTGTGATCACTGCACCCAGCCCCAGGTGACTTTTTTTTTTTTGAGACAGGGTCTTGCTGTGTCGTGTAGGCCAAAGTGCAGTAACACAGTCTCAGCTCACTGCAGCCTCAGCCTCCTGGGCTCAAGCAGTCCTCCCTCCTCCCACCTCAGTCTCTCTTTTTTTTTATTTTTATTTTTTGATTCTTTCAGATCCAGACCTACAGAGACTTTTTTGTATTTTTTATAGAGATGAGGTTTTGTCGTGTTACCCAGGCTGGTCTCGAACTCCTGGCCTCAAGCGGTCCACCTGCCTTGGCTTCCCAAAGTGCTGGGTTTACAGGCCTGAGCCAATGTACCCAGCTGGTGACTAATTTTGAAGAACTTAAAACATTTATTAATAATTCTTCATTGAACTTGAACATTTATTGTCCATCAGTAAAACAGAATTCTTCCCTCTTCCTTTCCTGCTAACAGGTCTCCTCTTTCTTTTTCAACTAGAAGAGTAGGGTAAAGAATTTGTGGCTGGGGCTTAGGAGTTGAGGGTGGCGAGGCACCTGCTTGGAGTGAAGCATGTGGGTGCCAGGCCAGACGCCTGAGAACCAAGGGTGCCTGAGGCTGCTGGGTGCAGGATTGCAGACATCTGGGCAGCGCACTGAGCACTAGTGGGGCCTTCGCCAAAAGGGTACTGGATATCTTGGTGTGAAGTTGTTGACCTCTGGGTTTATTATCTGCCATTCAGAGTTTGATTTGTCCCCTTCCTCATTAGTTTATTCTGTTGTCCGCGTTTTATTACATTCTAGTTTAGCTGTTAAATTTTAGTCTTAGAACTTTCTTTAAAATTTTTATTTTGTGGGGTTGATTTTACTCTATGATGTACCAGATTTTATGCTGCTTTAATTGGCTTTTTAGAACTTCATACTTTATCTTTTTTAGTTTGCCTTTTTGTCTTTTAATTTTCTTTTTCATTGTCTAAAAAACTTAACCAAATAGTAGACAGGGCTTAAAGGAAATGCTCTGCTCTTAAGTTGAGAGGCTAGACACTCTCCTCTGCCAGTATTGAGCCCTTGGCCTCTACCATCTAGCTGTGTATTTTAGTGTGGCAGCTCAGATCATTTTAGAGTTGTATTTTGTCACAAACACCCTGCATCACATTCTGTGTGGCATCCCATGCCACAAAAACATCTCTTTTACTTCTTATCCATTAGGTTCATTTCTTTATTCAGAAGTCTTTTCAGGATATAAAGTGTAAGAATATGCTTTAATACCTTTCAGTCTTTAAAAGATTATAATGTAACATTTTGGAGAAGCTTGAGTCTCTGAAAACAAACCTGATTAATTCTCATGACCTAAGCCTCAAGGTTAATTTTTCCCAATATGGTGAGAAACTTCACTAACTTATCCCATCTGAAGAGACTGATTAAGAACTCCTTCCCATTGTCCAGACATTCTCATTAGCTGACCATATTCCCATCACATTTGGGTCCACAATGTGGTTCTTTTTCAAGTTTTCTTTCTGTTCAGGACTTAGATCTATTAGGCCGACACTAATCAATGTTTAACTGTGTTCTCTTTTGTAATAAATCAGGGCAGCTACCTGGCTTTCCAGTAAATTATGGCCGTTTGTATCAAGCTTTGTTTAGAAAGCCAACAGAAGGAATTGGTTATCTATACTGAATCCATCCAACCCCATTTCAGGTAATAGCACTAGGCCGTCCTTACGAACTTACAGTTGTAAGCTGAACATGACTACTTGCATAAAGGTAGATTGCCTAGACTATCTCTCCATGTGACATATACTGCTCTCTGAATATAAAGTTTGTGTTCTTCAAATGCCTGCTTCTAAGAGTTTGCATTAAGTTGGTGTATGCCTTGGTGCCATTGGGGGTGATTGCAGAACTTAAGACCTTGGTCACTTAGCTATGGACCCTGAGCACATCCAGCTACCCACCAGTGTAACCCAATTCTCATCATGAAATGTGAAATGTAAGTAAGGCTGGAGGAGGAGCAGTGGCCCTTCAGACCTCCAGCAGCATCCTCAGAAAATGTTCTCCATCTGATTACAAGGGCTTGTCTAAAATGAGGAGCAGATGGCTCTATATCTCATTGTCTTGCTTCATGAGTGGATGGCTCTGTCTCTCAGTCTCTAGCCTCATGAGTGGTTGGCTCCGTGTCTCTTTAGCCTCACAAGTGGATGGCTCTACGTCTCTCTAGCCTCGTGAGTGGATGGCTCTGTGTCTCTCTAGCTTCTCTAGCCTCAGGAGGGATGGCCTGCTTTTTGGTCATTATCAGTAATGATGTGAGATAATGGTCACAAAAGAGGTTTGTGAGTATGGAGGCAAGGTATGTAGATGGTATTCTTTTCTGTTGGTTTTTTAAAAAATGCTAGGTTTCACTCTATTTTTTTGAACTTTAGCCCGATTTTACTGAGCTTTATAGGCGTTTCATCAAGGTTGACGCTATGTGGGGGTTTCTTATATGAGTTAATGAGAAAAATATTTAGAGTAGTGCCTGGTACATACCCAGGGCTATGTATGTTTCTGCTGTTGTTATTGCTATTACTTGTACTGTTGTAACTAGACCAGTTAACAATTATAAGTAACCTACCAGAGTAGGCTCTAGAAATGTAAACGTAATAAGACACAGTTTCTTCTCTGCTTGAGCTTACATGATAGTTGGAGAAAGACACACATATAGTGCTTTGATTTTAATACATTGCAGTAATGTTACCACCAACTTTTGTGTATTTTATATATCCCTTGTATGGGGTACATCATGTGACATGTGGGTGGAGTGAGGAGATCATGTCTGATCTAGACCATGGTGATTAGAAAATGCTTCTTGGAATGAGTGGTGTCCGCGCAGGGTCTTGCAGATGAGTAGGTTGGGATAAAAGTGTAAGTAGAAGAGATACATGTGTGTTTTGGGGAATAGTTCTGTATGCCTGGAAGCATAAGAGGCAAAGGTTCTGGTACACCCATATGGAGAATCTCAGACATTATATGTAGAGGTTTGAAACAGAGGAATGCCCCAGTCAGATTTGCCTTCCAGCTGGTTACTCTGGTGACTTGAGATGAGTTTTCAGGTGATGTTTTGGTGGCATTACCATGATGCTGAGGTGGGAAATACAGGAGACAGAGCAGGTTTAGGAGAGGAATGAGGGCAGACATGATTTCTTCAGTGCTGGTGCCATTCAGGGCTGGAATTTACAGGTGTTCCCTGCACATGGCCTAGTTATTCTTCCAACTCACAGGCTGCCATGTGGCTGTCGGCTTGAGCTAGGCCCATGAGTAGCCATCACTGCAGCTGTTAGAGGAGTCTTGTGGTTCTGTATCTGCGTCAAGCAGCTCAGTGGCCTTATCTTCAATATTGCAATGTTGGTTTAAGGAATGTTACTTCTTAAAGACATTCTCATCCCCCCGACCTAGAACAGTGGCCCTTTTCATACGTTCCAGCTTCTGTTGTAATTTGGAAGAGGAATATATGTCTGTGTTTTGAGTTTGACATTATAAAAGACTAGTTTTGACCCTTACGGATATAAATGATAACTATGCATGTGGACTCTATGTCCTTTCTCCACCGGTCTGATGTTGTATAGCCCTGCATGTGGGGTGTGAGGGTGATGAGGCAGTGGGGAGCTGTTGTGATTAATAGCCTGGGCGGGAAATGATATGTGTCTGAACTAAAGCAGTGGTCATGGGCATGGGGAGGAGTGCACTGTGGGTCTGTTTGCTTGCTTATTCTTTTAGCTAGTGCTTAGGAATGTCGATGAAGGCTCTTCCTTCTATGTATGTTGCTTGGATGAAGTCATCCTCAGTGAAGGGGGTCCTGTCTGTAAGTCTCTGCAGTTGAATCGGCCCAAATGGGTCTGAGCCATGACCAGAGAATACTTTCCAGACTCAGCTGCTTGTTTTTCACATGGGTGTGGATGTTAACTATCTGTGCCATTTTCTCATTTAAACCTCATAATAAATCTTGGAAGACTGTATAAAATATTAACGTTATTTTACAGATGAGGAAACTGAGGCTCAGACAAATTAAGTAACTTATCCATGGTCCCAGCCTATAAATGACAGTTCGAACTGGAACTAAGGTTTGTCTTGACTCATATCAGTGCTCATATCCACCATTCTAGATTACCTTTGTTTGTTAAAAGAAAAATCTTGACTTGGATATTTTTGGACAAAGCAGTTTTAATACAACACTTAGTTGAAAAATCTCAATTAGCTTATTGCAGAATAGTAGCAAAGGCAATTTAATTTACATAACTTAATTTTGTCCTTGATGGAAATGTTGGAGGGTGGACACTGAAGATTTTGTTGCTTTTTTTTTGACTTCCTAGGGTGTTCTTTGATTTGTATATTGATGGATGGAAATGCTTAGCTGTCCGTTAACAACATGAATAGTGAAAGGTCTGATGAGTTTAGAAATCTTTCCATACTCAGATCTGGGATAAGTGCTTCCCTTATCTACAGGCTTTTTGTCTAAACATTTGGAGAGGGACTGTCTGACTTTCAGCTATCTTGGAGGTTCCATACAGTTCATTCTTGGGAAGGGCAGATGGAAAATCATTAGCACTTCTCTCCTTCAGCAAATTGATGTTTCCTCAAACCTGGGCTCTGGTCGGTTTCCAGATAGTAAGCCTTTTACTCCTGTAGGACCACGCATGCAGGGCCTGGCAGCCCTCTAAATTAAACCGTGTACATCGCTCTGGTATAGAGAGGTCACTGTGAAAAGCGCGAGCTGCCAACTCACTTTACCTGGCAGTGGTTCAACTCTTTGACAGGCCTACCTCTGATTTAAACAAATTTGAGAAATATGTAAAGTTTTGGAAGCAGTTTTGCACTGATTTGATAAAAGAAACCACAAAACACTGCAGCGCAGGTGTTGAGAATGTTTGAAAGCTGATTGAGGGAAGCAGATGGCTTTAGTCAGTGGCATCCAGCCAAAAGAGCAGGTGCTGGTCATGTGACCGCTGGTTACCAGGGTAATCTGATTGCTCTTGGCGTGCAGATGAAAGGAAAGGGGCCCAGTGTTCAGCTGTAGTATTGTATAATTTGTGGCAGTTAGAGCGGAAATAAATGCTGGAAATGGAACCTCATAGTAGGGGAGACTTCTGTCCATGTGTAGCGTAAACACTAGGACAGTTGGATGAGGAACGGTTGTATGGATTTTTTTTTTTAATTTTAAAAATATTATGCTTTCTGTGGATCTTTCGGAGACAGTTTTTAGAGCACGGCCTTTTTTCTTTTCTTTTAAATAAAAATAACTTTTTAAACCTAACTGCCATTTGCTATAATCTTGAATTGTTATTTTCTTATGTAGCTATTTACTATGCTAAAATGTTAACAAAATAAAACTCTGAGTATTAAGAATAACTAGTTTAAGATGATCAAATATTTTATTTAGTTGAAAAAATACATTTTAGGTGTGTGATGGGTAGTTTATTAACAATACTTTTGAAATATTTTACATGACATATGCTTTATTCTAAAAGCCTATAGATATCTTGGCTTCTTCCTTTTGTAGTAGCTGAGGGTAAAAACATGCTGTTTAATGCATTCTGTCAGCACATTTTCCTGAGAACTTACAAACTTCAATAAATAAAATTTTTGAAGGTTTTTGAAATACAGCTTTTGTTTTTCACAATTTATTGGAATTTGAGGCTCCCTAGAAATATTTTTTAAAAAATCATTACTGAGGTTGGATTATTTTCAGTGTTGGATAACAAATAGTAATTGGTGTTAGAAAATTTGCAACTGATGGCCGGGCACAGTGACTCAATGCCTGAAATCTCAGCACTTTGGGAGGCCGAGGCAGGTGGATCACCTGAGGTCAGGAGTTCAAGACCAGCATGACCAACATGGTGAAAGCCCGTCTCTACTAAAAATACAAAATTAGCTGGGCATGGTGGTGCATCCCTGTAATCCCAGCCACTTGAGAGGCTGAGGCAGGAGAATCGCTTGGACCCGGGAGGCGGAGGTTGCAGTGAGCCAAGATCACGCCGTTGCATTCTAGCCTGGGCAACAAGAGTGAAACTGTGTCTCAAAAAATAAAAAAAAAACTGGAGCTGATTTGGAAATAGAAATGGAAGGTAGCGCTAAATGTACATAAAGTCAGGTAAAGGTTCTAGAGGTAATGGCAAATGTAAAACATTTTTTTCTTGAAGTTTATGTCTTTTGTCTTATATAATATTCAAATTCTAATAACATTTGTCAGCAACATACTATGAAACATGCACTTTATTAGGGTTGCTTTACTGTATTTTTATATTTCAGAGAACTGTCTTTCAAAAAAAGGGCTAATTGTGATTATCTCAAAAAACACGTAGCACCAAAATAAAGCTTATATTTAATTAAGAACACAGTACCTACTAAAATTATGTACAACAGGAAATTGCTATGTATTTTTATTACATTCTAAAAGATTATAAGTTGAACAAAAATGTAACTGGATGGTATAAAAGAGGATACCTTCTAGTACTGGTCAAAAGAATACTTAAGTATGTAAAACTATCCACAAAAGGCACAAAGAGAAGATCATGATATCGTTTTTCATGACAATTAAAAAAAAGTGTTCTGTACCTTAAAAATTCGATAGCAAAACTACTTCTTAATCTGATTTTTTATTATGGCTTGATATACTGGCAGGCATTTTGCACAAATGTACTATGTGTGGTATTAGTTTTTGCATGCAGTTTATTTTTAATTAGGTCATATATTTGCTAAAAGTCATTAATATGGAGTTTTGCCAGGAAAACTTAATTGGGAGTTGCATTTAACTGTAAATAGCCAATATGTATGGATTTATCAGTTGTCATTGATACTTTTGGGATATTAATGTGGGAAATATAAGAGACATGCAGAAACACATTAAAAGTGAACACTAAGCGATCCACTTTGAATTCTAGTAATAAGAAACCTGACTCAGAAGCAAGTGCTTTGAAGAAAAAGGTCAACAAGGGAAAAACAGAAGGTTCTGAAAATTCAGACTTAGACAAAACACCCCCACCATCTCCTCCTCCTGAAGAAGATGAGGACCCAGGTGTTCAGGTAATACAATTATTGTGATTCCCGAGCCTTGGTTATTTGGCATGGGTAACTTTAGCCATGTATGAAGTACACAAGACCTCCCCTATCTTGTTATAGAGATGCTCTTGAGATGTCTTTATTGTAGTCTGGAACATTATCTCCATAGCGATGTAGGGAGGGGGAGCGGGCGTGGAACAAGAAATTATACTCCTGACAAGAGTGGCTTGGTTTTGCTATCTTTGACTCTATAATTAATAAGGCAAAGATTCTTCATTTATTTCTGTAAATGTATATTTTGCTGTTTATGTTATTAACATTGTTAATATACTGGCTCATATAAAGCTTCATTCACATTTTTAAATTTCTCTAAAGTTTGGTTGATTGTCACTTTTTTGAATTTTGCAGAATTAAAAATCAAGATATAATTTGTAGTAGCCTGTCTAAAGTTTCTGACATCTGGCACTCAAAGTTGAGATATAGTCATGTAATCTAATTCATGTAATACTAAAGTTTCTATGAACAAGCCAGTGACTTTCCAAATGGCAACTCTGCAGAATATTCTCCCGACTTTAGGAGAGTTTTATAGGAATGAGTTGAAATGCTAACCCTGAAGTAAACGTGAGGAATGTAGGTTCTTGTGTGTAAAGCATACTGCCTTCACTGATTGGACTGAGAAGGACCCTTACAAGTGACAGTTAAAAATTATTTCCTTGTTAGGTTCCCTGGAAGCATGCCAGTGTGGTCCACTGGGATGGCTGGGAATGTAACTTATGTGAATGACATCTAAGTTGTCAAGGAGCAGTTACTGAAGAGTTGTCCTGGAGTAGGAAGCCAGCCTCTAGAAGCTTACTGGACTTTTTCTTATTTAGTACACACTCAGGACTTTGCACCTGTACCCCCACCAGTCAGAAACAAAATATTTGTAGTGTGCAGCTCTGTTCCAAAGAATTTCAGATATTTTTGGCTTTGGCTTTTTGTTTGTTAGAGTAGAACTCCCTGATACCTATAACTTCACAGAATAGCCTTAAGCTAGACCTGAAAGGGAGGGAGAGAGAGATGAAGTGAATGAATATGTTTTGGTTTAGTTCGGTTTGGTTGTGTAACTAACAGTGATACCTTTGGCAGTGTGGGTTATTATGTAATTTTATTTTATACATCAATGGAAAGATATTGGGAAGGTAAGTAGATATCATTTTTTAATTGCGTAGGCTGTTTTACAACTAAAGTGTTTTATTGATTTTTGTTTTTTTACTGAGATCTGGTCTTACTGAATCAAGTGTTTTAATGATTTTGAGTTTTATTTTTATCCGTAAGGGTATTTTCTCCTGATTTATGTTTGCTTAAAGCAGGACCTTTATGTCAATAGTATTTGGACAACATTAAGAATTTGTTTGCATCAGTAGAGGAAATTCTGTTATGTTGTTATTTCACAAATACTGCTATTGTTTTTTTAAAAGTCTGTTTATATTAATTCAGACTCAGATGGACCTTATGAAATACTAGCTTTAGGGTTTTTTTTTTTTTTCCTGCTGCATTTCAAACATAGAAAACTGCTAATCAATTCAAGTGAACATTGATGTATCCTTTCTAATTGGCTAGGGCCTAACTGTTACGTGTTCAATAGCTAATATAAGCAACCACACAAGATCTGACTTTGAAAGCTGTGTTTTCTTGGTATGTCTGACACAGGAAGTGATGCTGACTGGTTGTTTATTATGTTTCTTCCTGTAACACATGCATGAAGGGCTTAGCATTAAAATTCTTGAGTTTTGTGATTGATTTACTAAGGTACATGTCATATAATTTTAACTAACTCAAAATTGTGTCACAAGGTACTGCAACAGTGAGATCATGGAAACATTTAAATGTTCTATTTGTTATACCTGTTTTAAGTATCTTTTCTAAAGCAATCCAAGTTTAAAAAGTTGATATATTATTTTAGTGTCAATTCAAAAGTTTTGAATTATGGTTTAAAGGCAGTTCTTACATTTCATTTTGACTCACAAAAATCTTTCAGATAATAATAGTTTACCAGATCACAATAGAAACATGTTATGTATTAAATAATTTAATTTTACATTGGGGAATTGTAAAAGGAACCTTGATACTCAAAATAAATGTAAGATCAATTATTATTTTAAAACTAGAGAAGCCACGTAACATTAAAAATTTTTATCAAATTGAGTTATAATTGTATTTTGGGGTGTTTTTACATAGGAAGTGACCTCGTATCCACTGCTAACTAACCCCATCACTATTGCACAGATTTATATCACAAAGTTGATATCAGGAGGAACTTACATTTTAAAAGTTATACTTACCAACTCATAAATTTCTATTTAAAAAGAAGAAAGCACACTGTCTTATTGTACTGGATGGAACCCTTCTTTAACATCAGGGTGGGATTTAGCATAAAGTGGATTTGTCTTAGACCCTATCCAGTTACTTATATGGCACAACACTGTGACAGTGGGGTCTTAAGCAGGGAAACCTGATGAAACATGGCAGGTAGATCACTAGGAGCACATTGCTTCTTACTGGAATGGTATAAAGATGGAAATATAAATGAATCCATTTAAATTGAGTTAAATTGACATATCAAATGAAATACAACATGTTATGCTAAATTTTGCAATATTAAAATTGTTCTTGATAATGGCCTTTTATATCTTGAAGAAATTGGTGGTCCAGAAGTGAGGAATGGTAAAGTGGGCATGAGAGCAGGAGTAAGTAGGTCAGCTTTGGAAAGAAAAGGGAAGCTGTACAAGGTAACTGGGCCATTTTTCTTTGGAAAGCTGGAGCTGATTAATGATGACTTTAGTCCTACTAATTACATCTCACATTATGTACCATGTACTGTTCTAAAAGCTTTGAATGAATTCCCTTATGCGATCTTCATGGTATTCATATGAGGTAGTTACTGTCATTAACCCCATTCTACAGACCAGGAGTCCAAGGTCCACAAAATTACTTGTCCAAGGTCACATGATAAGAGTCGGGGCAAGTTCAAACAAGAGCACTTAGCTCTAGGACTTACAAGGTCAAATTGCCACCTGGGATGTGGGAAAGTATTGCAGATGGCAGAATACTCTGCTGGAATCTCTGTTTCCTCCACCTGGGATTGATCTGGGCAGTGCCAAAGCTTTGTCCTGTAGAGGAGGGTCCCAGGAGGAACCTCTGGCCCATGTCACTACTCCCTCCATGTAAGCCACAAGGAAGTCTCTTAATAAACTTTTTCTAGAATGGTCTCACATCAGAAAAGTACTTTGCACCTCTGTGGCCACAGCTGTGTGTGGCTTGGAGCTAACAATATCTAACTATCTATTTGATGGTCATATTATACCGAGTTTGTATCGTGAACTGTCTCAAATCCCTTTTTAAGAGCAGGGAGAACATAAACTTAAGATTAAAATCAATCAGTCCCACTCTTTGGGGAAAAGTACTGGGATTGTGTTCATCCTGACTTGAGAAATGGTAGTGCCTGTCTTGCCTTAGGTGCACACAATGAATGTTTTGCCTCTCTCTGCCTTACTTTCTCAACTTTAACATTCTTGAGACTCTTTAAAAAGTGTTATTTCATAATTCTTAGAAAAAATTTTGTGTCAAAATTTTCCTCAATATTTTTATTTCTTCTTTGTGCTTTGCAAACTCATTCCATAGGTTGTAATATTCTTGAATTCATTAGCAGCTTAAAACTTTACATGTGTCATTTTCAAATTTAGATTTGACATACATATATGAATAAAAAGGTTATTTCTCCTTATTAATTAGCTTCCAAAATGAATTCTTTGACAAAACAGTTAAATAATATAGAATTACTCTGAACAGAGTTCAGAACCTCTTGTTCTGTTCCATTTGCTTCTCTCCCCATCTTTATAGCTATTAATAATCTGTTGTCTGTCTTTTCACATTCCTTATTTAAAGCCATGTACATATACATTCATCTTTTAGCAAATACTCATTGAGGCATAGAGAAGTAAACAAGATATACAGTCTTTTTGTCTTAAGAAGTTAATATATCGATGAACTGCACGTCTAAATAGATACACAACATTTTTTATTTATCTTAAATAGAATCTTAAGCTACTTCTTGTTATGTGGCTTGTTTTTCTTCTTATTTTACAATTAGTCTTGCAGATATTCCCAAACTTCCTGGAAGTGAAAGTAGTGAGTCAAAGGTCTGCATGTTTAAGTTTTGATAGATAGGACCACATTGTCCTGCAAGGACTGTGTGGGTTGCATTTTGACCACAGGATTGTGAGAATACCCAGTTTGCCAGTGATCCTGCTAATACTGGCTATTACCAATCTTTTTAATTTTAACCACTATGGTAAAAACATTATATTTTAAAAAGTAAAATTACTGTCCATAGTCATTCATTATGAATTTTGCCATTTAACCCTTCATCTCTTCAGAAATTTTCAGAGTATTTCTTTTAGGATCAAGATTAAAATACAAAAACCTTTTATTTAAAATGGCCTGAAATATCTGGGGCACCTTGGTTAGTATTATAACAATATTTGTATAGAACTTTGTAATTTACAGATTATTTTCTAAAGCACTGATTTTTTTTGGACTTTTTATATGGGAAAAATGTTAAAATGTACAAAGGTAGAGAGAGTAGTATAATGAACCCCTATAGATTCATTAGCCAGCTCCAGTATTGCTGCCACTTTTGATGGACATACTGACTGACTGAGGAACTAGATTTGTTATTTCCATTTTCCCAGTTGAAGGACATGTAGCTGGGAGTGGCAGGGCTACAGCTGTCCCAGGCGTCTGACTCCAGATTTCCACCCATTTCTATTGTATTTGTTAGCACTGTGATCTTTTCACATCATATATAGGATTAGCATTATCACCTTTTCCTTAAGATTAATTTAAAAAAATTCATCCTTCCACTCTGCGCCATTATAAAGAACATTTTTCTTTTTTTTTTTTTAAGACGCAGTCTTGCTCTGTCGTCCAGACTGCAGTGCAGTGGCGAAATCTCGGCTCACTGCAAGCTCCACCTCGTGGGTTCGCGCCATTCTCCTGCCTCAGCCTCCCAAGTAGCTGGGACTACAGGCACCCGCCACCACGCCCGGCTAATTTTTTTTGTATTTTTAGTAGAGACGGTGTTTCACCATGTTAGCCAGGATGGTCTCGATCTCCTGACCTTGTGATCCGCCCGCCTCGGCCTCCCAAAGTGCTGGGATTACAGGCGTGAGCCACTGCGCTCGGCCACATTTTTCTTTTTAATCATTAATTTCAAGGCCACTGTCTTGGGTTTTTGTTTTAGAAGAGACGGTCCAGCAGACAGGTGAAGAGAAAGCGCTACACTGAAGACCTGGAGTTCAAGATTTCTGATGAGGAGGCAGATGATGCAGATGCTGCTGGGAGGGATTCCCCCTCCAACACCTCCCAGTCAGAACAGCAGGTTAGTACCAGATCTGTGGGATTTATGGATGCATTTTAAAGATGGACTAGAAATTTCATTGCTGCAATCTGAGAAGTGCAGTGGAAGCATTGGACTTTCAGCAGGGGAACATCCACCTAATGTTGGATAATGTGCTATGGGAAATTCGTTGTTTAGCAATATCTTTTAAAAAGCCCTGTTCACTGCAATTTATTTTTATATAAGACTGTGATATGTAATTTGACACAATTTTGGAGAATTAATGTTCTATGCTGAGGAAGAGTCAGAGTTGGAATATAAGGAGGCTGAATATACCTCTGAGAATTCAGTGCTGTGGCTTCTGGGACTTTAATAAACCACTCAAGCTTGTCTCCTGCTGTTAGGCACTGTGAGAACCCCTTTATGAAATTACTGCCTTGTAGTACCCAGCAGGGTGTACTTTATTCTCTGTGCAATGTAAATGATGGATAAAACAGTTTGTATAAAATATGGGTAGTGTAGGATTGATTATTGTAAAGATCTTTTCTAAAAAAATAATGCTTTTTTCTTATTGAAAAGTATATTAAATGCATCTTTGCATTTTATTTGGTAATTTGTTCTATGTTAAGTTGTTACATAATGTTTTATGTGACCTCCATAGATAAAAGATGCCTACTATAGCAGAATGATGAGTATATTTACCCCATGGGTATAGATGAAGAAAAGTTATATTTTTGACTGCTAACGTGCAGAGATTATTTTGTCTTGGTGGCTAGAATTTCTGATTGCTCTCTAGCTTTAGGGACCTAGGCTGGTCCACGTAATTAAACCATATAATCATGAAGTAATATTAAGCACAGATCTCCTTTTTGCCTTTCAGTAGAGTGAGATTTTTGTTCCTTTCAATCGTGTTTCTCACTGATAACTTTGTACCCAGTGACTTAAAAGGTGTGGAGGTGGTAGCAAAGGGGAATGATTTCTTGCTCTTATAGCTTAGGATGAGATGTTTTCTATTTGGATTGATGCACATGCCTTTTTTTTTAGGAATCTGTTGATGCAGAAGGCCCAGTGGTAGAAAAAATTATGAGCAGTCGTTCAGTAAAAAAGCAGGTGAGTGCCATTGGAGCCATTAAAATCTGTGAGGTGTATGTGACTCTTACAGGATTGTTGGCTTTGTAATTTTCTTTTAAAATTCTAATATTATAAAATAAAACTTCCAGTAATATTTCTAATCCTGTCTAATTTATTAACCCAATATGAATCTTTGGGATATTTGACCCCAGATGAAATTAAAATATATCAAGCAGTCAGTGCTTTATTACACCATTCAGAGTGGACTAGAAACTCACAAGTCTCCAAATAAATGTATGGGACTTTCAGAGTTGTAGACTGCCTTTTTCATAAATATTATTCATAAAAATCAAAACATGAATTTACTTCTAATCTCTCTCAGGAAGGTTCCCCCCTCTTTCATGTTAGGATGGAAATTCTGTTTGTCATTTTAGCAAGTAGGTGTTTTCTCATGTGTTTTGTAACATTTTCTCATATACAATTGAATTATTCATTAGTGTCTTTCTTGCCAGTGCAAAGGTGAAATACAGGTCTATTTTCAGTGTAATTTTAAAAAATAGTTTTGACTTAATACTTCAGAGTTATTCAAAGTTTCTGTTCATCTGCAAAGGTGAGCTCTAAGTATCTGTCACTAGCCTGCTAGCTTTGTCACTGAGGTACTCATATGCTCTTTAACAAAAAAATGCCAGTGACATACCGTGTTTTCTTTTCCTGATGAAAATTCCCTGTTTTAGCTAACTCCCTTCTTACAGCCCACTTTGAGAAAATGCTTTGCTTAGTTTGAATAATTACATAAACCTGCAGGTGCATTAGGTATTACAACATGCAGTTTTTCGTGTCTCTAGGAAGTAGTCTCCTTTAGACATAGGTGTCTGTGTCGCAGCTTCAGTCATTATCAATTCCACACAGTTCTTTTGTTTTTATTTGCTTTCAAGAAGGATGGAACTACAAGTTCATGTTTCAGCATGTAAAACAAACTTTAAAAAATAATATATAATAAAGACATGGTCTAGCTGCGAACTCCTGGGCTCAAACATTTCTCCTGCCTTGGGCTCCCAAACTGCTGGGATTACAGGTGTGAGCCATCCTGCCTAAAGTTGTTTATTTTTAGCAAAATGTATACAAAGTATCTCCCAGTAAGAGAGTTGAGGAATGGAGGATTTACAGGACTCAGTGAGAGTCCTATAATAAAGTGAGATCCCAGGCTTATCAAATAGGAAACCATTACTATTCAAATACTGCTATTGAGTGATCCTTGAACATGTTATTGCACCAGCAGTAAACTTCTCTTTACTTTCATTTCATTAGTTTGTTTTGCTATTGTGTGATTCAAGGTATGAATTTTTATCGGAATATACATCTCTAGTTTATAAGAAAATAATTTAGAGCAGTATGTCAAGGTGTTTTCCAGTTGAGTATAGGGGATACGGGGTATGGAGTGACTGGCCATCTTGGTGACTCTTTGAATGTGAAGATTTCCTGATGAATTAAATTTCCCACCTGCTCAAGTAGGAAACAAGCACTATTTAACTCATTAGAAGGTTGCATTTTTGTCCTACTAATGACTCTAGAACTGCTAATTTATGAATTGTAGATATACAGTAAAATTTAAATACTTGACATGCTTTGAAGAACAATCCCCTTCACTGAATTGAAGTGACTTGTTTGAGTAAATAGCATGTCGTTTAGATGGGATATATTAATTTTCATTCAATTGGTAGTGCTTCAGCAGGCATACTCAGCAGGTTTAGGGGTTGCAAATTATAATTAGCTCTATTATTCAGAGCTATTTAGACTATATATTATGTAGAACATTGCTTTTTCTTTCTGTTTTGCCCACTTTAGGGTTTTTGTCTTCTTTTCCTCTTTAGCTACCTTTTAAAAATAGGTACCCATGGTTTAGGAATAGATACTGTTAACCATTTACCGATGACTGGGTTTGTCTTATCATAGGAGATTAAAAATCACTGTACAGGAGGGTGGACATTTGTTGAGTTGATGAATTTGAAGCTGGAGAAAATTAATGGAAAAAATTCTTCTGGAAGGGAGATATGCTTTGAGGTATGATTTAAAATAAAGAAGAGATGTGGAGCTCATGGAATTGCTTGTCAGTTACTGGTATTTCTTAAAGGGCAATAAAAAAATCCATTAGAAGGTACTAAACATTAACAGGTGCTAACTTTTTAAACTGCTAATATTCTCAAAGTAGATACTTTAGTTATCACCTTTAATAACATTGGAAGAAAGTGTTGCAAATAGAAACAAAAGGAAATTTGAGATTTTTTGTGGATTCAATCTATGCCTGCTGGTCTGTTTCTTATTACCATGAATAATTTAATAATTGGCAGTGAGAAGGTGTCTTTATCTCTGCCAGGCAGCACTGTAGAAACTGGCTATGAGCTCTCAGAGCCTGTCCCTGCATGGTGTTGACCCAGAGTGGAGACTCCATGTTTTTCAAAGTCAGTTGACCTCATCACTGTGGCCTGAGAAGCATCATGATCCATTATGATGGAGTTGTGCAAACATAAAACTCACCTGGCAGAGGCACCGTAAGTCAGCACCTCATGTTAAATAGGGGTGGCTCAAGCATTTATGTTGTTCTAAACCCAGGTTAATGTCTATGATACCTAGTTGCATGAAATAGTTGGTGCCTATTTGAATTTTGAGGTAGATATATGAGTAGATACTTGGATTGTATAAAGCCTAATTATTTTGTTTTCCTTGTTTAGTCAGCTTGTAGCTGTTTCTGCTTTGAGCCATTCATCTTTGGAGGATAATTCAAATCCTTTTTTTTTTGTATCAGAAGGCCAAAAGTAGTTTTAAAAGTGAATTGTGACTGTATTCCCTAAAATTCTTTATTTTTCTTTAAGTTAACTACAGGACGTATTTTCAGAGTGTGTGTTTTAAGTATGTAGCTGAGCCTCCTAGAGTGTAAAGAAGGCAAAACTCTTAATCTCATCCATTGTCATGTCCTTATTTTTTCCCTAAGTGAACTGTGATTTGGTGTCTCTAGTAAAGTATACAGTAGATAGGGCCAAAAGTGAAAAGGGATTCATACCCACGCCTTATTGATAACTTTATTGAGGTGCTTTTTCATTCTTTTGTGTATTATTTGACAGAGTGTTCTGTTTTTTTGCTCTGTATTTTAGTTTCTTGACTGTGACTACTTAATTTAGTAGTAGGATGCATAGGAAAGGCCTAAGTTAGGCCTAGACTCTGGGTGGCTATTTAGAATCCAGGTGGCTGGAGAACTCATTTATTGCCTTCTCAAAGTTTCTGGTTTGTTTGAACAGTGGGACAAGTATGGCTTAATATGTTTGAAACTTTAAGTGTCATATGAATAATAAGGATTTCCCTAGACTAATTTTGGATCTAATGAAAAGATATATACATTTCTCAGAAAAATTCTATTTAATTCATAATATTACTGGGTTCTCAAATTTAAAGGTAGCTGCTCAAGAAATAAATCTGAGTGTTGTGTGTATGTATGGGAATAGTTCTTTGACTTAGTTATTCATTGCCTATGCCTGTTGTAGAATGGCTTCTGAAAATAGGGCTTAGAGGTGAGAGGTTTTAGGGTAGGGGCTGTTTGAAGCTGTCAACAGAGGCTGGTCAAACTGCCTCCCATTTAGTAAATAATTGAAATGATGTTTCTGAGGGCTTATGAATTCACACACTTTTGTTCAATTGTTTTACTGTTCAGTAAAAGAAAAGAGGTCAGCATGATCATATTTATATGAAAGGAACGGTGAAAAACAGCTCTATTTATAGTTTTAGGGGCAAGAAGGTGGTGATCCAATATGTGTGGTCCATTAAACAGAACCAAGTGTTGTATTCTGAAACATCCAAAAGATAACAGGCCCTGGGACACTTCTGTACCAGCTCCAGGTGCTGCTAAATGAAGTTTCAGAACCTGGTTGGTTCCTCCTAGGCAGCCCTAGACTCTCTTGTCAGGCATCTTCACAGCAGGTTCCCAGAGGAATAGCTGATCATGACAAGAAAATGGGTAGTAATGAGAGTTGGGGACAGATGGCTGTAAGAGTCAGAGCTTTCTGGGAACAGACTTGAGACAAAATAAAAAGTGTCTTTACTGTTCAAGATTTGATCCTGTATGTGTTGGTGCCCACTTAGAATTATGGGATGATGAGACCATTTAGAATGAGAAGAAAAGGGACAGTATGGGAGAAAAGATCAGACAGAAGAATCAGGAGAAATAATACGAGCATAGACATGATAAATCTTGTTTATGATTTATAACATATATATCAGTTATATAAATGATACATTTGATACATTTGAAGGCATTGAAAATGCCTTCAAAATTGAAAAAATATAATTATTATCAGAAGGGCAAAAGCTCAGACATTTGAGTTCCATTCTTGATTTGAATTTCATGATAATGCTGTGTGAAGAATCAAAGGATCTAGTTTCATCCTTGCTTCTCTTTTTCCCTGATCATCTACCATCTTTTTGTCTTTCTGCTGGAAGTCTGGTTCTATATAAAGATAATATATCTTAAAATGGGAGGCTGGGCGCAGTGGTTCAAGCCTGTAATCCCAGTACTTTGGGAAGCCGAGGTGGGCAGATGATGAGGTCAGGAGATTGAGACCATCCTGTCTAACACGGTGAAACCCCGTCTCTACTAAAAATACAAAAAAAATTAGCCGGGCATGGTGGCGGGGCCTGTAGTCCCAGCTACTCAGGAGGCTGAGACAGGAGAATGGCGTGAACCTGCGAGGCAGAGCTTGCAGTGAGCCGAGATTGCGCCACTGCACTCCAGCCTGGATGACAGAGCAAGACTCCGTCTCAAAAAAAAAGGGAGTAGAATGGGGAAATATTAAGGCTAGAGAGAAAAAGGTAGGGTGGGTCTTGGATGGATGGCCACTTGAACTTGGTAGTATTTATTTATAAATTAATTCCATGTTCCATTTATGTTGCTGGTTCTTGAAGCCATCCAACAAACATTTCTTTTTATTTTGGATAACTAAAAGTTTATGACATAGAAGGTGTTCTGATACATTGGTTTAAAATAGTGCTTTATAGTTATTACGTTTCATAGATCCATTATGGCACAACCAGATATTAATAGATATTGACCACTCCTGCATATCCAGACTCCTTCTTGATGATTTCTAGACAGGCCAAAACTGTTTAAAATATAGGTTTAGCTCGGTGTGGTGGCTCATGCCTGTAATCCCATCACTTTGGGAGGCTGAGACGGGGGGATTGCTTGAGCCTAAGAGTTTGAGACCAGCCTGGGCAACATGGTGTAAAACCCAGCCTACGGAAAATACAGAATTAGCTGAGCATGGTGATGTGTGCCCGTAGTCCCAGCTACTTGGGGAGGTGGTAGGGAGGGGCAGGGGTTGCTGAGGCAGGAGGATTGCTTGAGCCTGGGAGGTTGAGTTTGCAGTGAGCCATGTTTGCACCACTCCACTCAAGCCTGGGTGACAAAGCAAATCCTATCTCAGAAAAGAAAGAAAAAAAATTAGGTTTAACTGTTATAAGTGAGAGTTTCAAAGAAAAGTTTAAGTTCACAATCTTTGAAAATGGTTTGAAGGTTGGAGATTGAGGGGACTAGTACCTTTGAACAGATCTGTGCCAGTCTGTTATCCAGTAGAAGCCTTTGCTCTTTTGTTTGTTCTTTGCCATGTTCCTACTTGCCTTGATTTTCTTCGAAGCATTTCGGAGGTGGCTGAACAGCCATACATGACCCTCAAGGCAGGCTTGGGGTCTCTTGTAAGAGTGTAAAAGCAATCCCCAAACATCTGTAAGTGGTGTTTATATTTTAGATCCCTGATTTATCTGATCAAATGTTCCAGAAGGAAATTACATATTATGACTTGTTTAAGAGCCTAAAACCAAAAGGGGAATAAAAAGAGATGCCTAAAATACCATCTGAACATCATCTTCTGCATACACTACAGCAGATAGGATTAAGGGAGACATTATAGATAATCTTACTACTGAAAACTCTTGATTTGGCTGACATGTATCACAATTTTAACCTTACCTAAATGTAGTATTTGGAGTGTTAATTTTATTTGGCTGCTATGTGTGTGAGACATCTTGTCTGAGAGATTTTAATTGTACCATTGAGTGAAACTAAGACTATGAATAGTGATGCACTGAAATTACAGCATAAGAACAAGGTTTACTTTTATATGGTTTCTTGTTTAGAGTTATTAAGTATATGGAGAAATAAATGTCTTTTAAATATTTTAAAACATTACAAAACCCACAATGTAAAGTTGCCATGAGGCAGCCAAAAATAATACATATGGCATTCAGGAGAGCAGTTGCTAATTGGCTGCTGCCTGAGAAAATGGTACACTTGGCGTCTACTTAACACTGTGGGTTTGGCAGAAGGCCAAATTTGGGGTCAGGTTGTTGTGAATGAAGCTGCATGTGGTTAGGGAGGAGTTAAAGTGATTCATGTCTTAGAAGCTCTCGCACGTTGAGCAGAGGTGCGTGCATGGGCCTGAGCGTGGCAGTCTTCGTGGCCCTGGCCACCTCCCAGCACACGGTGTGCTCATCTTACGTGAAGGTCCTTTGCTGCTCTTTTCAGTCCTATTTTGTGCTCATATGGGAGTAAATCATTACTTTTAAAATATTCTAGTAGATGGTTTTAAATACATGCCTGAAATTTTCTTTTGTTGCAGAAGGAATCTGGAGAGGAGGTAGAAATTGAGGAATTCTATGTGAAATACAAAAACTTGTAAGTAAATTGTGATTCTGTTTTTAATGGGGGGCTATATTTTCCAAGTAGTAAACGACCATTTTTTTTTAAAGTTGGGAAATTAAGAAACTTTGGTATGATTTCTTTAGTCATCATGGCCTGGGAGGCCATTTTTTAACCAACTTTTGTATGTTTGATATTTTATGAATTTTTCTGGAAAATGTGTAATTGGTGTAAAAGTTGACTAACTTCTGTGTATAACCAATAAGTATTTTTTTAGAGAGGATAAAAACTTCTACAATAATAGAAAAATGAATAAAGCAGTATTTCCCTGTCCTCTGATCATGAATTCTACCCTGTGGGGCTACACTTCGTCCCTTCACCTGTGCATAGTGTGCGAGGCCCTAGAGACAAGAACTCTCCTGTGGAATGAAAGCTCTAGAGAACCATGACATCACTCAGGTTCTAAAATGCAGTGAGCTATAGCTTTATCTGTTTTTGTTTGTTTCTGATATTTATTTAGTAGATTTGAATTCATAACTTAAAAATCTGAATTGAAAAACACGGTGAGTTGTTGTCCTTGTAGATTCTGTTGTAAGCAGTACACCTGGCCCAGACAGATATTGTGATGAGCTAGGATGTTTTCAGAGTCAGTAATCATTCTGCTGAAGAAGACTGAGGCCATTTTGTAACCTAAATAACAATCATAGAACAAGGACAAAAATGTTCATTGATAATGTAAACATTAAATTTCTTTTTTACCCCTTTTAAGGCAAAGAACTAAACCACCATATTAATACATTCTTAGGGCTTTAAAGAGAGGCTTTTGTGAGTTGCTGTGCGAACAGCCTCAGAAAATTTACCCCACCCTAGAAAATGAAAGCATCAGGTGCCATGGGTTTTCTGTCATTCTCTCTTGTTGTAGTTGGCACTGTTAATAAATTGATGCACTTCTGAAGAAGTTGTGAGTAAAACCTTTTATCAAGTAAAAAGATAAAGAAGTCTCTATCAGTTTTATCATGAGAGTTCAATGAAATACAGTCTGACAATTTTAAAAATGCTCGGAAAATGTTAACTGTCATCATTCTTTTGTCCTCAGAGCATGTCAGTTTACACATGTGGAAATTATGCCTACAACACGATTTCCTATGGTAAGGAGGAGGTAAACTAAGTAAACCAGAGGGAGAGAGTTCCCTTGTAGATTTACCAAATTGAAACAAGAGCAAAGGAGTTCAAATATCAATCACCAAAATAATGGCACTACCAGAGAGACCTCCAGATCAGTGTGTGACAGTGAGGCCTGAGCTGCCTCCTTCCAGTCAGCCTGTTAGTGACCCCAGAGATGGGCTCCGAGTTCCTGACCAGGTGCCAGTGCCAGACCAGGAGACTCTAGCCCTCCTCAAAAGTCATTTGAGGTGAGGTAAAGGGAGTTTTGAAAAAAAAAAAAAAAAAAAAAAAAAAGAAAAAAAAGGTTTTCTGACTGTCATTATTGAGAGCTAAGAGAAATTAAGATTTCCATAAAACTAAGAGTTTTTGTTAGCCTTATATTTGGATACAATTTCACATTTATAGAAAAATTGTAAAAAATAGTACAAAGAATTTCTGTTTTTCTTTTTGTAGTTAATGTGTATCTTCCGGAAAGATACTTTAAGACTTAAATATGGTTGTGGTTGCTAAGGGGTGATTTACTAATTCCATCATTTCTTCTACATTGATTGGTTGGGTTTTTACCGTAAGGAAGAGCTTTACCCTCTTGTCTATTTGTTAATTTATAGCTGAGCGGACTTGTGGCTTCTCATTTTATTCAAGGGATTATAACTCTTTACTGTTGTAGTATTTACTTTGCCCACATTATCCCAGATTTGGTCAGTGGGAGCCCCTTCAGACTGGCTCTTCTGTCTTTTTGCCTTGTCCCCATTTTTCTTTGAACATTTTCTTGCTTTCTGGCACCAGAGGATGTTCCAGGCTCATCTCGTAACTTCCCTGTTTTAGTTATGGAGTCAGTTACTTCTCCAAGAAGGCTTGGTTGTTTTCAGTGAAGGGGGGGGCATTGAGAAACCAAGATTGGGGCTTTAGGTGTGCTCCTCGTTGCTGAGGAATTGTTGCTTCTAGTCCCTCTCAGTGGATAGGACTGGGAGAGAGAGAGAGTGTGTGTGTGTGTGTGTGTGTGTGTGTGTATCGAGTTACACACACACTTATCTGTTTATTATATACACACACATATTTACCTACCTCTCCAACACAACAGCAAAAACAATGTGTATATATTGATACTTCCAGTATTATTCCAGCAGCCCAGGGTTCATTCTCTCCTTTCCCCTTTAATATTAGTAATTCCCTTCTTCAACCAGAATAAACCTGGCTCTCTTATTTTTTATGTTTGCTTTTTTTCAGTCCTAACATATATAGGAAGTGATTTCAGAGTTACTAGCCCATATTTCTGTGACAAAGAAGCCTATATTTGGTTAGCTTTTTGTCTTTAGTTTGAGGGCATAGGGACTAAAACTTTATCCAAAATGTCCTTGGGTTGGTTATTCTCTTTTCCTACCCCACCAGTGTGGTTTGTTATTTATTTCAGGGGTCCCCAGTCCCCAGGCCATGGATCAGTACTGGTCAGTGTCCTGTTAGGAACCTGGCCGCACAGCAGGAGGTGAGCGGCAGGCGACTGAGCATTACCACCTGAGCTCTGCCTCTTGTCAGATCAGCGTAACATTAGTTTCTCATAGGAACGTGAACTCTGGTTGTGAACTGTGCATGCGAAGGATCTAGGTTTTGTGCTCCTTATGAGAATCTAACTAATGCCTGATCTGAGGTGCAACCGTTTCATTCCAAACTGCCCTCCACCAAGGACCCGCCCCAGTCCGTGGAAAAATTGTCTTCCACGAAACTGGTCCTTGGTGCCAAAAAGGTTGGGGCCTCATGATTTATTTGATACACAGTATGTTTCTTTAGTTTTGGTTTGTATTTGTATTCCCTTTTAGCCCCCGCTTGTTGATTTTTATTGTTTTTCAAGTTTGTGAAATATTAATATGTTACAAAAGTCAGAACTATACACAAAAGAAGTGTAGTCCTCCCTTTCCACCCCATTCCTGCTTACTTCCTTACTAATCCCAGGTTTATCCTTTCTGTAATTTTTGGCATGAGCATGCAGGTATAATTTCCTCTTCGTTCTTACAAAAAAAGAAATTGGTATACTGTTAGTACATTTTTGTGCTTTGCTTTTTTTCACACTACATCCTGGAAATCACTCTACATCTGTTCATAGGGGTCCTCCTCATTCTTTGTTTCAGCTGTATAATATTCCATTGCATGACTGCCGTAACCATTCAACCAGCCTCCTGTGTATGTGGGTGTGTAAGTGGCTTCTGATGTTTTCCAATTACGGATAATGCTACAATATATATTCTCATACATATCTATATATTTTCAAATTATTGGAGGCATGGCTTCCAGGTGAATTCCCGGAAGTGAGTTTACTAGATACAAAAGGCAAACATGTATGTATTTTTAAGAGATATTGCCAAATTCCCTTCCTTCATGTTGTATGAATTTATGTTCCTGTCAACAAAGTATGCAAACACCTGTTTCCCCACAACCTTTCTAATATAGTGTGCTGTTTTACTTTTTAATTTTTGTAAGAAATTGTATTTCAGTTGAGGTTTTAATTAGCATTTTCTCTTATTGTGAATAAGAACACCTTTTCATAAGATTAATGGCCACTTTTTACATCTTGCTTTGTCAGTTGTCTGTGTCTTTTGCTCATTTTCTGTCATGCTCAACTTTTAAGAGCTCTTTATATATAAGGGATATTAGTTCTTTATCTTGGGTTATATGTTGCAACTATCTTATCTCAGTTTCGATTGTCTTTTGACTTCATGGTGTTTATTGCATTGCCCATTAAAATTTTTTGTACGGTCAGATTTATCAATTTTTTCTTTTATTGTTTCTAGCTTTAGTGTCATAGCTAGAAAGCCTTTCCCTATATCCAGATTACAGAGGAATTTGTCCATGCTTTCCTTGTGGTTTCATTTTATCTATTTAGGTGCCTGATCCATTTGGTGTTTATTCTTGTGTATTGTGTAAGTCATGGCTCTAATTTAATTCTTTTTCAATTGTTGTTCTAGCACCATTATTAAAGAGTCAATTTTTGGCCAGGCACAGTGGCTCATGCCTGTAATCCCAGCACTTTGGGAGGCTGAGGCAGGCTGATCACGAGGTCAGGAGCTTGAGACCAGCCTGGCCAACATAGCGAAACCCCATCTCTACTAAAAATACAAAAAATTAGCTGAGCATGGTGGCGGGTGCCTGTAATCCCAGCTACTCGGGAGGCTGAGGCAGGAGAATCGCTTGAACCCGGGAGGCAGAGGTGGCAGTGAGCCGAGATTGCGCCATTGCACTCCAGCTGGGCGACAGTGTGAGACTACATCTCAAAAAAAAAAAAAAAAAGAGTCCATTTTTGACTCAGTGATTTGAGATCCAAACTTTATTTTGTCCTAAAGTTTTTATTTATTTATTTTATTTATTTTTTTATTTTTCTTTATCTGTACTTTATGCCTTTGAACTGCTTGTCTATTTATAAGCCAGTACCACACTGCTTAGGGAGGCTTTATAGTGTATTTTAATATCTGGTAGATCTATTTCCCTAGTAGCTTTTCTGTTTTATTGTTTTCCGGGATATTCTTGCATGTTTATTTTTATATATAAAATGTAATACTGTTTAGCCCCATATAAATGCCTGTTTGCATTTTATTTATTTACATTGTGTTAAATTTACAAATGTATGATGTTGAGTTACACAGTGTGACAATGATGTCTTTTCAGTTGGTCCAGTTCTACTTTTGTGTCTTGTAAGAGTTTTAAATATTTTCTTATACAAATTGTACACATTTTTAATTAAATTTATTGCTAAGTATTTTATCTTTGTTGGTATTGTGAAAGAGGTTTTCTCTAACATATCCCCTTATTGGTAATTGTTGTTGTGAATGAAGACAATATGTTGGCTTCTGTATGCTAATTTTATATTCTGCTACATTGCTGGATTATTTTATTATATGAATTAGTTTTCTAATTGATTCTCTAGGGTTCTCCAGGTACCTGATCATATAATCTGCAAACAGAGATAGCTTTACTTATTATTTTCTAATTATTATGTCTCTTATTGTTTTGACTTGTCAGTTACATTGGCTAATAACCTCAAATACAATATTGAATAACAGTGGAGATAGTAGGTATCCATGCTTTCTGATTTTTGTGGAAAACTGTGGTGTTTCTTCATTTAGTAAGATCCTGTCTTTAGAACCAAAATCTTCAAATATGTGTTAACAAAATACCTATCAATTCCTATCTTCCTAAGCTTTAAAAAATCCATTATGGGTGTTAAAGTTTGTCAAATGTTTTTGCAGTGTCAATAGAAATAATTGTGTGATTTTTCTCCTTAGATATATTAATATTGTGTATTTTTAGTGAATTTCCTAATGTTGAACCAACCTTGCATTCCTGAAATAAGTAACTACTTGGTCATGACATATTATTGTCTTAATGTGATGTGGAGTTGTGTTTGTTAATATTTTACTTATATTTACTTATAACTATAAATATTTATAAGTATTATAAATATAAATATTTACTACTTTGCACTGATATGGGTAAGGGATATGCTCTTTCTTTTTTAACTGTCAAGATTAGGTATAAATATATACCTGTTTCATAAAGAGTAGTTACATTTTTAAATGAAATTTTGTTTTCCAAAGTGACCATACACTGTATTATCTGTAGGGCCTAGTTCAGATTATTTCTTATTAGCTTCATAATATTTTTCTTACATTGACTTCTTCATAACTTTTAAAAAATATTTTAGTTCTAGTCCAGTTAGGACGTTTTCTTGCCTTAATTATCTATTCAGACAAAGCAGTCGTATTTTTGACCCTTTATTCTTCCTTCCTCTTCTTCCTAAGCCTCCAGAATGGGTTATCATCAGAGTCTAGAAAGCAGAGTCACACTGAAAATTTCATCCCAGTTTATAGCAGATAAAGCAGGGCTGGAGCCACTTGCTTATATGCTTGTGTCCAGTTCAAGGCTACACAGGTGGTGCTTTGAAGGCTTTTGCACCTCAGCCAAGGCAAGAATACTAACTGACTGACTGCACATGTGCCTTTTTCTGTCAAATAATTTGGAGACTAGAGCAGATTATTTTTATAATATGTGTTTCTTTTTGTGTGTGTGTGGCAGGGGGAAGAGGGTCTCCCTCTGTCACCCAGGCTTGAATGCAGTGGCGTGATCTCAGCTCACTGCAACCTCCACCTCTGGGGTTCAAGCAATTCTCCCGCCTCAGCCTCCTGAGTAGCTGGGATTACAGGCACATGCCACCACGGCCTAGCTGATTTTTGTATTTTTAATAGAGTTGGGTTTTCACCATATTGGTCAGGCTGGTCTCGAACTACTGGCCTCAGGTGATCTGCCTGCCTCGTATAATATGTGTTTCTGATTATGACAGTATTGCATATTATTTATTGGAAATTTGGAAACTACAAGTTGAAAGTAGAAAATAAAATACTTGCAGTCCTAGCACCCAGAAATAATAAATACAGGTTGAGTATCCCTTATCTGGAATGGTTGAGATCAGAAGTGTTTTGGATTTTGGATTTTTTCAAATTCAGAATATTTGCATTATGCTTTAATGGTTAAGCATCCCAAATCTGAAATCCAAAATGCTCCATTGAGCATTTCCTTCAAGTTCATGTTGGTGCTCAAAAAGTTTCGAGTTTTAGAGCATTTTGAATTTCAGATTTTCAGATTTGGAACCTGTATTAGCATTTTGATGCAATTTCATCTAGTCTGTTTTCTGTGTGTGTATGTACAGCATTTATATCAGTTCATAGCTATGTAAGTCATATGTATTTAAAATCCTTTTTTCCCTCAATTATAGAAGGACTAAATGAGTCCTATCTTTGCAAATCATATTAGACATGATTATCAGTTATGTGCTACTTAATATCATAAGCATTTCCTATATCATGAATCATTTTTGAAAAATTTTTAATGGTTGTATAATTTTTGTTTTTACTTTTTCTTGTTTTAAACTTCTGACTTCTGTGAACTAAAGCACAATTTCTAAGAGTACTAGTATGTTGATTCTGAAAGGGGTATATATATTCAAGATATAATTTCTTTTTAATATTGTCATCAGAAAGAGAAATAAGAGGCTCTCAAGGCTGTTTGAGGGGCAGGGAGAGGGTGATGGGACAAAAGAATATTGAAGAACTAAGCAAAAGAATGTCAGAGTTGCCATAAAACATTAACTGTGTACCTGTGAGTGTTGGAGAAGAAAAGGGAAGTGCATATGTATTCCAGTTCAGGTGAGGGAAGACACCATGCATACTCAGAGGAGGGGATGGGGAGTCTTGAGGGGAGGGGGTTTGCCCAGTGCAGGTATAGATGATAGCAAGGGAAACATTCACAGGGGACCAAGGAATATCATTGCAGAAATCCTGGAGGAACACAGTCTGGGAGACCAGGAACTGATAAGAAGCTGGTGAGGGGCATGGCCCAGTGTTCCAGGAGCAGACAGTGGTTCTTTCCTCCTAGATTTTTCTAGAAGGACCAGGTTAGGTTTCCCTTTGGGACCAGTATGATAGGCCTTGGGTGACTCTAGGGCACCCTACACCTCTTATCTCCAAAGAAACTGCTATTTTAAATTTGAATTATTTTAACTTGATAAAAACCTATTTCTCAATGATAAGAGGTTCAAAGTATAAATTCAGAATTAAGGCCTCCCTGTAGTGCTAATTTTATATTGAAGTATAATCCATTCACTTATGGAAATAGCTTGTTATTAGGCCATTCTCTCTCTTCTCTGTCTCTTTTGTCTGTCTGTCTGTCTGTCTCTCTCTCTCTCTCTCTCTCTCTCTCTCTCTCTCTCTCTGTAACAGGTAAGAGAGCTGGAGGCTTAGGACAGAAGGCAAATTTTAGGCACTAATATTGATTTTCTCTTCTTATTCTAAACAGTGGTGGGTATATTAAATGTTGCTCAGCAGCCTTAATGGGTAATTAAGCAGGTTATTTTAATTATCTGTGTAGTTGACTTTTTTGAATAAGACATAATAAAGGATTAATTATATTCTACATATTTCAAGGATATTGTTTTGTTCTTTCAGCTCTTATCTTCATTGTCAGTGGGCATCTATAGAAGATCTGGAAAAAGATAAGAGAATTCAGCAAAAAATTAAACGATTTAAGGCAAAGCAGGGCCAGAACAAGTTCCTTTCAGAGGTACGACATACCTGCTTACTTTTCCAAAGTATTTACTTTGTTAAAATGTTCTAAATTTAAAATTTTAGTTCCATGAATTAAGAAAAACTAGTTAGTCTCATTTGGTGCTGTCAACTTGCATATTGGTAACTGGTTCTTGCTAACAAATTTGTAAACAGGAAATTTCTCATTCTTCCTGTTGCTTAGGCTAGAAGATATGGGTCCTTATGATATTATGTGGAAATAGCGGTGATGGTATGATAAAAATCGTGTAATGAAAGTACAGTTAGCAGATGATGAAATTAAGTAAGTGGACAGAAGTTCTATTGAGATTTAGCAGGTTAAGAAATCTACAATGTTAAGTACAAGTTCTAAGATACAAAAGCTTGACTTCTGTTGGGGAAAGTATGTGGCAAATTTCTTTTGTTGAAGTCAATGCCTAATTACAGAGAGTTCACTAAACTCATTTTCGCAAATGCTGTGCTGTAGTGTAGAAACTGGTAATAATATCTTTGCCTGTGTCCCTTTATCCCAGGTATCAGTATAGAAGTACAGCAATACCTAGGGCAGAGAAGAACATCTGCATTTACTAGAAGTGCCAGTTCTGCCCTCTGCCTCCTCAGTATAGTCAATTACATTTTTTAAAAAGTGCTTTCACAAGCTGCTTACTAGGGTCTCTGGACTTAGGATCGCCAATTTGGTTTCACTTACAGCCTCAAGTAGATAAAAGAAAAACCCTAACATTGAAAGATAAGACTTGCTGATTTATTAGTTCCTCTTTTCCTAAAAGAGTTGACAGAATGTAGACTTTATGTAAAAGAAGCGTACAATTTGATGCAAAATAGTATCTGTTTAACAACCTACTTTGTACTGCCACCCCTTTTTGGAGATGAAGGAAAGTGGGACAGAAGAGCACTTAGTACTTTTATGTCATAAAATTCTTATACTATCAGGTAGCAAGTCTGTGTTCTTCTGGGATCTGATTTCCATGGTCCCAACTGGCCTATGGTAAAGTCCGCATTCAATGGGAGATCATGTGGTTGTTCTTTTACTGGACACATGTCTGCATCACTACCCCTGGCACTCTGAGTGTGCAGCATTTTTGGCAGTGCAGTGTTTAGGACCGAGTGGAATGGAGTTACTCGAATGTGACTCAATTCATAGATCTTGGAGAATATTAAGAAGATTCTTCAGAAGAACTTGGAGGAAAATTCTTTTGAAGAAAGAATCTTAATATTTGATTTTGAGGACAATGCTGTGAGATTCTATTTTTCATGCCCTTCTTAATGAAACCAGAGTTAAATTTTTATGACATTGGATGAGCTGAAATCATTAGCCTCCTTTTAGAAAGAGACACCCTGTGTTCTGCTGACCTTTTCTGTGGGCCAGGGGGAGGGAGACAGGCAAAAGCGCAATGGTAGCTTTCCCCCCATCCCTAAATCCTGGTCCTGTTTATTAAGTTTATTTGTATTCTCTCTCCTGTAGTCACACTGTCTTTAGGAAATTGTGCCTAGCCCTAGCTACACATACCAAGGTTGAATGTACATTATTTACCTGGTAACTTGGCAGCTAGAAATCTTAGTTTCTGTCCTGAGTGGGAGTTAGCAGAGAAGGATAGCAATCCCCTTCCTCCCTCTCTTTTATACATGAAAGTGCACACGCCCCCGTTTGTTTCATCCCATACATGATCATGGCTTCAGGTGTTCCATGGCTGTACTGCTTTGAGATTTTCAGTTTCAGCTGCTTTTACATTCTTTGTTTCTCCTTAGGCTGCCTTACAAGCCTGCTGCAACTAAAAATGTCTATTCAAAAACATCATTTAGACTGGAAATTTCGTCACATGTGTGATGCCGCAGATTACTCACTTAAAGGGTAGAAATGTGTAGGAAAAGTTAAGGATTTTAATTCAGCACTGACTGTGAAAGCTTATGTTTAAGAACAAGTTTTCCTAAAGAGAGTTTTTGCCATCCAAACCTAGTTTTGGGAAAGTTTAAGTGTTTCTGCTGTACATGGATAACACGTGTGTTTACCTACGTCTAGAAGCTTTTGAAAAGCCAGTGCATTAATACACTAATACTTTATATTAATTGAACATTTCAATGGATTTTTTTTTGCCTTACTAATCTACCTCTGTGTAAAAGCCTGAGATACTTGAGACATATGTTTGTGTTTCTGCTTTTTGTTTCATAATTCATGGTTCAAAGCTTCCCAACTGGGTGTTTTAAGAGGGCCGAATAGCCAGAGAAAGTTTGTTGTTCTTGAGCAGATGATGACTGAACTGCTTATCTTTTCCACCTGCAATTCAAGGGATAAGAATGGTGTCTAAGTGACTTCTAGTTTACCTTTTGCAAAATATTTTAATGCAGTTATGTTATTGATAAGTTAATTGAGAGGTGCACATAATAAAATGTGTCTTTTGTTTTCTAACATCTGAAACTTGTCTGACCCTAACTTCTTTTGGGTATGGCTTAGTCTATAACTCTTTTTTTGAGACGGAGTGTCGCCCTCTGTCACCTGGGCTGGAGTGCAGTGGTGCGATCTCGGCTCACTGCAACCTCCGCCTCCCGGGTTCAGGCGATTCTCCTGCCTCAGCCTACCGAGTAGCTGAGATTACAGGCACCTGCCATCATGCCCAGCTTATTTTTTGTATTTTTAGTAGAGACGGGGTTTCACCATGTTGGCCAGGCTGGTCTTGAACTCCTGACCTCGTGATCCGCCTGCCTTGGCCTCCCAAAGTGCTGAGATTACAGGCGTGAGTCACTGTGCCCAGCCTATAACTTTTTTTTGAGTCATATTCTAGTGTTTTATATGAGATACCTTTGCAGGCAGCAGTATTACTTTACTTTTGTAAAGATTGTTTAATATATTGGTTAAATGAGCCAATTATTTAGGCTTCATTTCGTTATCCTTAATACTTTTGCCTAAACACACTATATTCAATGTAAATCATTAGAAAACAGATTAATGATGAGACTGTGATTCTAAATGAGGTACTAATATTGGTTGACAAATACTACCAAACATTATAAACTCTGATCATGCTAAAATATGAAATTAGCTGCTTGCAGTGTATTTGGCTTTTGAATAACATTTTGTAGATATGCTATAAGGCATCGGACAACTCCAGGAGTTACAATATTCCAAGTAACACTTTGCATGACTCTGATTCTTCATTGCAAACTGTAGTTTCGAGAATGCTAAATGCATCGCATGCCATAAGCCTTTTGGATTGCTCATTAGTGAATTGTAATTTCACACTTCATTTAAAATATTCTTAAACATTCTCTCACAGTAAAAGGTTTCACACGGTAATTAAAAGACCCAGTTAACGAAGTCTGAGAAGTCTGATTTCCTCATGGGGAGTGATTTTGCTAAATTGTAGCATTTCAATTAATATAATAGAATTTGCCAAATGTAAGTTTTATATTGCTGTGACCCAAAATATTATTGCTTGGTGAAAAGTGGAATAGTATTTCATCTTAGGAAATAAGTAAACCTTTAACTTTTTTTTTTCCCTTTGGTGTAGATTGAGGATGAGCTTTTTAATCCAGATTATGTGGAGGTTGACCGGATAATGGACTTTGCACGTAGCACAGATGACCGGGGAGAGGTAACAGGAGATCATTTGTATTACAAAGTGGTGATTCAGGCAACCCATACATGTTTATAGAGAAGATGGTAGAATCCTAGACCTGGTCTTGGTCAGAGCCTTGGACTGTGACACACTTGGTCTAAATTTAACTGAAACTTAATGATTTATTATTAGTTTTATGACTTAATAATAGTGCTAAATATGTTTTATGTTTAGTCTGAGAACTTTTTTAAAAAATTGATTTTCAATATGAAAGAAATACATTGACATTTTGCACAATTCCACAATATGATAAAGAATTCAGTACATTTTGGTATAAATCTGTCATGTAGCACAAAGTATCCTTATATAATTGAGTGTCTCTTGTGGCAGAATGGAGTTTAAGGTTATTTAGAATTGGGCATCATTAGTGAAGTTGATGAATTCATTTAATGTGGTACACAGAGGCTAATAGACATTATTTCTCTTAAAAGATCCTAGTCTCAACACTCTTATTTTGCTTTGCAAAACTCTGTAAGATTATAAGGGATATTTGATAGGGAAGTAAGAATGAAGACAAGTGTAGTGACTTCTGAGTATTGTGTCTTGATAATGATGTGCCCACCCACCATGAATTGTGTCCTTCCTGGCTTCTCCATGTAAATTGAATTTTATATATACAGTGTTTGGATCTTGCTTTTCTAGGGAGGGTCTGCAAAGAACTCTCATTTTCTTCCAAACTCTGTGTCATGACACTCTATGATGTTTCCAAGACCATATCTGTAACATGATCTTTACTTTTCTAATTTTCCTTAGTTATACTTCAAAAAATTGTTTCATAGCATATTTACATTGTACAGGAAATATTTTTCACATCACAACTAGGTCAGTGTTCCTTGGTCCTGAAATGAAGGTCAACAAACCCAAGTGTTTTCTAGAGGAAAGACAAAGGAAATCCTGTTGATCTGCATTACCTGAAATATTTTGCCCTCCACCCTTATAAAGCTCAAATATGTTATTTTAATGTGATTGGACACAAACAGTATCACTCTTTTTAAGGAAAAGGTAGAGATCCTAATAAATTTAAGCGTATGTCTCATTTTTTAAGAAACCAGCCAATTATGTAAACATTGAAATATGCTAAGATGATTTACCATGTAAGTCTGAATCAAACTCCTGATGAAAGATTTGTACAGATAAAAAAAATCTCAAATTCAGCTTTGCTATTTGCTAGCTATTTCTTTATACTTTTTGGCTTTCGAACATCACTTACCAATGATTTTGATAAAAGGCTAATTTGTTCTGATAATGCCCAATAATACTGTTTCCAGTTTAGACTTGAGACTCTTAACTAGGAACAGCTGTTTATGGCCATAGTTTTTAAATTTCTGTCAATTCAGACTTACTCATGCTGGGATAATGTCTATTGATAAATGAAGTAGAGCATGCTTTTCCTTAATGTGTATGTAAATATACATGTATATGTATATATGTATATATATAAGCATGTATATACACCTATGTGTATGTATAAGCATATATACACACATACATATGTATAAACATATATATACATATGTATATGTATAAACATATATATACACATACATATATATGTATAAACATATATATACACACATACATATCTATATGTATAAACATATATATACACATATATATGTATATGTATGTATGTGGTCAAATGAATCCAATTCTGATTTATTTAAATCTGGTCCAGCCTGTGACTCACTATCTGGTGAAGTGGTGTTCACTTCCTTATGAAGACAGCACGTGGGAGCGGAGGCAGGACATAGATCAAGCAAAGATCGAGGAGTTTGAGAAACTAATGTCCAGGGAGCCGGAAACAGAGCGTGTGGTAAGAATTGGCTGATGGTAGAGAATTTAATTTGAAAATAGCATAGTGGTGTGGTCTTTGGGAAACCACTAATGGGATTTACTATATTTGAAACAGGAGCGACCTCCTGCTGATGATTGGAAGAAATCGGAGAGTTCCAGGGAGTATAAAAACAATAACAAACTCAGGGAATACCAGTTGGAGGGAGTAAACTGGCTACTTTTCAATTGGTACAACATGTATGTAAAACAAGTTTTTCTTCACTTTTAAATATATCTGTAGTTCCTTTCCTTTAGTTATTGAAAATAATAAAAAAGAACTTAATGTTTTAACTCTAATAAGAGCTTTTTCAAAAAACAAGCATTGAAAATATATGTAATATTTAATAAATATTAATACAGAGATTGATATAAGTGTGTAAAAATAATTTTTATTCTTTGAGAATTTTGTTTGAAAATATATTTTGTTGAATCTAAGAGAACATCTAAAGCCTTTGGGTATGCATTTGTGGGTACAATGGTATATATTTTGTGAAATGACAGCAGTGTGTCATATCCATACTCATTAAACTTTTGTACTTCATTTTCCTCCTAAAGGCGAAACTGCATTTTAGCAGATGAAATGGGTTTGGGAAAAACTATCCAGTCCATTACATTTCTCTATGAGATATATTTGAAAGGAATCCATGGCCCTTTTTTAGTAATTGCCCCATTGTCCACAATCCCCAACTGGGAAAGGGAATTCCGAACCTGGACAGAGTTGAACGTGGTTGTGTATCATGGGAGTCAAGCTAGTCGTCGGACCATTCAGTTGTATGAAATGTACTTCAAAGATCCCCAGGTAAACCTTCACAGGTTGTATTCTTTGTACTTACTCTGTGCATTTTAAGGTGTTAAAAAAAAATCAAAGTCTTGGTGACTTGGGAAGGTCTAAATTTTGCCAAATTGAGAAATTTGCTTTAGATATCTGACTCAATTTACATTTGTATTATCTTTCTGTGTCTATGAAAACAGCTCTTCATTTTTATAGCTTTGGTTTTTCTGATTATTAGATTAGAAGGAATGAAATTTTTTGCCTTGGATGATCACTGAAATCCATTTAATGCTTTGATATGTTAATTAGTTTTATTTTGCAAGCCTAAGAGAAAACTAAACAAAAATTGGTAATATTAAATGTGAATAGAAAGAATATTTTATTATGCTATTGCTAGAAGTGAAAAATAGTAAGCATGTAAAAAGTCCTTGAAATATATGACACATTGAATGAAACACATCCCAAGGGAGGAATTTATGCTTTGGCTGTTAGTAGCAATTGCTTTAATTTTTTTCTTACTCTAGTTACCTGTATGCCATTAGTGTGTATCAACAGTGAAGTGTTATAAATGACATGATAAGGAAGAATAATATGTACTAAAATAGTTTTATGTTATGGGTAGTAAATGGAAGTCCTGTAAATAGGATCTTTGCTATATATATGTTTTTGCTATATATAGATAGATAGATAGATAGATAGATAGATAGATAGATAGATAGATGTGTGTGTGCATGTTCTAAGTATAAAATCTGACCTACAATTAAATAACTAAAGGAGAAAAAATATTGAAATCTGTGTTTATCTTTAGATTTGGGAAATTATTATAAATTCTGTCCTACGTGAATGTGTGACTAGAATGGGTACGCTTAGTGGTAATTGATGCATGTGCTCTGTTAGGAAATTAGATCCAAAATTTACTGACAGTTTTCTCATTTGTTTTCCAATTCTGTTTTACCATATCGTTTAAAACTGCCAAAATAACTTGAAAACAGAATGTATGTCACCTAAAATAAAGAGATCTCCAAAGGGATAAATACGTATGTTTTATGCTATTTATTCATCCTTAAAGTTATTTATGTAACCATTAATGCTTAATAATAATTCAGAGTTGTTCTTATAGGGTCGAGTGATAAAGGGGTCCTATAAGTTTCATGCCATCATCACTACATTTGAGATGATTTTGACTGATTGTCCTGAGCTGCGGAATATTCCATGGCGCTGTGTAGTCATTGATGAAGCCCACAGGCTGAAGAACAGGAACTGCAAGCTGTTGGAGGGACTCAAGATGATGGACTTGGTCAGTGACCATATTGGTGATTGCACTGAACCTGAATAGAATTGTTGCTGACTTGATAGTCCCGTTGCTCAGAATTTGATGCCTGTAAACAGTATTTGAAAAGCTTGTCAAATATTGTGATATATTCTCTGGCACTTTCAGTTATTCAAAAGTTGTTGCCTTTTGGATTCTTACATTGTTGGCTAGTGTCTGTTAAACAGTTGTATTATAGCAGAGTGTAATCATGATAGTTTCACTAAAGTGAGTTTCAAGTATTTGTTTTACCCTTTGTTCATAAATACAGGTTGATCATACCAAATACAAAAATCCCAGAATCCAAAACGTTTTGAGTACCCACATAATGCTAAAAGGAAATGCTCATTGGAGCATTTTGGATTTTGGATTTTCTCATTTGGGATGTTCAACCCGTAAGTATAAATGCAGATATTCCAAAATCTAAAAATATCTGAAATCTGAAACACTCTGGTCCCAAGAATTTTGGATAAGGGATACTTAACCTGTACTGCCATTTCATTAACTGTTGGGCCAAGCTTTACTTCAGTGATGATAGTCCAGTTATTTTTCAGTGCTCATAGGTTTTGCCATACTGTGGCCAGCAGGACTTGTAGATGCAAGTTCTCAATGAGTTGGGTAGGATATCTGGGGTTGGTTTAGTTCGCACAGATGCTTAGAAGTTTGGGGCATTACAGTGCCTCAGATTTGATCTGGAGTTTTACACCACACTTATCCCATAGTCTTCCAGCTTCCCAAGAGATGATCAGGTCTTCCTGATTAGATTTTCTAGATTTTTTTTTCAGCAGGAGCATCATGGAATAACATATCGTAGGAGTAGAAGGATTTGATTTATTTTCTGTCTGATACTGCTGTGTGTGATTTCCTAGTGGGAATTGCAACATGACCTGTCATCCTCAGGCTTCTTTTCACTCCATAGTTTATATAGTGGTTATGATCACTTATATTTTATTTTTAATGTACATTTGGAAAGCAAAGCTCCTGTCATTTAGCATGCCTTGGATGATTTGATGAGTTTCACGGAAGTACAAAAAGGGTTTCAAAGTATTTTTAATGCTAATTTCTGCAGGCTAATTTGATCTTTTGTTAACTGAGAGTTTGAGATGAGAAGGAGTGTTCTGTATATTCATGGCCATATGTTTTTAGCTGAAGACTGGTATTACCAAAAAACACCTAAAAGCTTTTTGTTGCAGCTGATTCTCTGAAAGAGCAGCTTATTTTATTCTTAAAGAGATTAGAATTGCCAGCTATGCTTTTAGTTTAAAACAAACAAAATCTAGTTTTGCTTAAAGGAAAAAGTCTGACTGAATTATCCTATTTAGGGTGGGATTTCCCATTTTTCTTCCTAATGAATTATTATTAAAGCGATCCTAAGATCTGTCTCAAAGCAGTTGACTATTATTTGGTGGCCAATACACAAAACAAGTGAGAGCGCTTAGAAACAGTGAATAGTCTCAGGGACCTTGGTAAGCATATGGAAAAGAGAAACTCTGTGTTTGTATTTGTTCACTCCAGGTGATACTTAAGCATTAAAATGAAGTAAACTTGTATTTGCAGGTAAACACTAATGCTTGTGATATAACCTAAATATATATTCTCAGTAGGGATCCACCTTCATAGTTTTCTACTAAGAGACAGTTATGTCACCATTTCCTGAAGGCTTAAACAGTCATCTGACTGAACTTATCTGAGTTGTGTTCTATTATTAGTTCATGTGTTCCCAGATAGTAAATTCTTACTGTAAAACATTATTTCATTGGTGAGTACACATTAATTTAACTCCATCAAGATCAAACAATCTGATTGTCATTGGGCTATTTTTTTTTTTAATTTAAGTTCTAGGGTACATATGCAGAATGTGCAGGTTTGTTACATAGGTATACATGTGCCATGTTGGTTTGCTGCACCCATCAACTTATCATTTACATTAGGTATTTCTCCTAATGCTATCCCTCCCCCAGCCCCCCACAATCTTTGGGCTATTTCAAAGAGTTTTCTATTATTTATACTAACATTTGATAAATGGATTAGAATCTGTTATCCAAATAATTTTCCTATTACATATTGCAGTGTTCTTAAGCTTTTTCACATAATGGCACGTATAGAAAATGATAGTAGTTGAATGCCACACTCAGGTAAAAAGAGAAGGCTGCCCACTGCCACGGGACACCACCAGTCCTGGGTGTCCTGACCTTCCCCAAGGACTTATAACCTGTACTCATCCTTGACTCACCAACTGGGAAGCTCTGATTAGCACATGAACAAAATATTTATTTTTCTAATGATGAAGAATTTTTATTTGAGAAGAAATGTTTTCAAGATGGAACACATTATTGTTCAGAATATAATTATGTTTGTCCAATTCTGAACAGCTCGTTGTCTGGTCTTTAAATCCTTACTTAAAATAAGCATCTTGAGAACTTAGCCACTTTCTACTTTTTATTCTTTCCTAGAATAAGTCACAGTCAAAATAGTGGTTAGTAACTATATCCAACTACGGCACAGGCCATAGGGAACTGCTGTTACCTGCACTAGACTCAGTTGCGATGAAAATGCGCTTGATGGGGATTATCTCCAAGTGCATTCCCAGAAAGGACGACCAATGAGTGTCTTCAGCTCTGCAGACACCAAGGAAATGTTTGTGAAGATGATACATTGAGGGGCAGTCACCATCTTCACAGTCCTCCACAGGAGCTCTGGGAAAGCAACCATCTCGTTGTCCCCCATCCACGAGGAGGGGATGCTGTGGAGATCATGGTAGTTCTTCATTGATTCTAGTATCTCTTTCATTGTCAGGAAACCTAACACAAAAGAGTCTGCTTAAAATGAAATTAAATGGACATCACTTCATCAGAGCTAAAAAGAATGGTAACGTTGTCAAGGCAAAAGCACATCTGCTAGCATAGGTGGAGGTGATAAGCTCCATCGCCTGAGTTTCTTACCTGATGTTTTGTGAGACTGTGCATAGTAATCGTGTATTTTTTAATTGTTACCCACTTTCAAATTGATACCTAGTTTTATTCCACTATTTGTAGGTAACTGTATGAAAGGATTTTGTGTATAATCATTTGGTGTAACTAATTGAAGGGAAGCTGCATAAGAAAGGAGTTCCTAATGCTAGATGACGAGTTAGTGGGTGCAGCGCACCAGCATGGCACATGTATACATATGTAACTAACCTGCACAATGTACACATGTACCCTAAAACTTAAAGTATAATAAAAAAAAAAAAAGAAAGGAGTTCTTTCCTTTTTTCGAATAAGTTTATTTTGAAATTAATAAGTTAAAAAGGCTTTAACTTTTAAAATATTTGGTTAAGCAGTCAAGATTTAATTTAATGTCGTAATAAAGGATATGAAAAAACTGGGAGACACGATATCAATACAGCTCAACTACTGCAGTAACTCTTTCCTGAATATGTGATGGGACTTAAAAAAAAAAGTTCTTGCATACAGTAATCCAGGACTTGGGTATGTCAGCGATTGTGGCCCAGGCTATCCACAAGTGTGGTGATACTTTAGAAAAAAATTGATTGATTGATCCTTACTGTTTATGAATTTACTGAGTCTGAAGATGATGGTCGTCCATGAAACTTCCTCAGAGACTTTATTCAAAGGGAAGAGAAGGAGGAATACAAGCATATTGAACTCCTTCACCTACTTTCAAAGAGCTTCATTAACAGATATGACATGGTAGATATTAAGAAAATTAGCATGTTCTTACCTCATTCATCTAGTATTTACTGAGCGTATACTCTGCTTGGCAACCGAGACTTGTCAGATTCCAAATTAAGTCAGAATATTGCTTTCTCAACTACTGGGATGTATAATTACTTTCTGAAATAGTTTTGTTAGCTGTGCTGTGTACCAAATGGCCAAAGTAGAAAATAATAGGGTTCTTAAGATTAATATCTCACTATTGTTAAGACTGGCCATTGTAAAACAGCTCTTCTGTATTGCATATATGAAAATAGGAAGACAGGGTATAACTGCATGAGGAAAGCTGGGGAAAGAGTTCGTAAACAGGAAGAATTAATTAAAGAAATACCTAACTTGGTTCAAAGAGACAAATTTATAAATAGCATCTGATTAAAAAAAAGTGATTGTGGTATTTACAACCAAGCTGACCTCTTTGCTAGTTGGAAATTTTTGCAGAACAAAATAGTTTTTCATATGCTGTTGCATGTAGAACTTCTTTTGTCTCTATGAAGTGAGTCATGCAGGAAGCAGATGGAGAGATGAGAGCACTGTTGATGTAGAGAGCAGAAAGAAGCATGCATGTTTCATCTGCGTCTAGGGATTCTAGGAAAAAAACTTAACTGGTGGGGATAAAAGCATTGAGACTTGGGGGACTTAAAAAGCCGTGATACTAAAATACTGACCTATAACCCCAGGAAGAAACAAAATGGCAAGACACATTTAAGGACCCTGTAGAGTTCTGGAGAGGACTGTCCATGGATCTGTCTACCTGACACAGAAATCGTGTTCTAATACCTCTGTTTTCATGCCTGATTCCTATACTTTGCATAGGGTAGATGAGTAGGAGTAGAACAATGGGTGTCTAGTGAGAGGCTCTGGTTTTAAGAAAGTGTTTTTGTTACAATTTGGTTAGTGGCTTTCCTTGTGTTACCTCAGGAACACAAAGTGCTGCTGACGGGAACCCCACTCCAGAACACTGTGGAAGAACTCTTCAGCTTGCTTCATTTCTTGGAACCAAGTCGCTTCCCTTCAGAAACCACATTTATGCAAGAATTTGGTGATCTAAAAACAGAAGAGCAGGTATTTATCAGCTCCACTTTGTATTTCAGTTATAAAATTGAAGATTAGCCCATGAAATGGCAAAGTATTAAGTTATTTTAAAGTGTGATTATATTACAGTTTTTCCCACCTAGTACACAGAACCTTAGATACCCTTTCCTTGGACTTTCCAGGTCATCATCATAAAGGTTTTCTTCTTTATTTGTTTGTCTTTTTGCTCTTGTGAAGGGCTGTTGAGATTTATAGAGAGGTTACATACCTGTTGATGTAATTTTCAGAGATAGCTGTGCTGTGCAGGTTGGTAGTTTTGCTAGGTATGTGTAATTTTGGGGATGATGTCAGACGCCACTGACGTTGGTAGGCCTGTTTGCCTGCTGCAGTTTTGAGTCTCTGTTCTTTGTGAAGCATCTGTACTCAGCCACACCGCTTACTTCTTCAAGCCTACGTATTTTCACTTTAGAAACTTAGGGCATAACCACTGCACAGTATTTCTGTGAGAAGTAAATGAAGCATTGTGTATAAAAAGTGCTTGGGCCAGGCGCGGTGGCTTACGCCTGTAATCCCAGCACTTTGAGAGGCTGAGGCAGGCGGATCACGAGGTCAGGAGTTTGAGACCAGCCTGGCCAATATGGTGAAAACCCATCTCTACTAAAAAAAATACAAAAATTAGCCGGGCGTGGTGGAACACGCCTGTAGCCCCAGCTACTCTGGACGCTGAGGCAGGAGAATCACTTGAACCCGGGAGGCAGAGGTTGCAGTGAGCCAAGATTGCACCACTGCACTCCAGCCTGGGTGACACAGTGAGACTTCATCTCAAAAAAAAGGAAAAGAAAAGAAAAGTGCTTGGCTATTTTATATGCTGTAAGAGTTATGTGGGCATTAGTTATAATTTGTGTGCTGTATTTGAAATAAATAACGGAGATAGACTTGAAATCTTGGTTTTTACGTGCCCCCTCCACTGACTTACTGTCTAAAACCTGTTAGCTCAGTTCAGAGTAAGGTCTGTTTTGTTTTTCTTTTCTAAAATAAAAACTGTATGGATTACTCAGTTCTATTGCCAATCAATAGAAAAGAGAACCAGGGAGAGACGTCTCTGCTGGCTCCTTAGTGCAGGGACTAGATTGCTCCTGGCTCACTTCCTCTCATTCTTTAGCTCTCCCTAGAAAGGAAGAGAATAGAAACAGAGCATTGCCATGACATTGTCTTGTCCCTCTTCTCTATCTTCCCTATGGCTTAGGACAAACAGAAGGGAAAGCTACATGAATCAGTTGGATTTCTCCTGCTGGGTACTTTTCAAGCCTTCTGGCTGTTCAGGGCTCCTGGATGGGTGAAATAGTTCATTTGACATAAAATTATGCAACCTTCATGCACTGCTCTTATGAAAGCTGAGAGATGAGCTCCTTCATACTCTCACTGGGCTTTGAAAAATGAAAATGGATGTTTAATGAATGAGATAATCCTGATGTTTCATGTTAAAATATGTTTTAACTTGCAAGCAAATCATGACACTAGTATTTACTTAAGGTCCTTTTTTAGGTGCAAAAACTTCAAGCTATTCTAAAGCCAATGATGTTGAGACGTCTCAAAGAGGATGTAGAAAAGAACTTGGCCCCCAAAGAAGAAACTATTATTGAAGTTGAGCTAACAAACATTCAGAAGAAATATTACCGAGCCATCCTTGAGAAGAATTTCACATTTCTTTCCAAAGGCGGTGGTCAAGCTAACGTACCTAACCTATTAAACACTATGATGGAATTGCGGAAGTGCTGCAATCATCCGTACCTTATCAATGGTAAGGCTGCCCTGCTCGCGAACTTGCTTAAGTGACGATTGAAGCACCAGAAATCCCTTTCTGCCCCCAGACTGGGGATTTCATGGTGTATAGTCATTCCTGTCTCCTGTCCACTCAGCATGGGTTTCACCAGCTTCCCACTTTCTGTGATGCCTCCTTCTGTGGTTGCTGAAGGTGAGTGACCATTGCCCCAGCAATCCCTGAAGTGGAATCTCACCTTGCCTTTCTCCTGACCTCCCTGTGCTTGAAAAGAGGCGTTAGTGTTCCAGGGCTAGAAGTCATCTGAAGTGCTAACAGCCAAAGAGAAATGAGCCCCTAATGGAGGTTTTCTTGGGGTGTGTGTATTTAAATCAGAGATGTTAAAGAGGAACTTAGGTGTGAGCAGACAGCTATCAGCTGTCTCAAGCCTTTGATAGCAAATGTCCTCATCTTCCTCTCAGTCCAGAGTCATCTAGCACCTCTATCCTCTGAGAACAAAAAAATTAACTTAAAGCTTTGATAATTTATGGCCCTCCTCTTTTCTTAACTAAATTCATAGTGTTATGTAACTCATGGCTTAAAACCTTTATTATGTATTTTTGGAAATCATTAAGGTAGTAAATATTTCATGCTTATGTTGTATAAGATACTCTGGAGAATGCAAAGGTAAATAAGAAGGGAGCATTCGCCACAAGCAGTCTTCAGTTAGCTGAGGGATTGAGATTGGGGGAGTCTTTAGAAGGAGATGGTCTTTTTAGGCAAGTCTGCAGGGGTAGAAAGGATTTTGCGAGGCAGAGTTAGAAAAAGAAAAGATGTTTAGGCTGAAGTAACGATACAAGCAAAGAGAGGGGGTCAGGAAAACAATGAGGAACTTTCCCAAAGTAAAAGGCACACATAAGAAATGCACCTTAGACATGCTTGGATCCTGCTGCAGAATTCCTTAAAGGCTAGTGCATGGAACCTCCACTCTACTCTGCAGGCAGTGAAGAACCATGACTAGTGTTTGAGCTGAGCATTGATTAGAAATATGATTCAGGGTGATGCGTCAGGCAACACTGCATAAAAAGGATGGGAGGAGGAAAGACAGACAAGCAGAAGAACCAGCTCAGAGGCTATTGTATTCTGGGTAGAAGTTAATGTGGGTTAAAGAAAGGTGGTGGCAGGCTAATTTGGGAGACTTGTACACGATGATAGTTGGCCAGCAGTGCAATTAGATTCCTTTCCAAGGAAAAGGGAGCACAACCTGGTCTGTCTTTATCACAGTTTATGTTCAAGGACAGCTAATTTAAAGAATTTCTAATCTTTCCCCTTTTAATAACGTGTAACTCATCGGCCACCCTAGATTCAGAAGTCTCCGTTACTAATGGACAGAGTAGTCCACTCCTGGAAGATAGTCTTAGAGTGTTGCACCTGGGATCATTGGTGTGATGCGACGAATCAGTGAATTTCTTTTTTATATATATATACACAGTTTTTTTTTCTTGAGATAGGTTCTCACTCTGGCGCCCAGGCTGTAGTGCGGTGGCACGATCTCGGCTCACTGCAGCCTCGACCTCCCAGGCTCAAGCATCCCTCCCACCTCAGCCTCCTGAGTAGCTGGGACTACAGGCATGCGCCACAACGCCCAGCTAATTTTTTTTGTATTTTTTGTAGAGACGGGGTTTCTCCATGTTGCCCAGGCTGGTATCGAACTCCTGAGCTCAAGTGATCTGCCTACCTCAGCCTCCCAAAGTGCTGGGATTACAGGTGTGAGCCACTGCACCTGGCCAGTGAATTTCTTTTTGTGCTTTTAGTTTTGTCTTCTAAAGAGAGTATCATGTGTGATGATTATGTATCTGATACTGCCAATCTGCTAATCACAGTATGTTTAGAAGCTTGTGCAGCCGTTACGGTGAGTGTTAACTAGCCAGGTCTTGAGTTGGCGAGACAGAGCTTAGGGCAACTGATGGAGCGAGATGAGGACACGTGTGTGCATGCACTGTGCACATACATGTGTTTGCATTTAATAGCTGGTACAAAAGAAAATAAATAATAGCCTCCAAGGGGAAAGAAAAGAAAAGGAGATACAAAAGGGTTTGAATGCTACCAGCAGGATGTGTGTGAAAGGGGAGATCTCAGCAATGGTAGTTAGATTGACACCCCCAGTTCCATCAAGTTTACCCTGTTTGGTCATATGTTAATTATATGCATTGAACATTGTGGGTTGTTTTCCCCCAAAACACAGCTGGTGTGTCTCTTCCTTTGATGATTGCTTTCCAGGGTCATCCTGTATAGCATATTTGTTCGCGAGGAGCCTCTTAGGACTCCCTAAGGCTTGGCAGATGTGGCAGTTGTCCTAATTGGTCACACCTTGAGGTCAGCTTTTCTGTCCTGACAAGAAGTGTCTGTTAAGCAGGTGTCTTTGTCCCTAAATTTGGGGAAGTTATAGTGAAAAAGTGTAGATAACATACAAACTAAGCGCACGCAGCTGCCCAGATAACTTACGCAGACATTGTATTGTGTAGAGGTTGCTCCAGGGCCCGTACTGTTCATTCTCATCCACAGTCTGGAGTAAAAACATATATCCAGCATTTAAAAGGAAATTCTTTAATTTGGGAGATTACATTGAAATTTGAATTGGTTGTGGCAGAGTAAAGAAGCCTCAATCAACATTCAACAAAACACATTTCCAGGATTATGAAAAATAGAAGCAATTTTATATGTATGAGTTGAAAGCTTATGTATGAGTTATTAGCTCAAGCTTTATTTCAATGGAATTTCCAATTTTTAGGTTTTGCAATGTGAAGTTAAGAATAATGTTGAAAACATGTCCAAGGTACCCTGCTGGTTAGAGCTGACTTAAGAGTTGTTGCTGGTTATTGTTTGAGGCAGGAGGCGTGTAGAGGAAGAGTGGGCAAAAAGAAAACACGAATGAGGCTTACGTGATGGAGTGAATTTCAGAGAGAAAATAGTAACTTTTTTTTTCTGGTAATCGTCAAGAACAAAATATTTTCTTGTTTGTTCGTGGCTTTTATATAGCTAGAGGACATTGCAGTTACTGTCCCGACAGTGACCATCTGTTGAAGTGAAAAGACTTCAAGCTGTAAGTGAATGCACACTTGTTTCAAGTTGTCTTTGATATACACACTTTCCAGTGTAGTGCCAGCCATACATTAATTTAGGACGGAACCAACAAAGTGTTTTGGGTTGGCATGACCTATTTCCAGTTAATTTTTGGATTGATGTTTACAAATTGGGTATCAAACATTAATTTGTAATCTTGAAAATTTAGCTGTGATATCACAAGGGAGCAGTTGCTTTCCTCCCCAACACTCTTCCCACCCTCTTTCCTTCAATGTTGCCACAATAAAATGTCAAGACAATCATATAGGAAAGGTGTTTGCTGATACTGTTTTTAAATGAAATATTATTAGTACAAACTGGCTGCCAGTTGTAAGAACCTGAATTCATAACAGAGAGCTGAATTAATTAATTCAGAAGTAGCTTTTGTCAGGTAAGAAAGAATGCATTTTTTTTCTGACTATTCTTTTTGATAGTATAAAAAAGGCAAAAATTATTTTTTTAATCTCTGAATAAATTTAAAATTAAAATTCTCTGCAAATTTGACTGAATTATTTGTTAAAAAAATTTAACTGAAACCCAAATATCTGATGTTTATTTTGTCGAAATGATTATTTGCTTTTTGAAAAATATTCGTTGGCCATTAATTTGTTTTAAATGGCTAAAATACTATATTTTATATTGTGGATTTTAACTTAGTATGGACAAAAAATAATTAACCAAATGTCATAAGAGTAAAACTTATTCTGAATTTCAGAGCTTATGATGTATTGTACAACAAGAATACACTTGAAAGATACCTAATGTAACGTGCACTTAAATCTGTTTCCCCTGTCTCTTGAGGGGCTTGTCCTGAATCTAGAAGCTGGGTTTCTAAATTTCATGTTTTAAAAAATATTTAACTTTATTCAAGAACATTCTTGCTAGTGCCCTTAAACAGCATTTTGCTCTTTACTCTTGCATTTATTTTCCATACTTAAAGAAACATTCTGAATATTAGCTTTTCATTCACTTGGAAAAAGGAGTGAGGGCCAGTCTGCCTTCATAAGAAGTCAGTGTATTTTGTGGAAGGCCTTAGTGCTTGGGAAGACATTAACTGACTTTAATCTGTTCTCAGTAAATTATTTGTTGATTAATAATTAATAGGCTGTATTTCTGCATTTGACCATGTCATAAGGTAATTTCTACATGCAGCCTTAAAGTACAGATAGGATTGCACTTTTGTTACATCTGTGCTTGTTGCAGCAGTACCATGTGAGAGGCTGTGGTTGTCTGTCCCACTGACCCAACCTTTAAAGCCTCTTTGAGGTTTATGTATCCCCATCTTGTGTATAGTTAGTTCACATGTTAAAAACCAGTGGTAGGAAGGTAGTTTTAAGTTTCTGGCACAGTTAAAGTCTAGGAAACAATCCCATTAAGATGAATGTGTGTGTTTGTATTTTCTGAAGAATAGTTGAGCACATCCTCCACCTTCAGGGAAAAGAGCTAAACACAACAGCTATGTCCTGATTAACCCCAGAGGCAGGAGGAGGTCAGACCAATGCTGCGTAATTCTAGTTAAGCCACCTAAGCAGTTGAAGGAAGCTTAGCCTGCTGCTTCCTAAATAAGCGTGTGTCAGGCAGGGATGTCATGGGCCATCTTTCCTTAGGAAGATGTCATCTTCTTGAGGCCTCTTTCCAATGTACCCAAGTCTTTGGACCAGCAAAAATCCATGTGGGGGAAAAGAAGGGTTTAAGCATAGAAGTCTTATGTCAAACACTTAAAGGTTTGTTTGTTTTTAATTTTAAAAGATTTGGATAGTTCAAGATAGAATTTTTGTATCTTAGGAAAAATTACCAGATGGGAATGAATGTGGAGGGAGATTTAGAGATTACAATAGTTGTATGCTTAGGTCCCCCACAAATATTCCAGGAAATTGTCCTGGAAATAAATTCCTCTTTTTGTAGTTCCTTTGCCTATATTAATATGCAATTATAGACCCAAACTACTATTGCTCTTACGCTGTAATTGTTAGGACTCTATTCCTTTGTTTTTTCATTTCGGAACAGATTTTGTTGTTTGTGTTTATGTTCAGCTAGTAAACATTTCTTCATTTCTTTAGCAATTTAGGTTCCAAATTTTCTGTAGGTATCTGGCCCTTGGCTTGTTTCTGCCACTTCTGGCTTGACAGTCTGTTGTTGAAATTCCGTTTTTACAGACAGCAAACATTTGTTTGTTGAAAAATGTGGTTTTCCCCCTGAATGCCTCAATGTGTTGTGCTTAAAACTTTTACCCCTTTTGTACATCCACAGTTTTGTATAGACCCAACTATGAGTAAGTGGATGGATTCTTGTTCATAAGCAGGAGTTTGGTGTTCTGGTTCCTACAGTTTGCAATGGGTTTTGAAAGCAAGTGCATTGTTTTTAGTAATAAAAACCTTTTACAGTATTCACGTTATGCTGTCCAATCTCTGCAGGTGCTGAAGAGAAAATTTTGGAAGAGTTTAAAGAAACACACAATGCAGAGTCTCCAGATTTTCAGCTCCAGGCAATGATCCAGGCTGCTGGCAAGCTAGTGCTGATTGACAAGCTGCTGCCAAAACTGAAGGCTGGTGGCCACAGGGTGCTTATCTTTTCCCAGATGGTGCGCTGCTTGGACATACTGGAAGACTACCTCATTCAAAGACGGTGAGGACCACCATATCAGAATAATAAAAAGGAAATCTAAAATTACCTTCCCAGGGGTCCAAGCAGTCCACCTAAAAGTGGAATCTATGATAAAGGGGCTAGAATGGGGGAAGTGCATCACATGTCATTTTTAAAACTATAGATGTACATGATGATTATTTTATATGATGACTACAGGAGGACACTGCATACTTTTTTAGGCAATTTTATTTCCCCATTGCCTTTATTTGAGTAGGGGAGAATAGTTCTTACTTAAAATTGAAATTATTTGTTATCTTACTGTTATAGGTGTCAGCTGTTTTTAGAATTTAACTATTTCCCTGGAGAGGAAGTAAAATAAAATTTAATCTTTGGTCATTCAATCAATTATATAAAAAACGCCAATAAACCCTATTTGCTCTGAGATTAGTTCTGTTAAGTCATATTAGTCTTTTTAATATATATTCCATATTGTAATAATTAAAAATTAAAAAAAGGAGCAAGTATGTTGTCGCTATGCGTCAGGCCTCCTTGTTCACACTGATGTTTTCTAGGTACCCATATGAAAGGATCGACGGCCGAGTAAGAGGCAACCTCCGCCAGGCAGCTATCGACAGATTCTCCAAACCTGATTCTGATAGGTTTGTTTTCCTCCTGTGTACAAGGGCAGGAGGTTTAGGCATTAACCTCACTGCTGCTGATACCTGCATCATCTTTGATTCAGACTGGAATCCCCAAAATGACCTCCAGGTAAATGCACAAGAAAGTCCTGATGCCTTTAAAAAGGAAGTCATTCTGCTTACTATGACAGAGAGTACCAGTCAGACCCATAAATTAATGTTGCGTCGTCACTCAGGCTGTGTCCTATGATTCAGAGCAAATAACCAACTAGTAATCTGTTGATTAATAATGTGAGAAGAAATTTTTTAGTTTTAACCTTCTTCTAAACTGCACCTCTATTTATTGGCACATAGATAGGGTCTTAGAACTGGCAGATGAGTCTTGTCATTCTTTGGTAGCCGTCTTAGCTCAGGTCTCCTTAACAAAATACCATAAATTGGGTGGCTTAAACAACAGACATTTATTTCTCACAGTTCTGGAGGTTGGAAGTCCAAAATCAGAGTGCCAGCAGAGTCAGGTTCTTGGTGAGGGCCCTCTTCCTGGTTTATGGACAGTTATCATCTTGCTGTGTCCTCACCCAGCTTAAAGAGAGCCAGCTCTCTCGCCTCTTTATATGAGCAGTAATCCTGTTCGTGAGGACTCCACCTTCATGACCTAATTACTTCCCTAAGGCGCCACCTCCAAATACCATCACATTGGAATGAGGGTTTCAGCATATGAATTTGGTGGGGAGACAGAAACATTAGGTTCATTGCAGTAACTATTAATTTCATTTTTCTTCCAGGCTCAGGCTAGATGTCATAGAATAGGACAGAGCAAATCTGTGAAAATCTACAGGCTGATTACAAGAAATTCCTATGAAAGGGAAATGTTCGACAAGGCTAGTTTGAAACTGGGCCTGGATAAAGCTGTGCTACAGTCTATGAGTGGAAGAGAAAATGCTACCAATGGGGTAAAACCACCCTTGCCCAAACCATTTATTTATTCTGGCACTTTCCTTTATTTAACTAATAGTAAGAAATTACTCAGCCTTTGATTATTTTTCGACCTCAATATTTTAAGTGTATTTTGTAACACTTTCCTTTGTTATAATTTAGGTTTACTCTCTTTGAGAAAAATGCAGCATTTGTTTAGTCTGCAAACCTCTTAATTTTAAATTATTTTGAGTATTTTAAATATTTCTCTAAAACAGGTACAACAGCTTTCCAAGAAAGAAATAGAGGATCTTCTACGAAAAGGGGCCTATGGTGCACTCATGGATGAGGAGGATGAAGGGTCTAAATTCTGTGAAGAAGATATTGATCAGATCCTCCTACGTCGAACCCACACCATTACCATTGAGTCAGAAGGGAAAGGTTCCACATTTGCTAAGGTGTGAATCGATCTAAAGAGGCCAGGTTTTCCATAGAAGCATGACAGAGTTCATGTGAAAAGTACCTTGTAAAAGTGCTTACAAGATGCATTGGGAATTAATCAAATTAATCATTAACTCCCTGTGGAACCCCTGGCACATGAAGCTTTCTTTATGCTTTGGTTTATCTTCTGTGTACCTGCCACTGGTATTTGCCCTCACCTTGTCATCCTTGTATCTGCTTCCCAGCTCCTGAGGCTAATCGCTCACTTGTGTTCTTGACTCTATTGTCTCCACTTCTGAGATCCTGCTCCGTTGGCATCTTCCTTCTCTCCCCAGATCCTGGTTTTTGAAACAGCCTATAAGAATGATCAAGTCACTCCTTTAAAAACACCTCTTCTCTATTTTCTTCTTTAGCTAAATCTCCATACATAAACTCTTCAGAGCTAAAATCCACACAAACGTAATCTACTGCAGCCTCTACTGTCTCCCTTTCTACTTATTTTTCAGCTTTTTCAGCTTCCAGCTTGCACCTGTTCCCTGCCTCTCTATCAGAGCTGCTCTGGCCAGGGTCACCACTGAGTACACCAGATGGTTCCACCTGAGAGCCCCTTCTGAGGTTTCACCTGCATTTTGTTCTAGCCATCTCAGTGAGGCCCACTCTGTACTTTTATTTTTAATGACTTTATTGAAATGTAATTAACTGACCATACAATTAACCTGTCTTTCGTGTACAATTCAATGCCTTTACCATATTACAGACTTGAGCAAATATTGCCACAATCTAAGTTTGTAACATTTCCATATACCCCAGAAAGGTCCTCATGCTCATTAGCAATCATTCCCCATTCCTATCCATACCAGTCTGCCATATCTGGAAAGCATGAATCTACTTTCTTTTTCTACAGATTTGCCTTCTCTGGACAGTGGACAGTTCATATAAATGGAATCATATGATGTATGATCTTTTGTGTCTGACTTCATTCACTTAGTATAATGTTTTTGAGGTTCATCCATGTTGTAGCATGGATCAGTAGTTCACTCCTTTTTATTGCTGAACAATATTCCATTGTATGGGTATACCACCTTTACTTGTTGATAATGGACATCTGGGTTGTTTTTACTATTGGCTATTATGAAGAATGTTGTTATGGATATTTGTGTACAAGGTTTTGTATGGACTTGTTTTCATTTCTCTTGGGTATATACCAGGAGTGGAATTGCTGGGTCCTATGTTAACTTCATGTTTGACTCTTTGAGGAACTGCCAGACTGTTTTGTAAAGTGACTGTACTAGTTTCCTTCCAAGTCAGATAGTAAGAAGTATAGATGAGGATATGGAGGAAATGGAACTCCATATCCTCCCCAATACTTTTTATTATCTGAGTTTTTAGTTTTAGCCATCCTAATGGGTGTGAGGTCATATCCCACTCTGGTTTTTATTTGCATTTCTCTGATGATATTGAGCATCTTTTCATGTGCTTATTGGCCAGATGTAGATCATCTTTGGAAAAAATTCTATTCAAGTTCTTTGTTCATTTTTTGAGTTTCTTTTTATTAATGTTTCAGACTTAAAATATGTTCTGTATGAAGGTTCTGTATTAATATGATTGCAGATATTTTCTCCTACTCTCTTCTTAATAGCATATAATTTTAATGAAGCCCAGTTTACCAAATTTATTTTATCGCTTGTGTTTTTAGTGCATTGTCAAACCCAAGCTCACAAAGATTTATGTTTTCTACAGATTTGCCTACTCTGGACGGTGGGCAGTTCATATAAATGGAATCATATGTTATATGATCTTTTGTGTCTGGCTTCATTCAGTTAGCATAATGTTATTCACTAGTGTAACTTAGATTCCAAGATTTATAGTTTTTAACTCTTACATTTTGGTCTGTGATCCCATTTGGATAGAGTTTTGTGTATGGTGTGAGGTAGGGGTCCAACGTTCGTTTTGCATGTGGCTATCCAGTTGTCCTAGCCGCTCCAATCTGGAAAGGCTCTTCTCCTGTGGGTTTTGAGACCCACATCTTCTCCTTTACATCTTTCAGCCTTGTGTCAGATTATTTTCTCAGAGCTCACAGGCACTGTGTATTCAATATGTGCACAGCCAAACTTATCACCCCTGTCTCTCCTCCTGCCCCTATCTCTGTTTGTCCACCTGACTGACATCATTCAGATGCCTGAGATGGATGCTGAGGTTTTTCTGGCTTCCGCTTCTTTCATATTTCACTTGTACCCAGATTCTGACTCCATTGATTTTGCCTTTTGTTTTATTTTATTTTTGGGATGATATCTCACTATGTTGCCCAGGCCAGACTTGAACACATGGCTCAAGTGACCTTCCACCTTCAGCTTCCCAATAATTTTACCTTTTAAAGAATATGTTTCTTTTTTTTTTTTGACAGAGTCTTGCTCTGTTGCCCAGGTTGGAGTGTAGTGGCGCAATCTCGGCTCACTGCAACCTCCACCTCCTGGGTTCAAGCAATTCTCTTGCCTCAGCTTCCCGAGTAGCTGGGATTACAGGTGTGCACCACCATGCCTGGCTAATTTTTGCATTTTTTGTAGAGACAGGGTTTCACCATGTTAGCCAGGCTGGTCTCAAACTCCTGACCTCAAGCCATCTACCCACCTCGGCCTCCCAAAGTGCTGGGATTACAGGTGTGAGCCACCATGCCTGGCCTAAAGAATATGTTTCTAAACCACCTTCTTTTCTCCATTTTGTTATTTCTTCTGTAAATTATTACAGTGGCTTCTTCTGCTGTGTTCTGACCTCCATGCTCCAAGCATTGGTATGACCTTTCCAACTTGTGACTCTGGTTATGATTGTGTCCATAATGAGATTATTCCTATTTTCAAATAGTTCCTGGTTCCTTCGGGATAGAGTTCAAACTCTGTTAACTCTGTTAACATATACAGACACTGCTTGACCTGGCTTCTCTCTCCCTCACCAGCTCGACCTCTGGCTCTTCTTCCCTGACTACCCTTATCCCCTTTACTCTCTGTGCCTTGGCACATGCTCTGCTGTGAACATTTCCACATGCTTTCCTGTTTTATAAATGTTTTAGAATGGTTCAGGCATCATTTTATGGAAGAGACTTTTCTTTTCGGTTTCCAGCAACACCCTGCCTGAACCAGGTTAGGGGCCCCTCCTCTGTATATCACTTGCACTGGTCTATACACTTGCTCCCTATCATTTATCACTCTGCAGTGTAATTCTTGGTTTGGTCTCAGGCCCTGGTCAGTGAGCTGCCTGAGGGCCAGTCTGTCATTCTAGTCCCATCTACTGTAGTGTCTGGCATAAGTGGAGGAATGCACAATATCGGAGCAAATACATAAACAAAAGCTGCTTTACATTCTGCTTCTGAGAAAGGCCTCTCAAAGTAATGCGTTTCTTTTTTCTCTTTAGGCCAGTTTTGTTGCATCTGGAAATAGGACAGATATTTCCTTGGATGATCCAAATTTCTGGCAAAAGTGGGCTAAGAAGGCTGAATTGGATATTGATGCCTTAAATGGGAGGGTGAGTAAGAAGTCCCATTCGAACACCTATCTGATCTAAACCAAGAGCCACTCTTTGAGAAATGTCAAATGTATCTCCTCTTTTATTATTAGAACAACCTGGTTATTGATACTCCAAGAGTGAGAAAGCAGACCAGGCTCTACAGTGCAGTGAAGGAAGATGAGCTGATGGAGTTCTCAGACTTGGAAAGTGATTCTGAAGAAAAGCCCTGTGCAAAGCCACGGCGTCCCCAGGATAAGTCACAGGGCTATGCAAGGAGTGAATGTTTCAGGGTGGAGAAGAATCTGCTTGTCTATGGGTAAGTAGGACTCACTACGTAAGATAGAATTTTATTGTAACAGTAGTTAGAATTCCCAACTGGTAGAGAAAAACTATATTTGTGTTTGAATTTGTGTGACACCCCTTTGCACAGTCAAATGAATGCTTCTGCAGTAACTTTACAGGGCTTTGAAGCCATTTGGTTAACATAATCTAAGTTGTTCAGATGCTTCTGGTTCAGAGGTCACCTGAAGTTAAGGTGCTTGTGTATACCTTAAGGAATTATGCCAGATCTAGAGTTACATGTTGATTATTAATAATTAAGAACAAAGTGTCAAAATTATGTAATCTTTTCTCACTTTACAAGCTTTGCATAAAATTTATGACTGTCGTAAGCTTTTAATATTTCTCTTATAAAAAATTGTCAAAGGCAGTAATCTCACTTGTTAAATTCTTCCTTGCAACTCATATGAAACATGAATGGTCATTTGAACTTTGTGAAAGTGTTGTATTTTTCCTGCTGGACTATAAGTTTCTGAAAGGGAGGATCCATGTCCAATTTATCTCTGAATCACTGTGATGCCCAAAGTGGTACTTTGAATGGCAGGGTGCTCAGTAAATATCTGAATTGGTCAATAAGAGTTCTCTAGCAGATTGTGGGACTACAGGCAACTCCTGTTAAAAAAAAAACTGCAGCTAGAGTAACCTTTCTACAGATCTGATGACGTCCTGTCTTGGATGATTTCTTCCAATGAATTACCATTAGTTTCAGAGTAAACACAAACATATGCTGACATGGCATCCAGAGCTCTTCTGGGACCTTGTCTTCTGTTGGTTCTTTCCCATGGGTAGTCCAAGCTTCTGTTAGGACAGACGGCTTCATCTCCTTCAGTGCGCCACGCTCCATCTCATCTGTGTCTTTGCACAAGCTCTTCCCACTGCCTAGAGGACCCCCCACTTGCACCTCCGCTGGGAGGTGACCTACCTCCCTTCTGCTCTCCGTGGGTGTCCGACGCAGGCATCAGCTTGTGCTCTGCAACTGAGTCTGGCCTGCACTTCCCATCACACTCATCATGTTGTTTACAATTTTTGAGTCGCCTCCCTCTTTCAGTTTGCAGCTCCTTGAGGATGGAAGCTCCTTCATTGTGCCCTCAGTGTGTAGTGCAGTGTGAGCAGACACACAGTGCTGATAAATGCTTGTTCAACAGAAGTCCATCATTATCTGTGAAGCTGGACATCCTCTCTTGTCTCTTCTTACATGGGGCAGAGACTCACCCCCTGCGTCCCAAAAGCCCTGCCCCGCAAAAGCCCTTTGCTACCCATGCCTGCTGCCATGTTTCAGCACAATCATCAGATTTGAGAGTTCTGTGGGTAACTTTAGGAATGGAACACATAAATAACTCCTACAGCTAAGAAGTGTGCTTAGCGCAGATTGTCTTTCAGTCGAGCCCTTCCCTCTTCCCATAGTTGTCACTATGTACTGAACACCTATGTGCTAGGCACTGTCTAGGATCCTCTCAGTCACTAGGGGTGGAGCTCTGAGCAAGACAGTCATGGCTCAGGCAGGCAGGTGAGCAAGTAGAAGTGGTGCAGACTGTGACAATACTGTGACAGGGAAGCACTCTGCTGTGGAGCATAGAGCCTGTCAGCTCACTGTTAAGACACAGCTCCAGTGTTGTCTCCCCACTTCTGGGGTTAGGAGGAATGAAAGGAGGAATTCCACAAAAGGTGGCATGTACAGCTTGTGACTTGGTGGATATCACAAATCAGCCAGGGTAAGAGGGAGTGCTGGGGTTTGGGTAGGGAAGGGAAGTGAGGTACCGGCAGATAGAGCAGTGTGTTCCAAGGCCTAGCAGTGAGAGCTAGCCCTGTGGTTGGAGAAACTTGAAGAAGTTCACAGGAGCCAGAGAGGACCAGGGAGTGACAAGAGACCAAGTGAGAGGCAGGGCCTGAGGGAGGATGTGCGCTGCTCTCTGCTCCAAACACAACTCTCAGTCTGCAGCAGAGGGGCTGTTCATACCATGAGCACTGCCTTGGTGGCTCAGTCTGCTGTCGCCTGGGAGAAGACATGGCTCACATAGCACCTGCTGCTGCCTGCCCCCGTACCTATTTGTTGTGTGGTCTTACTCCATAGCTCCCAGATGAGACAGCACAGCACTGTTTAGCCTGGGATTATAACACAAAACAGGCAGTCAGTCCCCATGGTGTGTTGTCTGTTTGCTTCTGTCTTCTGTCCATAGTCGTTTCTCCCACTCATTTCTCATGAGGACCTGAGGGTTGGCAGAATATCTTGCCTGTGATGGTTCTTATGCTTGGGGTTATTACTCCGTTTCAAAAGGAACCTCAGAGCTTTCCAGAACCTTTCACCAGTGACTGTGGCATCCCCTTAGAGGTGGGTTGATGCGGCCATACTGCTCAGCATCGCATCCTTGATTTTGGGGTAGTCACACCTTTTATCTTGAGTTGCCTTTTGTCTCAGATGGTTGGTCAACATCAAAATGTACTAATCATGACAGTGTGAAGCAAAGTCCATGATTTCCAGGCCCTCGGATGCACTCATGTCCTGAAAATTGCTGCTACAGCCTTCATGTACCTGGAAAGGCCAGGGTTAGCTTTGTGGGTGTTATTCTTGTGGCAGTTCAACTCATGCGCTTAGAAGCAGTGAACTGAGGGGCAGCTTACTGTATAAAGGAGTGTTTTTAACTCTTGCACCCTGGATTTCTTTCCTATCACCCAGTGTGAATTGTTGCTAGTTTTGACCCAGGATTTCCCAACGCTGGTACCTGACTTAAAGTAAAGCCATAAATCAAAACTCACAGGCACCTCTGCATGCTGGATATTTGCTTTGCAGTTGGGGACGGTGGACAGACATTCTTTCCCACGGACGCTATAAACGCCAACTCACTGAGCAAGATGTAGAAACCATCTGCAGAACCATCCTGGTGTACTGTCTTAATCATTACAAAGGGGATGAGAATATCAAAAGCTTCATCTGGGATCTGATCACACCCACAGCGGATGGCCAGACTCGAGCCTTGGTCAACCATTCCGGTAGGTCTCCACCATGCTGTTTGTGCTACAGGGTCACAAAGCCACCAGGAACTTTTGTGACACACTGTTGATAAAGAGATGTGACATAAACCCCATATTTCCCTGCCTCGTGCATTAAGCTCTCTGCCATTGACACTATAATTGGAATGTAAAAGGCTTCTATTATTATTATGATGGTGATTCTAGGTTTGTCAGCTCCTGTGCCAAGGGGAAGGAAGGGAAAGAAGGTGAAAGCCCAGAGCACACAGCCGGTGGTGCAGGATGCCGACTGGCTGGCCAGCTGCAACCCAGATGCCCTGTTCCAGGAGGACAGCTACAAGAAACACCTGAAGCATCACTGTAACAAGTATGTTATTAGAGGGTGGACCTGGAGAGCTTAATTCCCTTTTTATTCTTTAAAAAATACATGCAGCCGGCCCTTCACGTCTGCAGATGCAGAACTCGCAGATTTGGAGGGTCAACTGAGGGACCTGAGCATCTGCGGATCTTGGTGTCTGAGGGGGGTCCTGGAACCATACTCCCGCGGATATGGAGGGACAGCTCTGTTATTAAGACTTTTAAATGGTATAGTTATTGCCTTTGCACAGCCTTATCATTTTTCTTGAAATGTGGTGTCAAGTTGCAGGAGAGCGTACCTTTAGGTGACTGATTATTTTTTAACATGGTAAGATACACAACACAACGTTTACCATTTTTACCATTTATAAGTGAACAATTCATTGGCATTAATTACACTCACAATGCTGTATACTCACTATCTGTACCTGAAATGTTTCCATCTTCCCAAATATAAACACTGTATCAATTAAACAGTAACTTGCCTGGCCCCTGGCAATCACCATTCTACTTTCTGTTTCTATTAGTTTGTCTATTCTGTGTATCTCCTAGGGGAATCACAGATTATTTGTCCTTCTGTGCCTGGCTTACTTCTCTTAATATTTTCAAGGTTCATTTGTGTTACGGTGTCAGAATTTCATTCCTGTTTATGGCTGAATAGTATTCCATTGTGTGTATATGCCACGTTTTGTTTGTCCCAGTCATCTGTTGACGGACACTTGGGCTAGTTATCATGGCTGTTGTGAATAATGGTGCTATGAACATTGTAGAGGACTGGTTTTTAACCAGTATCGGTTAGAGAATAGTAGTCAGCATTATATGATCCCACTTTCAACTAACTGCGTACAGTGGAGGGAAGACTGGGGAGTTCATGTATTATTTTTTGCTTAATATTACCTCAGTTGCTGGGTCCATTTTTTCTGCCTGTGAGCTTGGAATCATATTTCTTACCTTTATTTCCAAAAACTGATTATAGATAATTGAAGAATATTGAAACTAAATTTATTTCATTGCTTGGGGTTCTGTTAACAGTTCCTATTAAACTAACATCTGCATATGTTGTTTCCTTATTCTGAATATGCATTTTTCCGTATCACTAGTTCAGGCAACAATGCTACTGATCAGCTCTATGTCCTAGCTTCGTGTGACCTTGAGCAAGTTATTCAGCCTCTTGAGGACTCACTTTCCTGGTGAGTCCAGTAGACCTCGGCAGCAAGATCTCAACTGGATAAGGCAGGATGTAAATAAGTATGCATTTCTCTTTGTAAAAGTAGCAGCAACAAAGTCTGAGCACATAATACTGGCAGCATGCCAAGCGCTTTGTATGGATTATCTGTTTGAATTGTCTAAGATTAGTATGATTTTTATCCCCATTTAACTGACAAGAAAACTGAGACTAAAGTTGAGTAACCTCCTCAAGGACCCTCAGCCAGTTAGGGGGCAGAACCAGGTTTGAACCCGAGTAGATGAGGGCAGCCTCAGCTTGGAAGTCTTCCCTGCTCCTTGGGGCTGTGGTGAGGCTCTGAGGTGTCTTCAGAACCATTACCTCCAACCCTTTTGGTATCTCAGAAACTTGGTGGTTACTGCTGTGGCATAAGAGTGCTCCCTAAAATCCGACCCCACTTACACTCTTAGAAAATATCTGGTCAGTATGGTACAGTCAATGTTTAATCTCATGAGTTAACAAGAGAAAAAAATCTAAAGAAATAGAAATGAGTTATCCAAAGTGAGTCTCTTCAGGGATTTATAAGCTCACACTTGGCCTATCCAGAACCCATGCTGGCCGTGAGTAGGCTCGTGGTTGGGGGAGGGCCTGTTGAGGAGCATCTGTTGATGTGTGATTGGGAGTTGTCTGTTCTGGTGAATCCTAGTTGTTATTTTGAAGTTTTAGGGACAGTTTCCATACCCTGAGAACAGCATGGTGTAGTAGAGCCTGAAGACCTAGTTCCAGTTGTGCCATGTGCAAGGTAACTCTGGCCTTAGATTTGTCACTTATCTTCTGCTACCATCAGTTTTCCCATTTGAAAACGGAAATTATAACTTGCCCTGCTTCATCATAGGGTTATCGTGAAGATCAAAAGGGCTAGTATAAGTGTGAGACATTGATTGTAAAGTGCTGTACAAGTACATGATGGGATTATTCAGCTGGGGAAATAGCATTTGTATTACCATGTACTCATGGCCAAGAAGGCTGCGATTCACGTATCAGTCCTGAATGCACACCAGGGCTGTCCAGCAGGGGATGCTAGCTTTGGTAGACACTGGCTTTTGGGACTTACCAGGTGGACTTTATTGAAAGAATTATGTTTTCGCCATTGAGAAACTCCATGCAGGACTGAAAATCTAGTTCCTAGAATTCCAAGGGTTTTAAAAAATCGATTTCTTGAGAATGATTAAGAATGTCAGTGAATTGGACACATTTTAATTTTCTAATGTTTAATTTTTTTTTCAAGCTACTACAGCTTAGGTTCCCAGGTACAGTAAACTAGAAGGAATAAAAATGTCTAACATAGTATTTCATACAGGAGAAGAGCAAGGACACACCTTCTACCCCACCCTGTCACCATCTTCCTTTCTCGGAAGCAAAGTTGTATAATCTGAAAAACCTGACATTCCATATTGAGGGTTTATTGTAAGGTAGTAAAACCAGATTTTATATCTCATTTATTCCTACAACTTCTGATGTGCTTCCAAAAATGGTATTAAGGCAGCAGCTGAGGAAATTTTATGAGATAATGAAGCAGAACAGTTACTGAAAGCCATCTGCTCAGTTGTTTACAAACTTGCTTCAATACTTCAGAGGCAATGGTAGGGTACGTGTCTAAACTTCACAAGCTGCACTAGGTAGAACTAAATGAAGTGCGCCTGGGCTGGGCTGAGCTCGGGCCCTCTCTGTGCAGTGTGAGCGGTTGCCAGGCAGGCCTGTTGGAAGCCAGCAGAAAGCACCACACAGAGGTGATTATGTGCCACCATCTGTCACGCTTCAAGCCTACCATACAGCATGGCTAATCAGCCTTGGCAGGATGATGGATGAACAGCAGCAGCTGCCAAAAGCCACTGTTGGCAAACAGTCCTGAAGTTAAGAACTTTTTCCCCCCTCTGTCTTCCTCTCCAGGGTCCTGCTGCGTGTCCGCATGCTGTACTACCTAAGACAAGAAGTGATAGGAGACCAGGCGGATAAGATCTTAGAGGGTGCTGACTCAAGGTTAGTGCGAGCTCACATTTGTTCTCAACCTCAGTGAGATAATCTGGGTAGCCGGAAAACATCATGGATTGTGTTTCAGAACCTTCATAAACCACTAGTAACCCATCTCCTTTTTTGCATCTTGAATGCAGTATTTGTCCTTCGTGCTTGGGGATGTGATGAGAATCAGGAAAAGGCTGTTTGCATTTATGTTTGTAGTGTAAAGAGATGTGAACTAAAGCACTGGTGTTCTGAGATGACCCTTAAAATGGGATACCATGTGATAAAGTTCATTTCTGGTCATGGCAGAGGGCTACTGACTCATGCCCTTTCTTTTAACCTTGCTGATACCTCCCCACCATGCTCAGATGTTTATCGTGGGAGAGAGGGCATGTGAGCTATGTATCACATTCATTACTTGGAATTCTTTTTTAATACTAATATTTCTTATAAATGTTGTCTTTCAGTGAAGCCGATGTGTGGATCCCTGAACCTTTCCATGCTGAAGTTCCTGCAGATTGGTGGGATAAGGAAGCAGACAAATCCCTCTTAATTGGAGTGTTCAAACATGGTAAGTGACGTTTCTGTTTGAATACATCTCAACTGTATGGCTTGGTCTTTATTTAGAACTCTTTACATACTCTTTTCCAAAGTCATAATATTAATGAGGATAGTTCCAAAGGACTCTTGGCGTCTACCATTTTTCTGTACTAAAAATCTAATATGAACTGTAAATATCAGATGCTGTTTTTGAATGTTTGTTGAGCATTTGAGAAGAAAACATTTCTTTCTTGGCTGTAAATAAAACCCAAACCATATTTGTTTTAATAATAGCCAAGTTGTACTATAGCTCTCCCTAAACTTTGCTTCCAGCGCGGCTTCCCTTGCTAACTCTGCCAACCAGTGTCAAAGTGGACGGTGGGCTTAACCTCTGCTATTAATCTGTACAAGTGCCTCCTGGGCTTTGTTCCAAGCAATATTTCACAAATGTCAGTGCTGAGAACTCGCGGCTCCCCTGAGTGGGATGCAGCCTTGTTAACTTTGAAAGGCTGGGGATGCAGAACTGGCATGATATATACAGTGAGCGATTCCTGATTATAATCCCAATTCTCTGGAGGTCGCGGAGGTATTCTCAGCAGCCCAGCCTGACTAAAGGGGAGAATGATGGCTTATAAAACCTTTCATGATTACAGTTTGGCTTGCGGCTCTACAGCAGTTAGGAGCGGTGTGTTGTAGTACACATCCTAATTGAATTGTGCTGTTCTGCCTATGTACTGCAGCCACATTTTGTGAGCTCAGCCTCAAAATCATTTTCCCGCAGTGCACTGTTGGGATCTGCCATTTTCCATCTAGTCAACTTGGGCAGTCAAAAAGCAAATTGCAGTTTGAAAACCATAGAGGGAACCGTGTCATCTTACTGACATGCATCATCCTAAACCTAATAAGACAGGTTCGCTGGCCTTATGTATATGGGGATTTTTCAGCCAGCCATGCGAGTTCCTGCAGGACTGATGCTATTCACAGAGTGGATGGGGGTGGACTCAGTGCACCCCTGCAGAGGTCATAAAGGAACATTGCGAATCCTTCTAAATGTCAAGCAAAATTAGATCTGGGGAAAAATAGGGTCAGAAATCCTCCCAGGCATCTTGCAGTTATTCTGAACCTGTTTTTCTATTAGTGTTTGTGGTAATTCTGATAATATCCCTGAAGTGTAACTTGGCTCCCAGTAGCTTCCCTAGAAGGAGCGTTCCATAGAATGATCTACTAAAACAAGGTCCACTTGGATTCAACAGAGATGCTAACCTTGACTGAAAAACAAACTTGTGTTGTGGCAGTGCTGTGATTTTGCCAGTGATGGGGCCTTTCTTTGTTTCTGTGTGTTTTCTGTGCACGGATGGGCACGGCACAGGCTATGAGAAGTACAACTCCATGCGAGCTGACCCCGCGCTGTGCTTTCTGGAACGAGTCGGTATGCCTGATGCCAAGGCCATAGCTGCCGAGCAAAGAGGAACAGACATGCTAGCAGATGGTGGTGACGGGTAAGAAGGACATTTTAAAATTTGAATAAACTTTATGTCAGTTTCACATCTATTGGCAGGGTTCAGTTCTTACCCTGCAGTACACACTGTATTGTGTCTGATTTGAAGTTCAGGAGATGTTTACCAGTCTACTCTATTTGTATGTCGTAATGACTGTTTAAACAATATACATTATCTTGATAATCTGAAACTTGTTTTTCTTTTCCAAATGTCATTTCCCGCAATCTCCCCAGACCCCCTCCACCACACTGCCATGGCTGCATGTTTTAAATACTGATAGAGTTGCTTTTGATGTCAAACCCATAATTAAAAGTAGCACTGGGCAGATTATTACTCTTTCCTACCCACCCCCCTTCCTTCTTTTGCTTATCAGTATGATTCAAATAATTTTTGTGTTTGTTTTACATAGGGGAGAATTTGATAGAGAAGATGAAGACCCAGAATATAAACCAACCAGAACACCGTTCAAAGATGAAATAGATGTATGAACTTGAGTATATTGGCTTTTATAGCTCCATTAAAATATTATATGCCCACATAAGACTTGTTAAACTTTATAGATAATGACCTTTTCTTTAAAAGACAAAGAAAAATGAGACCCCAAATTAAAGTAATTCTGTTTCTTGCTTTGCTTTCAAGGAATTTGCAAATTCTCCTTCAGAGGATAAGGAAGAATCCATGGAAATACATGCCACAGGTAAGGTCCCAGAAAAGCTTGTGTAGCCGAGCAGACGTGCACTGAGCAGTCATTGTTCACGTGGTAGGGACTGTCCTGCTTCATGACAGCAGTGTCTTAACACCTTATTTCTTCTACACTGACCTGTTTTGTGAATCATTTTAATTCTTGTTAATGGCTGTGTTTTCATGACATTGAATTTCTTAGATAGGATAACTATTTCTTTGATGATAATTAGCTGATTTATATTTTACACTAATTAGTGAAAAATTTTAAGCATCTAAACTATAGCTCTTGGGAATAGAGCATAGAGCATTTGCTAAGTATTCACCTAAAATATTTTCAGTTTATTTAGAATATTGACCTTTTACCGAATATAAAATCATTACACAACAATTATGCAGTTATTTTTTATACTCAAGATGATTATTGCACATACATTAGAGGAGAGTACCTTATAAGAAGTTTATGCTGTAAAGTGTGTTTCTTTATGTAGGACTAATAAATAATGTTTTCATCCCCTCTAAGGAGGTAAAAAAGAAATAAGTGTATATATTCCAAGTGAATGTTATTACTTATTTATATTTTAAAAATGAGGGCACTGAGATGCCCTTTCCCACACTGTCATTTGAATCTTAATGAGTCATCCTGTTTTGTTGGAATACTCTGTATTGCAAGATTGCAGCTACACATTTCAAAAATGTTTTTCCACTTCCCCAGGCAAGCACAGTGAGAGTAATGCTGAGTTAGGCCAACTTTACTGGCCTAACACTTCAACCCTGACTACACGTCTGCGCCGGCTCATTACTGCCTATCAGCGCAGCTATAAAAGGCAACAGATGAGGCAAGAGGCCCTAATGAAGACTGACCGGCGCAGACGGCGGCCTCGAGAGGAAGTGAGAGCTCTGGAAGCGGAAAGGGAAGCTATTATATCTGAGAAGCGGCAAAAGTGAGTTTCTTCAAGGTTTCCACTCAGCTCCCGGTACATGCCCCTCTGCCCTGCTCCTGTAGACCCACAAGAGACAGGACTCATATCAAAGGTAGTGACCACCAAAGAAAGGCTCGCTCCAACAAAGCAGTCTGTTTCCCCACCCCCAAATAACTACCATGTATAAAGTCTGGGGGGAAGAAGAAAAGAAACAGTAAATATTAAGTCTTTTCCTGAAGTATGATGCAAGCTAATATAATCTTTCTAACAGGTGGACAAGAAGAGAAGAGGCTGATTTTTACCGTGTGGTATCCACCTTTGGGGTTATTTTTGACCCTGTGAAACAGCAATTTGACTGGAACCAATTTAGAGCCTTTGCCAGGCTTGACAAAAAATCTGATGAGAGTTTGGAGAAATACTTCAGTTGTTTTGTGGCCATGTGTAGGCGAGTATGTCGAATGCCCGTCAAGCCAGATGATGGTAGGTACATTTAGCAACAAAGTTCTATACAAAAAGACGAGTAAAGTGAAAAATAAGAAAGTGTACAATGTAGAATGCCCTTGAATTCTCCCCAAGTAAATATGAGCCCTTCTGTGTTACAGAACCGCCCGACCTCTCCTCCATAATTGAGCCGATCACAGAGGAGCGAGCCTCTCGAACTCTGTACCGCATTGAGCTGCTACGGAAGATCCGCGAGCAGGTTCTCCATCACCCCCAGCTGGGAGAGAGGCTTAAGCTCTGCCAGCCAAGCTTGGATCTGCCAGAGTGGTGGGAGTGTGGACGGCATGACCGAGACTTGCTGGTTGGTGCTGCTAAACACGGGGTCAGTCGGACGGATTATCACATCCTCAATGACCCTGAGTTATCCTTCTTGGATGCACATAAAAACTTTGCTCAAAACAGAGGGGCAGGTAATACATCTTCCTTGAACCCACTGGCAGTTGGATTTGTCCAGACTCCTCCAGTCATCTCATCTGCTCATATTCAAGATGAGAGGGTACTGGAACAAGCCGAAGGCAAAGTGGAGGAGCCTGAAAACCCAGCTGCCAAGGAGAAATGTGAGGGCAAAGAAGAGGAAGAAGAAACCGATGGCAGCGGGAAGGAGAGCAAGCAGGAATGTGAGGCAGAGGCCAGCTCTGTGAAAAATGAACTGAAAGGTGTTGAGGTCGGCGCAGACACTGGGTCCAAATCTATTTCAGAGAAAGGTTCCGAAGAGGATGAAGAGGAAAAGCTGGAGGATGACGATAAGTCGGAAGAGTCTTCCCAGCCCGAAGGTAAGGCCTTACCACTGGCCCCTCTCCTGACCCTGCAGCAGCTGGTTGTGAGATGCGTTGCTTTCTGGCAGCACGGCACCTGCTCTTTTTCACGAGTACTTAGTGTACATTTTCTTCTGTGAAGGGATAATTTCAAGTTATGCTTATATCTGTGTTTTGCTCTCGCACCTTATAGCACCTAACCATGGTATTTTGAAGAACATAAACTCTAAGAAGGGTTGCATGGACACATTAGCAATTTCTGGTTTAAGGATGGAAGTTAACTTGTAGTGAGTGACAGTGTATTAAGAATTCTATGTGATTTTAATTTTGACAAATGTGAGGGAAGGTGGTCATTCACTGAGTAAATATTGTTAATCATTTTGAAACAACTGGTGCTTGTTATGTTTTGATTCAGAAGTAAAGAGTGGGAATAGAATCTAAAAATAACCAATTTTTTAAGTCACAGTACGGTTGCTGAAACTGGCCCAGAATAAAAATAGAGCACGTACTGTGCTGTAGCTGGAACCTTCAACTTTTGACAGAAGGTCAGCCCTTTTTTCTGTGTGGAAGAACATAGACTCTTGAGTCAATGACTTGGTTGGCTATCAGCCTCTTGTAAGGTTTACTTGCACGGTGCTAGGTGGCTAGTGACTAACCTCTCTAAGCCTCTGTGTCATCATCTGCAAGATGGAAATAACACCATCTATGTTAAAGGGCTGTTGTAAGCTTTAGACAACAGTGCCCAATACCATTCTAGCCATGTAGTAGGTACTCAATAAAATGGAGCTGATTAGTATTCACATTTTTAATCATGTCCTTTCTAAACTTCAGTTTCCCTGATACTGTGGTTGTGAGTAATGCACATTAACTCATTTCTCAGCAGGAGCTGTCTCTAGAGGGAAGAATTTTGATGAAGAAAGCAATGCTTCCATGAGCACTGCTAGAGATGAAACCCGAGATGGATTCTACATGGAGGACGGAGATCCTTCAGTAGCTCAGCTCCTTCATGAAAGAACATTTGCCTTCTCGTTTTGGCCTAAGGTTGGCAGGTTTTTGTTGCTGTTGTTTTGCTGACCAAAAAGGATTAGGGTAGAGGAAATCTTTCTAGCTTGATTTTTCAAGTAATTTTAAGGTAAACTTTTGACACAGTATATGAAGACTATAGATTTTTCTTATACTTTTAAAGAATGATCTGAAAAAGCCCAAAGAAAAAAATTGTAGAACACTTTTCTAATAGGATGGGAAATGTGATGTGAAAGAAAGATAATAAGAAATAGAAGTGTGTATATGGATTGATCTTTGGCTCCATGTGGCTTTTAGGTTACTTACCCCCGTTGTCTAGCATAATGTATGGATTATCACTGTGTTTTAAAATTTTTTTGTGAAATAAAGCCTTCAGATTTAAGACAACTTTATAGTTTTGGAAACCTACCAGCTTCTTGACTTGGAAGAGGGTGTACTGTTGACCCATTTGCTTTTGACGCATTATGAGATAATTCCAAATGTAGTTATCTGTAACCAAAAGCAAAATGGAAATTACTTTTTTGGCTAAATAGTATAATTTTATAATAATTCCCTGTGTAATTTAGGTCTGTTTTTCAGGGTGAGGAAATAATCATCCTAATCACCATAACAGGGCTGTCTGGTTTAAAACAACACAAAAAATGAGCTTCAGTCAGCCTACCCCCCAGGCTCGTCTTTCCCAGTATTATTGTGTAAGAAACAAGGTGAAAATTTTGACCAAAGAATGTACTGTCAAAGACATTTTGTTTCCTCTCTCTATCCCTTTAGTTCCCCTGTTATGCTAACCTCCTTTATTGAGTGTAGGAGGGAGTTTCCCAGATCAGTCAAAGGTTATAGTAGCAGGCACTTTTAATCTATGGAAACTCAGTCTAAAGCTGTAATTAGAAATTTTTAATGTACACGCTTCAATGAAATTTGAAGTGATAATAGGTAGGGAATGCAAATTGACATTCATTAGGTGTTCCTAGGTTGGTGCCCACTTCATAATGCTGAACTTTATTAATAGTGACGCTAATGATGTCCTACTTCCTGGGACTGCAATCCAGCCTGTAGATCTGAAGGGCCAGGGCGGCAAGAAGCTAATGCAGGGTTTCCATTGTCATCTACTGACATCCACCAGCAGAGCTCTATGGAGCTTGTACAAGAGTTACTTTTTAAATATGAAGATATTTTGAAGGTGGTGATTATGTAGTACATTTTTCTGTTTTATGTAGTTCAGTGTTCGTAATTAAAAATAGCATGTTTTCTGTGTTGAAGCCACCTAGGACCTTCTGCCAGAGCAATGCCATTATAGGAGATTTTGTTTATTTACTTTCTTGTTTGATTTCTTGCCTTGTTTTCTTTTACTTTTTGTCCTCCAGTTGACTTTTAAACATTTTATGCTCTTTTGCATCTTGATGGATGTATTTATCTAGTAATTTTAACCAGGGCTTTGTTAAAATTTCTTGTGACTTTTCTTCTCCCTCCAGGATAGAGTAATGATAAACCGCTTAGACAACATCTGTGAAGCAGTGTTGAAAGGCAAATGGCCAGTAAATAGGCGCCAGATGTTTGATTTCCAAGGCCTCATCCCAGGTTACACACCCACCACAGTGGACAGCCCCTTGCAGAAGAGGAGCTTTGCTGAGCTCTCCATGGTCGGCCAAGCCAGCATTAGTGGGAGTGAGGACATCACTACGTCTCCTCAGTTGTCAAAGGTGAATTAGAATGGCTTGTTTCTGCAGCTTAAAAGGGAGCTCTCTAAGCCTTAACTGAGTTTGCGAGCTTATATTTCACTGGCCTTGCTTAGAAATAAGATAGCTGCTGTTTCCTCAGCTCTGTGCACCAGTCATGAATGCTTAATTCCTTAAGCTTCTTGTTCCTTATTTCTAAAAGCCAGCCCATATAGCAGTACTGTTTTGGCTCACTGCAACTCTGTTCTGTTGGAATTTTTCAATAGGAAGATGCCCTCAACCTCTCTGTCCCTCGCCAGCGGAGGAGGAGGAGGAGAAAAATCGAAATTGAGGCCGAAAGAGCTGCCAAGAGGCGAAATCTCATGGAGATGGTTGCCCAGCTTCGAGAGTCTCAGGTGGTCTCAGAAAATGGACAAGAAAAAGTTGTAGATTTATCAAAGGCCTCAAGAGAGGCAACAAGCTCTACCTCAAATTTTTCATCTCTTTCTTCAAAGTTTATCTTGCCTAATGTCTCAACACCAGTGTCTGATGCCTTTAAGACTCAAATGGAACTGCTCCAAGCAGGCCTTTCGCGCACACCCACAAGGCATCTCCTTAATGGCTCCCTAGTGGATGGAGAGCCTCCCATGAAGAGGAGGCGGGGAAGGAGGAAAAATGTGGAGGGACTTGATCTGCTTTTCATGAGCCACAAACGGACGTCATTGAGTGCAGTAAGTTGGGGAGCTTGCCTGCATGGCGATTGCACGTGTTGACAGCTGAGGGTCCTGTGATGCTCACGATGCTGGGCTGTGTTTCTCTCAGCAGCATTGTATGAAAGCCAGCTTCCTCCACTAAAGAAATAGTTTTACAATAAACAGTCATGATTCTGATCATTGATACAGATCACTTGGCCTGAACGAAGTGTAGCTTGAGGATGTATTCTTCCCAAGTTCTGATGTGTTGATTGCTCTCAGAAGAACAGCCAAACCTAGAAACATGTTCTTCTGAATCTAGAATTGTTATCTCTGAATTCTTGAGGTGGAACAAGTTTCATTGATATGTTTTAGGCCTGGCATTTATTAAAATTAGTATAAATGTTTCATTTTGGACCTAAGATTTGGGTTAACATAAAAAGCTAGTGACTGCAAATTCTCCTGTCTCCTTAAGTAGATATTTTAAAAATTTGAGCTGTGCTTTTGCTAGAATAGGTTTGAATAGAATGTGTGAACCAATGGATTTTGACTTTTCCTTTCTCAGTTCAGAGGAAATAAATTAATGCAGTATAATCAAAATGATTTTCTTTCTTAATCTGCTTCAACTACATCTCACCCAAAAATGTGGTGCCTGACTCACTGATGACCAGAATTTTATCCCAAAGAGCACAATTACATGTGCTTTTTTAAAAAATGGTTTAGCACTATATATCTTGAACCTATTGACCAGAAGCCCCAGTCACCATAGTGGCTGGAACTCCTTGTCTGTGTTGTGAGGAGTGGGTGCTCCAGGAAGCCTTCCAGGTACTGGGCCATCCTGGACCCTTCTTCAAGCAGTGGGACACAGTTTGGGAAACTGAAATTTGAGATTGAGGGAAGACAGTTGTCTGTTTCAACATGTTTTTACTTACACCATCCCTATTATTATTTGCCCATTTTCTATTTCTTGAACTCAGAGAAAGCTTAATAAGATGGCAGGAAAAGACATGGTTGAGTTAAAGTTCAGAAATGAAAAATAACATCCACTGAAATTTCTTTGCCCTCTGGTGGGGTCTAATTAAAACAGAAGCATTCAGGTGGCTAAGAGTAAATTTTCAAAATTGGGCCGGGCATGGTGGCTCACGCCTGTAATCCCAGCACTCTGGGAGGCCAAGGCAGGTGGATCACTTGAGGTCAGCAGTTCAAGACCAGCCTGGCCAACATGGCAAAACCTTTTCTCTACTACAATTATAAAAATTAGCCTGGTCTGGTAGCACGTGTCTGTGATCCCAGCTACTCAGGATGCTGAGGCAGGAGAATTGCTTGAACCCAGGAGGCGGAGGTTGCAGTGAATCGAGATTGCATCACTGCACTCCAGCCTGGGTGACAGAGTGAGACTCTGTCTCAAAAAAATAAAGAAAATTTTTTTCAAAATTGATTACCAATGCAGTGATCATCATAATGGTCATATTTGTTGATGGTATGATTGTTTTCAGAATCCTGTAAAAGTACACTTTGTAATGGACTAGCTGTGACTTACATGTTTTCTGTAAGTTAAAATGCCATTTCTAGGGGTATGGCCCTCAGACAGAGTTGTAGCACTAGTAAATAGCCTTCCTGTTTGAAACTACTTCTTTGATAGATTTTGTTGACTGATAAATTCTTTCTCCATAAACTTTAACAAATTGGGAAGTTTCTGCAGCTGACACTTCTTTTTGTTTGTTATCATGTTCAATATTTGTAGGTTTTTTTGTTTTTGAAACAGGGTTTGTTTTTGAGACAGGGTCTCACTCTTTCGCCCAGGCTGGAGCACAATGGCGCAGTCTCGGCTCAGTGCAGCCTCCAACTTCTGGGCTCAATTGATTCTCCCACCTCAGCCTCCCTAGTAGATGGGACTACAGGCGCGCACCACCATACCTGGCTAATTGTTTTGTATTTTTGGTGGGGACGGGGTTTCACCATGTTGCCCAGGCTGGTCTCAAACTTCTGGGCTCAAGTAATCCACCCACCTCAGCCTCCTGAAGTACTGGGATTACAGGCAATCATGTTCAGTATTTGGATCACGACACAGCTTTGTCTCTGGATCAGGTGTTAGGAATTAATAATGCAACACACGTGCTTTTTTCCTATTGCAAGTACACATTCTATTTTAAATCTGAGACTGATTTTATTCATTTCACTATTTTAAGCCGTTGTTAAGAATTTGTTGATATTTTTCTTTTTCTAAAGTCCCATTTAGAAAGCCTGAGAGAATTCCTAATTGAAGTTAGAGAATGTATTTTTAAAACTTTTTTTTTTTAACTGTCACATTTTGAAATGTAGGGATTCCTCATTTGGTGTTGTCGGGGGTGATGTGCATGCACATAAAATACAAGGAAAGCACTGCTCGATCTGTAAATAAACCAAGTAGGAAAAGATGTAAAGGCCAGCAGTGTTACCTGGATGAAAGAGGACAGATCCTAGAATTTAGTATTTTGTCAGCACTCTAACTGTGCTGCCATGAAAAAGTAAGAGTGCATTCAGCAACAGTGGACAAGCTGGCACTATTCCCTGTGCCAGCACTGAGAGTCAAAAAATACAGTCCTGACAAGTGCTTGCACTGGAGAATGCAGTGTTTAGGATGGGGTAGCACATAAATCATAATGTGTCCTGGTTGTTCATGTGTGCCACGACCAAGGGATGTCTAGGGTACTTTGTGAGCCCAAAGGAAGCCTGGGAGTGGAGGGAAGAGGATATGGGGAGAAACAGATGAAGAAGTTTCCCTATGGATGGCTGTACTTCAATTAAGTTTTGAAGATCATGTAGTAGTTGGTCATTTTAAAAGGGTTGGCAGAGAACATGTGTAAGAGGAGAGAGCCTCTTGGGTTTGAAGAACTGAGGAATTTGCTGAGGAAGTGAGCTTCAGCAGAGATGAGCTTGCAGAGAAGGCAGGATGCAAATCATGGAGGGCCTTGATGCCATTCGGAAGAACTTGGATTTTGTCCTGGAGGTAATAGGGATGCAATTATTGAAAAAAATAGGAGAGTGATGTGACATAATTTTTTGAACTGGGAAGGGCTGCATTTTAGAAAACTGACTCCAGCGTAGTGGTGTGGAGGTTGGATTGAAGATAGGTGGGATTAGAATCAGGGAGACCATTTAGGAATATTGCAATAACCTGGGTGGGAAGTGACAAAAGCCTGGGCCATGGTAGAGCTGTGGGGAAGGAGAAATGGGTGTCTGGAGGTTGAAATAACTGTAGACTTCAGTTAGTGGTGGTCTTTCCAATGTTGCCACACATGTCTGAGACAAAGTGTCCCACTACCAACAAAATTATATTGTGCACAGAGTGCCCATAAGTTACATATAGACTGGCTTTTAGAAATTCCTTTAGTATAAATTATCTTTAATATCATTATCCGGGGATCTCCAAGAGAGACTGAGAGGCCGCCTTTCATGCATATCAGCTCAGACTATACCCCCCATGTTGTATTCCCAGTGGCTGGCTTAGGATTTCAGAGCATGGAACCTTAGTGGACTATAAATTTTTTACCTAATTACTAGTTCTACAGTGTGAAGAATGATATAAAAGTTTCGTCTTCTTCTTTTTATTTTTATTTTTTTGAGACGAAGTCTCACTCTGTTGCCTAGGCTGGAGTGCAGTGGCACAGTCTCTGCTCACTGCAACCTCTACCTCCTGATTTCAAGTGATTCTCCTGCCCCAGCCTCCCAGGTAGCTGGGATTACAGGCAAGTGCCACCATGCCTGGCTAATTTTTGTATTTTTTGTAAAGATGGGGTTTCACCATGTTGGCCAGGCTGGTCTTGAACTCCTGACCTCAGGTGATCCGCCCACCTCGGCCTCCCAGAGTGCTGGGATTACAGGCGTGAGCCACCGCGCCCAGCCTCATTTTCTGACTTTTAATAGCTGTTCCCAAACAACTAGACATTGTTTCTAGTAACTATTTTCTCTTTTTGATAAAAGATCCATTCTAGGATAGCGTTTTCTTGAAATAGGACATTGTCAGAGGCTCTCTCTTCGTGTGAGAATTCATACCATTGTGAACTTTCTGCAGGAGGATGCTGAGGTGACCAAAGCTTTTGAAGAAGATATAGAGACCCCACCAACAAGAAACATTCCTTCTCCCGGACAGCTGGACCCAGACACACGGATCCCTGTTATCAATCTTGAAGATGGGACTAGGCTGGTGGGGGAAGATGCTCCTAAAAATAAGGATTTAGTTGAATGGCTGAAGCTGCACCCTACTTACACTGTTGATATGCCAAGTTATGTACCAGTGAGTATTGCAGAGTTTAGAGTTGGAAGGAATCTTGCAGGCCGGTCCACTTCATTCCCTTACAACATAGAAATCCCTGACAGCTGGTCCCTCTGCCTTTTCCTTGAATGTTTCCTGGTCTCAAACATTTCCCAGGTCTTTGTTGTTGAATCTTCTTCATTACAGATACTAGCTTCAGGTCTGTCTTACTGAAGGCAGCCTTACAGTTATTTGAAGATGCGCGTTATGCATTTCCTTACTGTTTGCTTCTCCCATCAAACTCATGTGACTTCTTCAGTTATTCTTTCCATGGCATCGTTTCCAGGCAGTCTTAGTATTGGGGTAACACTGTTGAATGCACTTTCTCCAGTCTCCAGACGAGGCCCCGCCATCCCAGAGTGCTATGAAGCCAATTACTTCCAGAGATTTGACCAGTTAGTGCAGCCCAAGATTGTATTAGCTGCTTTTATGGCAACTAATCCTGGTGCCTTATATTAAACGTTAGACAGTTCATATCTCCAAATGGTTTGTCACACGAACTGTTTGCTAGCTAGCAATGCAAGTCTTTTGCTTTCTGTATTTATGTGATTGATTTTTTAAAACTTAAATGTAGAGTTTTACATTTTATTTTGTTGGGTTCAGCCTAGAGTTCTTGCCACTCAGAAAGTACCCCCACCCCCTACAAGATCTGTCTGTTTGTTGGTTAGTTCTCATTACAGACAGTCTCATGTTGTTGATGGGGTATCATCTCTGTGTTCATTGGAGCCACTAACTAGAAATTAGTAAAAGTACTACAGAAAGCCTCCTTTAAAAGTATCATGACTTGGTTAAACATTTAAAGAAAAACTTTAAGTGAGGTTATTGATAGATAAAAGGAAAAGCCAATTCTCACTTATGTATTCCTTAATGGACGGGTAAAATAGGAGTTTTTTCTTTCAAAGAGAAAAATATGGTTTCTAATATTAATAATTAAAATGATTCTTGAAACTTCCATAATAATTGAAGATGATCTGACAGTTCTCTTTGGCATTTATATAGAGAAGAATAAGTACTAAATACCAATTTTACTAAATATGTTTTTTCTTTTGCAGAAGAATGCAGATGTGCTGTTTTCCTCATTTCAGAAACCGAAACAGAAACGACATAGATGTCGAAACCCTAATAAATTGGATATAAACACTTTGACAGGAGAAGAAAGGGTGCCTGTTGTCAATAAACGAAATGGGAAGAAGGTAAACGCTGGGAAAGGGAATTGATCACTATGCGATTTCTTAGCCCAGAAGGAAGTGTTTTATCCTGCCTTCTTCTATAGGGGAAAAGAATCCTGTCTGCCCGAATGCGTGTGTGCGTGTATGTGTGTATTATAGAAGGGGGAGGGAGTAGATTAACAGAAAGGGGAGGGAAGACTGTGTTTTTAATCATTTGTCAAATGCCTCTACCCAGATGGGTGGAGCTATGGCGCCTCCAATGAAGGATCTACCCAGGTGGCTGGAAGAAAATCCTGAATTTGCAGTTGCTCCAGACTGGACTGATATAGTTAAGCAGTCTGTAAGTACAAACTGCATTTCTATCAAGAAAGGTAGCTATACAAAACTGTTTTCCTTAGTCTTTCTTATTTTCTGTTGGCCATTAATTATTCAGTTGTAACTTAGCTTAAAAGAATTGACATAATACATCATTTTCATACATCATTTCATACATCATTAATACATCATTAATCCAAAGTGAATTCATTTATCAGCTCCAATTTAAAAGGTTTGTATGGAAACATACATTCACAATCTTAGAGGTAGACTTCTCCAGGGGGGATTGCCCCAGCTAAGCCTACTTAACAGCTCACCTGTGGAATAGGATGTATGGTGGTTGAGATCATTAAGATTAACTGTGATTTCTGATTTAAAAACAAAACAAAACAAAACAAAACAAAAATACAACAGTTCTGCCTAAAAGATTTGTTACCATTAGCTTTTTAAAAATTCGTTCATGACATGCTGGTTCTTTGTTTTAATTATACATTAAAAATGTCTTTCGGTGTAACATTCTGTTGATCTTAACACACGTGTGAGTTTGTGAACTGACACCGTAGTCAGAATAGGGTTCCATCCCCCACCCCCACCACCCCGAGTTCCCTCACACCGTCCTTTCCCCGACCCCAGCCCCTGGCTGCCGCTGACCTGTTGTCCATCCCTGTCTTTTTGAGAATGTCCTGAAATGGAAGCATGAAGGACATAAGTCTTGAAGCAGTTTCTTTCGCTCATCATATGGAAGGTCATCGATGGTCACATGTGTCACAGTTATCTCCTTTCTGTTGCCAAGTAGCTGTCTCCATTGCATAGATGTGACACTGGACGGCTTAGCCCTCACACACTGAAGGACATCTGGGTTATTTCCTGATTTTTGAAACTATGATTAGAGCTGCTATAAGCAATTGTGTACAGGTTTTGGTGTGAACATAAGTTTTCATTTTTCTAGGGTAGATACTAAAATATAATTACATTTTCCATATTTCAAAAATACTTTTACATATATTTGAAATATCCAAAATAACACATTATAGAGGGCATAAAACATCCTGGGTTTATATTATGTTATACTATTTTATAATTTTTCTCCCATACAATATCTTTTTTTTTCTTTTTTTTTTTTTTTTTTGAGACAAGGTGTTTGTCACCCAGGCTGGAGTGCAGTGGTGAAATCACAGCTCACTACAGCCTCATTCTCCTAGGCTCAAGCAATCCTCCCACCTCAGCCTCCCAAGCAGCTGGCACTACAGGCACACATCACCAAGCTTGGCTAGTTTTTGTATTTTTTGTAGAGAAGGCATTTTGCCACGTTGCCCAGGCTGGTCTCAAACTCACCTCAAGCAATCTGCCTGCCCTGACCTCCCAAAGTGCTGAGATTACAGGTGTGAGCCACTGTGCCCAGCCAAAATTTTTTTTTAATTGACAGATATTTAATTGACAAAAATTAATTGATGAATCAAATATATATGCAAGGTGTACAGCACAGTGTTTTTTTCTTTTAAGAGACAGGGTCTTGCTGTGTCACCCAGGCTGGAGTGCAATGGTGCAATCATAGCTCACTGCAGCCTCAAACTCCTGGGCTCAAGCAGTCCTCCCACCTCAGCCTCCTGATTAGCCAAGTAGCTGGGATGACAAGCATATGCCACCACACCTGGATATTTTTTTTTTATTTTGTAGAGATAGGGTCTTGCTATGTGCCCCAGGCTGGTCTCAGACTCCTGGGCTCAAGAAATCCTCTAGTCTTGGCCTCCCAAAGTGTTGGGATTACAAGCATGAACCACGGCACCTGGCTTCAAAGTGATGATTTGATATAATTATACATTATGTACTTTCCTTTTTAAAAATTTGTTATGGGTACATAGTAGGTGTATATATAGGGTACATGAGATATTTTGTACAAGCACACAGTGCATAATGATCATGTTGGGTAGATGAGGTATGCATCACCTCAAGCATTTACCCTTTGTATTACAAACAATGTGATTATACTCTTTTAGTTATTTTAAAATATACAGTAAATTATTGTTGACTGTGTAGTCACCCTGTTGTGTTATCAAAAACTAGATCTTACTCATCCTGTCTAACTCTATTTTTGTACCCCATAATGTACTTTCTGATGTATGATTTCTTGAGTTAGTTATGGATGCAGCTAACTTGACATTTACCTCACTGATGAGTAGCCTTGAGCAATTTTTCTGCAGTTCAGCAAGCTAACATAATAATAAAAACAAGTTTTGCTGTCATTAAGTTTTATCATTGAGCTGTTAGGAGGGAAGAACTACTTAGGTATTTCCATTTGGAATGGCAGGTTCACCACAGAGGCTCACATTGAGATCAAGTTGTCTTCGACAGCCTTTATAGCCACTGTTTGCCTCCCCTGTACTCCAGGGTTTTGTTCCTGAGTCGATGTTTGACCGCCTTCTCACTGGGCCTGTAGTGCGGGGAGAGGGAGCGAGCAGAAGAGGAAGAAGGCCCAAAAGTGAGATCGCCAGAGCAGCCGCGGCCGCCGCTGCTGTGGCCTCCACGTCAGGGATCAACCCTTTGCTGGTGAACAGCCTGTTTGCTGGAATGGACCTGACGAGCCTTCAGAATCTCCAGAATCTCCAGTCGCTCCAGCTGGCAGGCCTCATGGGCTTCCCTCCAGGACTGGCAACAGCTGCCACCGCCGGAGGCGATGCGAAGAACCCTGCTGCTGTGCTGCCCCTGATGCTGCCAGGAATGGCGGGCCTGCCCAACGTGTTTGGCTTGGGCGGGCTGTTGAATAACCCTCTGTCAGCTGCTACTGGAAACACCACTACTGCTTCTAGTCAAGGAGAACCGGAAGACAGCACTTCAAAAGGAGAGGAGAAAGGAAATGAGAATGAAGACGAGAACAAAGACTCTGAGAAAAGCACAGATGCTGTTTCGGCTGCTGACTCTGCGAATGGATCTGTTGGTGCTGCTACTGCCCCGGCTGGATTGCCCTCAAACCCGCTAGCCTTCAACCCTTTCCTCCTGTCCACAATGGCCCCGGGCCTCTTCTACCCATCCATGTTTCTACCTCCAGGACTGGGGGGATTGACGCTGCCTGGGTTCCCAGCATTGGCAGGACTTCAGAATGCCGTGGGCTCCAGCGAAGAAAAGGCTGCTGACAAGGCTGAGGGAGGACCCTTTAAAGATGGAGAGACCCTTGAAGGCAGCGATGCCGAGGAGAGCCTGGATAAGACTGCAGAGTCCTCCCTCTTAGAAGACGAAATAGCACAGGGTGAAGAGCTAGACTCACTTGATGGGGGGGATGAAATAGAAAACAATGAAAATGATGAATAACCAGTACCAGTTCCAGTTCAAGTGTTTAAAACTTTTGACAAGTGGTAGTCCTACTGTTTACACTCACAGTTAATGTTCATACCTAGTTTTATAAGCTGTTCTGTAACATAGTGTAGCAAAAAAAAAAGTTCAAGTCATGTTATACAGGTGTGTCAAAAGGTATCTTGGTCATTAAGTATTGTGCAGTGCATTATTTATTATCCCTAGGAGAGATGAAATTTGAGAGGTGATCATGTCTTTTTAAGGAAACTTACATAATGCTCTGCTTTTTTTTTTTCTCTTGGTACCATTGGTATTATAATAAAGAGCAATTTGTAACTGAGTGGCACTAATGGAAGAAAGTGCTGCTCAAAGGAAGTATGAAGTTATATATTTAATTTTTTAATTTTAATTTTTAATTTTTTTGCTGTGAAGGTCAAGCTGAAATTTACCATACATATCATACTTGCTCATTTGTTTCCCTTTTTGACTGTATGGGGGTTCCCACACTCGTGCATACACACACATCCATACACTCTGACAATCTCCACGCTAGTGTGAACGCCTCTGTCCCGAGGCGCAGCAATAATAAGGCAGCTGTTGAATGTGAAGGGTCCCTTTGGAAAATTAACCTACTGGGAGGGTTCTTGCCAGACAGAACTACAGTTCCATTGTCTCGTGGTCTTGTAATGCACTGGTAAAAACAAAATAAATAGATGAATAAATAAAGAGTGAGAGAAGAGAGAATCAGGTACCTTTTTTAAATTAAAGGACTTTGTTACTTTAGCCACAAAGCTAAAACAGCATTACCTCAGCTCTAAACTAGCCTTGAAGTTTACAGACATGACTTTGTAAATGTATTGTTTTTCTTTGTTGTGATGTCCTTTTATTTTTTTCTTTGAAAACTGCTATCATGTAAGATAAAATGTAAATTGCTGCCAACTGTAGTAATGATGCTTTTAATAAAAGTGACCCATGATATGCAGAGATGTAATTATAGAATGTAGTATATAGGGAAACTGGTGTTCACTCTATTTTTTTTGTATTCGCAATAGATGCAAATACAGCATTCTGGCTTTTGTACAGTTTCTTGATATATCCTCTTATACTAGATTAGCTTTTGGTAAGACACTAAACTGTCTCGAAGACTAGACAGGAAGGAAAACCTTGAATTACTCTCACATAATTCCACTCCAGATATCTCAACAGAAATGCATACAAAAAGCTCCTATTACTCCCTCAAAAGGGCATCTGAGACCGAGAATACTTAGAAATGTGTGCAGCGTGTGATAATGTGGTACACTGAAGAACAAAAGGGCAAAAGAAAAATGAGGCTTTAACAGGCACAATATCTAGGTCATTTATCCTTGGTTAATGGGTAGAAAAACACAATGCGGTAGTGTCAGCAAGGGACACAAAGGCACTCTGGTGTCCTGCAGACCAGCGCTCGATGCCAGAAACCAGTGTGTGGAAAAACCCATGTGGAATTGAAACAGACCCACTTAAGCACGCACGCGCGCACGCACGGTCTCAGGAGCTACTGATTTGTGGACCCCTTTTTGACCTTTGGTATTTAAAGTAAAATATAATTTGAGATCTACTGTTTTCACCTTTTTATGTCACCTGAACCAACACAAAGCCATATTTCCATCCAGTTAAAAAGCAGGGGAAGGGATGTGGACGAGAGTGTTTCGTGTGTGTTGCCTTCCTCCACACCCTTCCCCCAGGACGTCCGCACACAGTCCACCTCCAGCCAGTGTGCTGCCAGACAGGTGGTCTAAATTCCTCCCAGACTGTGAGATTCAGTTCGTTTATGCCCCAAGATGAAAATATGCCCCTTAATGATTCTGGGAAAGAAACAACCTGAACCCTCCACCTTACAGATCCTGTGATTGCTTTTATTTATCATCGTCGTTGTCTGCTGAAAGTGAATGGGCCGTGCACACTGGAGGAAAGTGCCTTGAAGAGAATATTTTTTGAAAGGGAATTATTTGAACACGGGAAAGTGAAACTAGGTCTGCATGAAGTATAGGAAATTTAAGTATTTAAGTAACAAAGATGTTAGCAGGGAGAATTTGCTTAATAAAATGAGTCATTAAAGGGTGTTTTTTTTAAAGTTCTTTGTAGTATTGGAAATTTTCCTATGAGCCTCTGTAAATAGAGAATATAATGTGACACTGTTAGGATAAAATTCTAAGAGCAATGATGATCTTCAAAGCAAAGCCATCAGTTGCTCGTGGCCAGAGGACCCCTGAGTTGTTGGGGCTCACTGGCTTGTTATGTGCATCATCCGGTACTCATCTGTTGACGTGGCTTTAATGTCATTCACATTTTCATATTGAAAAATGCATTTTTTTTCTTCCAGTGAAATTCATTCTTGGTAGTAGATCTTGAATCTACCTAAGTATTTTATTTTCTTTCTTTCTTTCTTTCTTTTTTTTTTTGTTGTTGTTGTTGAGACGGAGTCTCGCTGTCTCCCAGGCTGGAGTGTAGTGGCACAATCTCAGCTCACTGCAAGCCCCGCCTCCCACTTTCACGCCATTCTCCTGCCTCAGCTTCCTTAGTAGCTGGGACTACAGGCGCCTGCCACCACGCCCAGCTAATTTTTTTTGTATTTTTAGTAGAGACGGGGTTTCATCGTGTTAGCCAGGATGGTCTTGATCTCCTGATGCTTGTGATCCACCTGCCTCTGCCTCTGCCTCCCAAAATGCTGGGATTACAGGCGTGAGTAAAGTATTTTCAATTCAGTCAGATACTAATGGGTATGATCGTGTGCCTAGCATGGAGGAAGCACTGAGGTGCCAAGGGTTCTCCTGGCATTGCTCCCTGATGGAAGTTCTGTTCTTCCCTGAGGAGGCTGAGGCCCGGGAGTTGGCATCATCCCCAGCAGTAAGTGCAGGAACAGGACTTGAACTCAGGTGGTCTGACTGCAGAAGTCTGTGTATGTGCTCCTAAAATACTGTGCTTTTAGGTCTCTGAAAGAAAATTATGACATAAGGATAACTGAAAGTTCGCTGTTTATTCCCCTTCATAACATCTTAAGTTTGAGGTTGGGAATTAAGAGAAAGTCTTGAATTAGAGACTTAGCTCTGGCTAAGGAAATGAATCCCACCTACCTCATTTAAATTTGGATTTATTTTGCCCCACAAGTATTTCTATTTTATAAAGAAATCAAGTCTTTAAAAAGAATTTGTCCAAATAAGTTACAGAGAGAGTAAATTGCCAGCCTGGTATTTGAACCCCAATTGATGTAACTCCAAAGCCCAGGCTCCTAACCACTATGCTAGTGTAATTAACATTCATCAGCAACATTGGGTGCTGTGTGCTAGAGGCTGTGCTGGGAATATAGAAATGAAAGCAAACAGACTAGTCCCCTGCTGTCATGCAGCTTACATCCTAGTACGAAGAGATGCATAATAGAATACAAATAAAATGTTTGCAGGGCAAGGAAGACTCTTAAATAAGGTGATAGGATGGCCAGGAAAAAGCTCTCTATGGAGGAGACAGCTCACACCTGAGTGATGAGAAGCAGTAGGCAGACTATATTCTAGTTGGAGAATTGTCCAGACAAAAGGAATGACAAACGCAAAGACCTTGAGCTGGTAATGAGCTTGGAATAAGGAGTGGAGAGGCCATCTGCCTTGAAAAGTTGGGAGGCATGGTCAGATTACATAGGGCCTGGATGGCTCTGGTGGAGGATTTGGGTTTCATGCTGAGTGCTGTAGAAAGTCTTCTGAAGGTTTTATGCAGAAAAATGGTCATTTTCATGTTTTTAAAGGATCATTATGTCTGCAGTTCAAAAAACTCCCTTGTAAAGGGGAGTCAGCAATTCTAGCTGGGAGATGGCTGTAGCAACCTTGGGTCAAGTTTAGTGGGCAGTAATGGAGAAGGAAAGCCATGGATGGACTTGGGATATGTTTTGAAGAGGTAGACCCTCCAATTTAAATGAACTTTTCAGTGAATAATTTGTATTAATTCTTCAGGACTACTACTAAAAACTAACAGATAAAGAATGTTCACCATGCTAATTTTTTTAAATAAGAATGTTGTGATTAGTGTTAGAAGAAGATACTGGGAAAATAAATTTTTCCATCATGTACATTATAAAATTTTCTTTTTAGTTCAATGAAAATTGTTAATTGTCTGTGGGAAGAGTTTTAGACATTAATCCTGACCGGTAGAGGAGGTGAGAGTGAGCATTGTTGAAGCAATGTGTGTTACAGCAAACATCTCTGTGTCTCTAGGGCCATCAATAAATTTAAATTAGGAAGCAAAACAATGTAAATGACTTCTACTAACAAGCACTTAAAAGAATACATCTTATTCATTCAACTTGGCTCTCTAATGAGCAATTTTATATTTTCTTAAGCACAGGTAAGATTTACCACAGTTTTACAGACATAGTAAAATAAGCTATATTTGGCAAAATAGATGAATAAATTACCTTCGGGAATACTTTACCTAATGTAAGACTCTTAAGCATTTCATTATTGAGATTTTTGGTAGGGGAGTCACTTAATTTGAAGATTTTCTGGTAAGGGTTAGGATGATCGTTTTCTAAGTATTCTGGACTATTTAAGTTATTTTATGCAGTGCAACATAGCGCCACCCTCCCAATAGGTCTATTTGTTTATAAACCTTGTTTTGGATCTACAGATGTAGATTTGAATTTTAATTTGGATCTCCTTAATCAAATGTGTACTATGTAATTTAAATGAAATTAAATAATAAGCTAGTGACAAAATTTGAAATATTTTGACATCTAATATCTTTACCTTCCGAACGATTTACTCTTTTTTTTTGAGATGGAGTCTCACTTTGTCACCCAGGCTGGAGTGCAGTGGCACAACCTCGGCTCACTGCAACCTTTGCCTTCCAGGTTCAAGATTCTCCTGCTTCAGCTTCCTGAGTAGCTGGGCCCATAGACATCTGCCACCATGCCCGGCTAATTTTTGTATGTTTAGTAGAGATGGGATTTCACCATGTTGGCCAGACTGGTCTCGAACTCCTGACCTCAAGTGATCTGCCTGCCTCGGCCTCCCAAAGTGCTGGGATTACAGGCATGAGCCACCGTGCCTGGCAGAATGATTTACTCTTAAAATTTGTTTAGCTCCTAAGCAGGTTGACATTTTCTTCACTTGAACAAAGATGGCAGAATCCCATTTCACATGTTGGCAGGCATGCTATTTAAGTGTGCTGGTGCCTCTCCACAGTAGGATCCTGCTGTGAGCCTTCCCTTCTCATGAGGTCCTTCCTGGGCTCCCAGATAAATGTCATGATAAATTTGGAGTTGTAGCTAAAGGGCAGCCTAATAGATTTCTAATATATAATAAATAGTAGCACTAGGTCAAAATACTGCTTAGGAATCACTTTATACTCCAGGTGGCTTCCTCCATTGTCCCCTCGCCGCCTCTGCATTTTGATCTGAAAGCTCGATTTCAAGATTACAAATGAGAGAAACCTGATTCTCTTCTGTGACAGGAGCCAGGTACTGCAATGGTTTGCAATCCAAAACCTCATAATTGTCAGCCTCAGTTCAAGAGACTTCAACTGGGATATAGGCTGGATGACTGAAACCTAAGCAGGCTGTAAAGTTAATAGTTTTGGGGAGTGCGCATGACAGTTTGGAAAACTCATCCTGTTTAACATGTTTCACCATGTTTCCCTAGGAGTCGGGAAGCTCAACATTTCAGAATTCAGCATTTGTGTTTGTTAATAGGCACTGGTGAGTTAATCCACACCACACCCTGGTAAGTTAGGCCAGTCTTGTTGCCACCAGCCCTTTACCAGGTGAGGCAGGGTCATTTGCCCAAGGCCAAGTAGTACACAAGTGTGGTGGCCAGAACTAGAATTTGGACTTTTCCAGCGGACGTGATAGCTAGCTGTGGGCCATCTGTCTTAGGATAAACCCACCATCAATGTTAATTCAGGTCTAGGATCTTAAACAAAAACCTAAAATAGATCAAGCTACAAGATATTTTAATAACCGATGGTGTGATCTGAAGAGCAAATCAGAAAGTTCCAGAATCTCATGCTGCATTACAGAAGTGATTATTGAAGAATGGCTGAAAGATGTTCAAGTAAAAAAAAAAAAAGCAATTAACAAGTAGGCTTTATATCCATGCTGAGTTAATGATATGATCTATGCAACTGACAGTCTAAATATTTCTGCATGTTACTGAGGATATTCACTAGGATTTCTGGATAGTGAATATTGCCCTTTCTTCTACCTTGTATCTGAATGGCCCTAAAAGCCAGCCCCAGCTTGTAGAAATCGAGATGACAAAGTCTGGAACCTATGGCTCCTACAAGGATGGAAAATAGCCCCAGCAGAACAGTGTTGCTTCATCTGTCCCCACCCACAGGGCTTTCCTAGGCTATTGTAGCTCTCATAGCGGATTTGCATATCTGTAGCTGCAGAGCTAATGTTCTCTCTCTAGGCTCAGGGGGCCCTGCAAGGCAGCTCCATGGTCCTTTCCATTTTATTGTAAGAGTTGGTGGAAAATGAGAGGCGGCCATTGTGTCTGACTGCGGAGGCATTGTTCTTCCCCAGACGAGGCTGGCCTCTTTCTCAGCTCCCGGTTTCTGCTCCTCCAGCCATGGCTAGCTTCTGAGGAGCAGCTGGACTAACTCAGAATTGCCCCAAGGGTTACTTAAAACCATGAAAAGAAATTTTACTCTCCAAAATGTAAAGTTACAAACTGCCCCCCAAACACCTTTTCTTGGCAGTCCCAGTTTGTACAGAACCTGTGTGTTCTGATAGTAACGCAGCCGTGGCAACTCAACGACAAAGTGCTGGCTCGAACCTCAGCCCCCAGCCCCTAGCCCACTTTGTGAAAAGAATTTCATTGACCATCAGAATATGTGGTGGTGGCAGTGGGGGATAAAATTGAAGCAGAAAATGTCCCTTTACATTTCAACCATAAAACCATCTGTTGCTGAGGACTGTGCAGGTATCAATTGTTTATGATCATTAAAATCTTGCTGTTGAGGATAGTTACTACAAAAACCTGAATATTGTTTATGATGTCGATGTCGGGGAAACCAAAGCTTTTTGTATTTATGTTGCTTTCTTATGTGGTTTGGGGGTAGGCCAAATGAGCAAAACAACAGTGGCCTTCCAAGGTGCATAGGCCTAGGAGAACATGCTGTAAAATATATGCAAGAAGAAAAGCAACTTTGAGAATCACTTGGTGTTTCTTGTATTTGGAGCTCAAATGACTAAATGGCCAAAATGTCATCTCCAGCTGACATGCTTCCAGCATGTCTGTTCTGGTCAGAAAGCTTACCCAAAATAGTTTACAATTTTATTTTGTACTACGATATACCTGCTACTGGACACGCATCTGCAGATTTTAGGTGCATGCTGATCTGGCACATTTATTCTCATGGATTGTATGTATGGGGCATTACGTGCTCCCTGCCTTCAAGGAGATGCTGAAATCCACAACAACTTGAAGGGTTAGACAAACTTACTGTTTTAATAGCTGTTATAGGTACAAATTATCCTAGCCACTTGATTGTCAGTTGTGGCTAAATATGTTGAATAAGGAGGAAGCTACTGAGCCCAGAGACCCTGGGAGAGGACATGTGGATTTGATCGGTTGTCCTTGCTCCTTGTAATTTTAGCTTCCTGCACCTGATCACTTTATCCAGAGCAGGAACAGCTTTAAACTAATCTTGTTTTGCTTTAAATGTAAACCATCTAGGCTTCTGAATTAGTGCAAAAAAGAAAAAAGTTTAGTAACTTCAGTTAAATCTCTAAGACTCACATCTCTCCTGCATCAGCATGATCATGATATTCCCCTTCTCTTAGAGGTGCCACCAACGGTGACCTAAAAACGGAGGCAGCAATGCCCTGAGGATGGCATCCTGTTGCTGGTGTCCACAAGGTGATTTCCTTCTGGATCTGGACATTCTTGCTTGATGGACTAAATGCAGCCATGTTTTGCTTTCGGCCTTTCCACATTAAGTCTCTGCTCTCTTAGGGACAAATGTTATGGAGTCTTTTTGTGTATTAAGGACACTTTCTTTTGAAAGCCATGCCAGGGGTTATGCTAAACAAAGGGCATAATAGGCATCATTCTTGTCCTTAAGTAGCAACCAATTGGGAAGTATTTAATGGGCAATTGGAGGGTGTGTTGGAGGGTAGGGGTGAGAGAAAAAGCATATAGTCAGGGTTCTTCCAGTGCCTAAGAGTGTTGCTGAGGTAGGTAATATAAACAACAGATCTGCCCGTGCTTTGCAGATTTCAGGGCATTTATCCATGCATTGTCTCAATGGATACAACTTAGAAATAGGCCAGTTGTGACTTTAGAGATTAAAGAAATTAAGGTTCTGTGAGGCAAGGTTAGCAAGTGGTTTCGTTGAATCTTGCAGGCAGGTCTTTGGACTCCAAATCACATAGTGTGGTTTCTCTACCACATAATGACAGCAACCAGGTAACTCCTGCCACACACACACAGTGGCAGCCCTGTAGAGCAAGTTCATCTCTGAGCCTCACCTTCCTCATTTGTAAATTTGGAAGCATAATAATGATAATGCCTTCCTTCTAGTGTTGTGTGAGGATTCGAAATCCTGAATATGGCCGGGCACAGTGGTTCACACCTGTAATCCTAACACTTTGGGAGGCTGAGCCAGATGGATCACCTGAGGCCAGGAGTTCGAGACCAGCTTAGCCAACATGGCGAAACCCCGTCTCTACTAAAAATACAAAAAATTAGCCAGGCATGGTGGCGGGCACTTGTAATCCTAACTACTTGGGAGGCTAAGGTGGAAGAATTGCTTGAACCCGGGCGGTGGAGGTTGCAGTGAGCTGAGATTGTGCCACTGCGCTCCAGCCTGAGCAATAGAGCAAGACTGTCTTGAAAAAGTGAAAAAAGAAAAGAAATCCTGAATATGCAAAGTTCTTAGCGTCTGGCACTGAACTGGCACTCAACAAATGATCATTTAAAAACTTCACATCGTTTGACAAATTCTAAAGAAGTGGTACAGGAGAATGAAGCCTAAAAACACTGAGCAAATGGCCAGGGTGGTTTTGGCCTATAAGGAGTGTTCTATAGAAATGAGGCTTCTGCCTGTCCTGAAACACAGGCAGTTCTTGGCTGAAGACAGCAGTGCAGACTTGAGCTTGGAGTAGGTGGGAGGAGGTAAGGCTTCTAGAAAGTCGGTTCTCAAACACCAGTGAGCAATACAAGTAGCCCTGGGGCCTTGTACACTTCCAGATTTGGATGAAAATTGTTTTTAAAGCTTCACAATACTCTTATTCCAATACATTCTAATATTTTCTGTTGTATTCTATTTCATTAGAATAAATAAATAAGAGATCATTCCCCTCTAAACTGACTTAGTGATGCAGTAGTGGTTGGTGGCCTGCACTTTGAAAAATCCTGCTGTACAACAAGGGTTCTTAACCTGGGGCCATGGATGGGCTTTGTGGGAGGGGATGTGGGTGGCCCTAAGTCCCTTGAATTTGGATGCATAGTTATGTGTGCATGTATTTTTCTAGAGAGAGGATCCCTAAATTTCGTTTGGACCTCAAAGCACCTGTGACTTCCTCTCTGAGAGGGTAATAAGAGAGCCAGAAAAGCAGCTTTGAGTGATTGGGGATTACTTTTAATGCCACTTCAGAAATGGAAAACTGATGAAAAACCAGTCCCTGAAGAGGAAAAATCACAGCAAGTGGAACATTCCCCCCAAAATGCCTCCTGCCCAGGGTACTCTCCTCCCGCTTGTGTGACAGCCAGCAGTTGGGACAGCCTCCTTTTTCTCCTGCACCAAGTGGGGACGGTAATACCACCTTCCATGCAGGCCAGTTTTGAAGACTGAATGAGATAATGCCTGTAGAACTACTTAGACTGGTACAAAATAAACACATTCACAATGTCAACTATTGTGCGTGCTGTCCCTGCGTGGTGACAGTACCACAGAGAGTGTTGTCCCCATTGTATCTGTCCAGTGCTTTGTGAGTGTGTGTTTGTTTTTAGTGGAATGAATTCTTTTCCTCATTCATGAGCATAGAGGCTGATAGAAATTCCAGGCAATCTGATCTACCTCGAGGTCCCTCCCCTGGGCCCTCACACAAAGCCAGAAAACATAAATGAGTCCTTTCTCCCTGTCTGGCTTCTGGAGGCTGGCCATAGGGCCTGAACGGCATCCCTGCCAAGCTAACACAGGTTCCTGGGTGCCCAAAGTGTGCCCGCCCCTGCCAGATGGCAGACAGTGCCCATAGCTGCCACACCCTCCACCCCAGCACACTCAGGACCATGCTCTTGTTGCTACTCACCCTTCAGTCAAAAAATCAAACAAAACACAACGGGCCCTGGAGAGCTGTCCTCAGGTTTCCTCCTTCCCAGGAGGAAGCAAAGGTGAAAGGAAAAAGGGTTTCTGCATAAGGTGCCCACCTTTGGGGAGTCTGAATTTCTGCCCTCTTATTTTATTAATATTATTTGCTGCTATGCTGTTCAGTCGTGAAGCCCAGGGCCCCACACAGAGTGACGCCTCTGGGTCCCGCGGTGGATGGAAAGGGCGGACTGCGGCCGCGCTGGGCACAGGTGGGAGATGGATGGGGCTGCACGGTGGGCACGGAGCGCCTCTGCCGGAAACCGCCTCTTCCTTCCCAAACTCAGTTTTAAAGGGCACAGCAAGTAAGGTGCTGCTGGTTTTAACAGCTCCCATCAGGTAAAGAATGAACGTACACGTACAGCGACTGAGCCTGTTTGTTTCTAATTGGTGTTTTTATAAGTAGGGTTCCCAACAGAAGAAGGCACATGTGTGACCAGCAGGACTGTGTCCTCCCCAGATGAACGTGCTAGAACCAGAGCCCCCAGCGCCTCAGGATGGGACTGCATTTAGAGACAGAGCCTTTAAGAGGGGATTAAGGGAAAATGAGTTCGTACGGGTGGGTCCTGCTCCAACCTGACTGGTGTCTATAGGAAGAGAAGATAAGGACACAGGCAGAGACGGAGGGAAGACTTCCTGAGGGCAGGGGAAGAAGGCAACCATCTACAAGCCCAGGAGAGAGGCCCCCAAGAAGCCAACCCTGCTGACCCCTTGATCTTGGATTTCCAGCCTCCAGAACGGTGAGAAAAGAGATGTCCGTTGTTTCAGCCACGCAGTCTGTGGTACCTGGTTATGGCAGCCCCAGCAAACTAATAAACTGTGTCTTTCATGAATTCATACAGCAACAGTTTACAAGCCTGGCCAACCCCATCAGAAAATGAAAAAGAAACCACCAGGCGAAGTGAAAGCAGTTCCGTGTGATGCGGCCGCTCACTCAGAGCTATGCTGTGATCCACCAGATGGGCTCGCGCTGATGGGAGTCCGGTTGAGTCCTGCTCAGCCAATGGCAGGTTGTGTGCCACGGGCGAGCTACTTCATTTCTCTGGACCTGTTTCCCCAGATGGCTGGTCGCAATAATGACGACGAGGCGGATGGCGGCGGGGAGGCTAGAGCCCATTTCAGAAGCCTGCAGTGAGGATTCCACCAGTTCACATGCATCGGGCACTGAGCCCTGAACCGCACCTAATAAACACTCTCCCAGCTATTAGTATTACAAACCTGAGAACGGGGGCCATATCTGGGTCCTCCTCCTTTCCAGATGTGCGACCTTGATTGAAAGTCACCAGTTCCCTGGGGTTGCTCCATTTGCATAGTGAGGGTCTCAGTGACACTTGGGGGCCCTTTTGGCTCTAACATTTTATCATTCTAATAAGTGTTGATATGAAGAGCCATTCTTTGCAAGGAGTAGGGCCACATTTCGGTGAGTTGTGAGAAGCATAACATTTTGGGTTTTTTTTCTACCCTATGTGTTCATGGTTGACAAACCCAGTAAATAGGGATGACTTTAGGGAATGTCTTTCCAGATAATTCCCCCTTAAAAAAAAATCTGTACCCTTGGATTCTGTAAGTATTAACAAAAAAGGGAAAAAAAGGCAAACTTCTACTTTTAAGCAGTGCAAAGTGACTGCAGTAAATCTATTTAGGTATCATCATGTTTGACTTTAAGAAAATGGCTGAGCTATGGGCAAGGTAATTCAAGAAGATATAAATGGCTGCATTATAATAAGCAGACACCTATTTTAAGCATGATCTATGTTTTTGAGAAAATTCATTACAATAAGTCTTACAATACCAACCTCTTCAATGAATTTTTCATGTCTGCATACCAAGATATATATAAAACGATCGTAATCATGTACCTTTGGGGCAATGCTGAGCGCCAGCTGTTTCAGGCATGATTTATAGGTTGCCATGCTCAAGGTTAATGATCAGGAGAAACAGGTTACAGTATGCAATGTATTTATGTCAGGTTAGAAGTTCAGTTAGTAGAGATAGCATGTTATAAGGAAGCACACACTTTTAATTATTTTCTAACTGCCCCCACCTACATTTTCCTGCAATAAACTAAAAGTAAATTATGTTTTGCATAGGGAAACCTCTGGTAAGCGCATCTTCTGGTTACTGTTGGCTTTATTTAAAGGGAAACCACAGCTAGGAATTATTAGCTGTACATATGAAAACACAGCTTGACAGTACTTAAACATCTGTGCAATGGGCCTACGTAGAAGGTATGATGGAGCTTTATAAACATCGAGCTAATTATGCCCTTACTGAATTGCAGCATTTTGCCACTAGCAGAATTTCTAACAGGATTTTCAGAGATGTGGTACATACAAGCCACAAGCTTATCTCCAAAAGCACTAAAATGGAAGCTGCCTTTCTTTGGAGACAAAATTATTGCATCAGTTTCATTAAAATCTCAGAAATGTTCCCTTTTAAAGTTGAGACAAAAATGCGTCTCTGTTGACCTAGGAAACTTATTTTTGTAATAAAGAGAAAACTTTTTTTTTCATACAGAGTTAGTTCATTGTGCTCCTCACTCATCATTGGTCTACATGCATGACATCTCTCTCCTGTTTCCTTTCTTTCTTCTTTTTTACCCCAGATGTAGTTCCTCAGCACCCACCCACCCAGCCACCCAGAAGCCAGATTTCTAGTGTGTTTATTACATATGTATGCATGTATTTTTCCTAGTACTTTTTCAAATGTGTAGTGTTTGTATGTATACATATATTTAATTATGTAAATGGTATCTTGTTACGTATCTTGTTCTATTTTTTAAACTTGTACAAGTTCATCTTAACACTCTATTGAAGTCTAATTGGCATACATTATACTGACCAGTTTAGATAACTTTTGACACCTGTGAAGCATCACAACAATCAAGATAACGAACATACCTGTCTCCCACTAAGGTTTCCTCATGTTTCTCTGTTACTGTTACCCTCTACCCTCCCCAACCTCTTATACCCAGGCAACCACTAATCTGCTTTCAGTGGGTTAGTTTGTATTTTCAAGAATTTTACATAAATGGAATTATATGGTATATACTTTTTATCTGACTTCTTTCACAAAGCATAATTGTTCTTCAGATTCATTCATGTTATATGCATCAATAGTTCACTTCTTTTTGTGACTGAGGAGTATTCCATTGTACGAATATACCCGTTTATTTATCTAGTCGCCTGTGGATGGACATTTGGGTTATGTCTGGTTTCTGGCTATTATAAATAAGGCCACCATGAATGGCCATGTACAAGTATTTTAATAGACATATACTTTTGTTTCTTTTAGATAAATATATGACAGTGGAATGTCTGGATTACATGGTAGGTTTATGTTTAACGTTTTTTTTTTTTTTTTTTGAGATGGAGTCTCACTCTGTCACCCAGGCTGGAGTGCAATGGCACAATCTTGGCTCACTGCAACGTCTGCCTCCCAGGCTCAAGAGATTCTCCTGCTCAGCCTCCCAAGCAGCTGGGATTACAGGCACCTGCCATCATGTCCAGCTAATTTTTGTATTTTTGTAGAGGTGGGGTTTCACCACACTGGCCAGGCTGGTCTTGAACTCCTGACCTCAGGTGATCTGCCCATTTTGGCCTCTCAAAGTGCTGGGATTACAGGCGTAAGCCACTGTGCCCGGCCTATGTTTAACTTTTTAAGAAATTGTCAAACTTTTCTGCCAAAGTGGTTGTTGCCTTATACTTTCCTATCAGAAGTGTTTGTGTTTTAGTTTCTCCACATACTTGTCAGCACTTGGTATAGGCAGTTCTTTTAATTTTAGACATTCTAAAAAGCACATAGTGGCTTTTTTTCTTTCTTTTCTTTTTTTTTTTTTTTTTTTTTTTTTTGAGGCAGAGTCTTGCTCTGTCACCCAGGCTGGAGTGCAGTGGCACGAACACAGCTCACTGCATCCTCAACCTCCTGGGCTCAAGCAATCCTCCTGCCTCAGCCTTCCCAGTACCTTGGACTACAGGTGCATGCTACCTGTAGCTTGGCTAACCTTCCCTTCCGCTTCCCCTTCCCCTTCCCTTCCCTGCTTTCTTCTTTTTCTTTTTCTTTCTTTCTTTTTTTTTTTTTTAGAGGTAGGAGCTCACCTTGTTGCCTAGGCTGGTCTTAAACTCCTGAGCTCAAGCAGTCTTCCTGCCTGAGCCTCCCAAAGCACTGGGATTACAGGCATGAGCAACTGCACCTGGCCCATGGCATCTTATAATGGTTCTAATTTCTATTTCTCTAATGATTAATGAAGTTGAGTATCTTTTCATGTGTTTATTTGCCATTCATCTGTCTTCTTGGTGACGTGTCTATTCAAAACCTTTTGCCAATTTGTAGGGCAGAGTGCTTGTTTTCTTATTATCAAATTTTGGGAGTTATTTTTATAATCTGGATACAAGTGCTTTACCATATATACACTTTAATATGCAGGTATTTTCTCCAACTATGTGACTTATTTTCACTTCCTTTAAAGTCTTTTGAAAAGCAGAAGTTTTGAGTTTTGATAAAGCACATTTTATCAATTTGTTCTTCTATGAATCATATTTTTGGTGTTGCATCTGGACTTTAGAGTCCATTCCCTTGATCTATTAATCTATGTTGATGCCAAATACCACACTATCTTGATTACTGTAGCTTTAGAACAAGTCTTGAAGTCAAGTTATATAAGTCCTCCAACTTTATTCTTCTTTTTCAAAGTTATTTTAGCTATTCCAATTCCTCTGTATTTCCATATAAATGTTAAAATCAACTTGTCAATTTCTGCAAAAAAGCTTCCTGAGAATTTGCTTGAGATTATGTTGAATCTATGTATGAATTTGGGCAGAATGACATCTTAAAAATACTGAGTTTTCCAACTCACACATCTGATTTTTAAAAAACTTTTTTCTTGTAACATTGACATTTTTAAGATTAATTTGTGTTTCTATGTGTATATACTACATTTCTTCTAACTCTTGCATGAACTCAGCATGTCTTAGTTTACTATTGCTACTATGACAAATTATCACAAACTTAATGGCTAAAAACAACGCAAATGTGTTATCCTACAGTTCTGGAGGTTAGAAGTCTGAAATTTATTTTACTAGGCTATAGTCAAGGTATCGTCAAGACTGGTTCCTTCTGAAAGTGCTAAGAGGAGAATCTTCTTCCTTGCCTTTTTCCATTTCTAGTGGCCCCTTGTATTCTTTGGCTGTCACCCCTTCCTCCATCTGCAAAGCCTGTTGCTCCAATCTCTGCTTCCATCATCACCCTGCCTTCTCCTCCGACTTCTGAGAACTTCTTGTAGACTGGCGTCATTACATCAGGCCACCTGGGTGACCCAGGATAATCTCCCCATCTCAAGATTCTTAATTTTATCACATCTGCAAAGTAGCTTTTGCCATATAAAGTAACATTCACAGGTTCTAGGGGTTAGGGAAGGGCATCTCTGGGGACCCTTGTTTAGCCTACTGCACAGTGCCTGTGTCCACATTTTAGGGCCACTTTCCCTGTGGCAGGCATCATAAAGTGTTGTCCCCAACTCCTTACCACTACAAAGAATGTTGCAAAGAGCATTTGCATTTCATATCTTTTTATGAACTTGTGTGCAAACTTTCTTTTTTTTTTTTTTTTTTTTTTTTTGAGATGGAGTCTCCTCGCTGTTTCCTAGGCTGGAGTGCAATGGTATAACCTCAGCTCACTGCAACCTCTGCCTCCCAGGTTCTAACAATTCTCCAGCCTCAGCCTCCCAAGGAGCTGGGATTACAGGCGCCCATGACAATGCCTGGCTAATTTTTGTATTTTTAGTAGAGATGGGGCTTCACCAGGTTGGCCAAGCTTGTCTCAAACTCCTGACCTACATGATCCGCTCACCTTGGCCTCCCAAAGTGCTGGGATTACAGGCATGAGCCACTGCGCCCAGCCAAGTGCAAACTTTCTTAGGATTTGTGCCCAGAAATGAAATTGCACTGAAGGATCACTGATGCGCTCCTGTGGTGATTACAGCTGGGAAATGGCTGGTTGCTCTCCAGAAAGGCTGTGCTGGTCAATCTACCTCACCAACCGCATATGAACTTTTCTGTCTCCGCTTTCTCACCAACATTTCCTATCACTTATCTTCTTAATTGTTGCCTATGGTTGTGTTTTGCATTTCTCTAATTACCAGTGAGTTTTGTATATCTCTTCATGTTTGTTAACCTTTTGATTTCATCTTTATAAACTGCCTGTTCAGCCCTTTTGCCCATTTTTCTACTGGTGTTACTGTTTTCCAAGTTGGTTTTATTTAGAAAGTCAGTCTCTGGCCCTCTATCAGAAAAGTGTTATCCTAGGTTTTCTTGACTTTATAGTTTTACCTTTCACGTTTAGGTTTTCATCTATCTGGTGTCACCTTCATCTGTGTTATGTCAACATGCGATCTTACTTTTCTCCATAGTGAGACAATTTTCCCATTATCAGCTACTAAAAATTCTGTCCCTTATTGGTTTGTAGTGCTACTATTATTACATATTAAGTTCGTGTGTGTGTGTGTGTAATATTCTATTAGCTTCTTTGTTCTTGCATCAATATCACACCTTTTTTATTACTATGGCTTTATGCTATGCTTTTTTTTATAGTGTGAAAGATCCACTCTACTATTTTCAAGATGGATTTAGGTGTTTTATTCTTCCCTATACATGGTAATAAAATTTGAGTTCCTCAAAAATTTACTTCATAGTCATGATTATGATGGCATTGAAATCATGGATTAATTTAAAAACATTTACATCCTTACAGTAACAAGTTAGCCATCTAAGGGCATGGAATAGCTCCCCATTTTTTTTCAGATCATCTTTTATGTTTTTAATCAAATTTAGTTTTCTCCACAGATGAATTCAGGATTCCTGACCAGTTCGTAGATTTTGGTACCATTATGAATGAAGGATCTTATTTTAAAATTTCTTGTTGGGTATTTTCTGGCATAAAAACTGTTATTCATTTTAGTAGGTTGATCACACTGACAAACTTTCTAAACTCTTGATTAGTTCTAATGGTGTGTTGTTGATCCTTTTCTCTAAGTAGATGATCATATTTTCTGAAACCATGCCAGTTATATTGCTTTAGAAAATATTTTTCCCATAATCCTGTGAAAGCTTCATTACCTAAATTAAGAGCCTCTCATTCAAGACATCGCTACTTTTCTTGTTAAGTATAATAACATTTGAAAGGTACTTAATGATCACTCTCTTTTTGTCATTTCAGCATACCTGTGAGAAAGACAAGAACAGGAGAGTTGTAATTTACAAGGATATAGTCACTGTGAATTATTAAATATATATACTCCCTGCTGGGCCTTTCTCTTTAGAATGCTTTGTTTAGTCAACACTTTAAAATATACTTAGTTAGAAGAATAAATTTAGTTAGGGGAATAAAATTCAGAAAACCTTAATCAGAATTAAAGATAAAATGTGTAAAGTAATGACATCATATCCCAAGTAATTATCCCTCATTCAACATTCTGAGGATTACTAGATCTTTTCCTTTCTCAAGTTATTTGTTTACTCAGTAAATTACTCAGATCTAGCCTATTCTATAAAGGTTGGGTCATTTTTTCCAAGTCAGTTACACATCCTGTTTTTTAAAGGAAGCAAATAATAACTTGGAACTTTTTTTTTTTTTTTTTTTTTTGAGATGGAGTCTTGCTTGCTCTGTCACCCAGGCTGGAGTGCAGTGGCGCGATGTTGGCTTACTGCAAGCTCTGCCTCCCGGGTTCACACCATTCTCCTGCCTCAGCCTCCCCAGCAGCTGGGACTATAGGCGCACGCTGCCACGCCTGGCTAATTTTTTTGTATTTTTAGTAGAGACGGGGTTTCACCGTGTTAGCCAGGATGGTCTTGATCTCCTGACCTCGTGATCCGCCCACCTCGGCCTCCCAAAGTGCTGGGATTACAGGCTTGAGCCACCATGCCCGGCCGGGAACATTTTTTTAAGCTTTACCCATCTAGGAAGTGTGTAGTATCATGGTTTATACTTATATAGTTACCCTAAAGTTGTTCTAAGTATTTGTTATGTCTTAACTCATTAAGGTCTTAACTCAGAAAGGTCTGATCCTTTTGACTGAAATATCTGGGGGAAAATGTCATTGGGTCTGGTCAGCCATCCCATTACTGGGTATATACCCAAAGGACTATAAGTCATGCTGCTATAAAGACACATGCACACGTATGTTTATTGCAGCACTATTCACAATAGCAAAGACTTGGAACCAACCCAAATGTCCAACAATGATAGACTGGATTAAGAAAATGTGGCACATATACACCATGGAATACTATGCAGCCATAAAAAATGATGAGTTCATGTCCTTTGTAGGGACATGGATGAAATTGGAAATCATCATTCTCAGTAAACTATCGCAAGGACAAAAAACCAAACACCGCATGTTCTCACTCATAGGTGGGAATTGAACAATGAGATCACATGGACACAGGAAGGGGAACCTCACACTCTGGGGACTGATGTGGGGTGGGGGGAGGGGGGAGGGATAGCATTAGGAGATATACCTAATGCTAAATGACGAGTTAATGGGTGCAGCACACCAGCATGGCACATGTATACATATGTAACTAACCTGCACATTGTGCACATGTACCCTAAAACTTAAAGTATAAGAAAAAAAAATACATGATCTATTAAAAAAAAAAAAGAAAACGTCATTGGGTCTGGTGCTTCGGAAAATTGGGATCTGAATAATTTTTTATTTTATCTGTCACCTATCAACTTCCCCATCACAGGACATACTGCAGAGATGTGATGGTCCAGCAGAAGCGCAGCCTTCCCCTTATGCATTCACATGCTGGAGCTGGAAAAAAGCTGGAGGAATCCAACCCATTCAAGTTATGAGGAAGAACCAACTCTTTTCAGTCCACCCAGCTGGTGAGAAGCAGGTACTAACACTTGGGTATGCTTTCTCTCACCCCAGTTCTTCCACCAGCACACAAAATGCCCTTCCCCCCACTGTCACAAGGTTGAAATGTAGTTAATCATCAAGAACAAGGATGGTGTGGAAGGAAATGAAAGGGGCAGATACAGCCTAGATAATAAGTAACACTATATTGGGTACTTTTCTCTTAAGACTCATATCAATTCAAAAAAAACATAGATTATAATAGCTAACACTATTAATCCTTGCTATATGCATTTTACATGGATTATCTCATTTAATCCCTGCAAAAGCCTATGATATGGATGTTATTGTCATTCCTATTTTATAGATGAGAAAACGGGCTTCAAAATGTCAAATAACTTCCCTATGATGCCACTAGCCAGTGGCAGAGAAAGGATTCAAATCAAGAACTCTCTGATACATAAATCCGTGTCCTTAACCATTAGCCTATCCATGGGCAATTTTCTTACCTCCATTTTACAGCTATGGACTCGGCATAGCCCAGTGTGGCAGAGTTCTTAGATACAAGTTATGGCAACCAACTCTGGTTCACTTACACAGAAAGAGAGTTGGTTCATTTATGCAGGAAGAGGAAACCTAGCAAGCTCACCAACTCCAGGTTGCAAGAACCTTGCGGTTCTCTGAGGCACCCCATCTATGCTCCTATTGTCCACTGCAGAGCAGAACTCCATTTCCTCTTTCTTAGCAGACGGATTACTTCAGTCAAAACCCATACCATCCCCCACACACCACACACTTTCTTTTTTCTTTTTCTTTCTTTCTTTCCTTTTTTTTTTTTTTTTGAGACAGAGTCTCACTCTGTCACCCAGCCTGGAGGGCAGCGGCGTTATCTCGGCTCACTGCAGCATCTGCCTCCTGGGATCAAGCTATTCTCCTGCTTCAGCCTCCCGAGTACCTGGGTCTACAGGTACACACCACCATGCCTGTCTAATTTTTGTATTTTTAGTAGAGATGAGTTTTCACCATGTTGGCTAGGCTGGTCTCCAACTCCTGGCCTCAGGTGATCCACCTGCCTCGGCCTACACTTCCTTTTTTCAATCCAGTGGCAAGAGGACTTTGAAATGCCCAGGTGTGAGTCTCAGCTTCAAATTTACAATGGAACCATTGCTGCCTCGCCTGCTGGAAGCATTCTTCCCTTATTTATTAAGACCTCTAACAAAGCCCAGAGCTCTGGGGTCAGAAAACAAAATAGCTGCAAGTGGTTGTGAGGCTTTACTATTCCTCCAACCATCCCTATTCACAGGAAGGATCCACTGCATGTGGATCGCTGATTCCCACTCTCTGTATGTCCCAAACCATTACATCGAGTGGCGTGAACTCACCATTTTTTCAGGTCAAAAATGATGATTCACTGGCAATATCATTTAGTTTAAGAGCAAGGATTTCCCCCTACATTTGCTGTTTCTAGAACTGAGTCTTCATTTGGTTATGCTGCTGTTCTACAAGGGCAGCTGCTTCTGAGATGTGGGCTACAAGGCAAGCTTGGAGACTCCCATAGACTTCAGCCCATTGCCTGTCTTCCTTCACTCAAAAATAAATACTTTAGGCCAGGCGCGGTGGCTCACGCCTGTAATCCCAGCACTTTGGGAGGCAGAGGCGGGCTAATCACCTGAGGTCAGGAGTTCAAGACCAGCCTGACTAACATGGTGAAACCCCATCTCTACTAAAAATACAAACAATTAGACAGGCATGGTGGCACGCACCTGTAGTCCCAGTTACTTGGGAGGCTGAGGCAGGAGAATCACTTGAACCCAGGAGGCAGAGGTTGCAGTGAGCCAAGATCGCGCCACTGCACTCCAGCCTGGGTGACAGAGTGAGACTCCATCTCCAAAAAAAAAAAAAAAAAAAAAAAAAAAATGCTTTAGTGAGAAGGAATTCTATGTGGGTATGAGATACCATCATGATTGATAAGGCATTCATGAAGGCCATGTGTGTCATGAAGGAAGAAGCTTGTTAGGAAGGAATGCCAATGCAATCCAGGTTCATAATAAGTGTTCATTCCAGTGAAAACAAATTGCTACCTCTACAGTTATGGAAAAGATTCAGTGTAATCAACAGGCTACCAGAAGGCAAGCTGCTGCTCCTGAATATGGTGCCACATTGACACTCAGGGTTCATCACTGAAGTAGGCAAGTGGGATACGCAGCCAGGTGAGGAGGATATGCAGCCAGGTGAGGGCCCGTGCTTGTCTCTGAGCCCATGCATAGCTTCCTCCCTCCACGGCCTCTCACTTCATGTACCTATTCGGTGGCACTGGGTTTCTGAGGATAGTGGCTGACTGATATCCCGAGAGGACGGTCATGTCCACCTTATTAAAGAGCGCCTCCTTCACTGGGAAGAATTTTGGTGAGCGTTATCATGGCATTCTTGGTGCCTGTTCTCAGAGGTCAGTCTATATTCTTTCCCTGATCTGGTCACCAACTCTTAATCTTGCTCTTTACTAATTTTTTACTAGGTGGCCAAACAATTAATCACTGTCCACACAGCCTGACTTAAGCTCCTATCTCCTTCTTGGTAAAATAAAGAATGAGAAGAACCAATTATTTATGCTGGGATGATTGCCTTTCTTTACTATTTTTCAAGAGTCAGTGTCACTCTTCAGCAGTCTCTCCCAGCAAACACCTACACATTGTGCAAAGTCATATACACACAGATTTTTTTTTTTCCATTTTCAGTCATCTGATCAGGAGGATTCCCCACGAGGCTCAGGTGTAGGTTGAGGGAAGGGTCATAACATAGAAGGCAATGTACCTGGGTGTGCGAGCCATCTGCCCATACAATTTTCTTATGCCTTCAGGATCTGCACAGCCTGAGTGATGGTGCTTTGGGGAATGCCTGAATTTCTGGCTGGGAGGATGAGATAAAACCTACTTCATAAGGCAGAGCTCAGGTTCACCTGGTATTCTATGATTAAATATGCAACATCCATCAGGGTCCAGTAGCAATCTTTTCTCAATAGAAAAATAATTCTTGCCAAGAGGTTGGGGCTTTACTTCTGAAACCCTGGCAGAGGCTTCATATAGTTGCCTCACTTGCTACTTGCACTTTGAACACCCTTGGATCCAATCTTAAGGCTCAAATGGAAGAGCTCTTTCTGCCACAGACTTGTCCAGTTGGAGACTGGTGGGGCCCTTCTTAAAGCTAGTAACCTTTCAATTACCTGGTACTTGGGGGAGAAAGCACAGCGAAATGTGGCATATGTTGCCTCCAAACTCCAAAGAGGTTCACAAAGTGTCGTACTTCTTTATTAGGGGCTGCAAGATGAAACAATTAGTTCTTTACTTTTGAGAAGATATGCCTTCAGTACCCCCATGGATCTCCCAGAAAGTTTACTGATGTGTCCTTCATTTTATTTTCATGGGATACCTCTGGCTTATGCTATCTTACCAAGAAATCCATGGCACCTGCTATTTTCTGCTCTCTGAGTCCTATCATACTGATGTTATCAATGTGGTAGACCAATGTGATGTCTTTTGGGAAAGCAAAATGATCAATTTTCCTTTAGCACAGAGCCCTAAAGCAAGAGGATGAAAAGGTTCTGGTGCCCAGCCTGCCAGAAACAATCTTCTGATGTTTTGTATTTATTAGGATGGGAAAAAAGCATTTTTGAGATCAGTACTTGCATGGAAAATACCAGGGGCTGAGTTGGTTTATTTCAGTAGAGAGAGACCACATCTGGAACAGTGGTGGCAATTAGAACAACCATTTTATTAGCCTTATGATAATCCACTGCCATTCCTTCTCCAGAGTGCTTTTATCCTCTGCATCACCCTGAGCTCTGTTGCTTATAACTACTTCTGTTTCCAGTTCCTTTATCAATGAACATCCTTAGTCAGAAGCAACAGAAACTGGCTCTGGCTGATTTATGTATGGTATAGCCCCTCTGTCTTTCAAGTCTTTGGCAAAAGAATTTATCTCTGGGCCACGTGCGGTGGCTCATGCCTGTAATCCCAGCATTTTGAGAAGCCGAGGCAGGTGGATCACCAGGTCAGGGGTTCGAGACCAGCTTGACCAACATGGTGAAACCCTGTCTCTACTAAAAATACAAAAAAAAAAAAAAATTAGCTGGGCGTGGTGGTGGGTGCCTATAATCCCAGCTACTCAGGAGGCTGAGGCAGGAGAATTGCTTGAACCCAGGAGGCAGAGGTTGCAGTGAGCCGAGATCGTGCCACTGCACTCCAGCCTGGGCAACAGAGCGAGACTGTGTCTCAAAAAAAAAAAAAAAAAAAGAACCATTTCTGCAGTTCCCCCAAGGGTAGAACATAGTTTTTTACTTACTATTTGCTAGGGAGAGCATGTGTCAAGGACTTCCATTCATTTCTTCCACCATTGTAGCCTTTACTCCACCTCTAAGGGAGAGCTAAAATGAGGACTGGACTGATTATTGAGATGACACGTGCCGTCAGTGGGGGTTCAGGGTTCAGGATTCAGGATTCCACTGAATCTCCTGGGAGAGGACTTTGGTTGAAACTCTATTTCTTACCTCACTCCCGAAAAGCTCCCTCTTTGATGAGAGGACCACAGTGGTGTTCTGGGTCTCCAGGAGGTGGTGCTTGCTAAGAGCATCAGCAATCTATCCTGTAGAAAATGGGAACCATGATGCTATAAAAAGCATTAGCCTTCACCTGATCCATGCATCTCTCAATGCTTTGGTGAAGGGAGTGTTTTCTTGGGACCCTCTTTGGAGATGCAGTAAGTAAGGTTTGAGGGAATGTGTTTCACTTACTTGCTCATGATAAATCTGCTCCCATCCTTTCTCGCTCTCCAACCCCCACGTCTTTGGAATCTTTCAACTATATTTTATCAACTAATGCCTGGCATCTCAATCTCATTCAGCAGGGACTATCATTGAGTACAGGTTTCTGCTGACTAAACAAGTAAACAACCGAATTTGTTCCCAACTGTCTGGGCTAGCTCAAAGAATCCAGACTCTCTGGAAAATATACCTATACCTGTGAAATTCAGTTCAATCTACAGGTGTATACTTCCCACTTTGATGTGGCTCTTCACAGTACATCTTCATATGTGTTTGCCAGATTTGTGTTAAACTAAATTACTTCTTTGGTGTACAATTTTTTGGGGGCTAAGATTTGGTATTCTACTTGGCCTTCCAGAACATTCTGGGACCTGACTCTACTTAAAAAGCTAATTAGATGTCTAAGAAAGTTGTAGATGTGGGTCGTAAGGATAATTTTTGCCCAGATGAAGTAGTTGGGGAGGTTCTTCCAGAAGATAGCAATAGCTTTGTTGCAAAAGACAGGATGGACTTTCCTTGTCTGCATGGAGAACTCAGGGGGAGCCAGGGGATCTTCGCACTCTGAGTCCACTGGATCCCTGCAAGTCCCCATTTCAATCGCAGGCTTTTACTCATTCCTAATCAATGTGCTACATTTTGCATAAGAGACCTAGGAAAGCTGTGAATCCATAAGCATACAGTATCCAACTTTGAGTTTAGTTTTTGACCTCCTCATATCCATGGCTGCAAGAAATAAGAGTTTCCTATAAAAATTCCAAGTTTAAAGATGATGCTTTGAGTCAAGAATTTAGATACTTGAGCTTTTTTTTTTAAGTTGACCCCCTCTGTAGAGACAACCACCCCACCCTTAGATCTTTAATTCCTCATAACCTTCATAGCACTGTTGGCAGGGACCCATGTTCCCGCTGAAGCCTGCTGTGAGGGAACGGGAATTTTTTGAAGGATGACAGGTCATGATGAACCGTTTTGCCACCAAGCCATAAGACCTGACAGAGTCACATCCAGCATTTTTTTCCTGCTGTCTGCCCCAACTAGGCATGATAACAAAACCCAGATTCTCCTCATTACCATAAGGTCTGTTTCTGATAACCACTCCTGGTTCCAATTTCCCCATCTGTGGGCATTTTTAGTTGTAAGCAGCAGAAACTTACTGTGGTCCATTTAAACAGAAAAGAAACTCATTAAACAAGGTACCACACATCTCAGAGAATTTCTAGAAGGGTGAGAGAACAAGGAATAATTCCCCCAAATCAGATCACAGAACGTATCCAGTGAAGATTATGGCTCTTGTCTCCCACATCTGACACCTTGTTCATGAGACACAAGAACCAGCACTATGGGATCTGTTATCCTGGGATCTTGACTTGCTACAACCATTACTGCACCAGGGAGAACTTCTTATGGTGCCACCCCCTTGTGCCACACTCTGACTCCTAGGGCAGGGCACGAGAATTTCGTGGTGGAGCTGAGTCATGGCTTTGCCCTAGCAATCAGGGAGGCCAAGGAAACCTGGCACTTTCAGCTCTGATAATGGGAACTGGGCTCTGCTTTTCAAAAAACTTGTGAGGTGGGAATTCCCTAAAACTAGGAAGGGGATTGTCCAAAACTTTGATTCATATATACTACACCATGTCACGGGATACATCAACAATTCAAAAAATTCTCATTGAGTAGCTATTGCCTTGGGAATAGATAGATGAATAAAATAAAGTCCCTAAGATTATACAGCTTAGAGTCTTGTGTGAGAAACTCATCTAAATAAGTATGAGGCCCTGAGAGCGCAGAGGAGAAGATCATTCATTTCAACTTGGATAACTGAGGAAGACTTAGTAGAAGGAATGATATTTGCATTGGGTCTTGAAGGCTAAATAAGGGCCTATTAAAGAAAAAGTGACGAGTAGAATGAGGGACACGTAAAGAGAGAATTCTAGAGTGTAAGTATTTATTAAACTTGATGGCATAGTCAGGGAATATCAAATAGTCCGAAGTTAATAGGACAACCTAGCTAAAAAGGGACGTAGAGAATAGATTTCAAGATCTTGAAAACTAGGCTGGATATCTATCTTCTAAGGGGAACCAGTAAAGACATTTAAGCAAGCAAGAAAAAAATACAAAACTTCTGTTTTAGAAAGAGAACTTTGGAAGATGGTTTTAAGTGGGAGGAGGCCATAATCAGGAGGAAAGTTAAGTGAGTTATTGCCAATGGCGAGAGATTACAAGGGTCAGAAGAAACATGAAGGTCACGACGATGGATGGGATTGGCCCGAGAATATTCTGGAAGCACAATTTATTAATATTGGCGATAAAATGAATATGAAGTACAAAGGAAAGGGAAGAATTAAAGATAACCCTAATGTTTCTGGCTTGAATGTCTGAGCTGGAAAGCCATTGACTGAGGTTGAAATACAGGAGGAAGTGACAGGTGCAGGAAGAAAACATACTGTTTGGTTATGGACTTTCGGAGTTTGGGGCATTTGAGGCATTCCTGCTGTCTGCCCCAACTAGGCATGATAACCAAACCCAGATTCTCCTCATTACCATAAGGTCTGTTTTGAAAGGTATTTGGGTTGGAAAGTTGGATCTACAGACCAAGAGAGTGGGTCTAGCCTGGATATGCAGATTTGGGATTCATAGGCACAGGAAGGGTGGTTGCTGGCCTGAGAGCCAACCAGGTTGGCTAGGGATAGTGGACAGAACTGTGGACTCCTAGGACCAGCAACACTAAATTTTTAAATAGGAAAGGACTGGAGAAGTGGGTGGAGAGGTAGAGGAAAAGCAGGAGAGAACACATCTTTATAAATAAAAGAGAGGAGAGGGAAGGAAAAGGAGTTACGAGAATCGGGGGTTACAATGGGGCACTCAGCTCCTTTTTTGAGCATGTCAGTGGACTACTAGCAGCAGGACCCAAACATCAGTGAGTCTTGGAAGGGAAGCAAAGAAGGGGAGCTGAGGGGGAGCACGGTTTCATGACTAAGAGCTGAGCAGGAGCCAGACTCCTGATATCTGACTCCAGACCCGCACACTCCTCTGGGACTCCCCAAACACGTTGCTGGCACACAGTCCCTGCTGGCCAGTGTTTGCACATGAAAAAAGGGGTCCTGCCAAGAACCAGGTTTGGACTCTAAGTTAAAGAAAGTTGAACATGCTTTTTTACTGCCAGATGCCTCAGGGAATGTAAGACTGTTTAATGTGCATTGAGAATCTCTACAAGCTGGAGATGACACAAACTCTTAGAATTTGCGTGTTCCTTGGTCGTGAGTTCTCATTTCTTGAAATGGGTGTTTCAAAAGACACCTATGGAGAACTATCATCCTGTTTTATCCACTGTACCCAGTTGCTTCCATAAAAGGGTTATGTCAGAATGCAGTGTAGACTCAGGGGCCTGAGAAGGCGTGGGAACTACTCCCACTGCTGAAAGCCTCAGAGACTTTCAGCATCAGCAAACTGGCTGAATTGCAACCATTCAGAAATGCCTCTCCTTTTTTCATATTTCAATATTTCTGAAATCAAGGTGGGCCTTATAATTGATAAATATATTTAATATAGTGCTTTTGGCTGGGCGCGGTGGCTCATGCCTGTAATCCCAGCACTTTGGAAGGCTGAAGTGGATAGATCACCTGAGGTCAGGAGTTCGAGACCAGCCTGGCCTGCATGGCAAAACCCCATCTCTACTAAAATTACAAAAATTAGCTGAGGGTGGTGGCGTGTGCCTGTAGTCCCAGCTACTTGGGAGGCTGAAGCAGGAGGATCTCTTGAGCTAGGGAGGCAGAAGTTGCAGTGAGCCAAGTTTGCACTACTGCATTCCAGCCTGGGCAACAGAGTGAGACTCTGTCTCAAAAAAAAAAAAAAAAGAAAAAAAAATATATATATATGTGTGTGTGTATATATATATGTGTGTGTGTATATATATGTGTGTGTATATACACAAATATTTATGTGTGTGTATATATACATATATATATATATAAAACATAGTGCTTTTTTTCTTAATGCCCCATGCTTGTTATTAAACCAATAGTGTAGAACAACTCAGATATTCATATTGCTGCAGGCAATTTTAGTACTGAGGGATGATAAAATTAGTGAGAGAAAGTTTGAAAAGAAACAGGACATTTACATAGCCTCAAATTATCTCATTTGCTCCCTGCTTCCTTTTTTATTACAAAGGGAAAAGTAATAATGTTACTATGGAGAAACCTGGCAGACTCCACCCTGACCAAGGGACCAAGGTTAACATCAACAGTCATAAGACATATTGGCATCAGGTACCTCAAAATATGATACACTGAGAAGACCACATCCCCTCTGTAATATCTCCCCAATAATGCATTACCTCTGTCGAGTCATGAGAAAACATCAGGCACAGACAAACTGAGGAGCATTTTACACAATACCTGAGTAGCATTTTTCAAAAGACAAGGAAAGACTGAGCTGAGTGACTGTCACAGATGGGCAAGGAGCAGGAGACATGACACCTACATGCAAGGTGGGACATTGGAGTCGGTCCTGGAACAGAAAAAGGACCTTAGTGAAAAAACTGGTGAAATCCAAATAAAAGTCTGCAATTTGACTAACAGAATCATACGAGTTTCTTCATTTTATAATTATATTATGGTTACTTAAGGGTTAACAAAGGGGAAGCTGTATGAGGAGTATACAGAAACACTTTGTACTATTTTGGCAACTCATCTTTGCATCTAAAATTATCTCAAAATAGAAAGTTAAAACCAGAAAAGAGAGATTTAGCCTCTTCCCCATGTGATGCCCTGCACAGCCTTGGGACTCTTCAGAGAGTCCCCACAGCAAGAAGGCTCTCACCAGACGCATCCCCTTGACCTTGGACTGTCCTGCCTCCAGAACTGTACCCTGTAAGCCACTTTCTTTCCCTTCATGGGACAGAAACAAAGACACGGGGAAGTTGTAGGCCACAGCGACCAAAAGGAATGTTGAGGTGAAGCTGCAGAGTGAAGCTTCTGCTTCCTCAACTCAGTTGAGCAGCATAAGGTGGTGGGAGCAGCAGGGACTAGGCAACACTCAGCTCACCCGGGAGACTCGCTAGGCTTAGGAGGGGCAGAATATGGTGTTTGCCTCGTCACTGAAACCAGAAGTTGTTGCCTAAATATACTACCAAAAACTCTCTCTGAAGTCTCTGTTTAAGAGCCATGGAAGATGGGAAAATTAATATATTTCTTTTCAAATCCAACTCAAAAGGCACAAAGAGCTGTTTATGCTCATCACCCGTGTGACAGCCAACTTTCCTTTTTTCACCAACCCACACAGGGGCCTCCGAAAAGTAATATTACTACTGAAAAGTAATATTTCACAGTAAAATTTCATTAAAAGTAATATTTCACAGTAATATTTCATTAAACAAAACAACAAGAAACACACAAACAAAGGATATTGTGCCCTGTAAGCAATGGCACATTTGAATGGAGGGAAAATGCTATGTTCTGTCCTCTCCAGCTGCCTCTTTTCTGAGCTGGTATATCAGGGATACTGGTTGTGGCCCTGGCACTACCTGTACGTGACTGGCGGAGGTAGGAGAGAAATGAGGGGGAGGTGAGGGAGACAGAGAGTGGGCAACACGGGCGGGATGGGGGATGGTATTTGTAAACAGGCCTTTGGGATGCCTTAAATTCTGCCAAAAATTTGAGTATTTGCTTATGGGACTGGCTTTAGAGATCATGATTTATCAAACTAGGATTAGAATGAAGAATATCCCCCGGGAAGGAAGCCAGTCTTGTGCCCCTGAGCCAGTCTCTTATTTAGAAACGGGTTTCCTCCTCATCACAGTGCTCTCCAGGAGTAATTTCTGTGATGACAGAAATTTTTTGGGTCTGTGCTCTTCTGTACAGTTGTCACTAGCCACATGCGCCATGGATCACCTGAAATGCAGCCAGCTTAATGGCAGGACAAGTTTAAATGTAAATAGTCACGTGACCACTGGCTGCCTATTGGACACAGCTCGAGGCACTAGCTTAACCATATTTTTTAAAATCATTATATGGATCAATATAAGCAAAGAGAAATAATTTCAAAGATGAGAATATATGTAATCAACCACCCAAACCCCAAAGATATGTGGAAATAAGAAGTAGCCAAATGAATAGTTTTACAGTTGTACCCAGAATCATGGAATTTCATGGCTGGAAAAAACTTTAGAGCTCATCTGTTTCAACCCACCTCATTTACTGCTGAGAAAGTAGGAGACCAGGGGAATATGTGATTTTTCCAGGGTCAAGGGCGAGATAGGGGCAGAAGCAGAACTAGAGCTAGGTCTCCCCAGCCCCATTCCAGGGCTGTGCAGGACTGCGTACAGCTTCACACACCTAGATTTGCCACCTCATTCATGTTAAACCTGCATTGGTACCAACGAGATATAGATGTACCCCGTTTCTCTTCTCCATACTCCCACTGTTCAGCCTCATCAAAATATCCCAAATGGGATGTTTCCAGAACAATTCTTTTTCAATGAAAAGCATCAAAGCTGCTGTCTTTCAGCCACATGGTCTGTCTTCTGGCCCCAAGGGAGGAGAGCTGAAATAATAAATCCTCTAGAGGATACAGAATCAAGGACACCAGAGAGCTTTCTCATAAATTGCCTCTCCATTACAATTTGAGTATATTCACAATGGAGAACTCTAAATAAGATGAGGGAGAGGCTAATTCATTTTATAAACATCGCTTTAAATCTCTTCGTGTACCTGAGCCATGAAATTAATTAGGACTGTGATGAAACAGAAAAAAAAAAGAGTTGTTTGAAACGGTAATGAATATTACCTATTACCAGAGCCTACTTTCTTAACCGGTTTACTTTCTAAAAGATGAGTAGATGATTTCATGGATCTAAATCTCCTTATGCAAAACCCAGATGAGAGCAAACCACCATTAATTGGGTATTCAGCAGAAAACATATTTAGCAGACAATCTATGTGGTATTCTTATCAAAAGATGTCTCTTGATTCTTCAAAAACAAGAGCAAGTTCCCTATTGGGGCCAACATTGGGAAAATCCATCCTCAAATAGAAATATGAAATTCTAAAGAAGAGTAACCACTTCTCAACAAGTGTGTGTGTGAGGGAGGCTGTTATGAAGATATTCCAGATGTTTCCCTTCTGGTGTGATTTTGGGGTCTTTGAAAAGGCCAGTTCCTTACAAACTCACTCGTGGAATGTAAAGACCAAAGCTTCCACCTGCCTATCAAGGGAGGCTGGTCCAAGAAGTCTCACATGTCATTTGACTTCATTTGAATAAGAGCCCGCTCTGATGAAGATTAAAATTCACTTATTGACGTTGAAGCTTCTTTCTTCCTTTGCTCAAGGTCTTTCCTAAGCAAGACCCAGAAGCCCGCGGTAAAAGACACATCTAGTATGTGAATTAATTTCTGCTGACTGTAAACACATACACACATGATCAAAGTGACATCCTACGCATTCCATACAGCCTTGGCATCCCCAGAGGAGAATGGTGGCTTCTCAATAATCTATACACACGTAAATTATCACAGACACTGCATAAATAATTAAGGATGGTAAAAATATTATAGCAGCAAATATTTACCAAACACTTTCTATGTGCCATTATTTCTTATATTCCTCATGACAATCTCTGAGATATGAAGAATTATTATCACCTTCATTGGCAGGATGGGGAAATTGAGGCAAAGAGAAGTGAAATAACTTGCTTTGAGGCATACAACTACCAGGTGACAGAGTCAGGATTTGAATCTACATTTATCTGACTCAGATCCTGAACTCTTAAGAATTATATTAGTCTGCTATGTTTCACAGGGAGAAGGAGTAGAGAGAGACCAGGAACCAATAAATAATAGGGTCCCATGCCTTCTGGACGATTATTTCTGGCCTGTCAAGAATGTTCCTTGGGGCTGAGCGTGGTGTCTCATGCCTGTAATCTCAGCACTTTGGGAGGCCAAGGAAGGAGAATTGCCTGAGCCCAGGATTTCAAGATCAGCCTGGGCAGCATGGTAAGACCCTGTTTCTAAAACAAAAAAGAAAAAAAAAAAAAAAAGCAAAAAAAATCAGCCGGGGCATGTACACCTGCAGTCCTGGTTACTTGGGAGGCTAAGGCAGGGAGATCCCTTGAACCCATGAGGTTGAGGCTGCAGTGACCTGTGATCATGCCACTGCACTCCAGCCTGGGCAACAGAGCAAGCCCCTGTCTCAGAAAAAAATAAATTAAAAAAAAATAAAAAGGAATATTCTTTGGTTCTACTCATTGCCCCACCCCCTTAATCCTCCCAGGTGCCAGGTGTGGATCCAGTCAATTGGAATATTTGCCTTCAGTGACTTTCACTCTTCATTCCAAGCCCCTTCCTTCCACCCCCGAGCCCTGCCAATACTCTGTAGTCTCAATTTTTGTAGGTCCTCCTGTGCCCTCTCAAATGATATCCAATCTTCATCTATTCTGCGTTCAGAATGTAATGTGTGTGCTAACTGAATCAAGCTTCTTCCTTTAAGCTGAATCTTTGGCTCTGGGAGGACATAATCAATACCTTTACCTCGTGTGTCCCAGTGGTAAGAATTTTAGCCACACCGTTTCCCCCGGGCAGAGCTCTCACAAAGATGCTCGCTTAATAAGGTCAGAGGTGGTCAGGGAGGAAATGGTGCGTGTGTTGGTTTTATCATCAACTATTACAGTTTTTTGCGGAAAGCCAACCTTTGCGTTGCTACACTCTTACACTTTGAAGAATCCAAGAACTCTTTTAGAATTACCACAAAGTTTACTTTCCAAAAATGCAGCTTTCTTAACATGCTGGGGGAGAGACAATCCAAGTGTCAGACTACTTTCCAGATAGATTTTCCTGGCAGTTAACATGTGGGTGCTGCTCAATGAACTACACCCCGGGAAGAAGGCTAAGCTGGGAGTTGGTAGTCTGTCATCCCCCCAGTGGGTCTCTGTTCCCAAGGGCCTCCCATGGTGTGAGCTGAGTGACCCTAGCATTGAAAGAGGTGGTTTCTCTACAAGCCTCGACATGGAGACCAACAACTCCAATTGGTGATTTGCTCAAGAAGCAGTGATCTGCCTGGCAGTGAGGAAAATCTGGATGTCTTGGGCTTTGGAGAATCCCCCCTTTGCAATGTGGCAGCCTCCTAAGGGGTTTTCAAGGGTAATTTTGAAAATTTGTGAGTGTTCCCTGAGAGTGTGAGATATGACACCACTGGGCGATAATAAGTATATCATGTCCTCATAAAAATAACCATCACTGGCTAAGCAGCAACTGTGTTCTGAGCGTCTTTATTTCAGCAGGCATTGTTTTGGAATTATATACATATGCTAGGAATAAAGGCGGCTGATTCCTTCCTTGCTGTATCCAGTTATGTTGTCCTCAGAAGCAAGTGCCAGGCGATGTTCATTCCACCGGCGTCCCTTGGTGGCACCTCTTGTATCTGAGCCATCTAGAGGTAGTCCCCCTTTGTGACTCAGCCTTTCTCTTTCCATCTCTCAGCTCTGCTTTTCTCTGGGTTGACTTCACTTTGGGACCCACTTTCTCCATATGTCAGCTCCTGGCAATTTTAGCTTGCCCACTACAGCAAAGAGAGTGTCCCTTTGCAGAGAGTTACAATGGGCATTCTGGAAGCCAGTTCCATTGGCTGTTGCTACCCTGGTTTGGGTCATATGCTAATCCCAGCACCAGGCCAGGCCACGAAGGTGTGAGTGGTGCTCTCATTGGCCAGTCCTGGGCCTGGAGCAGGGGGCTATGCTGGGTTCAATCCACTCCCTGAAAAAACAAAAGGCCTGAGAGCGGGACGGGGTGGGGGACCCAAGGAGTCCCAGGCTGCTGTGGCTGAAGAAATGGCAGTGGATGCTCACAGGCAAAAACGACCTACGTCAGCTTCTCAGATCCTCTCCGTTCCCACTTCTCTTGCCTCCGTTTCTGCAGTCACTACCATGCAGTCTCTCTCGCCTCCTTTTCTCTACCTCCTCACTATACTAACTCTGCCTTTTACTGCCTCCCAATTTCCACGCCCTCAAGCCTCCTGTTTACTTTCTCTTCTGAGCCTCCTCCTATTTCTGCTTACTCTGCTGTTGTTCCTCTTTTACAGTCTCACATTGAGTTCCCTGGAAGTGTATCGAATTGGGTCTGTTAGCATCTAGGACAGAGTGTCCCTATTAATCAGCAGGGTCATGGGAAGCCAGCTCAGAGCCACCAACCAGCCTCCAGATTGTTTCCTTCAGGTCTGATGCCTTTGCCTAGGATGATCCAGCAGGATGATAGAGCCACATCTTGTGTTATAAATTAAGGGACCCACATAGAAGGTACGACTATTGGTGGCTTTGCTCAGAGTACAACAATCAGAACTTCATGGCCTAAAGAACACATTTGGTATTTGTCCTAAAGGACCAGCCTTCATTATCTCTGTCTATGCTATATAAACCTAACATAACACTTGCTGAAAGAAAGATCTTTATAGAGTAGATGCAATGTGCTTTTTTTATACTCTAGGTGATACCACTGGTGGATGCATGGCTGGATGAAAACTCTAGAAACCAACAACCTCAGTGACTGAAGGAAGATGAGTTGGACAAGAAAAAGTGAAAGAGGGTAAGAAAAGCTAAAAGGTGACCAAGAGATGCTTTTAGAAAAACAAAGGTTGGCCGGGCACAGTGGCTCACGCCTGTAATCCCAGCACGTTGGGAGGCTGAGGCTGGCTGATCATCTGAGATCAGGAGTTTGAGATCAGCTGGGCCAACAAAGTGAAACCCCGTCTCTATTAAAAACACAGAAAAAAAAATTAGCCAGGCATGGTGTTGAGCATCTGTAATCCCAGGTACTTGGGAGGCTGAGGCAGGAGAATTGCTTAAACCCAGGAGGCGGAGGTTGCTGTGAGCCGAGATTGCGCCATCGCACTCCAGCCTGGACAACAAGAGCGAAACTCCGTCCCCAAAAAAAGAAAAACAAAGGTTAAAAAAGACGTTGCTCAGCTATTCCACACCTGCAGGGAGTACAAAGCATGGCAGATGGGTTTCAAAGGTAGCAAGAAACAATTTTATTAAACCAGACGGGAGTAGTAAGAGAAGCTTCTAAAAGCATAGTCTTACACAGGGCCATGGCATAGATTTGTGACTACTTCAATGTAATTGAAATTTAGGAGCTTTGTAATTTGGGTTCTAAAATTTAATAAAATGGGAAGCCCAACAGTTCTTTAATTTCATTTTAATAAAGGAATCTTCATTTTATCTACCATGCTGTCTTCCTCCCTCCCAACTGTGATTACTGGTAGTCAGAACTAGCACCAGGCTAGCATAAAATTGAAGGAGACCCTCACCCAGGCACCAGCACTGCATTTGCGGGGGCCCTGAAGTGAAGGCCTCCTTAAATATTGCACCCAGGGCTCCTGACCCTCTGCAATGGAAGTGTGGTGATTTCATTTTCCTAAAAGCAGAACTTTTTGGTGTTTTAGATGAGGTCAATCACTTTATCCTTCTCTTTCTGACCTGGATTAATAGATTCAGACTAAAAATGAAGAATTTCTTTCGTATGTGTGTGAGACAGAGGTGAAAATGCAAATTTTTCTAAATGTAAAAAAAAAAAAAATCTTGATTTTATGTTAGTTCACTTAACATGAATGATCAAAACGCTCCTCCTGGCTGGGTTTGTCTGGGGCTGCCTGGTCCCCTCCTCTGCTCCGCGCATTTCTGCATTGGCAATGTCTCCCAGAGTCCAAGTGCTTTCTAGACAGCTCATGTTCATCTGTCTTATTAATAATTGGCTGCAACCTTTCCAATTTTCCCCTCTAATAGGCTTGCAAAGTTTTGTTACTTATCACATTATGACCTCAGTTCTTCTAGATTTTTACATTACTCGTCTAACACCTTCAGGGAAATTGAAGGATCACCTGAGTAACTCTATGCTGATGAGGAAGCCTTTGAGGCGAGCACCAGCCTAGACAGGACCAGGATGTTCTCTGGAAACCTGGGTTAATTGTCTCCCGGCTGCTTGGCATAATCACCTCACTCAACTTTCCTTCCAGCAGTGAAAAAATCCTGAGAACAGATATCTCCCCAGAAAACAGTGGGAGCAGTCTTCACTCATTCCCTCACTGAGAGGCACCCTATTCACTCATTCATTTATTCATTCTTCTACTTCCTAAGAGGTCTTACTCTGCACGTTGAGCATACCTTATAGTGATAAGCATGGCATTTCCTTTAATTTTCTTGGAACGTATTCCAGGCTTCTTGCTCTATTAAAAATATGTATGTCTATTCAGGAAGGTTCTTTCTCAAACATTTATTCCTGGAGGAAAAAATCCTTAGAAACTTTGATCAGGGGTGTATGTTTTCAAAATTGTATTGAAAAATAACTGCCTTTTGATGAATAGTAATGAATCATGTTAAACATCAGATGTTTGAGTTGCAACTCTGGTATGAGTGTTGTAAAGAAATGATAGTTCACAGGGATTCCTCATGGGTTCCTGTGATGTCCTGAGGTTTCATTTCAGTGTGTTTGTTTGTTTGAATTAGAGAGAAGCCAGAGAGGTCATCTAGGGGGCCACCTGGCTGGTCAGACTGGTCTCCCAGGGGCACTACCAAAGTGAGTCTCTAGTCTGGTCCTGGCTTCTCAGGGCAAGAAATGATTTGTTAGGGCACCTGGAGGTGTTTGGCTTAGGACTGCCTGTTGCTTAATCAAAATCACAAGAAACTGACATGTGAAGTGTAAGTCCAGTTTATGCATACTTAGTGCAAAATATACCAGCCAAATGGTCAAGAATATGTGTAACACTGGTGGCTGCTGGTGTCTGTCCATAAGAGCCTCCTGTATCCATCTCCATTGCAGGGCGGTCCATCTCAGGGCACATAATAATTTTAGCTATGGTCAGGCTATCCTCCTCCCCGTCTTCTCCCCAACAGTATCAGGGAAAGAGTGACAATTTCTGGATTAAATTATCTTTCTAAAAGTCCCCATGTTTATCATTTCAATTTGGAAGAGTCTTTCTTGAGATTAGTTCTTTTCATTCACTGTGACCAGCCCAGGGACCCATTTGGTGACATGATATTGCCTTCCTAGAAATGTATGCTCACCATCCACTGGGCCTGGGGTTCTTAAGTTTCTCTAAGCCATGCATTCTGTGACTATCACCCAGAGTCTATCATTTCTACAGACAGTTGATTGCATCTAGTATACTAAGAGTTTCTGCGTGTCAGGGGGCCTTTCCTGAAGGGCTGAATGGGCCCTGCTGGTGCCTCCATGTGCAGACAATTTTGACAACGACCACACAAAAGAGAAGAAATGATCGATGTGTCTATGAAACCAAAGCAAACTGAAGGCCTGCTTTGCCTGCCTTTGCTGAACTTCAACCTCGTTTAAGTGTAACAGCAAATAAACGTTGTGTAGAGTTCTCAAGATTTGAAAGCTCCACTCCCTTACTACACACACTGGTGCTCATGTATATACATTTGAACATATGAAAGAGTAAGCAAACCAGTGAAGACAGAGTTTTGTACTTAAAAACACTAAAAATAGTTTAATCTTTCTTGTCTATATTTTCACAATCAAGTTTGTATGTTACAAAGTTCTAAAAATCTCAGTTTGGTCTGAATATTTATATTTAAAAACCAAACCTAATCTGATGGAAAAGCAGATGACGTCTCATTTATGCTTTAAGTAACACACTGAAAATGCATATCACGCCAGTGTGTGTGGGTAGGTTTTGCCTGTTCAAACTCTCACAATAGGCAGAGATGATTGATAACAAGACCAACTCGAGGTTGCTTCTCTGAAACCCCACCCTCTCCCGCAACCTCTGCAAGGACAAGTCGGCTTTCTTTCAGTAACATGAAGACTCAAAGTAAAAAAAAAAAAAAAAAAAAATAGCATTGACTGGTTAGTCAGAATGCTTTCCTGGCTGGAAAACCACCACCGGAGGGGCCAGGAAATGACCATTTTCAGCCTTCTGTGGTACATGAAGTATAAACCATACACAGTATCATGTGAAACCAGGGAAACTCATATATTTCAGGAAAATCCCCTTACCCCTCAGGGTTGTTGGTTTTTGTTCTATGTGAATCAAATTCCTGTATTTTCCTACAGAGCAGCTATGGTTCCCGCTGGAAGGAAACGGAAGACTTCAGTTCTCTGGAGGGAGCTTCTCCCGCAGCATACAGGTTCTTGCTGGAACCCTGTTGCATTTCCTCTGTAGGACACACAGGTTTATCTAAGCTGTGAAAGCAACACAGAGATAAGACCCATGGTGTTTTCCTTGTTAGAAAAAAGCTGTCTACTTCCTGTCTGGAGAAACCAGGGACACTTGATTTTGAAGGGACTTCAGCAATGTAAGCACAAAATCAGCCCCTTCTCTTTAATTTAAATTCCACCCTTCTCTTGGGTGACGGCTGTTTCTAAGTTATTTAAAGATTTAGAAAGTAGCTAGAAGGTCACTGGGTTTGTGGCGGCATTGGCTTTTAAGCTTGTGCAATAAAACCACATTCGGCTTGTTCCCTAAGGTGAGGGCAGAAATGACTGGACGGAATGCCCACCTGCCCATACAGTTTGAAGAGAACAGTCCAAGTTCTCAAATAGTTCGAAACCTTTTAAGAAATCAGAAATAGTAGGAAACATTGCATCTGAAGTCACAGAATATGTTAATATTAACCCGTGTGGCTGGAATAAATGTGCAAGCTGATGTGTTAATCTCTGACGTATTTGGAGATATTTCCTTTATGTAAATAATTTAAACTGTCCACAAGATAACTTCATTTTCTACAGAGTCCGATTTGATTTTAACATTTTTTGAAGATCATGGGAGTTTATCATTTTGTTTTTGGTTTCATTCAATGGTAGCAATCTGAGATAGTCACCTGCCCATCCCAGGTCCAGTTGTGTAACTTTTAACAAGTTATTAAACATCCTCATGCCTCAGTTTCTTCATTTATAAAGTGGGGATAATAGTATCTACAGCCGGGCACGGTGGCTCATGCCTGTAATCCCAGCACTTTGGGAGGCTGAGGCAGGCAGATCACTTGAGGTCAGGAGTTCGAGACCAGCCTGGTCAACATGGTAAAATCCTGTCTCTACCAAAAATATAAAAAATTAGCCAGGTGTGGTGGCACGTGCCTGTAATCACAGCTACTTGGGAGGCTGAAGCAGGAGAATCGCTTGAACTCGGGAGGTGGAGGTTGCACTGAGCCAAGATCATGCCACTGCACTCCAGCCTGGGTGACAGTGAGAATCCATCTCAAAATAATCACAATCATAATCATAATCATAACAATAATAATAGTATCTACCTCTGAGGGTGCTTCTCGATTAATTTAGCAAACATTGTTGCATGGTCCAAAAGTGTTATTCATTGAAGATACATGGAGAGCAATGCCTATCCCTGACTTCCTGGCTCTTAGGGATCAGGGAGAAAAATGGAGGTGTAAGGAGGCATAATAATAATAATAATAATAATGATAATGATAATGATAATTTTACATGGTGTTAAGCTAAGAAGAAAAAGAATAGGTTACGAGGGTGATTTGATTGATTTGAGGGAAGGCCTCCCTGAGGTGGAGACATTTAAATGGAAGAATTAAAAAAATAAATTAGCCAGGCAAGGGCTAGGTATTGCAGGCAGAGGAAGGGGTGCGTGCAACGGCCCTGACGTGTGAATGTCTTTAAGGCTGAAGAAGCCAAGCAGGTGGAGGCATGTGCTATGGGCTGATGGAGTCAATTGGCAGGAGGCAGGTCCAGGTGGTGCTGGCTTGTAGGCCCAGAGAAGCAGTTGGAGTTTTCCTGAGTTCAGTGGGAAGCCACTGGAAGCCTTTAACACAAGGGCAGGACCTGACCTCATTCACAGTTTTTTTTTTTTTGAAACAGAGTCTCACTCTGTCACCCCAGCTGGAGTGCAGTGGTGCAATCTCGGCTCACTGAAACCTTCACTTCCCGGGTTCAAGTGATTCTCCTGCCTCAGCCTCCAGAGTAGGTGGGATTACAGGTGTCCACCAGCATGCCTGGCTAATTTTTTTTTTTTTTTTTTTTAGTAGAGAAGGGGTTTCGCCATGTTAGCCAGGATGGTTTTGATCTCCTGACCTCGGCCTCCCAAAGTGCTGGGATTATAGGCGTGAGCCACCATGCCTTATTCACATTTTTAAAAGAGCTCCTGACAGCTGGTCTTTGCTGGACACCATGAACCACATGGTCCAAACCTTCTTCATTCCCTCAAACACCGGCCACCCTGCAACTATGAGATGCTCAGGGAGGAGTAAGAGGTGGCTGTGCTGAGGGTGCCCTACAACCCTCCTCCCTCAACGTCCGCCATGATCCACATCTGCAGCAAGACCTCTGTGCCCGACCATGTCATCTGGTCCCCGTTTAACAACCGCTTCATGAACTCCTGCTGCTTGGGCTTCATAGCATTCGCCTATTCCATGAAGTCTAGGAACAGGAAAATGGTTGGTGACCTGAGCAGGACCCAGGCCTATGCCCCCACTGCCAAGTGCCTGAACATCTGGGCCCTGGTTCTGCACATCCTTATGATCATTCTGTTTATCATCATCCCAGTGTTGATCTTCCAAGTCTATTGATAGAACAGGAGGCAGCATCCAGGCCAGGAGCTCTGACCATGACCTGTCTCCCACACACTCCACCTTCCATTCCTCGCCCTGTATCAGCCCTTTATCCTCACACACTTTTCTACAATGGCATTCAATAAAGTGCATGTGTTCCTGAAAAAAAAAAAAGAGCTCCCTGGCTAGAGGGTGGAGAGGGGACTAGGGAAGGAGCAGAAGCCAGGGCTTCCATTGTAAGGATTAAATGAGATAATGAATGTGTAGCATTCAGTGTCATAACTGACCCATCATCATTTCCCAGTTCATGTTAGTCATTTCTATTAATAATTATGATCTATATTATTAATAATAGTACTTCCTTGGCATCATAATCTGATTGTATAAACTCAACGTGTACACCAGAAACTAAATGTCCTCTCTGACTTCATTCACTACAGTGTCAGAAAAAAAAGTTGTTAGAAAAAATTCCCAGTCTGTGGCCTGGGGGTTAGGGAACCCCGGGTTTAGAGAAGACTCAAGCCTACTGTGTCTGAGTCAGGAGATGGGAAATGAGTTTACTGGCCTAGATGAAGCTCAAGTTAATGTTGATTCCCAAGTTCTTCACCTTATTATGGCCCACATAGCTAGCCAGATGTGCCAAGTGCAAACTTTTTGCTGAACCAGTTTGTGAAACACTTTTCACTAATTAGTATACCAAGCTATAAAAGAAGTCACTTTTTTGTTTTTTTTTTTGAGACGGAGTCTTGCTCTGTGGCCCAGGCGGGAGTGCAGTGGCGCAATCTTGGCTCACTGCAAGCTCCGCCTCCCGGGTTCACGCCATTCTCCTGCCTCAGCCTCCCGAGTAGCTGGGACTACAGGCGCCCGCCATCACGCCCGGCTAATTTTTTTGTATTTTTAGTAGAGACGGGGTTTCACTGTGTTAGCCAGGATGGTCTCGATCTCCTGACCTCGTGATCCACCCGCCTCGGCCTCCCAAAGTGCTGGGATTACAAGCGTGAGCCACCACGCCCGGCCAAGAAGTCACTTCTTAAACATACTTTGTTTTCCAGAAATCACAATACAGTACAGTACTTACTTTTGTGAGATTTGCTTCTGACCCAATCAAGGATACAAGCAGAGAGAATGTGTGTTTGGAGAGCTGGCATTCATGCAAATTTCAAGCTTTGGGAAAGGGATTTACTGGCTATCCAAAATCAAAGGCATGTACTTCTCAACCTCTAGGCAGTAGGACGGGATTGTATTCCTGTCTGACCAATGGGAAATCGGAGGCACAGTAGGCCTGAGTCTTCTCTAGACCAGGGGTCCCCAACCCCCGGGCCATGGACCAGGATTGGCATTTATAGCCGCTCCCCATTGTTCCCATTACCACCTGAGCCCCACCTCCTGTCAGATCAGTGTTGGTGCTAGATTCTCATAGGAGTGCAAACCCTATTGTGACTTGTGCATGTGAGGTATCTGGGTTGCATGCTCCTTATGAGAATCTAATGCCTGAAAATCTGCCAGTGTCTCCCATCACCCCCAGATGGGACCATTTAGTTGCAGGAAAACAAACTCAAGGGTCTTGCTGGGTCTACATTATGCTGAGTTGTATAATTATTTCCTTATATATTACAATGTAACAATAATAGATATAAAATACACAATAAATGTAATGCACTTGAATCATCCCAAAACCATCCCCCCACATCTGTGGAAAATTTGTTTTCCACAAAATGGTCCCTGGTGCTGAAAAGGTTGGGGATCACTGCTCTAGACCAAGAAAAAGCACAGAGTAAATGTGGGAGCAAAATGCTGAAGAACTTTGCTGACTCTTCTCAAAGCCTCATTTTTCCCATCTATCGAATGGCTGTAATAATCATGCCCTCCTTTTAAGGTTGCTGTGAGGATTGAGGGAGAGAATTCATAAATGTGTTTCCACTGGATCTGACACAAAAAGAGCTGGACAGTTGTTAATTGTTGAGGCTATCATTGTTACTCAAAGACCAAAGTACCTGCTCTGCTCCATTTGACCCATTTAATTCTAGATTAAAAAAGGCTGGTTCTGATAGTCTAAGTAGAACTGCTTTGGAGACCAGAAAATGTTAGTGTGATGACCTTCAGCATCCTATCTATGACACTAATTTGATCTTTGAGCCAGGATGAAACCTGGAAAAGAGCCCTTGGGCCACTGGCTCCAGCTGTGGGGTCTTCCGAGCGTCCCCTTTAACGTGGCAGACTCACAGCTTTGCGAGAGGTGGCTTTCCCAAAGCTGCTTGAAATTACACTCGTAACCTGGGAGTTTGATAAGCCAAGGGGTCTGGGGTTTCAATTCCCTCTGTCCTCTGCTTTTCTAACTCGCAGTAATTATCTTTGTAATGCTCTAATGCTGAATAATGATGCTGCTAATGCAGGCTGCACTTCGCGCACAGGTGCCAGCTGTTACCTCGCCGGGCAGCTGACCGCGCGGTGCACACTTGGGCGCATTCACTGAGCCCAGCCCCAGCCCACACCAACTAAACAAAGAAAGCCCAGGCCTTCCTACCGATCCACCCCGCCCCTCTCTCTCTCGGCCTTAAGGAGGCCCTTCTCCCTCCCTTCCCGGCCCACGCTCTCCTCCTCCACCCCTCCCTCACTTCTTCCCCTAACAGCCCTCCCTCCTCCCTTCGGTGGTTTCTTCCTGCAGCAGAAATCCAGGAAACCGCCCCCCACATTTCCTTTACCCACGATTTTCTCCAGAGTCTGACTCACACACAATTCAGCTTGATTTGGAGTTCCCTTTTCTCTGCCCCATGAGAAACCCCAGCTCTCCCATTCATTTCTGGGAGTACAGGCTTGCCAGATAAGGTTGCTTATTTTTGAGTCTGATAATTGACCTTTCATCATGGGGGTCGGGGGGAGGCATATTGAAGACAAATTACCAAAGAACAAATGTGAGGCTGTTGGCTTTACACACACACACACACACACACACACACACACACACACACACACACAAAGACCCTTTACATATTTGTCCATAGAACAGCCTTCAGCAGACAACATCTGCAGGATGAGTCGTTTTTCGGTAACTTTAATCTCGTAATTCATTGTTTCTCTGGTGCTGGTTACAGTAGCTAAGAGGGTGGAACGGCAGGACAATTTGTCACACAAACAAATTTAAATGTGGACCGAGGGGTTTGCCCACCTTATGATGAGTGGTTGACTTGTGGCCAAAAACACAAAACAAAAACAAAAACAAGAGGTGGGGTTGATGAGGTCTGGGGGACAAGAGTTGCAGTTTCGAAACAGAGTGGAGGCTCCTTTAATCTTGACAGCCCGAATGCTACAGGGGTCACAGCACATCTGCTCCGGAGGAAAGACAAAGGGCAAGGTGGGGCCACGGTAGCCCGCGCGGGGCTCTTGGCGGGCTGGGGGCGGCGTGCGCCGAGCTGGGCGCGAGTGGAGGGGCCGGCGGCTTTGTGCGCCCCCGCCAGTGCCCGCCCGCAGCCCCGCCGCAGCGTTTAACCTTGACTTCTCCCTCCTCGCTTCTGGCACGGGAGGAAAGCCTGTCCAGATGGGCGTCCTGAGTGTGACGACGTCCCCTCCCGCCCCCGCGCTCTCGCGCAGATGTCGCACGCTGCCCTGGGTCCCGCCACACCGCCCACCAAGGCCGCGGGCCCTGCGCGCCCGGGGCAGGCGGGCACATCCCGCACCCTCTCCGCCCGCCCGCCCCCGGCGCCCTTCGCATTCCCTTCTTCGGCCCTGGCCCCTCGGACCGGAGCGCCCAGGCCAGCTCAGGGTGTTCCCGTGGGGGTCTCCGGAAACAATGGTGAGCCTGTGCTCTGCTGGCTGGGGGGCGTCGTCCCCGCAGCTGGCGCGTCCCTCCAGGCTGAGCGCCCAGCGCCCCCCGCGGCCCTAAGTTGGGCCACCTGGCGGGGCGCTGCGGCCGGGCCGGGCGGGGACATCTGAGGCCCGACAGACCCGCGCTCATGGACAAGTGTCGCCCGCGCCGGGCAGGGCCGTGGAGACAGACCACGCAGTGACAGGCCGGAGGCGGCTCGAGGGATCCGTAATTTATGATGTTGTTCTTACCAATCCGGTTTGGGATTTCACAAGCTTTGTCAGTTTCCTTCCCATTTGTTGCTTCCGTCTGTCCTTTTGGAGAAGACTCTTTCCCTCCCCAGGACAGCAGCAGTTGCCCTACTGAGTTAATGTGATAAGGAGAAAAAAAAAAGGGATTGATGGTTAAGAGAATGGTTGAACACAGGTAAGGGGGTGGGGCTGAAAGAGAGGTTGCTTAGTCTTTTGTGTACCTTCGACCAATTCTACCCAGACCATGAAGAAAAAAGTAAGGCCATTTTCAGAGAGATGGGGTGGAGGGTTCACGCTGAGAGGTAGTGAGAGCAGATCTTCCTCACCGCTACCACCAATCATCCTCCTCAATTACAAATAAGCCCTTTGGCCCTAAGATTTTTCTTTGTTCTTTTTCTTTCTTTTTTTTTTTTTTTTGAGACGGAGTCTCTCTCTGTCACCCAGGTTGGAGTGCAATGGCGCAATCTCGGCTCACTGCAACCTCCAACTCCCGGGTTCAAGTGATTCTCCTGCCTCAGCCTCTCGATTATGTGGGACTACAGGCGCCCACTACCGCGCCCGGCTAATTTTTGTATTTTTAGTAGAGATGGGGTTTAGCCATATTGGCCTGACTGGTTTCGAACTCCTGACCTCAGGTGATCCACCCACCTCGGCCTCCCAAAGTGCTGGGATTACAGGCGTGAGCCCCTGCACCTGGCCAAGATTTTTCTTAAAGCGCTGCAGGTTGCCCCAAAATGAACTTGGGTCTCCAGAAGGTAAGGGGTTAATTGTTCCTCCTTGCAGCTCCCAATCTGGGCTGATCCCTGGGAGGGACCTGCATTGAGGCACTGCAGCCTTAGTGCTCCTAACTTAGGATACATTTGGGGACCCTTGGGCAAAAGGACACACCTGTCTTGAAAATTCCTTAAGCTGCTTTAGTGATTGGGGAAAACTTTATGGATTTTATTAACTTTTAGTGCAATGAATAAATGTTAGGCACAACAAAGAGCCCTAAACTAGCTGGGGAAAGTTTTTCTCAGGCCACTTTTCCAGTTTTGTTTTGATTTTTTTCTTGAAAAAAAAATGTATTCTAGACCCCTTCCTTTTCTCCTTTGGACTTGGTGTTGCTAAATGGAACTCAGGCCAGAGCAACTGTTGCAAATGCCTGCTGCGGTTGCCTCTACAACACAGGCCTGTAAAGACTAGAGTAAGAAGAGGTTTGAAGTGAGTAGTTCCCTCCCAGATGCTGCCAGTGCAGAGGCAAGGGGAGGGTGGTTCCGGCCAGGGGCTGCTCCCATTGCTCCTGTGGGTGAGGAGGGGACAGGCGTGGGAAGAGCCTCGAACTCCAGAGCCAGCAGCCCCTGCAGATGGCTGGGTCATTTTGTGGTTTACAAATGACCAAGTCAGGTTGAAGCCACAGTCACTGTGGTTACAGGCACCCGTGATTAGTCACACTGTTAGTGACCCAGTTACGGCACACCCTCTTTTAAAAAGGACATTATTCAACATCTTGCTAGCTTGATTTCAGAAATTGTCCCTGTATATAAGGAAAATGAAAACTGCAAGGGTTGGGGGATTGAAATCTAGGGTGTGTATTTAGGACTGCCAGGAGTTTGGTCTGCTGAAAAGGAGCACAGGTGGGGTGTGACTTTTGTGGCAAGTAGAATTCCACTGAACTTGAACTAGAGATTGCCTTCCAAGTTCAGGTACGACCCTTTCACAGGGCAGTCTCAAAGGGGTCTGGGAGAGAAAGACAAGGGCCTCCTGAGCTTCGACTTGGCTCATGTGTTTGTGGCCATCTGTGAAATGAAAGTGGGGAGTGAGGAAAGCAGGAAGGGGAAGAAGAACCCTGAATATGGAGACTTGTGTGGGTTTTTACTTTTTAAAAATAGCATTTCTTTTACCACAATGCTGCAAGAACTTGTAAACATGAATCCCCAGCAATAGTAAACAAATTAGTCTAAGTTCTTTTATGTGAAAAGTAAGTAGAGCAAGTGTCTCTTGGTCTCTGTCTCTCTATCTCTTTCACTCTCTCATTTTTTTTTTCACAAAGAGAAAATGCAAAACAAAAATATCCCCTCCTCTTAAAAGCTTCTTTGCTGGTGAGTGTTTGTCCAGGAACAAATAGTCTTTTATTCGAGTGGTGTCCAAAAGTTCATAAGCAAAAAAAGTGCCCAACGTCTGGTTACCCACAATACAGTCTCTGGCTACATAGTGGAGCTTTTCTGTCCTGAATTTGTGATCTGCTATCAGAGTCCTTTAATTTTTCTGAACAGAAGCCTCTTTGGAAGAAGAAAGGATGGGGGTGGGGAGCAACACTGGAATCGGTCTTTTTTTTTTTTTTTTTTTTTTTTTTTCCTTTTTGCTGTTTTCTTCCAGTCAGCAAGTAGTGCTTGGATTCTTCTGATCTTTCCCAGCATCTTCCTGAGGTGCGGGCCACGGAAGGGTTAAGGAGGCTGCGGGCAGGTTTTTCCCTGCAGGGGTGGGGCAGCTGGGCAGGCACCACCCACCCCTGAGGCCCTTTATCTCCTTTGGAGATTTTCTTTTTACAGCGTGTTTAATGCAATCTTCAGTGATGACCGTCTTTTTAAAGCCATAGGTTTCCTTTAACTGTCGGGAGTCTACAGATATTCTCGACATTCCAAATGTAGGATCTGGTGAGATGAAAGGAAAGAGGCAACTGATTAGGAAGAAGATGGACTATTGTTTTGAGAGATGGGCAAAAATAATGATTTGAAACTAAATTTTAATTGCTGATAAACAATCAGTTTAAACATTTGGCTGCTTTTTGTTGGTGGAAGCTTCAATTTCAATGAATTCAATTTGACACACTTTTACAGAGCAGCCTTGGTAAAAGCCAGGTGCTCTCCTATGTGCCCCAGATGCAGGTGAGAACAGGGTACCCCAAGGCCATGCTCTCATGGAACTTTTATGGGGTGGCGGTGGGGGCTAGGAAGTAATTTTAAAAATAACTTTTGGATAGAGATAAGTGCCTTGAAGATAATAAAACAGAATAGAGAGGTTTCTCTGAGGAGTTGATATTTGAGCCAACCATGGTGCCCCTTGGAAGAAATGGTCCAGGCAGACATCCACATAAAGGCCTGAGGCTGAAATGAGCCGCGTGGAGGCCCCTGTCACCGGGATGGGGAGAAATAGAGTGGAGAAGGGGTTCAGGGTCCCTTCACCCACCGATTCCTCTGTGCTTACCAGCGTTGGTGATTTGCACAACCCCAGGGGTGCTGTCATTACTGTGGGCTGCCTGTAACCGGCATCTACTGTGATTCAGGTCCAGTTGCAAGCCAGCAACACAGCTGACAGTTCAGACCCCATCCCTTTTATCTGTAAATCTCCTTTGCCTTGACTTTAAAGCCAGCCATATTTATTGAAAGCAGCAGAAGCAGCAGAACAAAGACAAATAAATGGTGTCTGATGTGCAGGAGGGAGGTGCAAAGGAGTGTGTCTTGGGAGCTGGCAGACTGGTGGGAGGGGCTGGGTTGCAAAGGTTTGAGGTGAGAGATCCATGACTCATCCAATGGAGGACCAATATTCCTCTCAGGTGAATTTTGTACCCACTGGAAGCAGTCCTCTCTGACGTGGGCATGGCTTCCTTTCTCCTCTTCCTTTGATTCTCCTTCTGCCTATATGTCCCAGAGGCCTGAAATTCAGTCCCCAAATCTGCCCCACATGTCTTCCTGGAGGCCTGCGGCTCTTCACTCACACTCCCTGGCCTGGGTAGTGAGTCCACAGATTTGATTGTTCTCCCCACAAAAGCACCAAGTCAACTCGGAGTTCCTAGGAAAAGAGATTCTCTCTCCTCCCTTCATGCTTCTCTCTCCTTTTTTTTCTTTCTTTTTTTTAGATGGAGTCTCACTCTGTCACCCAGGCTGGAGTGCAGTGGCGCCATCTCGGCTCACTGCAACCTCTGCCTCCCGGGTTCAAGTGATTCTCCTACCTCAGCCTCCCAAGTAGCTGGGATTACAGTCGCATGCCACCATGCCTTGCTAATTTTTTTGTATTTTTTGGTAGAGACGGGGTTTCACCATGTTGGCCAGGCTGGCCTGGAACTCCTGACTTCAAATGATCCCCCTGCCTCGGCCTCCCAAAGTGATGGGATTACAGGTGTGAGCCACCGCACCCGGTCCCTGCTTCTCTTTTTCCTAAACTTAGGTTCTTGATGGACAAGGGTTTTCCAGTCCTTGGGAAGAAATATGAGGGAGAGGAAGAAATAAAGGAAGAGTAAATGAGGCAGCAGGAAGAAGAGGAACTAGGGGCTGAGGTGGGGGTGGGAGGACTCTTCCGCCTTCATCCCCAGGTCTCCATGTTGGGGAAAGAATTGTTGTCAGGTGTAAGTAAACTCACGCGCTAAGATTGACTGTTTCTGGCATCTTTTAAAATGGGGTGCTGTGGACACCCCAGCTGTTTGCCTCAGGCAGTTCCCCTAGTGGGGTCTCTAAATGGGTGGGTCTGCCTACCTCCTGTTCCTCTCAGGGCCTCTGTCTCCTGCCAGGGCTGCAGGGAGCTTTACACACGGGCCCTGGGAAGTTGATTGGAAGCTAGCAGTTCATCTCTGCACTGCCAGCTCTCAACGGCCCTTTGGCCTGTTGAAAAGCGCCCAGAATGGCAACCCTGGGGCTATTTACAGTCAGGAAGCAGAGAAGGCTCTGGAGAAACCACCTTAGCTCACTCTTTTGGGCAGAGGCAGCTGCTAGGCAGAGGCAGGGACATGGGTCTAGAGGCCTTGGGCCTCCTTCTCTCCTGGCCTCTGACTGTCACCCTCTCCTGGCCCCACTCATCAGATAGGAAGCTAGGCTTCCTATCTTTTCAACTTCAATTCTCTTCCACAATAGAGATTTCTGCTTTGTTTCATCAAGCTATCTAGAGTCACAGAAAACTGATATTCCCCTTCCCCAACCCCGCCATTCCATCTTTCCCTTGATCTCCCAAGTTCCAGCTCTGAGTTCCAAGACAATGGGTCTGAGTCCTAGCTCTGCTGCTTTCTGGCCATATGACCTCAATAAGCTGTAGGCTTTCTTGGAGCCTCAGGTAACTCATTTATAGAGTGAGAATAATAGTGGCACCCATCTCATAGACTTGCTGTGAGAATTAAACAAAGTCATTGATGAAAAGTTCCTCAAAACATGCCTTGCTCATGCAAAGGGCTTAAATACAGGCTGGCCATTACAACAATCAGCACTGAATCTTGCAAGCTAGCTCCTCCTTAATCTCTCTCCTCTCTTGGCCTTCATAACCTCATATTATGCTCTGGGGATGGACTCTAGTCTCTGCTTTCTCACTCATTCCTTGAAGTCCTTCTTCCATCTTCGTTTCTGCTCTTCTTGACTTAACTGTCAAGTTCCTGTTGGCCCTATATTTGGCTCACACTGTAGAAGCTCCTTCCTTCATTCTTCCACCATCACCTCTAGACAAGTTACTTCCAAATTGTCATTTCTGGCCCTTGCCTCTCTGCAGCTGGTGTCCTGCCACTCTAAGTGTCACTTGGACTTCTTGTGCCATCACAAACCCAATGAGACTCTCACAAAACCAAATCATCATCTTCCTGCTAAACCAGAAATCCTCTCTCAACTTCCAAATGTCTTGGAGCCATACTGGTTCCAACTTCTCCTGAATACTCTTCTTCTCTACCACTGTCCTCATCTACTGAGACTGGTCCAAAGCCCCTTTGTTCTTACTGACTCCTTCTCACAGCTATTTCTTTTCCAAGACCATCATACATGCCTAGATCCTGAGCACCTCATGACTGTGATGCTCTAGTTGCTATATAACCAGGCCCCCAGGTTCCACATTCTCTTCTCTGATCACAGGATGGGCTCAGCATTGGAGATATAACAGAGCAATACCCTGCCTACAGGGAGTTTACAGTCAAACCAGGGAGAAAGACAATCAAGTAATTACAGTGAAGGTTGGCAAGTACTCTGGGTGGTCAGGCACAGAAGGTCACAGGGCCACATACTAGGGATACTTAACCTTAAGTTCAGAAGATCAGATAAGACTTTGTGGAGGACATGAAATCTAAGCTGAGGCACAAGAGAAGAGTAAGAGCCGCTAGGTAGGGGAGGAGTTCCACACTGAGAGGCACAGGGTACACAAAAGTCCTTCAGGCAGATAAGCATGACATGTTTGAGGAACTGAAAGCGGTTCAGCCTGGGCAGAGTGTGGGCAGGATGCTGAGACACAGGACTGGAGAGGTTACAATGAACAGTGCCCTGGAGACCACGCACATGAGTTTTGATTTTACCCTAAAAGGAAAGCCATGGGAGGGTTTTAAATGCTGTCGCCCATGCGCGAGCATGTGAGTGTGTGTGTGTGTGTGTGTGTGTGTGTGTATGTGTTTGTGTGTACACTGACCAGACTTGAGTATTGGCTGTTGGAGAGGAGCAAGACCAAGGCAGGGAAACCAGCAAGGAGGTTGTGGCCTGTAACACGGGAGGCGGTGGAGCCTGCACTGGGGTGGGGCAGAGAAGCAGAAGGACATGGGCAGTATTTGAGAGGATTTGAGATAGGTTGGATATGGGAAGCTAAGAAGGGAGGGTTGAGGGGAACTCACAGGTCAGAAACCTGGGAGGATATTAGTGATTCATTGAGTTTGGAAACTTTGGGAGCATGTGGAGGGAAATGGATGGGTTCACTCACTTAATGAATACTGAGTCTGAGGTTCCTGAGAGACATCCACATGGATATGTGTTTGGGAGCACTGGTCATGATTGGCAAAGCCAGGCAGAGACTTGTGACTTGAGATTCTGACAAAGTGTGTGTTTATTGCTTCTGTAGTTTGAGATTTCTTTCTTTCTTCCTTTCTTTCTTTCTTTCTTTCTTTCTTTCTTTCTTTCTTTCTTTCTTTCTTTCTTTCTTTTTCTTTTTCTTTCTTCTTTCGTTCTTTCTTTCTCTTTCCTTTCTTTCTTCTTTCTTTCTTTCTTTCTTTGTCTTTCTTTCTTTCTGTCTGTCTTTCTCTCTCTTTCTCTTTCTTTTTTTTTGAGACAAGGTCTCACTCTGTCGTTCAGGCTATAGTGCAGTGGTACAATCATAGCTCACTGCAGCCTTGACTTCCCAGGCTCAAGCTATCTTCCCACCACAAGCCTCCCAAGTAGCTGGAACTACAGGCGCACACCACCACACTTGGGTAATTTTTTAAAAAAAAATTTTGTAGAGACAGGGGTCCCACTATGTTACCCAGGCTGGTCTCTAACTCCTGGGCTCAAGCCATCCTCCCACCTTGGCCTCCCAAAGTGCTGGGATTACAGGCATGAGCCACCGCACCTGGCTTGTAGTTTGACATATTTTTATTGCGGGAAAAGAAATTCACTCAAGCTAGTTCAAATAAAATGTGGTATTGTTCAAATACAGAGGGCTCCATGGGAAACATTGTCCACAGGGAAGCTGTGAGAATGGGAAAAGCTCTTCTGAACTACACAGGAGGACCATATGGCCTCTTGTTCCTCCATTTCTGCTTCCCTCCCTGCTTTGTAGGCACGTCTTCTCTGCTTATCCATGTGGCCTCCATCCTCTGTTATCTTTGCTCTCTACAGAACCAATCCTTTCTACTCCCCCAACTGGCCTAAGATCTGAATTGAAAAGCTTACGCTAGACTTTATCACAATTTATGCATCTCCTTATGTAAATTATTGAGAAGTTAATGGCTCAGCAGCTTTGGGTCAGGTGACCATTCTGGTCCAATCAGTGACAGCAGTGTGTGTGTGTGTGTGTGTGTGTGTGTATGGTGGGGAGGGGGATTCTATGTAAGGGGTGTAGTCAGACCAGTTCAATACAGTGATTTTTGGTAGGACAGGATGTTACACTTATTTATTTGTCTAACCTATTAAATGTTTCTGCTGCTACTATGTCTTTCACGTAGCAGGAGGAAAGCATAAAACACTGAGTGTGAGTGGCCCCTTTACCAGTGAGATCTTGAGCAATTTACATGCACTCTCAGAACTTCAATTCCCTACTCTGTAAAATCAGTGTCTCCTTTACCAGCAGAGGGAATTAAATGAGATAACGCTGTGATGTGCCCAACAGATGGTAGGAAGCACTCATGACTGCTCCTTTCCTCCTGTTACTTCTTCTTATGCTTGTTCAAGTCACTGTTTTTTCAGAAAACAGAAATTGTACTTGTCAAGTCACTTTTTTTGAGTGATTCCTATGCATAAACATTAACCAATATTTATGGAATGATCATATATTTTATTCCATTAGCAAGTAATTATAACCACTCAATAACATCTTGGAAAACTGAGATGAGAAAAAATCATTTACTCATAATCCTGCCATCCAAATAAAAACATAAACCATTTGATTTATTTCTTTTTAGCTTCTCTTCTAGGCATTTTTTAATTTTACATAATATAATCATAATTTATACATAATAAAATGTATTTTAAGATGTTTAAACCTAAATTATTTGCAGAATGAAAAACATACTTTGAAAGCATTTGACTTTCATTAATCTAGAATATCGATTGACATCTTATTGTAATTTCCTCTGTTTCACCCAGCACATCTCAGGATGGGGCAATATTTGGTGAGAACCATATTGGATTCTACCAAATTACAAATATATTCCAGGTAAGAACTATGTCCATTCAACTGCACTTTGAGATGTTAGATTTAATGCAAGGCTAATGAGGCCAAGCCGTAGGTTTCATTTTCACAGGAGCCAATTAACCTTACTACTATATCCACAGATTTTACCCCAATCCTGGTTTCCCACCTTGAAAATGAGTGCCAGGGGTCATAAGGAAGACTGAAAGAGAACATAGAGAGTTCAGTGCAAATCTATTGCCGTTACCAGACAGTAATTCAACAGCTTCATCTTTGAACCATTAGGTGAGCTTCTATTAGGTGAAGTTCCATTAGGTAAACAATTAGGTGCATTCTAGATACAGCTAGAATACAACTAGTCCAGAACTAGCTCTTTTCAAGGATGTTATATGTAAAAATCTCTTTAGCTTCAAGTGAAACAGGGTTAAGCAGCTGTAAACCGTGATGAATACTAGAGAATTCCTTAAGCAGTGAAGTCTTTCCTTAAATAAACACCACTCAGCTGGTTGGAGTTAGTAATTCTGAGAGAAGTAAAGTATACCTGCTGATTGTTCTATGACATGAATAAGCCTTGGAGAAGATCTTGAAAGCACTTGGGAGAGGTTGGATAAATTGATATATGCTGACTGTCTTAGTCCAGTCATCCGGCTAGAACCAAATCCCAGAGACTGAGGGGCTTATCAACAACATACATTTATTGCTCACAGTTCTGGAGACTGGGAACTCCATGATCAAGGTGCAGGCAGTTTCAATGTCTGGTGAGGCCCTGGTTCCTGGTCCATAGATGGTGTCTTCTAGCTGCATCATCACATGGAAGGGGGAGGAGTCTCTTTCAGGCCTCTTTTATAAGGGTCCTAATCTCATGATCTAATTACCTCTCAAAGGTCCCACCTCCTACTACAATGGCTTTGGGGTATAAGATTTCCACATAAGAATTTGGGGAGGACACAAACATTCTGACCATAGTACAAATTATCGCATTTACCTGGTGACATCTTAGAGCAGACAAAAATTTTAAAAATTCCATTAGAGAAAAATGCATCATGCTCTTGGGGAAATTTTTGAAATGATACCAAATATTTGTCACTGAGAATCTGCACTGATAACATTTACTTTCTGTGTGCTTATGTGCTTGCTTTTAAGGTTGGCCTGATCACTCACTCACCACTCCCTGCAACTCCATGGAGAAGATATAAGCTGTCAAAAATGTATTTGTGAGTCTGATGAGCTCTTTCACCCAGGTGACAGGGGTTTCTGCCATATTAATATTCTTCTTCTTCTCCACCTTTTGTGTTTCAATGCTGGGCCTGGAGAAGGCAGGGACCTTGGCTCTTCCACGGTGGCTGTTCATCAGCACTCACACATCCACCACACCGGTTTAGTCGCACGCTGGAAGGTAAATGTGTACCATGGAAGATATCGGGCTGTTTTTGTAGCATCTGGATTGCCACTGCCCCCTCCCCTCCACTACCCCAAGTCCTCTTTTCTCCTCTTTGGAGAAGACACAGTTCAGGCTAAGAGCTCATGTTTGAGGCCTCGCTGAGTTGCTGTTTGATATTGTTCTTGCTTCTTACCACATTGGTGGCATTGAATGTCCTTATTGATTTTTGCCTGATTGGTCTAACTTAGAACAGGATCAGCTTCATAAATGGGACATCTTGTGGGCTGAAATATGAGATTTGTTTTAACAAACCACTCCTAACCATCATCTCTTTAAGGGAAGCCAGGAAAGGCAATTGCTGAATTTCTTCTTGGCCTTCTCTCTGGTTATCCCTCTCACTCCTCCTACTTTTCCTTTTCTCTTTCAGGCTGCTTTCTCCTACTAGTTACAAAACAAACAAAAAACAAACAAACAAAAAAAACAAAACAAAACAAAAACTAAACTAAACCAAAAACAATAAATGCCAAACAATACTCAAAGAACTACCAAATTATTCCCTGGGCCCCTGAATCAGATGGAGCTGAATCATTCTGGCTGCTAACTGAGTGAAGGGTGTTGGGGAAAAGTGCCATTGTGTAAGTTAAGGAAAGGGTCAGAGAACCGAAAAGACGGCAGCTGTATGAAAGGGCTTCTGTGCTGGGATTCTCCTTTTAAGCTATCCAAAGGCACAAATCAAGAACCGCAACCTTGGAGATATGACAAATGAACACAATTCTGGTTTTTTGTTTTATTTTAAAGTGAAATTCCACTGTTTCCCAAGAATTTGCACATGAAGCTTTACATATTTTTCATGTCAGCCCCCTTCCTTGCCACCTTTGTTTTCCAGCCTGCCTCCCCTTAACAGCTGGACACATCACCGTTCCATTTTTCTATTAGTTGTGACTGAAGTAGCTTGAGGTCAATTATTTCCCCAGCAATTGACAAAGAATCTTGATGAAGAGGAAAGTGACATTGTCCCTTGAACAACACTGCTCCCTCCTCCCCCTGCCCTCCCGGCTGAGAGGAGAGAGCAGGGCAGACTTTCCTTTTGCAAGGAGCCCAGCAGGGCGGTGGCGGTGGGGTCTGTGGAAGTGCGTGGGTAACATATGGTAAGTGGAGAAAATATTTATATTCATGGTGAAAGAGCAGGAGAAGATCCAAAGAAGGTCATTCCACAGAGATTTCAAGCAAGAGACACTGACTTGATATTGTATCTTTGACCTGGATACAACAGAGAATTTAAAGAAAGAGTTTTCTTTTGTGGCTTTCCTGCCACCGTTACTTCCAACAATCCGAATTATTGGCAATTTAAAAAAGAAAAGATTCCGCCCACTAAACTTGATAAAAGTATCACACTGGCCCTTCCCCGGGCCCTGGCCAGGCTGCCACGCCTTCTCCCCTCCCCCTGCGCCAGGTCCCCAAATCCAGAATTCGGAGCCGCGGTCACTGAGCCTGTGCCTTGGGCCTGCGGGCGGTGTTTGTTGTTGTGACTGGGCGGCTAGGTGAGACGGAGCGCACGGGCAGAGTGCGCATTTGGGGCGACTGGTTCTTGGGGGAAGATATAAATAATGAATCGGTGTTAGATTATTTTCTGATGAGACACATGAAACCTCCAGTGCTTTCAGCAGGCATTTTGCATCACAGCTTCCTAAGAAAGGTAAAAGGCCCTCTTTCGGTCCCCCAGTGGCAAAATTCGCAGCTGTCGCCCAGCACCACAATCAAATGCGTGCGGGGCTGCGGGACAGAGGCGTCCTCGCGTACCCTCGGACAGACCCACAGCTGTCTGGCGGATACACACGTGCGCGTCTGGTCGACCGGACCAGCAGCTGCTTGCGTCCCCTCTCCCGCGCACGGTGGCGGCCCCGCACCAAGACCCGCTGAGGAAACGAAGAGTAGGGTCATTTCCCATCTTGCCGTCGAAAGTTTATCCCATTTCCCGGGTGTGCAGGAAGAGATGGCGCGAGGGCAGGAAGGTGTGAAACTGGGGTTCTGCGGGAGACCCACCGTGGCTCTATATTCACTCTCGTTTGAAAACTGCCAGCGTTCCACTCCCCCTAAATTCCAGTTCCCGAGGGGGAGGTAGTGAGATGGGATACAGGTGCGTCTGGGTCCTCGCTTGGGAGGGGTTCTCCCACTTTGGGACCCCTCGTGGAGCAGCCCATAACCGACCGGCCTGCTGTACAGAGGCCATGCTTAATGGATTCTCGCAGATAAAAGGGCCTGGCTACCTTTCTTTCCTATAATGGCCCCTGAGGCTAATGTCTTAAAGAGGAAACAAAGGGATTGTTTTACAGCACACAAGGGGGGTGGCGGGAGGAACAGGGAGAGGAGGAGGAAGGGGCATTGGATACGCGGAGCGGGAGGAGGCCTCCCGCTTCTTAACCCTTCACCTCCTGCGACCGCCCAGGTCTCCCGAGCTCCGCACCCTCATCCAGGACCCGAAACAGCGGGGAGGAGGCGACAGTGCGTGGAGGGCCCCGCCCTGTGACTCGACCTCCAGCTCTCCTCACCTCCTTCCCCGTCTTTTTAAAGAACTTCTGAAAGGGAGAACGGAAAAGATGAGGGGACCCATATCTCGTGAGCTGCAGTTCTGAAAAGTCAGTTCTAGAGGGGTCGTCTCTCGCGAGGCCCGGGTGCCCACACAGGATCGACGCGTGGCAGTGCCACCTGGGCCCGGACTCTGGGACTGCGGGAGGCGGGAGCGCCTGGGGCCAGGACCTGGGCGTACGCTGAGGGCACCCGGTGAAGGCCGGGGAAAGTGGGGCAGCTCCGAAATGCGGCCTGCACGTCGCCCTGGGAGTCGTTCCCGGGCCCCTCTGCAGACACAGCCTTCAGGTGTGAGCGGTGTGTGCGCCGGCCGGGGGCGTCTCTTACAGGAAGTTTATATTTGCAAACTGGGCGGTGGGGGGGGGGGGGGGCGGGGCGCGGCGGGAGAGAGAGAGTCTCAGTGGCTTCTGCTTTCTGGCTTTTCTGTTCTGGCTCCAGGAAAAGATCAAAACAATAGTTAAATAGCAATTGAAGACAAGTGATGTAAGAAATAAACAACTCGACAACAAAAATGCCCATAGGGACGGTTTTTTAAAACCCTTTATTATGGAAATCAGAGCACATGCACAAAAGGAGAGAGAAAGGTATTGTGCAGTGGGTCTCAAATTTGATCAAGCATCCGAACCGCGGAGCGAAATCCTCTGGAGGGCTTGTTAAAACACAGATTGCTGGGCCCTAGCCCTAGAGTTTTTTGTTGTGTATTTTTAAGCAGATCTGGGGTCAGCTCCCTCCTGAGAATTTGCAACTTGTTAGAGCCCTCAGGTGGTGCTGCTTCTGGTTTGGAAAGGACACTGCTATCCACTGGTCCAATAAATCTCCGCGTACCCTCTCCCACCTTCAATATGTACAACACCTCCCCACTCTGTTCATTCTATCCCCTCCCACATTTTGTTTGGTTTGCTGGAGAATTATAAAGCAATTCCCAGCCATCCTATCATTTCACCTATATAGATGATTTTTGATTCGGTGGTTACTTAAGCCGAGAGGACTGCAGGCTTCCTTGTGGTCATTTCACATTGGGGCAGAATCTGGTACCTCTCTCTGGGAAATCCATGCCCATATCTTGGTTCTGAGACCACCCTTCGGGAGTTCCTTTCCAGCAGATTGTCACATGCCCAAACATCACCACTGGGTCTGCTGGCAAGCTGGCCTGGCCTGGTCAGGGCACCACCTGGTCCCCATCTTTCATTTTCTGCTCATTGTCCCCAATCTGTCATCATGTACTCCCACAACCATCGTTTCCCCTGAGGTATTTTCCTAACAAGGCGTCTCCCCTCCAGGGTGGAGTTCTGAGTGCCTAGGGATGGGGTGGTACCCACAACAGTGCAAGCCCATAGGATTATTTGCATCAGTTAGGTCCAGGACTCACACCCCAAGGGGAGCTTCTCTGGGCTACTTGACCCTCCGCATAATTCCTGATTGGAAAAGGGGACATTCTAGGCATAGCTTCTGGGAATGGCCATCACTGACATCTGTCGTAACCTCCCTTGATTGTCGGGCCCTAGCTCAGTCTGGCTATCTGTGTTGCTTCTGTTCCAGAGAGGTGCCAAGTGCTCTCTTAGACTCCACCTGGCTAGTCCTAAGTGTGCAGCCTCTACCTATCTCCTTGCCTCTCCTTTGGGCCGCTCCGAAACAAGCTTCCCTTCTTTCCCTCCCCTCCCCTCCCCATCCTGGTTTAGGATACCATCTGCTCCTTCCACAGCTTTCTCATCCCAGCCCCTCCCAGTCCTATCCCCACCTCAACCCTCAGAGGTCTCTTGGGCTGTTACAAAGTTTAGACATTTTTTTTTATTTTTTAAACTTTTAGAGATGGGGTGTCACTTACTGTGTCACCTAGGCTGGAGTGCAGTGGTGCGAATTCGGCTCACTGCAGCCTCAACCTCCCAGACGCAAGCGATCCTCCCACCTCAGCCCCTAAGTCACTGGGACTACAGGCACGCACCACATAGGCCTGTTAATTGTTGTATTTTTTTTTTTTTTTGTAGAGACAGGGTTTTGCCCTGTTGCCCAGGCTGGTCTTGAACTCCTGAGCTCAGGCAATCCGCCTGCCTTGGCCTCTCAAAGTGCTGGGATTACAGGCATGAGCCACTGTGCCCGACCTAGACTCTTTTATTGTTCTCTTTCTTTTCCTGACTCTTCATGAAGCAAGCATACTATATGAATTCTTCATTTTTCCATCTGCTGTTAAAGAAAGCCCCGGGGATGGAGTAGGTTCCTCCACCCCAGAGCTCTGTTCCTATTTTCATATTGCCTCATCTTCCTATGTTTTTCTTCCTTCACCAGCCTGGAATTAGCTGTCACTTTTGTATTTTCTCATGAGTCCTACCACTTGCCTTTGCTTTTCTAGCCTTTCTCAAAGAAATGCAAACAGCTTGTGTTTTTTCCCCTTGGGTCCTATTGTACCTACTTTTGTTTGATGGTCTCTCTGTCTCCCATGATGCCAGTGAATGTAGCAGTTTCTCTCCACTTCCACCAGTGCCTGGGGAAAATTTGGTATTGGCAAATTTGAGTTCTGCCTTTTTGCAGCTTGCATTGCTGGATTCAACCTTAGGAGCCTCAGTTCCCTTATTTATTCACGCGACACATCTGTATGAGCCTTTACTACATGCTAGGCGCTATTCCAGCTGCTGGGGATACAGCACTGAGCAAAACAGACATTGTCTTGACTTCATGGAGGTTTTGGAATATGTAATTATAAATGTTATATATTTTAGCCTGGGAGACAGGCAATAAGGGAAGTAAGATGGCATACTAGAGAATGATTAAGTGCTAAGGTGATATATGGGGTCGGATGTGTTTACGTAGGGGTTGGTATGGATATTTTGTTTTGTGTTTGTTTTGAAACAAAGTCTCACCCTGTCACTCAGGCTGTAGTGCAGTGGTGTGATCATAGTTCACTGCAGCCTCAACCTCCCAGGCGCAAGTGATGCTACTTCCTCAGCCCTCTGAGTAGCTGGGTCTACAGGCACATGTCACTGTGCCCAGCTGTTAAATTTTTTTGTTGTTGTTGTTTTGTAAAGATGAGGTCTCTCTATTGCCCACGCTGGTCTTGAACACCTGGGCTCAAGCAATCCTCCCGCCCTGGCCTCCCAAAGTGCTGGGATTACAGGCATGAGCCACCGCACTTGGCCAGTGTTGATATTGTAGATAGCATAACCAGAGCAGGCTTCCCTGAGAAGTTGACGTTGGGCAAAGGCCTGATGGAAAGGACCTCCTCTGTTGAATGTGGATATTAATATTTCACACACTTGTAAGTGGGAAGATGTGGGTGGAAAGCTGCACATAAAGATAGAGCCACTTGCCTTTGTCTTGTCAATGCCTTCTTCTGAAGTTGTGTTCGCTAAAATCGTCTCTGAACACAATACAAGGTTAGCATTCCTCTGATGGCTTTGGCGGCCGTTTTTCCTGTTACACACTTCTTTAGGTCAGCCCTAGCTTGCTGGAGAGTCTCAGTGCGAAGCCTGGCTCATTCTTCCCTAACTCTGCAAAAACATGATGTCACTGGGGAGGTAGGACAAAGTACCCATGGGCAGGACTAGGCGGGGTGTCACTGTCTCCCTTACATTTTTGTGGCCTCAGTGACAGTGCAAAGGAAGTGATAATGCAGAGGCTGATTTTTAATTTGAGGAGGTAATAGTGGTCAGGGGAGAGTTCCCCATGAGAAAGAGGATGAATTATCTGGCTGAGGCAAATGCTGAAACTAGGTTGTAACCGCAGCAGCAGCAGCAGCAGCCGGTTGTTATATTCATTACAGTTGCTGTGCCTTTTAGCAATCGTCCTAGCTGCTGTTGCTGGTTGTTTAGTAGACCAGAAATCCTCAGGGGTGTTCATGCCCCATCCTGTTGGGCATGCAGCAGGTGCTTCTCAGTATGCCGTGGTCCAGTGCTTTATACTGCCCACTTTTTGGAGGTCATCCGTGGTGCTGGGCTGTAGCTAAAATGAGCAGCGAGGGCCACGCTCTTTTCAGCCTCCATGCTCTCCTCAGAATGATGTAGGAAAGGAGGGGAAGGTGCATTGTTTACCTTCTCAATTCTTGGGGGTTCTTGGCTATACCAACTCCAAATTGAAGAGCCTTGTGACCTGTTTCCCTAAATTAAGACTGCCTGGCTCTCCCTGTTCTCTTTGTCCCTGTTTAAAGCTGTATTGGTCACGACACAGATGAGTCTCTGTGCAGCTGCCACTCTCTATACCCAGGTCTCTGCCGGGGAAGCTGGTGCTTTGAATCCGAAAGCAAACCTTAGTGCTGCTGGGAAGCCCTCCTCCCCATTCCTG